>NC_000015.10:44526874-45151874 GCF_000001405.40 Homo sapiens | reverse complement strand
CCTGGGAGACAGGAAGCCTTAGCCTTTGGCACCCACCATGGGACCCAACGCTAGTGGGGCCCCACTTCACGGAGGTGAGCCGCCCAGAAGTGAGGGAAGCCCACTGCTTCCGAGAAAGAAACCTAGTTACCCTTGTGGAAGAAGGGTTCAGACCTCACCGCATCAGGCTATATTGCACTGCATAAGCAAGCTGGCAGTGGAGGGATGGCTTGGAGTGGTCATTTCTTCCCAGGGGATGTACTCCATCTACCTGTGTTCATTCACACTCAGTCCCTCTCCTTCCAGTCTGTAGCTCCCAACTCCCACCCGGCGCCCATATTCAGCCTTTACTAGAGACTCAAAGGACACCTCTTCCATGAAGGCATCTCTGACCTCCCTGGCAGAGGTGAGTGCTTCCTTGAGTTCCAAAGCCCTTCGCTCTTACCACTATTAGAACAGTCATCAGTGGGACATTGAAATTATCAGTGTACCAGATTCTCTTCTTAGATTGTGATGTTCTTGGGCAAGGACTATTCACCCTGCCTGTACCCACAATGTTTAGCACAGTGCCTGGCACCAAGGAAAAGATGTTTATAAGCTGAAGGAATGGATGAACTGCCTGGGCTTAAGGGGAAGAGCAGACATACTTCTTGCCAAACCTCCGCCGAATCTCCTGGGGAGGGTCTGTGTCCATGGGGCACTGCAGTCTCTGAGGTGTCAACTCAGTCTCAATGTCGCTGCGGGAACAGCGGGCACTCACTCTGGGAGAGGGACTAAGACAAGAATGGTAAGAGATAGGATGCTGGCCATCTCAACCACTCGTTCCTCTGCTATCCTGGTCTGCCTCCAAACCCATTCTGCTGAGGAAGGATCAGAGCTGTCAGCAAGGGGACAGCAGGATTCCCACAGTCACCTATAGACAGAGTCTGATCTTGGGGGTCCTCGCTAAGGCTGCTGCATATGCCTTTACCCTTCACAAGGGCATCTGGGCCAGGCCGTAAGTGAGAGCGGAAATCCAGCAGGCTTTCTGCTTGCCCTGGCACAGGGCTGTGTCTGCCTAGAGAAAGGGGTGTCCTTTTCTAATTTGTTTGAAGGTGCTGCATGGGCTAGCGGTGGCCCTGATCCCAGCCATTCAGGGGAGAGAAATGGCAACTCCCCAACTCCTCCCCCCGACATTCCCAGATGGGTGCTCACCAGATCATATCCTGGCTGATGTAGGAGGCTCGCCGGCAGAGGTCCTTGATGACTTCAGGCACCTCCACCCCTGCAAAGCAGAGCCAGGCTAGGGAGCAGCTCAGGGTCCAGAGCCCAGGAAGACCTGGCTCAAACGCACAGCACTCCTACCATCCCATGCTCAGGCACAGTAGACAGTCCCAGACCAATGGAGGCCCTGCTTTCGGGTGCTCCAACCTCAGCCCTTGTCCCCAATGGGAGCTGGACCCAGCCATAGGTGGGCAGGGAAAAGGCCTGAAAGAAAGTTGGCCAGGCAGGCTTCCCTAAAGTGTGTCCATCATCAGTCCCACTTCTGGGACTATGGGGTAGATTTCGGGAACTGTATATAACCTGCCTTCTGAGCCTGCTCTGCCATAAAAATTTGGCTTAAGATCCTCTAGCTTAAAACCTCCAAGAGCTAAATGTAGAATCTAGGTGGTAGGTATATGGGAGATCACGCTACAGTTCTTTTTACTTTTCTGTGTTTGAAAATGTTCATAATAAAATATGCAGGAGAAAAGCTCTCCCAGGAGCCACCCCATTGTTCCTGTCTAGGCTGAGCACTGAAGGCAGGGCAGGACTAAGCTGCAAAGCCAAATTCTTACAGGAGTCCTGGGAATCTCTGGGTTTCTTCCAAGTGCTGAACCAAGCCTGAAGATGACCCTGGTCTATAGTTGAGGTCAAAAGAAGATAAGCTGAACTATATTAAAATTAAATCAGAATGTTTAAAACAAAGTATTAATGCCTGTACTCTCAAATGTTCCACAAACAGCAAATGTGGTAAAATGGTAACAAATAGCATATCTAGGTGAAAAGTGAAGGAACATCTCTTTTTTTGAGACAGAGTCTCTGTCGCCCAGGTTGGAGTGCAGTGGCACAATCTTGGCTCACTACAGCCTCCGCCTCCTGGTTCAAGCGATTCTTGTGCCTCAGCCTCTGGAGTACTTGGGACTACAGGCATGTGCCACCACACCTGGGTAATTTTTGTACTTTTTTAAATAGAGATGGGGTTTCTCTATGTTGGCCAGGCTGGTCTCAAACTCCTGACCTCAAGTGATCCTCCCACTTTGGCCTCCCAAAGTGCTGGGATTACAGGCATGAGCTATTGCACCTGGCCTTTTGTTCCTTTTCTTTAGTTTTAAAATCTTTATAAAAAAAATCTGGAGTCAATAACAATTAAAAGAAAACAATACTCAGTGCTAATCTTCCTCAATCCCCAAGCCTGGTTTTACCCTCCACCCCAGGTGTTGGATGTCCCTGGGACTCTGTGGTGTGGGCTCCCTTCCATGCACCTTCGTTGCCCCTGCCCTTAGGCTCAGGTGCCTGCTGCCCTGGCTGCCTGGGAAAGGTAAAAAGCTGCAGAATCAGGAGTGCTGGGTTCCTTCTCTTCCAGCTCTCCTTACCCCCAGGGGGAAGCCCTGACCAGAGGCTCATCTGTGTCTTATCTAACTTGCCCCTCTTCCCTGTGGAGGCTGCTCAGCCTACCCCTTCTCATAATTCTGGGAGGGGCTGGGTTTGGTCTCAACATGCCCCAGTGAGAGTCCTAAGATGCAAAGATACCATAACAGCTCAGAGCAGGCCACAGACAGACCCTCCTGCCTGCTGCTTGCCCATTCCTCACTCTAACTCTAGCCCCCACCCACTTGAATCAGACACTGGTGGGGCAGGAAGTAGGGGGAAGGACAACAGAACTGGGTCTTCATGTATTCAGCAAACATTTACTGAGCACTCAGCCAGGAGATATAGTGGCAAAAAAAAACCCCAAGAGATACCACCCCACCCCCACAACCAGACATCCCAGCTGAAGGAAGTATGGCCTGGGTAGGGCTGTAACAGGGAGACAGTCTCCCCCTGCCCTGGGCACCACGCACAGGGGGCTTTGGCAGGGAGCCAGGGGAAGCAGAGTTCCAATCACCATTTCCTACCCTATCCTGACCCTACCCACCCCACCAGCAGAGCTGCATTATGACTTTCCTGGGCCCTAGGCACTTTCACCTTTTTGGGTCCTTTCCTCCATAAAAATAAAAAATAATATTTTAAAATTATATTGTATAATTATGTTGATATAAAGAAAACTACAATCCAGATTGGATACATTATTACATATTACTACATTCATTTTTTTCTTCTGATTTTAATGGAAATTAAAACATTTCTGTGGACTCCTAAAAGTATGTGGGCATTGTGCCTACTATGCCTAACCAATGAGTCAGTGCTGCCTACCAGGCTGCCCCACCTTTGACACAGAGCTGCGTGAAGCGGAGCTCGCTATTGTGGTCCCGCAGCATGAAGTGAAAATCTTCCCATGTCAGTTCCTCCTTGTCCTGGAATCCCGACTCCCGGAACATGGACTCCACCACCTCAGCCAGCTGGGCCTTGGACAGGCAGTTGTTGGAGATCTCGATGAAGGATCTGGGGTTGGGGGAGAGGAACCATCCGGCCCTGACTGGGGCCTGCGACCCAGACACAGGACACACTGACTCCATCGCACCAAGTTCTCTGTGCCCATGTGGAGGGGCCCCGACTGGCCACATCCCAAGCCCCCTGCTAGTTTGAACAGCCTCTGGTTACATGGGTAAGGAGGAGGCTTCCTTCCTTGGCCCTTCTGCTCTCTCCTTCAGGTCCCATCTATTTGCCCTGGCATCCCTGCCCTGGCCCATTCTCCTGGCTGTCCCAGAGAACAAACCTCAGCATCCTGATGAACTCATCCTTGGAAATGAGGCCATTCCCATCAAAGTCGTACATGCGGAACATAAGGCGAGACTTTTCCTCAGGAGAGCCTGGGAGAGGGAGGACTCCATAAGGAGAGCCCCCGCCTGCCTGCCTGAACCCCCAGGCTGGCCAAAAGGGGCCTCACACCAGTGTGATGACCCACTTCTGGACACAGCAAGGGTCGCTCTGCTTCCTGACCTCGGCCTGGGCACTTCTGGGCATCTGCCATGGCTGGAGACCTGGTCCCAGGGCTTCCCCATCTCCAACAGATCAGCCCCTGTCCAGCCTCTCCTATCATTCCCTCCTCCCTCACCTTTCATGAAGACCACCAGGATGTCCAGGAACTCTCGGAAGGACAGGTAGCCATTGCCATCCTTGTCAGCCAGAGAGAACATGGACTCCACAAACATGTCCTGGGGCTTGAGGCCCAGGGACTCGGCAAACTCGGCCCTGCTCAGCTCACAGGTCAGGGCCTCCCGCACCTTCTGGGAGGAGTCCAGGGGCAGGGTCCCTGCGTCGGCCTGGTTGATGTCCAGCACCTGCACTTGGGCAGAAGCAGAGGGAGGGAGAGGAGACAAGGCTTCCTTGACTTGAAGTTCAGCTGAGCCCTGTAGGAGCCACCTTTTGAGGTGTCTGCCCAGGACCCCCTCTGCTAGGAGGCCTTATGGTGGTGCCTGAGGCCATGTTTGTTCTACAGAACCCTGACCCTCTGCCTTAGCTGACTGGACAGGGAACTCACTTGGAATTAAGAAGTGTGAGGTCTGTCTTGACTTGAGCACAAGAAAGCTCAGAAAGTGTGGACCACTCTCTTCCTCCAAGTGCTCAGCCACTTAGAGATCAAGTAAGGCAAAGGCAGCCTAGGGGAGGAGTGGCCTCATTGGCTGACAGCTTTCCTTTTCTAGGTCCTTTCAGGCCAGGTTGATGTCCTCCCTTTGGAATTCCTGAGACATCTCTGTATTCTCAGAGTCAAGTGACCCTTTGTCAATGCTAGCTTATTGGGGTTTCTCTTATTTATGTGTAAAAAAAGTTTTAACTAAGACAAGGCTTCAGCTGGATTGAGGAAAAGCTGGGCTTGAGAAAGGGGAATTCTCATTGTGGCCATCCCCAGCCCACCCAGAGGCTTCCCCAGTATGAGAGAACAGACAGTGAGGAAGCAGGCAGGCCACAGGCCACAGTACCTGTCTTTCCTGCCTGTCAAGTGAGGTGCCTACTCCAAGTCTGGTGATGGTTTCATGGGGTAAACCTTACAGCTTCAAACAAGGTGCTGTAGTGGGAAGAGCCTAGGGCTGGAGGCAAGAGACCTGGGTTCATGTCCCAACTCTGTCACCTGCTTGCTGAATGACCTCATGCAAGTCTCTTCGGTTGCCTGGAATTCATTTCCTCATCTGCCCTACTTATCTCACAGGTTTATTGCGAGATCAACAAAAGTGGTTGTGTTGAAAATGTTCTGAAAGCTGAAATCATATGAGACACTGACAGCCACCCCCAGGATATATCAGCACCCTTCGTGTCTCAGCACAGGGAGTTCCCATAGCCCCGAAGGATCCTGAATGAGTGGAGATGCCCAGTCCTGCCTGGGCTCTGGGAAGGAGTCACCCAGCTGAGGGTCCCTCTGTTCTTGTACATATTCAAGTTCAACTTGTTTGTCCTCAAATGACTTTAAATCATGTTCCTGGCACAGAGTAAATGTCTGTTCAATGGATGCTTCTCTCATGAATCCTCTCCCCAACCACATGATCCTGCTTTTTCTCCTCAAACATTAATTTCTTTGCTCTTCCATGGAGCCCTCTTTTTAGTCCCTCCTGTTCCTTTCCTCTGAGCCAAAACTTGTCCAACTTTAAGTCCTTGCCAAATATCACCTCCATCATGATCTCACAGCAGGCTGAAGACTCACTGTCTTCTCTGAGCTCCCGGATTGCTGATTTCCTGAATCACTTTTGTAGCCTTCATTCTTTGCCAGTTATCTTCCTTTCTGTGCATGTTCCATCTCCCCAGTGGAAGGATAAGCTTCTTCAGTGGGAGAACCATGCTGTATTTATCTTTTTTTTTTTTTAACTGAGATGGAGTCTTACTCTGTTGCCCAGGCTGGAGTGCAGTGGTGCAATCTCGGCTCACTGCAACCTCTGCCTCCCAGGTTCAAGTGATTCTCCTGCCTCAGCCTCCCAAGTAGCTGGGATTACAGGCACCCGCCACCACACCCGGCTAATTTTTGTATTTTTAGTAGAGACGGGGTTTCACCATGTTGGCCAGGCTGGTCTCAAACCCCTGACCTCAAGTGATCCACCTGCCCCGCCTCCCAAAGTGCTAGGATTACAGGTGTGAGCCACCGCACCTGACCATATTTATCTTTATCTACCATGTTTCTCCACTCCACTACCCTGCTCCCAGGCTGCCTCTATTTTTGTGCCAGCTGTGGACTCAAGTCTCTGCATTTTTGTCTTGTTTCCCTATATCCTCCCAGTCTCTCTCAGAAGTCTGCAAGGTGGACATCAATGCCCCATGGAGGGCTCTGGCAGCTGCACTCCCCCAAGAAGGGGTGAACAATATCCCTTATGGTGCCCACGCTGCTCTGGGTCTCTGCAGCCTTTGAGGCAGGCTGAGATGAGTGAGGATGGAAAGTCTGGGCAGCCCTGAGGAGAGCGATAAGCAACACATGCAGAGAAGCCCATTCCTGGGCATCCCCCCACTGGAGCCTCGTAGTTGGAGGTGGGGTTCAGATGGGGGCAGGGGCAACTCCTTATGATAAAGTCTGGTGATTCATCCAAAATTGCAATAGACTTGATTATTAGCTGAGAACTCTGGGCTTTGACTTCCCCTCGAGTCACCCCATGGCCTCATGCAGGTAAGGACACCACCACAGCATAAGGATTGATCTGGTCCCATGTACACACCTGGGAGAAAAGGTGCCTGAAAAAGGTCTCCAGGAGGTGCCTCCGCTGCTCCCGTGTCACAGCTGCTCTCATCAGCTCCTGCTCCCGCAGCTCCCACTCCTGGATGCTCAACCCGCTCTCCTTCAGAGCTCCCCGGAGATTTTCCACCAGCGCCTGCCGCTCTTCCTCCAAGTTAAACAGCAGCACCTAAGGGGGCAGCCCGAGCAAAAGCAACCATTTGCCAAGGCCTCTTGAGGTTAGGCAGTTTATGTGGATTATGTCAGAGGGGCCACTGGGGTGGCCTTGAAAAAGGGATATTATTTCTCCTTTTACAGAAGAGGAAAGGGGCTCAGTAGGGTTAAGTGACTTGCTCATAGGTGCAGAGTTTGGATTTAAAGGCACATGTACAAAGACATTCTTCCCTCTATTCCATACTGGAGAAGGCAGAGGAGGGCAGGAAGGCCAGAGGATGGAGGGGATCATGGGCCAGGCCTCTGATTTAGCTCTCCTCCAAAATCTCTAAAAATTCACTACATCCTGAGATAAGAGGACAGGGAAGAGGGCTTTGCTTCTTCCAAGGACACCCAGCTGGGACCTGACAGGTTGTCCTTAGAAAAGGAGGAGGCAGACTGTGGTTGCAAGAGTTAGGAGGAAACCATGGAGATTATGTCATCCAGCAGACCCGGAGCAGGATAAACGTGTCCAAGTTTATCTCTCTATCAGGTACTCCACCTGGGAACAAGAAGCCAGACTCCTGCACAGTAACTATCATTTCCTGCCTCCTGACCCCATGCTTCTTCCCCTCCACCTGGCTGCCTCCCTGGCCTTGGCTGTGGACAAGGAGCCAGATGCCAGCTGAGCCATACCAGGTCATACTCCTTGGGGATCTTGAGCAGCAGAGTGCGGCGTCCACGGTTGCTGGACAGGACGAAGTTGACCTTCTGTGGAGGCTGCAGCTGGATGGTGCGGAGCACGGTGAGCCTGCCATCTACCACACGGATCTGCCCGGGCTGCAGGTACACAAGCACGGGCCGGCAGGGCTCCTTGTGGCCTTGCCATTCCAAAGCTAGGGGGAGAGAGACAGGGCTTCGTCAGCTGGGACCCATCAGAGGTACATTGGGAGGAAGAGGGCCAGCTCAGGGCTGAAATTAGATCAAGGCCTCCACAGTTCATTGTCCCCTTCTGGGGTACTGAGAGTCATTCCCTCCCTGAAAGCCTGGCTGTGCCTCTAGCCCCATGAAAAGAATAGTAACTATCATTTCCTGAATGTTTTCTATGTGCTCAATACTATACCAAGTGCTTTGCATGAATTATTTCATTTAATTATAAACCTGTGAGGTAGGTGCTATTATTATTCCTATTTTATGGATAAGAAAAAAATGGTTTAGAGAGATTCAAAAATCTGCCTAAGGCCCAATAGCCCATAGTGGTGGTGGAACCAAGATTCCAATCCCAGTCTGACTCTGGACCTTCATTAACCACTTCTCTGTTGCCTGGAGTTCCAGCGTGAGATGCTACAAATCAGCAGTTCCCAGGGATTCGTAAGTCATAGTGACCCTGTAAGATCACTACAGGGTCTTACACTTACTCCCTGTAAGGCAAGGTCCAATGACTGCTGCACATGAGAAACTCTGGAGGCTGCAGGACTCCATGTCCAACTTCTGCTTAATGCCACTGTGGCCTTGCCTACAGTCCTAGAAAAGGGAGGCCTTTTCCTTAGGCTGCTGGGGTGGAGGTGGGTAGCTGTAGCGCTGAGCCATGTCCTCCCTACCACCACCCTGGCCAGCCCTAGACCTACCTTCCATGCCTCCCACGAGCTTCTCAGACACGATGCTCTGGCGGTCCTGGCCCTGGAGCCTCTTGAAATTTCTCATCCGGAGCCGGGCAACAATCCAGGCACTGAGCAGGCTCACTGGGAGGGCAGAGGCAGAGGTTCAGGGAGACGTGGGGGTCTAGGGGATGGAAGCAGCTCCTTTCTCAGCTCCTTACCTGGCAATACCACCTATTGTCCCCACCTCCTAGGTCAGCTTGCTCAATTGTTTCAGATTGGGAAGGTCCCTGGGGGAAGCTGCTCTGCATCCCATGGGGAGCTTTGGGTAGCATCTAAGATACCCACCCTTCCTCCTCAGATTCCACCACTCACGTCCCTTCCTGGCCAGAGACTAAGTCCAGAGTCCTTGTGTCAGAGACTAGACTCACCCCACCAGGCTGCTAGCTGACCCACACACAGCCTTGCCAAAGACTAAGCCCCAAGCCCTCACTCCAGCGACTATGTCTGCCCCAGCCTGCTCTTCCTCCCTCCCTTCCTCCCTCCCTTCCTTCCTTCCTTCCTTCTTTCCTTCCTTCCATTCTCTCTCTCTCTCTTTCTTTCTTTTTTTGACAGAGTTTCGCTCTTGTTGCCCAGGCTGGAGTGCAATGGCGCGATCTAAGCTCACTGCAACCTCTGCCTCCCAGATTCAATTGATTCTCCTGCCTCAGCCTCCCGAGTAGCTGGGATTACAGGCATGCGCCACCATGCCCGGCTAATTTTGTATTTTTAGGAGAGACATGGTTTCTCCATGTTGATCAGGCTGGTCTCAAACTCCTGACCTCAGGTGATCCGCCTGCCTCGGCCTCTCAAAGTGCTGGGATTACAGGCATGAGCCACCGCGCCCCGTCTTAGCCCTTGTTCTTAAACAGGGATTTGCCTCTGACAGTCCTCTAGGCTCAGGCCTGCAAAAAGCTGTGGATTATAGATTCCCCCTGGCTCCTGACCAATGCTGGGCCCTGGGGGCAGTCCCAGGAAAACAGGGAGGCAATTCTCCCTGGAGCTGACTTCTCTGCAGGTCAAACACTTCTCTTGTCCCTTCCTCCTCTAATGTTTCATTCTCCTACCCAAAGGGACCATGCTCTGTGTGGTTTGCGTGGTTTGTTGTCATTAGTGGAACCACCCAAACTGCATCCCCTAGCTTGCATCTCTCACCCCACCCCACTCTGTCCATGATTTTACCCAAAGGGAAGCAACAGAGGGTCCCGATGGTGACCCCGAAGCCAAATCCACTGCCCTCAAAATAGTCACGAACAACAGAGGGAGCACACGCTGGCAGGCCTTCAGTGCTGAGCTGTCTCGGCTGCGGACAGGGGTCTCCTGGGAAGGCAGAGGAAGCCAGCGTCCTGGGTGCTGGGCCACAGGTGCTGGCACAGGATCACGGAGGAGGTTAGGGTGGCAGAAAGGGGGTGGGGGCACTCTGGGTAGCTGAGGGGAAGGGGCTGCCTTGGGTAACAAGTGGGGTAAAAAATGAATCCCAACCTCCATCTCTCCCTCACACACAGAAGTGTACACACACACACACACACACACACACACACACGCTTCCCTCACTGCTGTAGGGTTGGGATATCCTCACTGCACTGAGCCCTCCTAATATTATACCTAGCCCGAGCTCCATCTCAGCCGAATGTGAACCTCCTCACCAGCTCTCTCTGAGTCTCAGTTCTGCCCTCACTCAGCACTTCCTGGAGTTCTGCAGAGGGGACCCTACACAGCTGCAAGTGGTGGCCCTGGCACCTGGAGTTCCCAAGGGCAGAACCACAGCTCACTCCCCTCTTGGAGCACAGAGATTGACGTTCAGCCACATTGAGCCAAGCCCAGAGCTGAAGAGGGACGAGGCTCCAGACCCACCACTCCTCCAGCCACCCCTTGGCCACTCACCTTTATGCCAGACAAAGACATTGGGCTGCAGAGCACTGGGGTCAATGTTGATAACAGCGACCAGCACGTCCTGCAGGGTGGTATTTCGGATTTCTTCAATCTCCTTCTTGGAGAACAGCCTAAGTTGGAGTAAGTAGAAGTCACTGGGATGGGAAGGGGATGCAGGCCTCCAGCAACCCCAGGCCCAAGGACCCAGGTGAGAAAAGAGACCCAGAGGTGTTGGGAAGTGGGTGGTGGGCTGGCTTGGAATCAAGGGCTCATGGGGGCTGTCTAAGGCCAGAAAGAGGGTCTGGGGCCCAGGCCGAGGTAGAGCCTGAGGCGGAGGCCCAGCACGCCTTACCCATTCCTGGTGTTCTCAAACCAGTAGCGGTCACCATCCCGTAGCCGCACAAATTGTTCAAGGACGATGGTGCTGAACAGAGGTCCAGGGTCCCGGTGGCTCTCCAGGAGTCCCCCAGGGAGCAGCTCTAGCCAGGATAAGTCCTGGTTGTACAGGGCAGCTGTGGCCTCCAGTACCTGGAACCAAGAAGGGGCAGAAGTAAGAGAAAGGACACGGCACCCACCCTAAGGCAAAGAGGTGGCTCCCAGGGATTAGCCCCAGGGATGATAATAATAAATGACAGTAACAGTAACTCACTCCTATACAGTGCTTATTATGCCCCAGGCACTTCTCTGAGTGTTTTACATAAGTGAACTCCATTTATGGGAACCCTCTCACACATTCAGCTGCCTATTTTATAAAGTAATAAAACAGCCAGCCAATCCGCATTCATAACTTGTTCTTGAAAAGGTATGAAAGTTGAAGGGACAAAATCAGAATGTGCAAAAGTTGAATGGCAGAATGATGTGTTATAAAAGGTTTCTATTCTTTAGAACTAAAATTTTTTTTAATCAAATGCCTGATTATATATTGCCTTTTGGAGACAGTTTTCAAAAACATATCACCAGCATTTTCTACCTGACCTTTATTTTAGTTTTCTTTTCTCCACAGTGTAAATAGCACTTGACCAGCTTAATCCCACTGAGGCCCATTTGAAGCTAAAGATTTGCTACTTTTGGTGTGCCTGGTGGTTCCTATCTATATATTGATTTTATAAAGTTTACGAGCCCCCATGCTCATATCACTTCTTTATTGGCCTTTCAAATCCCCACTTTCCAATAATTTTATAAAATAGTAAGGGCAAAATGCAATAGAATAGGCACACAACTGTAGAAACACTGCTGTGTCAAGATGGTAAGGTATCCCAATCTGGTCTCTTGGCTAGCAGCTGAACAGGACCCCTGTTCAGCACCATCATCCTTGACCAATTTGTGCGGCTGTGGGATGGTGACCGCTACTGGTTTGAGAACACCAGGAATGGGTAAGGCATGCTGGGCCTCCGCCTCAGGCTCTACCTTGGCCTGGGCCACCAGTCCAGGTGGTAGCTCAGGGTGTAACAGCTGACTCCTGAAAGGTGGCTTAAACATCGGTGCAAGAAAGCACAGATTGTTCCTAAGTCAAGGACCTTCTATACCCACTCAGGAGGGTGGAGAGAACAGTAAATAAGATAGTGACTATTAAGTGCCTAGCAAACAATAGATGCTTAATACACGCTTGCTGGATCTGAACAATCCGAGTGCAAAGCCAAATCTTGCTGGTCTGGTAATCTTCATCCTGATATGTAATATTGGGAAAAGTGATCTGGGTAAGCCCTGCCCCTCCCATTAGGTGCTTGTCTCTTGTGCTCAAGTTTCACTGCCTATCTTCCATGTCTCAGGCCCACGTGCCTTGTCCCTCCCGCCCTACCCTCTGGGTCCTGACCCCTCCTCACAGTGTCATTGCTCCGGGAGAGTGCAGGGTTGATGTCCTGCCAGCGGGTAATGGGAGACAAGCCCAGTGCTGCCCTGGCCTTGGTGTAAGAGGGCAGGCCCAGATCCCGGCCCCGCTGCAGGCAGCTGGCCAGGTGGTCTGTGCGGGAAAACTTCAGTGGCCCAGGCCAGAAATCTGGAGACAAGATACCAGACAGTCTGAGGGAGCTCAGGGCCACCACAGCAGTGTCCAGTCCAGGCCCCAAGCTCCAACCAGCCCCAGGAGACTTGAGCCAGAAGGAGCCATGGTCAGCATGTCAGAAGCTCTTTCATCAGTGAGTGCAGTGCAGGCTCCCAGCCCCAGGCACCCCCTCATACCTGGTTCTGGAAGTCCAGCTGAGCCTCTTCCCAGAGGCCAGGAGTTCACAACCTGCAGGGACAGCCTCAGACTCACCCCGCACATCTTCAACCAACACATGGTCCTCTCGCTCTGCGATCTGGGAGGCCATGCCCAGCAGCAGTGCATCCACATCTTCAGCACTTTGTAGGCTTGGGTGCTTTATAGGTTGGGGGTGGGGAGGAAAGGGGTGTGGTTAATGGGGTCAGAGGTTAGACAGCCGGCTCCCTCCACACCATCATCCTTATCCCTGAGCCCACCCAGTCCTGCTGTTTGCTCCCAAACCGGTGGGACATTCCTCTTCTGCAGGTTGATTCCCCACTCAGGGTGAGGGGTGTCCCCTCTGTCAGTGCTGCCTGACAGAGGTCTATACAAGCACAAGGGATCTTAAAATTTTACTTTGACCTTGGGATACTTGACAGTGTGGTTGGCAAAGTAACCAGAAGATCTAGGTCTTAGTCCTCTGTTACTAACCAGCTGTATGACCTTGGGCAAGTCACAGGCCCTCTCTGAACTCAGTTTCCTTCCCTTAATAAAAAGGGACTCTGATGAGGGGGACACTGAGTCCTCTTTCAACTCAGCTCCAGGGCTCTGATTCTATGGCTTCTTTTTTCTTCCTCCCCACTCCCTTCCCCTTAGTAAACACTTTACACAAAGTATCTCATTTTGCTTTAAATTCACAATCAATGTTCTTCACCCATGCTGGCCTGATTTGGATGGATGGACAATCCCCAATAATCTCTAGGAACCCCTGCTTCCTCCCCACCCCCCTCACACATACGCATTCACACACTGCCCGGGATGTGTGTCTAATGGGATGTTTCCTTGGGGCAAGTGAGACTAGTTGGGGTACTCCAAGGCCTACAGGACGCCCAAAGCTGTCGAAGGAGAGGGAAAACGTGAGAGGGAGCAACGAAGGCGGAACCATACCTGCACAGGTCCCACTGGCTTTCCCACAGCCCTGAGGTTGGGGTGGTGGGTTGGCTTTTGGCCATGTTCAGCTACCTGGTCACCTCAGACTTTGTAGGGGAGATGCCTGAGGTCCTCCAGGCTGCCTCCTTCACCCCAGCCTATCCCAGCTACCTGCGTCAGCCTTACTGACCACTTTCACCATGCACTCACACACACACACACACACACACACACATACACACACACACATAAGCATGCACACACACACATCCACCACATATGTGGCCCCCAGCTCGGACCTCACGGCTCCAGTAGCTGTTGCAGACCCGGAGAGCTCTGGAGACACTTGAGTTCCGATTGATGACCCCCTGGAAGTGGCAGCTGGCATTTCTGAAATGCAAGGAGCAGGGAGATGGTGATTGAGATAATGGGGTTATAATGTCAGGCATCAGTTCTGGTCTCTGAGGCGGTATCCAGGGACCCCAGGCCATCGTCTTTCCGAGGTGGTGTGTGGTTCGGACCTTAGCACATCCTGGAGGGTCTGACTTTTGGAAGGTCCCATCTACAACATCAGACCAAATATCTAAAATGTACTCATAGCTCATTAACACACACACTCTCTCTCTGACTCTCTCTCAATATATGTATATACACACACATATAAAATATATATATACACAGTTATATGTACAATATATGTGTACATATATACCTATTTAAAGGATTCAAAAATTGTTCTTCTGAAACTACTTGTCTATGAATAACTCAATTGTCTATTTCTCAGACATCATCAGGCATACCCCAGAGATTATTCCAGAGTAAATCTAATCTATGAATTGTTTTAAATTATAAAGCAATTGTAAAAATATAAATGGACATGCTTTGTTTCATATACATATACATACATATACATTATTTAAATATGTGTCTTTTTTTTTTTTTTTTTTTTTTTTGAGATGGAGTTTCACTCTTGTTGTCCAGGCCGGAGTGCAATGACACGATCTTGGCTCACCGCAACCTCCGCCTTCTGGGTTCAAGCGATTCTTCTGCCTCAGCCTCCCGAGTAGCTGGGATTACAGGCATGCACCACCATGCCTGGCTAATTTTTTTTTTTTTTTTTTTTTTTTTAGTAGAGACGAGGTTTCTGCATGTTGGTCAGGCTGGTCTCTAACTCCCGACCTCAGGTGAACCACCCACCTCTGCCTCCCAAAGTGCTGGGGTTACAGGCGTGAGCCACTGCTCCCGGCCTATGTCTTTTTAAAGTTCCCTTTTCATTATTTTGAAGCCAATATTTTCCTTCAGATTGCACACATTTTAGAACCCTCTGCCCCCAAAAGGTTGCAGGCCCTGGGCTCTGTGATTATAGCTAAAAATGTCCCCAGTGTAGTGTCAAGACATGAGGTTTAGACCAGTGGACTTTGTGACACCCTCTGAACCTTTATTACTCTATATTTAATGGTGGGGGGGAGGGTAATATCTACACCAGCAGCAGGAGAATGGAAGTAAAAATACTTAAAAACCACAGTGATGTATCTTTTAAAACAATTGTTTTCTTCCCCTCTCTATCGGTCTTTCCCTTGGGGACACTTCAGACTGATAATCCTGTACAGAGGGCTCCTGAGGGCAGATTTTCCTCAGTTGACAGCCCCATCCCTCCCAGCACACACACCTTTGAGCCCCTCCCTCACCTCATGTAGACGCCAGGGGGCACCATGGTGGACAGGAACTGCTCAGAGGCCGCCACGAACTCTGAGGAGATGCTGGGGTCCAGAAATGGCCGGTATCCTGGGGAAATAGGAGAAGAGAGGACAGAAGAATTTAGCCCTAAAATCCCCAACGTAGTCCCCACCCCACCCCGCAAGACACACGCAAGCCCTCCCATCCTCCTTCCCCGCTCCCTCACCTGTATACTCCGGGAGTGTTTTCTGCAGGAAGCTGGGCAGCCACTCATACACAGCGATGTTCTGAGGGGCAGAGAGGGGCGAGGGGAGGCACGAGTTGGATGGGGAGGGACCTGGAAGGGTCTGAGCCCAAGGACGGCTTCCGTGTGGAGATGAGGACCAGCCAGGGTCAGTCATGGGAGAAGCAACTCAAACAGGAGCAGTGTGAGGCCTGTCCCCACAAGGAACCAGGGGATTTGAGGGAGTGGGGGGTGGGGAGGTGATAAATAATCATCACCAGCCAGATTTCTCCTATAAACAGCGCGTGCCTCCCTATCATTTACAGGGGCTTCCCTGGACCTCGGCTGTCTGGGGAGGGGTTTCTGGGTGGCGGTTGTCCACAGATGGGGAGCTCCATGGGGCAGCGGAGTCTCCCGTGGGCTTGCACGCGGAAGGGAGGACGTCGCGGGGCGCGGACGGCTGACCTGGTAGGTGGCGATGACCCTCTTGCGTGCGTGCTGGAACAGCTCCTCGTCCTCCCAGTCTGGGTGCTGGCGGGCCAGCCTCTGCGCCCACAGGTTGTGGTAGCGGAACCAGAGCAGGCCCAGCGCCTGCAGGAAGGGTTCCCGGTTCCCTCTCTCTGCCCCGAAGGCTGCATCCGACGTGGGGGCGCAGGGGAGGAGACGAGCGGTAGCGTGATCGGGGGAGCCCACACTCGCAGACCCCCAGCCGGCCCCGTCCCGCCCCTGTGGCCTCACCGTACAGCCCCCGGGGCCCGTTCTGCCCGGTGGCGGGGTCGGGCGCCGCCCACATGAGCAGGGGGTTCTGCGAGTCTCGGGGAAAAGCGGGGTCGGGCCCCGACGCCAGCTGTCCCCTGGAGAAGCTCCGCAGCGCGTCGCTCCAGGAATGCGAGGAACCATAGATGGCGCTGCCGTCCAGCCAGCCCGTCACCTGGTTGGCCTGCGGGGCACGCGGCGGGTGAGCCCGGGTCGATGGGCGGCGGCGAGCTAGGGAAGGCCGGGGCCCGGCGGGTGTCCGCGGCTGGGGAGTGGGCGCCTCTCCCCTCCAGGCCCTGCCAGGCCCGAAGCCCAGGTCCCACCTGGCTGGGGTGCGGTCCCTTCCCGCCGCCTTCCCCGCCTCACCGGGTCCCGGGGATTGCTGGGACTCCGTCCGGTCTCGGGGTCCCAGCGGCTTCTCTGGAAGGGCAGCACCACGTCCCCGCGCTGGTCGGGGTCGAACATGGGGTCTCCGGGCGGGATGCGAATGTTGAGGAACTCGGCGGGGCAGCCGGGAGTTTCCACGCTCACCAGGTCTGAAAGCACGTGATAGCCTGCGGGCAGTGCAGGAGGGGGTGCTAGGGCAAGCAGAGGGCCACTTTCCTTCTTACCCTAGGTATCCAGTTTCCTTCCCTCCCCTGAAGCTTCAAAAGACTCAGCAGCCATTATGGGCAAGTCCAAGCCCTGACCTTAGGCACTCCCTCCCAGTTGTTTGTCTCTTCTGTCCCTCTGTGCCTACACCTGATCCAAGCTGTTGTCGTTGACAGTTTGGCTTTCTCCTTGGTAACTGGGAGGTGCCCTGTGAGTGTGCCTAGGCAAACGGGCCGGCAGCACCAGCTCCAAAACGCAGCAGGAGCCAGGCATTCCTGATGGACCAGCCACCAATCCTGTCACTGGGGTCAAGCCATCCTAGCACCCCCACTTTGACTTCCCCTCAGTCCACTCTGCCAGAATCAGAACCCTGCCCTGAGCCTGTCCTAGAAGCCATGGGGCAATGCCTAAGAACAGGGTCCCACGGAGAGGCCCTCCCAGATTATTTTCATGTTTCTGCCTCTACCAGCCCCTTACCCCCACCAACAACCCAACGAGGAGGGATGCCCCTTTTCCCTAACCCCACCCCTCATCTTTCTGTGTGGGGCAGATTTCTGCCTCCCCAACCAGAGTTCACTTCAGCATGGATCCTCTCTCCACCTGCTTCTACCCCTACCATACCCCACTGCCTCCTCCACCTCTCACCCTCATCCCTTAGGCCTTCCATCACTTCTCTCTCATCCTCTGACCCCTCTTCACATGCAGAGGTGTCCAGCCGACCCCACCGGCTTCCTTCCCCAGAGGTTGAAGTTCTCACCAAAGAAGACCCCCAACACTGTGCGGTTTCTCAGGGAGGCCAGCCCTGCAGGGCCCCTTGAGATGGTGTTGCTAAGGTCTCGGGGGTTGGGCAGGTGGGGTTCTCCCAAGGGCTGGTACACGCCATCTGCATAGCTGGCTGGGACCAGGCGCTGCAGCCGGGAGCCTGGGGTAGGAGGGGTAAGGATAAGGATGAATCTTCAGGGGGCATTCTTGACCCCCTCTCTCCCAGGCTTTCCTCCATGTCATGGATCCTAAAACCTTGGAAATGGATGGCCTTTGCTGGTACTTGCCAGCTCTTGCCCCGCAGCACTCAGTACCCCCCTGGCCCTGGGGTTCTATCCCCACTTGGCTCTCACTTACCTTTGCTGCCCCATCTGTGCTCCATGAGGTTGTTGTACCACCCATCAAATCGCTGCACCTCCCACGAAATGGGGTTCTGAGCTCCTGTGTGAGAATGGAGGGAAGGGGCAGCTGGGCAAGTCAGTGCGTGAGAGGACAGGCAGGCCTGCCGGATATGGGTGCTGTGAGCCTGGCACTTGGAGCAGCAGAAAGTGGATACCTGAAGTGGATGTGAGAGGTAGGGTGCAGAGGGAAAAACCAGGGCAAAGTAGTGTCCAAACTCAAGCCAGATCTTTAAGCTGCTCAGTGGGGGAGACATGGCAGGGAGCCAAAAAGCAGTGGAGCAGGGAGCAGAGTGTGCTGACAGACGGCCTCAGAGAGGGAGAGGGGGCTGGAGGAGAGCAGTGGTGATGGGGAATAGGATGCAGGGGACTTTACTCCCCTTAAACTTCAGCTCCCTGAGGGGACACAACAGGACAGAATCCATCCCCAGCCCTAAGACACCACACAGAGCAAGAGCCAGCCACACTCCATACCGGAGAAGGACATGTCATTCTGTGACCCATCCCTGGGCAGGGTCGGTGTGGTGAGGGGACTAGTCATCTCTGGCTGAGCAGAGCCCAGGGCAAGGGTGTGGTGTTGCTACTGCTTTTTTCCCCAGTTTCTTGGGTAGGACCAGGGACTGGACTGGTGATGTGGATGACTTTGCCCTTTTTCTGGGGCATCTTGTCCCCCATACAATTCCTCCTCTTGATCCTGTTGTATTCTCCAAAATGAGGGTCCAGGAGGGAGCACTCAGCTGCTGGGGAAAGAACTGAGGAATGAGGGACAGAGGGAAGATCCAGAATGGATAATGGAATCAGGGATGGAGCAGGGATCTTTCTGATCAGTAGAGCAGATAGCTGGCCTGATTCTTTCCCCCAAACTAGGAGTCTATAGGCCTGGGGCTTCTTCTCTGCTCACTTCAGAGAACAGACGCACACATTCACACTCACTCAGCAGAGAGTCAGGGGGGAAAATGACTCAGGGCCTGATGTTTGAGCAAAGAACCCAGCTAAGGTTCAAGACTTTGGGCAGGGCCACACATGTGATCTCTAAAATAAAATGAACCTGTGGCACATAAAGGAGAGAGCCTTTGCAGGACAGTACAGGGAAAGCGCCTCTTGGGGATAAGAGGTGAGAGCTGAGGGAAAAAAGGGAAATCCAAAGCTAGGGAAAGAAGAGGGCTGGAAGGAACGTGGATGTGAGTAGCTCTGGCAAGGGAGAAGTTGTAGGGAAGGTGTCACCATCCTGTCACCTCCAGCCAGGACAGATCCTTCTACAGGTTTTCTCTGCTTTCTGCTTTTGCATCTCCCATCCCCAGTGATCAGGGACTTGATCTTTTAACTTTAACTGTGGCACTGTAGGCCCACTTCCCTCCACAGAGATCCGGACTGCAGAGAGCAGCCTCAGATTCCAGCAAGAAACTGTCTACTGAAGGCAGCAACATGAAACTCTTATGGAAGATATTGCTTTTGTTTTTCATCATAATGTTTAAACATATTGATGACTCCCCTTCAGCTTTGGGTCCAATCTGACCCCAAGATCCTTTATTGTCTTATGTGTCTAATCAATCTTTTCCTATTTTGAGTCAGAGGCCCTCACTTTATGGAAAACAAGAGAAGAGAGAGGAGAGAGAAAGGGCCCCCAAACTGTAAGAATAAAAGAGAAAGTGCTGACAGCAGCTGAAGGCTCCCTAATTCTGTGTATTTGGGGATAATTTTCATTCCATTATCCATCTATTTCTTCAACAGCTAGAAATGAGCAACTCTCATGTGCAGGGCACTGTGTCAGCTAGAGACTAAAGATACAGATGAATATCAAATGGATCCTGTCCTTGGGGGAGCCCAGAGGATGCTGGGTTCCTCTGCTCCTAACCATGCTTCTCCTCCAATCTGTACTCACCCAGAGGGGTCCATGCCCCAACCAGAAGTGTCCATGCTAGAGCCAGGCAGAAGCCCATGATGAAAATAATAGGGGCTCAGGGATTAGAATGTCCCAAAATGGAGACCCTAGAAAAAGACAGGCAAAGAATGAGCCCCAGCTACTCAGAAGAATCAGGTGAAAGACTCTGCAGGCCTCTGTGAATCAAGGCCTGGGGCTGGGCCAAGGTCACAGTAGGTAGCAAAGTTCAAGAGACTCACTCTTTCCGAAAATTCTTTAATTGATTCGGCAAATACTTCATGAGCACCACTACATACCAGCCACTGACATAGACACTGGAGATTAAGTGACGAACAAAACAAACAGAAATCCCTGGTACATACCTTCATGGACTTTACCTTCTAAGATTAGTTGGAAAACCCTGCTTTGGCCCAGCACTCTGCAGAGTGTGTTCCTTAGGCAGGGCCCTGCTTGGGGATCAGGAGACTAGGCTGAGGTCTCAGTGCTGCTCCCAGTCCACTGTGGGATCTTAGATAAATCACTTCTCCAATCTGATCCTTGTTTTCCTCTTCCAGCTATGGGAGCAAATATGCCTGAACTGTTTACTTCTAAGCATGGTTGCCAGAATCAAATGTGAGAAGGAGGTTTAATTCAAAGCAAGTGACAGGTGTTGGGCAAATGTGATATAGAGAGGGTAGGCGGGAGCTTGTCTCCTCTGGTTGGATCCAGAAGGGATGCACTACCAGGTGCTCATGTATTTAGTGCAAGCTTCCTGCTCTCTCTCTCTCCACCCAGAGTCAACAGGGAAACAGAGGCAGCAGAGGACTCAGGCTGGGACTCCTGAGTGCGAGTAAGGAGTACCTAAAGCCGGCGAAGACCTCCTGAAGGCAACCTGGAGATTGGGGTTAGGATAGAGGAAGAAAGGAGCTCAGGGAAAGCCTCATCCCCAGCCAAACATCAGGGTTCCTGGATGGGTTGTCTAGAGGAGAGAACCCAGGGAGTGACCTCATCCCTACTCCATCTCCTATTAAATGAAAAAACCTAGGCCCTGCCATAACTGGAAAGCTCAGTATCACCTGCTGCATTTCACAGAGTCTGTCCAGGTGCTGGCCTTTAATAGTGCATGAAGAGCTGGGCTCTGGATGGTTGAAGCTGTAAAGCTGGATATACGGAAGTAGCCACAGCGGTCCTTCCCTGATCCCAAGATGTCATTCCCCTCCCCCGCCACCACCATGTCTTCAGGATCCTGGGCCTCAACGCTAATGTACCACTCAGCCCCTAAGGGCATGAAATGGGCTTTCAGACCAGGCTGTGTGGGGATGACCTGAAGAGGAAGGTGGACATGCTTAATAACCACTCCTTGTGGGTGGGTTGCCCTTAATGATTTACACAACGATGGGGCAGTAACTTCTCAACAACCTTGACAGGAAGGTTGCCCAGGACAGGGCAGTGAAGCCCCAGGCAGAGCCAGCGGCAGAACCAGAGAGAGAACACAGGCCTGCCTGTTCTTGCCCCACATGGCTGCTTTTCCAGCCTGAAGCCCTAGAGTGGTGACCCTGGTGGCCCTGAGGTGGGAGGAAGATGGGTCAAGGCCATCTTGGTCCTAAGGGAGGGCTGAGGGGGAAAGCTTGGATCCTAAAGCCCAAAGCTCCCTCCCTGGTATGTTGTGCTGGTGCCAGGAGAAGAACCCGCAGGCCCAGGCAAACTAGGCCACCCAACATTCCCAGGTCCCAAAGAACCCAGTCTCTCAAAACCTTGATTGGGCAGAGGACAGGCCCTAACAGGACCGGTTTTAGCCTTAGGATAAGATCGGAGGCGCAGGGGGCTAGCATTCCCCTTTCTTCCATAACGTGGAGGAGCTGCGGCTCCCCCGCCACCCTGCCCTTGGAGCTCCCTCCCCCGGAGCGCCCAGGCCCGCGGGCCGGGAAAAGCCCTCCCAAATCTGACCTGCGGCCACGGCGTCACCAGAGCCCGGGACTGCAACTTGTCTCCGGCCTGGCTGCCAGCTGGGCCCGCGGAGCCCTCTCTCGTCCGGTGCCTCTGCAGCTCTGCGCCGGGACGGGCGGGGCTGGGGGTGAGGAGGGGAAGGCACGGCCCGGCTCGGCTCAGCCACGGGGCGGGGCGCAGTGGGGCGGGATGGAGTCTGGCGCCTGGGGAGGCGCGGAGGTGCTTCCAGCGGACGGCAGCGCGCGAGGTGAGACGGCGAGGGCTCCCGGGGCGCAGGTAGAGATGTTCCGTCGGTGCCGAAGGCCCGGCTAGTGCGGTTGTGTGGACGGCGAAAAAAGCAAGTCCGCCTTCACAAGTCCCATGGGGCTGGGGAGAGGGTGGGAGGCGGAGAGGGTATGGGGAGGGGAGACTCTCCTCAGATCCTCTCGACACCGTCGGGTCTGGGCTCCAAGTCCAAGGCCATCGATCACCTGCCACCCACAGACCAGGCCAGGCGTCAAAGCAAGTCACCCATCCGACCTAAACCCCTCTAAGACCCCGGAGTCACGTCTCCCTCCGGGGATCCTCGTGAGGTCTTGGGGGTCCCACCGCCCTGCGAGCCGCGCCCGCGCCCCGCCAGACCCGGAACTGCGTCGCTAGGTTTGCGCTGGAGCTGCTGGGATTGCTGGGCATGGGTGGGGGGGCGCAGAGGAGGAGGGGGGATTGGAGGGACCTCTGCGGAGCTGGCAGACCCCGGTACTACTGTCCTGGCGCACCCAGCCCTTCTCTGTACCAGGCCGGGAGAGGGAGGCGGCGCCGCAGAGCCTCGGGTGCAGTCTGAGAAGTTTGGGAGTGACTTGAAGAGTGACTGGAAGCACCCCAGACCCGGTTTGTCCGGTCACAGCCGGGTCCTTACGTGAGTTAGGAGAGGAGTGGGGGTCGGACGGGAGCCCCACTGAGAGTAAGGGCGCGCGTTTGTTCACAGAACGTCGGGACCTGGTTCCCTCTTTAATCACACCCCCGGGGGCGCTTCGTGTGAGGTTCCACGGGGGAAGGCGAGAGGCGCAGGCTGCCACACACGCACTGTTTGGAAGAGGGGAAGGTAGGGAATAGTGGTCCGGGTGTGGGTGGTGGGGGATGCGGCTGCTTAGATCTGTGCGGTCCAGGTGATTTTGGAGGGGGTCTTGAAGTGCTTGCTCCCGCCCTGGCACCTAGGGCTGCACTTCCTGCTTTCATCCAGACCAAGTTCGGATCAAGTGGGAGTTCTTCAAAGAGAGAGTTTGGTAAGAAACTGGGGAGGCAAGGAAAACCTCTTAAGGCCATAAATGCCACAAGGTTTATAGACATCGAATCGCCATCCCAGTTTAACTCGAGTCTGGATACTTTGGCTTGCATGATTCTGCACCCTTGAATTCCTTATCCACATCAGCCCTTACTGGGGAATCCTGCCTCCAATCCACTTTTCAGATCTTGTTCAATTTCTCCACTTAACTCCTATTTTTGTGCAACAACACACATATACATTCATACACAGATACACACGTACACACAGACCCCTTCCTTGAAGAGGAAAGTCTAGCACAGGAGTTCCTGACAGGGTCCCCTTAGCTAGCCACAGCTGTAAACGTTTAATGGGGTCTACCCCAATCAGAGAAAAAAGCATCACATTGCAGTAGCTGTGCATTACCAATCAGAGGTCTTGGCAACTCCAGCCATGTCACCCACTCCCCACTTGTGGAGAATTAGTGGCCCTTACTCTATAGTTTCCAGCAGATGGGGGAGGTGGGCAAGGGGGAAGACTTCAGGAAAAAAGTCCTGTCAGGCTACAAGAGAGGCCACAAGACGTTAGCACATAACTTTGAATGAAGAAGGCTGGAGGTTGTTCTAGGCTGAATTTTCTTAAAGATTGTAACTTTATGTTTTACCCACCTCTCATACACACATAGGAACTCCACTTCAACCTGTGGTAGGTAAGGATTGGGTAATTGTGTCTATAATAAGATTGAGCATAAGGAAAGTCTTCAGTACATAAGGGAGCCTGGAAAGGGAGGATGCTGCCTCCTCCTCCCTAGGCCAGGTGAGAAAGGAGGACCCTAAAGTGTGGGAAACTCCCCCCACCCCATGAGAAAGCATCCCAATTTTGTCACAGGGGCCTGGGATGAAGTCTATATTACTGAGAATGACAGTCTGGGTGGTTCTTGCGTCTGTGTCTCTGTTTATCTAAATTTGTAGGTGCATATTTGACTGTATCTTGTGTCTGCTTATTTATATCAATGTACACTGTGCATACATCCTAGTCATGGTGATGAGGTAGGGGAGGAGTGGGTCAAGTTAATATTGATATGAGATTTTCTCACATTAAAACTAATTTTACTGTCAGATGTTACTTGACGAGCCAGAAAGAAAGATGTTCCCCAGGGAAACACAAGCGTTGTAGGAAAAGCAGGACTGTGGGGTGTGGGGTCTTCTCATTTCTGTCCCACCTCTTCATGCATGAGCCCTGTTAGCTTAATAATGAAAACAAAATTAGGGTCAGGGTCATGAAAAATTAACTTTAAATTAGGCAATGCAAATAAAGGAAGACCTAAGTTATGAAATGGAACAAGAAGAAATTAAGAAAGGCAAATTTCATTTACCAACTGTTTTTTTGCTTCTGTCATCTTTAATAAATATGACATTTTGGAGAACTGGAAATAAGTTAACATTGTTCTATACTTAAAATACGAAAAGCCTTTTGTTAGTGTTTCTTTTAAGCACATGTTAATAGAAATGAAACATTCTTGTAAATTTTTTTATAACCTCCCTTTAAAATAAATGCAGGAATAATATTTAACCCTGACCAAAATACATTATATTATCTCTTATTCACATATATTAAAAATACTCCTTTTTGAACTCCAGCGTATCACATGTGTTCTTGCTGTTAGCCTCGCTTTATCTTCTATCTTATTAGCCAAGATATTTTACATTTTATAGACCTTCCTCCTATGAACTTTTATTTAAAAATATAATAGCTTCAGTCTACATGTCATAAATAAAGAATTCTTACGTCAGTAAACATCTGCTTTAAAATAAATACCACTATCACATATTTTATAAAATAATTTAATACACGAATTCTTAGTTACTCATTTCAGCTAAGATTGAGATGTATGTTTCTGATTCAATTAAACATGAAAATTCATGTTTGGGTCTTTGTTAGTCTTGGAGACTCTAACTATTGGAAGAGGCTTTCTGAAAATTTTGAGAAATTACTAAAAGTTGACAGGGTTAGTCAAATCCCTTTGTGCCCAGTCCTTAGCTCTGTATTGGTGACACTCAGTTAATATTGAATTATTAGCACAGGGCAATAAGGGAGCATAGCTCCCCCTTGTGTGCAAAATCAGAAGCCACCTGTGGGGAGAGGAACTCATTCATATTTATTCATTTGATCCAGAGCCTGATTAGTATACTCTACATCCAGGGGATGCAAAGATGGAAAGATGAAATCTCTGCCCTCAAGGAGATTACAGTCTAATTGGGAGACAGATGTTCAGACAATTAGAGTACAATGTAATCATTGTTATCATGAAGGTATGTTCAAAATGCAATCAGAATGTTCAAAGTGGGAACCTCTACATTGGCCCAGTGGCATCAGAGGAAACTTCACAGAGGAGGGAACACAAACTGAGACTTGAAGGGTGAAAAGGCATTTGCCAAGAGAGTGAGTGCATTCCAGGCAGAGGAAATAGCATATCCAAAGGTATTGAAGGCTTGAAAGAGCGTGTCAGATTCAGGGAGAGGTCAGTCATTCAGTATGGCTATAGACTAGGCTGGGCAAAAGATGGAGACAGTATAGGTGGAACCGGGTTATAAAGCACTTTATGTGGGAAAGTAAGAAGATGAGATTTTAGCCAGAGCAGAGAAGTGAAATGATTATATTGGCTTACTAGAAAAAAAATTATTTTGGAACCAGGTAAGAGAGGATGAGCTTGGGTTAGGGCAGAGGCAGTACAGAAGGAAATGCATGGATAGTTTCAAGAAATATTTAGGAGGTAAGATGGTCCAGGTGTCTGGCTTATTTGATTGACCAGTGGTGATGTTGCCAAACATACAAAGACAATAGAATAAAAAGCAGGGCAGAGACAATGAATTCCATTTGAGGGGTTGTTAAAATTTCAGGCATCAAGGGAACATCCAAGTGAAAATGTCCACAGGGTGGTTGGCCCTTTTGAGTTTGGAGCTCAGGTAGGAGGACTACCTGAAGACATTTGAGAACCATCAGCCATGGGAATGGATGAGATTGCCCAGGGAATCTGGAATACTGCTAAAAGAAGAGAGCCACCACAGATTCCTGGGGAGCATCAACATTTAACAGGGAGGAAAAAGAACTAGTAGAGGAGCCACAAAGAGATGGCCAAAAGCAGGAGCCCCTGGAGAACATGGTGTGATGGAAGTGTAAGGAGGTAAAGTTTGAGGAAAGGGGGCATGGTCTGCAGTGTTAAATACCACAGAGAGGTCAAGAAGCATGAAAAGTGAAAACTGCCCTTTGGATTTAACACTTAGTGACCTAATGGAGAAGGCAGGGATGAGGAAAAGTCAGATTGTGGTAGGTTGAAGAGATAAGGCAATGGAAATGCCAATATACACTGTTTTTTCAAAAGCCTGGCTGTGACAGGAATAGAGTAAAATAGGATGGTAGCTGGAGGGGACCAAGAAGATCAAGGGAGAAGGTTCTTTTTTTGTGTGTTCTTAAGGTGGGAAAAATTTCAGTATACCCTTGAGAGAAGGAGCCAGCAGAGAAAAAGAAGCTGGGACGCTATGATGGGAAGGGGGACAACTGATGATAAAGGTGGTGGAGAAGGCAGGCATGAATGGCTAGAGCCCAGGAGGATGGATTCGCAGAATAGGAGAGAAGAGAGACGCCTATTCCTCAGGGATGGGAGAGTTGAGTAGTTAAGAAAAAGCAAAAAAGTTCATGTTAAAACTGACACTCAGGGATTAAGTGACTTGCCCAAAATACAGGATTAGAAGTTAAAACTGTCTGTCTTTCTGTCTCTTTGCCTGACACCATGCTACTCTCACAGACAACACAAGAAGGTGGCCAGCTTAGAAGGAGAGAGGAAGGCTGGGAGCTAGGGCATATTAGGAGGATCCCAGCATTAGAACTAAAAGGGACCTGGGGATTATGAAATCCATTTACAGATGAAGAAACCAAGGACTCAAGAGGTTGTCGCTTACCTGTCCAATATGACAATATTAGTAAAGAACAGAAACTAGTCCCAGAATGGATTCCAGCTCAGGGTTCTCTTCAAAAAAGATTGGAGAGGCCGGGCACGGTGGTTTATGCCTGTAATCCCAGCACTTTGGGAGGCCAAGGATGGTGGATTGCTTGAGATCAGGAGCTCAAGACCAGCCTGGCCAACATGGTGAAATCCCGTCTCTGCTAAAAAAAACTTAAAAATTAGCTGGGTGTGATGACCCGCACTTGTAATCCCAGCTACTCAGGTGGCTGAGGCATGAGAATTGCTTGATTCTGGGAGGCGGAGGTTGCAGTGAACCAAGATGGTGCCACTGCACTCCAGCCTGGGTGACAGAGCAAGACTCTGTCTCAAACAAACAAACAAACAAAATAATGGAACATAAGAACTTAATAAAAAATTTAAATGTACTCCATTTTTTATTTACTTAAAATAAAAAAAGAGATTGAAGAAAGAGATAAATGGAGTAACAAAATGCCCCCTCTTTCCCAACTTGATAGCTTATTTGTTTCCAGTACTATTCTCAGCACTTTATATACACAATCTCATTTCATGCTCACAATGATGCTTACAAGATAGACATTACTATCTCAAATTTTTAATAAAACTGGATGTCTGTAAAGGTCAAGTAACTTGCAAGAGGCAGAGGCAGAATTCAAACCCTCTGGGGCTACTTGACTCCCAAGCTTATTCTTTCATTATAACGCTTAATAAGACAATGTGTGGTCAGACTAAATTATGGAGCCTTCTGGGCAAACTGAAACCCCAGTACAGATCACACTGCATGAAATGAGGAAAACTGGGATCATTGACTCTAAGATGCATTTTTTTTTTTTCACATTCTGACATCTCTGAAATTAGGTACATCTCACCAGCAATGGTGGCCATGGTTTAATTGGCAAGACTTTTTTTCCCCTTTATTTGTGCTAAAATAGTAGTGTGTCATGCAATCCATTCTGTCTGAGATTTAACTAAACACATTAAGTTCAGGTACCATTTTCCCAATATCCTGTCTGCAAAAGAACAAATAAGAGTCAAACAAGTTCTCAGATCAGGGGATGGGCAGAGAAGACCACAGCTAGCGTTTGAGCTGAAACTTGGCCTGGGAATTTGAATCAAAGAGAAGGGCCATTGTTGGTAATGTGTGGAATAGAAGGACATCTGGCCCCAGCACTGCCTGATAGAGGGCAGGTGCCCCTTCAGTGCTTATTTAGGTGAACTCAGTGAAGCTCAACTGTTCTGCAGTTACCAGAACAAGAGCCAGGGTGCTTGAGAAAGCTGGACAGACCTGTGTGGGCAGTGCTAGGTCTGGAATTCAGTCCTCTGATGATGTGGCTGGATTATATACTTAGCAGAGAGCTGCCTGGCCTTTGTTCCTTTGGGGACTGAGGAAGAAAGCCAATCTTTTTGTAATCTGTACCATCTTTCACCTTATGCCTTCACCTGATAATATAGCTCCTTTTATGTTCTGTGATCTATCTGTGCTAGGGGCCTGAAGGAGAGAGAAGAGAATTTTATTTCTTGAGACAGTCCCAGAAGAAACAGAGAAGCCCCCAGGGTGGTGGTAGCACTGACTTATGGAACCTGGAGGTTAAGAGAGGAGAATGGGGCAACAGAGACTGATGGCAAAGACCCTCATTCTGTCACCTAAAAGATGGGGAGATGGATGGCTGAGGGGCAGTGGAACGGTGGTAATAGCAGAGTCTGATGATGCACAAAATGTGAGCTCCAGAGAAGAGGAACCTAGTCTGGCTCATTCTGTGCTGTATCTCCAGCACTAAAAACAGTGCCAGGTACATTGAGGGCATGCAATAAATGTCTATTGTTGTTGTACAGCATTGCCCCCCCTGCACCACCTCACCAAGATGGCTACTTTGGGACACACATTCCCCTTCTATGCTGGCCCCAAGCCAACCTTCCCGATGGACACCACTTTGGCCAGCATCATCATGATCTTTCTGACTGCACTGGCCACGTTCATCGTCATCCTGCCTGGCATTCGGGGAAAGACGGTGAGAAACCCAGTCCTGGAGACCCCAGCCCAGAGAGACCTCAGCCTCAGGCTGAGGGGTTCAGAGTCTCTGACTACAACCAGGCTAAGGAAGGAGACCCCAGTGCGGAGAAAAGATAGCCACGACCCCAGGCAGAAAGCTCCCCATTCATTGATTCAGCAGTTCACTATTGAGCGCTGGTGGGGCATGGTGGCTCATGCCTGCAATCCCAGAACTTTGGGAGGCTGAAGTGGGAGGATTGCTTGAGCCCAGGAGTTCGAGGCCAGCCTGGGTTTATAGTATAGACCTCATCTCTTAAAAAAAAAAAATAGCTGGGCATCATGGTGTGCATCTGTAGTTGCAGCTACTTGGGAGGCTGAGGTGGGAGGATCACTTGAGTGGCTGCAGTGATATAAGATCGCATCACTGCCCTCCAGCCTGGGCAAGAGAGTGAGATCCTGTCTCTAATAAATAAATAAATGCATACATAAATACATAAGCACTTATTATGTGCCAGACACTCTGATTTCAATTGACCAAGTGATCTCAGCTTTAGAATTCCCGCCCCTCCCCCAAGTCTGGAAACAGGAAGGGTAGATGTGGAAGGAAGGCACTCTTTACTTAACCCACCTACCTTGTGACTCAGAGGCTGTTCTGGCTGCTTCGGGTGGTGACCAGCTTATTCATCGGGGCTGCAATCCTGGGTGAGTGCGAAGTGCAGCTGACTTGGGCTGCTGCCTCCATCCCTTCAACTCCCTCAGCAGCCTGCATCTCCTCTCCTTGTTTCCCCACAGCGGTGGGCCCTTGCTTCAGGGTGGCTTCCAGACCCTGCCCATATGCTTCTCTCACCATGGCCTTATCTCCCCACTCTTACCCTTGCCTGGAGAGGTGTCACCCTGGAAAACAAGCTGGATGCATCTCCTCAACCTTCCTAACACTTTTATTCGGGGGAAAGGAGGTCAAAATGAATGTCTGTGGGGAGAGGGCCCCAGAAAGGAAGGGAGGAAATGGGAAACAGCTGTTTGCTTTAGTTTGGTGATGAGGCAAATAGGAGAGATGAAAGTCTCCGTGAGGCCGGGCACAGTGGCTCATGCCTGGAATCCCAGCACTTTGGGAGGCTGAGGTGGGTAGATCACCTGAGATCAGGAGTTCGAGATCAGCCTGACCAACATGGGGGAAACCCCATCTCTACTAAAAATACAAAAAATTAGCTGGGCATGATGGCAGACACCTGTAATCCCAGCTACTCGGGAGGCCGAGGCAGGAGAATTGCTTGAACCCGGGAGGCGGAGGTTGCAGTGAACCAAGATGGTGCCACTGCACTCCAGCCTGGGAGACAGAGCAAGACTCCGTCTCAAAGAAAGTTTTTGTTGAAGCTATCTGCGTTTGCCTTGCCTGGCATGGTTTTGGTTCATGTTTCCTTCCCAGCTCCCTGAGTGACTCTCCCTAAAGCAGGGAGAAAGGGAGGGAAGAGGTAAACAGAATATGGCCAAGGGAAATCCCACACATGTGGTTGGCAGACTTACCATGAGCCAGACCCTGGCTAGTTAACGGGTATCCAGTTATGACCAAAACAGACATGGACCCCTTGTATTTCTCCTTCTGACTCTAACCTAGTAATGCCCAGTCATCTCTGAGTTCCCATATGTCCAACTCCCCAACCACAGCTGTGAATTTCAGTTCTGAGTGGTCTGTGGGCCAGGTCAGCACCAACACATCATACAAGGCCTTCAGTTCTGAGTGGATCAGCGCTGATATTGGGCTGCAGGTCGGGCTGGGTGGAGTCAACATCACACTCACAGGTGAGGGAGGGCTCTTACCTGTGGTGGGGGGGAAGGCTCTGCCATCTTTGGGATCTATGTTTGGTGTGGTCAAAGAGCTATAGGATGCCTGGCACAGGGGCTGGGAGGATGTGTGAGGTGGGAGGTCAGAGGCATGGTAGGAAGGGAAATTCAGGGCCTTGGAAGCTACCTTCTCTCAGTTGAGACCACTTCCTGTCCCTCTGCCCAGTGTGGGTGAGTCCCTACCTAGGCCCCACTCTGGCCCTTGGGTTCCTGCTGAGCAGAGCTGCCTTGTGCCCTAGGGACCCCCGTGCAGCAGCTGAATGAGACCATCAATTACAACGAGGAGTTCACCTGGCGCCTGGGTGAGAACTATGCTGAGGAGTATGCAAAGGCTCTGGAGAAGGGGCTGCCAGACCCTGTGTTGTACCTAGCTGAGAAGTTCACTCCAAGAAGCCCATGTGGCCTATACCGCCAGTACCGCCTGGCGGGACACTACACCTCAGCCATGCTATGGTGAGGATGGGAAGGAGACGGGGTGGAGGCCCTGGTAGCCTAGATTCAGGAACAGGGTTTCTACCCATCTCTCCTCCACTCATGTGGGTATCTCAGGTGGGGTGGCCTGGCACCAGTCCCCATGGTGCTGGCTTGGGAAGTCCATGGGAAGGAATCCCTACCTCATATCTTTGGGTCACTCTTGGGTCCCTGAACCTCCGCCTGGGCCCATCCAAATTCACCAGCAGGTAGAAGTACCTGGGCCAGTCCTCACTGGGTCCTGGCTCTCCAGGGTGGCATTCCTCTGCTGGCTGCTGGCCAATGTGATGCTCTCCATGCCTGTGCTGGTATATGGTGGCTACATGCTATTGGCCACGGGCATCTTCCAGCTGTTGGCTCTGCTCTTCTTCTCCATGGCCACATCACTCACCTCACCCTGTCCCCTGCACCTGGGCGCTTCTGTGCTGCATACTCACCATGGGCCTGCCTTCTGGATCACATTGACCACAGGTAAGACCCAGCCCTAAAGACAAGCACTAGAAGTCTCAAGGCCAGGGAGGGAGGGCCTGGGGGCATCATGTCGGTAGAGTTGAGGGTCTGTTCCTGGAGGCCAGGATGGCTTTGCCCTCTTTAAAGTCCCACCCTCTTGTATCTCTTATCTCCTGATTTTCTCTCCCCAGTGCCACTTCCCCCCCCTCCTCAGAGATGCCCACTCCCTTGTATCTTCTCTGTCTCTGTCATCCCCTAACTCTCTTCACCCAGCTGCTTCTAAAATCTTCCAACCCCCTGTCCCCTCTTGCTTCCTCCAAATACCCTTCTCTGGGTCCCCATTCTTAAACCCTTCCCTGTCCTGCCTTACACATCCCTAAATTGTCCTGCAGTCTTATTCTCCTCTCCTGTCCCGCTGTCTACTCCCTCATGTGCCTCCTCATGCCTCCTCTGTGCCCTGCCCTTCCCCAGGGTTTTTTTCTTTTCTCTCCCTATTTTCAGAGTTCTCCCTCTCCCCCTTTCTCTCTCTCTCTCTCCCGGGATATAACAGAAGGAGCACTGGGCTTGGAGTCTGGAAACTTAGGACAACAGAGCCACACCAGCCACATGCCCCTCAGCCAGTCACCTCTCTGAGCCCAAGTTGCCCTGAAGCAGGGGCTCTAGGCTTCCCTTAGAGTTGTTCTGACACTCCCAGGGGAAGATATCCTCGGCAGGTGTTACTAGCACTAAGGTGGGACAATTGTTGCCCTCATCTCCAGGACTGCTGTGTGTGCTGCTGGGCCTGGCTATGGCGGTGGCCCACAGGATGCAGCCTCACAGGCTGAAGGCTTTCTTCAACCAGAGTGTGGATGAAGACCCCATGCTGGAGTGGAGTCCTGAGGAAGGTGGACTCCTGAGCCCCCGCTACCGGTCCATGGCTGACAGTCCCAAGTCCCAGGACATTCCCCTGTCAGAGGCTTCCTCCACCAAGGCATACTGTAAGGAGGCACACCCCAAAGATCCTGATTGTGCTTTATAACATTCCTCCCCGTGGAGGCCACCTGGACTTCCAGTCTGGCTCCAAACCTCATTGGCGCCCCATAAAACCAGCAGAACTGCCCTCAGGGTGGCTGTTACCAGACACCCAGCACCAATCTACAGACGGAGTAGAAAAAGGAGGCTCTATATACTGATGTTAAAAAACAAAACAAAACAAAAAGCCCTAAGGGACTGAAGAGATGCTGGGCCTGTCCATAAAGCCTGTTGCCATGATAAGGCCAAGCAGGGGCTAGCTTATCTGCACAGCAACCCAGCCTTTCCGTGCTGCCTTGCCTCTTCAAGATGCTATTCACTGAAACCTAACTTCACCCCCATAACACCAGCAGGGTGGGGGTTACATATGATTCTCCTATGGTTTCCTCTCATCCCTCGGCACCTCTTGTTTTCCTTTTTCCTGGGTTCCTTTTGTTCTTCCTTTACTTCTCCAGCTTGTGTGGCCTTTTGGTACAATGAAAGACAGCACTGGAAAGGAGGGGAAACCAAACTTCTCATCCTAGGTCTAACATTAACCAACTATGCCACATTCTCTTTGAGCTTCAGTTCCCAAATTTGCTACATAAGATTGCAAGACTTGCCAAGAATCTTGGGATTTATCTTTCTATGCCTTGCTGACACCTACCTTGGCCCTCAAACACCACCTCACAAGAAGCCAGGTGGGAAGTTAGGGAATCAACTCCAAAACGCTATTCCTTCCCACCCCACTCAGCTGGGCTAGCTGAGTGGCATCCAGGACGGGGGAGTGGGTGACCTGCCTCATCACTGCCACCTAACGTCCCCCTGGGGTGGTTCAGAAAGATGCTAGCTCTGGTAGGGTCCCTCCGGCCTCACTAGAGGGCGCCCCTATTACTCTGGAGTCGACGCAGAGAATCAGGTTTCACAGCACTGCGGAGAGTGTACTAGGCTGTCTCCAGCCCAGCGAAGCTCATGAGGACGTGCGACCCCGGCGCGGAGAAGCCATGAAAATTAATGGGAAAAACAGTTTTTAAAAAACAAAAGAAAAAAAGGTTTATTTACAGATCGCCCCAGGAGACTTTCCCTGGTGCCTGCGGATGTCCGAGGCCTCGCGCCAGCAGCGCTCAGTGCCCTTCCTGGAGCTCTCCTGGCCCAGGCCTGGCGGGCACTGCTTCCCGGCCTGCGATGTCCCAAGGCGGGGAAGGAGTCCAGATTGGGTCCCCCTCACAGGTTAGTGGTGATACATTTTAAGTCTGGGAGAGCGGCCTGCTTGTGCAGTGGGTCGCCGAGGATAAGAGGTGAGCCCCCTCTCTCCTGGCTGCAGTCCTTGGCGCTTTGGTCCAGAAGGGTGCGAAGAGCGCTGGGCCGAACATACTGGAGACTCACCACGGCCCCTCCGAGGAAGAGGCACAGGACGCCTGTGGCGGTGGGGATCGAAAGAAAGGAGGGCATGTGGAGTCAGGGCTATGTTGCCCAGGCTGGTCTCGAACTCTGGCCTCAAACGACCTTCCTGCCTCGACCTCCCAAAGTGCTGGGATTACAGGCGTGATGCCCGGGCCTTCTTCCATCTTTTGGAGCCTACCCCTTGTGTTACCTCCCGCCACACACCTCTAATCTGAATTACATGAAACACGGCAAGACACCAAACCCTTCTGAGCCCCCCACTTTTCATCTGTAAAATGGTCATAACAGTGCCTGTTTCTGCGAACTATTGAGAGGGGCAAATAGGGTAATAGATGTGAATTCATTCTGTAAACTGGAAAGTGCACACCCGGTGTGAATCCTGTCTCCACCCTTAGCCCCCGGGGCCCATTCTCTCGGTCCTCACCGGTTGCCAGCGTGACCCAGAAGGCGGCGCCGTACTGAGTGGTGAGCGCGGAGGAGCCTAGGCGGAGCGGGCAGAGCGGCACGCTAGAGATGGAGGCCAAGGCGAAGACCCCGAAGAGCGCGAAGGCTCCGGTGGTCAGCAGTGCCAGGCCTCCGTAGAGCGGGGCCGGCGTGGAGAGCAGCACGTTGGAGAGGAGCCAGAAGCAGAACGCCACCCTGCCGGGGAGTGGGGGGACCCGCTGTGAGCGGGCTTCTCCCAGCCCACCGGGGTTCCCACAGCTGCGCTCTTCTTTATCCCTACCCCAGCGTCAAAGCCAGGGACTGGGATGGCAGCGGTGCAGGGGAATTCCCCGGGGGAGAAGCGGGCTCCTGAGGTCCAGGCGGTGGCTGGAGTCTCTCCGGATTCCGTCTGTGCAGATCTCGTGGATCTTCTAACCCGCGAGGCTGTCATGCCCACCCCGAGCGCGTCGGGTCTGGCTGCAGCTGCTCAGCGCCTCCGAGGCCTGCATCCTCCCGCTCATACGGCCCAGCTCCTGGCACACACACACGTGCACACAGCCTTCCCTCCAGCACTTACCATAGCGTGGCCGAGGCGTAGTGTCCCGCCAGGTGGTACTGGTGGTACAGGCCGCAAGGGCTACTCGGTGTGAACTTCTCCGCCAGGTAGAGCACTGGGTCCGGCAGCCCCTTCTCCAGTGCGTTCGCGTACTCCGCGGCGTAATTCTCTTTCAGACGCCAGGTGAACTGCTCGTTGTAGTCAATGGTCTCGTTCAGCTGATGCACTGGGGTCCCTGTGGGGTGAGGCGGGCTCATGGGGCTGCCCGCGGTCGGAGACCTCGCAACTAAGCGGATTCAGACAGGAAAGTGGGGGTGTGGCGCTCTCGGCGGGAGAAATGGGTTCGGTGGTGGTTGGAGAAAACGCAAATCCACGAGGACCACAAGCTATTTGAGCTTGTGGGATGTGAGAGGCCCTCCAGCTATCCCTGACACACTCACCTAACCGGGGATCTCCCAGCTCCAGGAGTTCATTTAGCCCCAGCCCCCTCACCTGTGAGTGTAATATTAATGCCCTCCAGGCCCACGAGCAGACGGACACGGGCTGTAACGCGCGCTGCGCTGAAGGCTTTGTAGGATGTGTTGGTGTTCACTGTACCCACGAACCATTCTGCACTGAAGTGCACAGCTGTAGGGAAAGGCACACGGTGGGGGTGGGATGAGGGTGGGAAAATGGAATTAGAGAGTGGTATGGGAGGTGGGACACTGCAGAGAGATGGGGACTTAGAGGTCCAATGTGGTTGCATGGTAAGGGCCAAAAAGTGGGCCCTAGAAGGAGCTGGAGAGTGGGAAGAGGGAGCAGAAAACCAACCCCAGTTCCCTATTGTCCCAGGTGCCCTCTGCCCACCTCCTTCCTCACCCCGTCCTCTCCCCATGGGCTGCACCACACACTCACCCACAATTTCTGCGCCTATGAACAGACTGAGAAGAACTCTCACCAACCAAAACCAGCGCTGCAGGAATAGGCACCCGGGTCAGGCCTGAGCCCTGCCAAACCAGAGTCCCCAAGACCACCCTTGACCCCACTTCACCTGGATCTTTAGTTATATCCAGACTTTTGAGACTAATGTTAGGCACGCTTTTCCTGCAAGTCCCTCTGGGCTACTGGCATTTCTGATATTTTGTGACCACGCACTTTCACCTCCCTAGCCCCATTTCCCATCTACCCTAACAGCACCTCCCCTCCACCCCCACTTCCTGGCACTCTTCCACCACCTTCACTCCCCTAGCTGTCTGGCGCCTGGTCCTGGTTCTGCCTCCTGGTCCAGTCACTGCTTGGTGAGGCTCAGTGAGTCCAGAAGTGCTAGGCACGCAGGGGTCACCTCCCTCAGAAGAGGGAGGCCCCAGCCTGATCTCCGAGGGGAGGAGGTGGGAATGCAGATACTCCTAGGTGCACCAGTTCCAGGGAAAGCAACACAGATTAAGATGCAGAAAAGCTGGGTCCTCCCAGAACTGAAAAATGCACAACCTAGGTTCTGGGAGAGGGGGAAAGTCTAAGACAATGCACCCAGTTGGCTCCAACTTCTAATCCAATGTGGGAGTCTCAGTCCTGAGGATGAGGCACCCATACACATGTGTCTCAACCCAGTGCAAAGGGGAACACTGCAGTCTGAGCTGCTGGCATCTGTCCTTTTGGCCTGAAGGTCATCACCCACCGGATGGGATGAGAGTGCAGCTTTAGTCCTGGGAGAGGTGGGAGGCCCTCCAGCACAAGAAGCCTAGACTGTTCCTCAGGATTACTGGACTGGGTGCCCATTCTCTGCAGCAGCCTTCCCAAGGACCCAGCTGGGGTCCTTCTCCAGGATATCCTGGATGGGGAGCTCTCCCTATCCTTGGAAAGGGGTGCTTGCTGCACCAGACTCCTGACTTCACTCCACCTGAGCCTCAATTCGACTATTCATGGAGGCTCTTGTACAGTCTTACCTGTCCTGGGTCCCTCAGGAGACAATCTGCCCATGAGCCTTCCCCCACTCTACCTGCACTATGAGGACACCCTTACCGAGTGGCCACGGATCCCCGGCAAGATGAGCAGGAAGCTTGCTGCTAGAGCCAAAAACACTAGAATAACGATGAGCAGTGGAACGCTGAAGCCTGCGGCATGCCGGGGCTGGGGGTAAAAAGGCAGTACGCCGTTCCACAGGGTCATGCTGCACGCCGGCCGAGTGCTGCACGCAGGCGGGCAGGCAAGCCAGCAAGCTGGGGCTGCCTGGACGCGGGAGAGCGCGTCCTTGGCGTCTCTTTGCGTACAAGGCTGGGACCGAGTGGGCTGGTGAAGTCTGAGTCCTGCACCTCTCCGTTAAGGAAGCGTGGAGGTGGGCTGCTCTCAACGCTCTGGGGTTGGTACCGACAGAGTTTTTCTAGCCGGCGAGCGAAACTATTTCTCACTGTCTGTAGCCGTTACTTTCCTGGTTCTGCGGGTTGGCGCTGAGTTTGGAAGTCGCGCGGGACCCCTTTTATAGCAGCGTGGGCGACGTGCCACACGGGTGTCCCAGCCCAGGGGCTGGTCTGAGCTGGAAGAGGTTGTGCAAATAAGGGCCCCACCTCCACGGCAGGAGGGTGAGCCCTAGGTCCAGATGCTCACACTGGCGCAGGTCTGTCCTGAGCCGACACCTGCACAGTGGCGAGACCAAGGACCCAGAGAGAAAGGTGAGAGTGCAGCCGGGGAGGCTGAGGATCGGCGGAGCTGGAAGAGTGAGGGTGAAGGCAAGAAGTAGAGCACAGAAGCAAAGATTTTAAGAGGAAAGAAGACATCTGAACCCAACACCACCCTAAACCACAGGTTAGACCAGAGTTTGGGATCTGACCCTAGCCCTCGCCCATCATGCACAGGCGTTCATTGCAGAAGGGGAGTTTATTGGGGAAGGGGGGATTCATTGTGGAAGGGTGCTGCAGTCCCTCACTCCCAGGTCAGTAACCTTTTTCCCTTCCCTGCCTCCTGGAGGAGAAGCGGAGCCTGACGGATCGGGGGCGGGTGGAGGTGAAACATTGGAGACATTGGGCACACCCTGGGAGGCTTGACCAGTCCTGCCCTGGACTGACATGCCCCAGAAGACTCCTGCCCAGTGGGTTCCTATGGTCGGGGGTTAACTCTCTGATGGGGTGGCGGATGGGGAACAGTGTCAATGCCTCCAGAGCTGCCAATTGTCCTGGAAAGAGTGGCGTTTGGATGAAGGTCCTCGGTGATGCTTCTAACAGCTACCTTCCAGAAGTGGAAACAGCTGGTGCTCCTCCTCCAGTACTAGCTGTAGGAACAAGAGGGGAGGCATAGAGGACGCCCTAACAGTGGCTTTCGCATACCACCTACCACCCCCACCCTCACCCCGCAGGCTGCAGGGTTGGCATGCTCCGTGCAAGACCAGAGGCACTGATGCTCCTGGGAGCTCTTCTGACTGGATCCCTGGGTCCATCGGGCAAGTATCAGGCTCCTCTAGCGGCGGGGTGTTCCCCAGGATCCCTGGGAGGTGGGGCGGGGAGAGGTGCGGCAAGCGGCTCCCTGAGACTGGAAGGTCATTTCGCCGTGCAGCTCAGCGGGATGGGAAACTTCCCAGTGCGGCCCGACACTTGGGTCCGGTTAGGGGCGCTCCGCGAGCTGGGGAAGGACTGGCCAAGGCCTTCGTTGCTCGGGAGGGGTAGCTGGGAGCGTAGTGCTGAGGAGGCCCTTCTCTGTGCCCACAGGCAGTCAGGACGCACTCTCACTGCCCTGGGAAGTGCAGCGCTATGACGGCTGGTTTAACAACCTGAGGCACCACGAGCGTGGTGCTGTTGGTGCGTTCTGGGGGCCCGGGCGTGCTGGGGCCGTGGCTCGCGAAGGGCCGGGGCGCGAAAGGCCCTGAGCGGGGAATCTGCGGGGAACACGCGCCCAGCAGCTCCGCTGCCTACACAGCGCAATCTTATGCGCTCCCGGGGCCAAGAGACCCTTGAGGGAAGGTTCTGTCAGTGAAGTGGGATGGGGGTTGAGGGAGGCTTAGGGAGAGGTTTGGGGGATCCTAGGGGATGGAGTGCTTAGACAGAGCCCCGCTCCCTGCCTCCGCAGGCTGCCGGTTGCAGCGCCGCGTACCAGCCAATTACGCCGACGGTGTGTATCAGGCTCTGGAGGAGCCGCAGCTGCCCAACCCGCGCCGGCTCAGCAACGCAGCCACGCGGGGCATAGCCGGCCTGCCGTCGCTCCACAACCGCACCGTACTGGGGGTCTTCTTTGGTGAGGGCAAAGGGGGAGACCAGTGGGGTTGATCTGGCGCTCTGCTCAGCCTGGGGGAGGGGCCAGATCCCGTCTGCGAGTCCACAGGAGACCCATCCGACTCCCAACCACTTCCTCTCTACGCAGCACTTCGAGACTGCCTTCATCTCGGAGAGATTTTGGGATGTTGATACAGAGATATTTGCTCTGTATCTAACCTTTCTCTTACGCCTTATTCCAACCTAGGGGTGTCACTGGACCCCCATTATAGCTCTTGGGAACTGAGCTCCCCAGCCACCGCTCTCCTCACCGTGTGTTTGTAACCATTTTACCTCCCCCTAGCCCAGAGGGAGGAGGACTGACTTGGGGTACCCCTACATAAATTATATCATTTTGATTCTCACAACAGCTTTATGAATTGAGTAGGAAGGGAACTCACTATAGTCTTACTTTGCAGATTAGAAAATTGAGGCTACCTGGGGCTAACGTGCAGAGCTGGTGGCGGAGCTGGCACTGGGACCTCTGTCTTTTGGCTCCTGAGGACACTTGGAGGCCGCCCTGGCCGTGGGGAGGGCGCAATACGGACGGTTTGTCACGTATTGGCGCCCCATGCCCGCAGGCTACCATGTTCTTTCCGACGTGGTGAGCGTGGAAACGCCCGGTTGCCCCGCCGAGTTCCTCAACATCCGCATCCCACCTGGAGACCCCGTGTTCGACCCCGACCAGCGCGGGGACGTGGTGCTGCCCTTCCAGAGGAGCCGCTGGGACCCCGAGACCGGACGGAGTCCCAGCAACCCCCGGGACCTGGTGAGGCGGGGAAGGCGGCGGGAAGGGACCGCACCCCAGCCAGGTGGGGCCTGGGCTTCGGGCCTGGCAGGGCCTGGAGGGGAGAGGCGCCCACTCCCCAGCCGCGGACACCCGCCGGGCCCCGGCCTTCCCTGGCCCGCCGCCGCCTCTCGACCCGGGCTCACCCGCCGCGTGCCCCGCAGGCCAACCAGGTGACGGGCTGGCTGGACGGCAGCGCCATCTATGGCTCCTCGCACTCCTGGAGCGACGCGCTGCGGAGCTTCTCGGGGGGACAGCTGGCGTCGGGGCCCGACCCCGCTTTCCCCCGAGACTCGCAGAACCCCCTGCTCATGTGGGCGGCGCCCGACCCCGCCACCGGGCAGAACGGGCCCCGGGGGCTGTACGGTGAGGCCACAGGGGCGGGACGGGGCCGGCTGGGGGTCTGCGAGTGTGGGCTCCCCCGATCACGCTACCGCTCGTCTCCTCCCCTGCGCCCCCACGTCGGATGCAGCCTTCGGGGCAGAGAGAGGGAACCGGGAACCCTTCCTGCAGGCGCTGGGCCTGCTCTGGTTCCGCTACCACAACCTGTGGGCGCAGAGGCTGGCCCGCCAGCACCCAGACTGGGAGGACGAGGAGCTGTTCCAGCACGCACGCAAGAGGGTCATCGCCACCTACCAGGTCAGCCGTCCGCGCCCCGCGACGTCCTCCCTTCCGCGTGCAAGCCCACGGGAGACTCCGCTGCCCCATGGAGCTCCCCATCTGTGGACAACCGCCACCCAGAAACCCCTCCCCAGACAGCCGAGGTCTAGGGAAGCCCCTGTAAATGATAGGGAGGCACGCGCTGTTTATAGGAGAAATCTGGCTGGTGATGATTATTTATCACCTCCCCAACCCCCACTCCCTCAAATCCCCTGGTTCCTTGTGGGGACAGGCCTCACACTGCTCCTGTCTGAGTTGCTTCTCCCATGATTGACCCTTCCTGGTCTCATCTCCACACGGAAGCCGTCCTTGGGCTCAGACCCTTCCAGGCCCCACACCATCCAACTTGTGCCTCCCCTCGCCCCTCTCTGCCCCTCAGAACATCGCTGTGTATGAGTGGCTGCCCAGCTTCCTGCAGAAAACACTCCCGGAGTATACAGGTGAGGGAGCGGGGAAGGAGGACACCTGTGCGGAGAATCCTGAGGGGAAGGAGACAGGTGCCTGTGATGGGAGGATGTGGAGGCAAGAAGCCTGTCTCCCCATCATCACCGTCTCCTTCCTGCAGGATACCGTCCTTTCCTAGACCCCAGCATCTCCCCGGAATTTGTGGTGGCCTCTGAGCAGTTCTTCTCTACCATGGTGCCCCCTGGTGTCTACATGAGGTGAGGGAGGGGTTGGCAGAGAGGGGCACCACACTAAGAAAGGTGCAGAATGAGCTGCCTTGGGGGCTGGGGCCTTTCACACTCCTTCGCAGTTTCACTAGAGAAGGGGAAGCAAAAATTTGGGGCCCTGAAACAGAACCCTGGGGTAAGATGTGTAGGCTTAGTAGGGAAATCTCTCCAGCTCTCCTAAGGGCTGAAATTTGGTGGCTGGGTGTAGGATTTGTCTAGCAGCTGGGTCATTCCCTTCCCTCCTCTCCCCACCCTACCTGGACTAGGAGCGCACTCTATCTTCAGTAAACGCACATCACCAAATCTCTGCCGTGTTCAAGGAAGTTCCTGGGCCACTGCTCAATCCTAGTGAACCCCCACTGAGTCCCTCAGCCCACTCAACCCCATCTTTGATTCTTCTCCAAATTCCCTCACCACATCCTTTGTTCTCAATTTCAGAAATGCCAGCTGTCATTTCCGGAAGGTCCTGAACAAGGGTTTTCAAAGCTCCCAAGCTCTCAGGGTCTGCAACAACTACTGGATTCGGGAGGTCAGACTGGGGTCAGGGTCAGGGGAAGATGGGTCAAGGTCAGTCTCTTCACACAGGCTGGGAAAAGCAACAATCCCAGTTCTTGAGTGTTGCTGCCCCAGGTTCATGGGAGATGAAGGGTAGAGGAAATTATCCGGGGACAACAGTTCAAGAGAGTCTGGGACTGGCCAAGGGCCCTTTGTCCTGGGGTACTAAAGTGGTCCAGGCTGAGAGAGACCGAGTTTTGGGTAGAGGCCTATCTTGAGTGCATTGTTTACTTCCAGAACCCCAATCTGAACAGTACCCAGGAGGTGAATGAGCTGCTGCTGGGAATGGCCTCCCAGATTTCGGAGTTGGAGGACAACATAGTGGTTGAAGATCTGAGGGGTGAGCTCAGAGCCAGAAGGGGTGGATGGTAAGGGACCAGGAAGCCTGAGGATCCCTCTGGGTTCATCAATAGCAGACCTAGGGCGCTCACGATGCAGGAACACAGATACAAACACAGACTTCAAGGAGCCATAAGAAGAAAATGAACTTTGAACTTTTTTTTTTTTTTTGCTTAATTTACACTTTTGTGTTGCTTTTATTTTAAATTAACTATGTCTGAGTATTGGGGAGGGGTGGTACCACAATCTCTTTGGTGCTTAATTAGGTCTCTAAAGGTTTTCATTCAGCCCTGTCTTGAAACTAGGGAGGCATAGGACAGGGAATTTACTGCTTGGTGACTAGAACAGTCTTGAGTCTTAGAGGAAGGGTCTTACTGGAAAAACTGGCTCTGATCACCCATGGTGACATTGGCCTTGCAGCAAGGCAAGGTCAGCATGGGCACAGATCTCATGTGGATCACTGGGGGTAGCCAGGAGGGAAGAACCGTAGTGCCAATAGTCAGATACAAGGCTGCAGGGCAAAAAAGGATGGAGAGGACAAAGCCCATAGTCTAGTCTTCTCTCCTCTTCAGATTACTGGCCTGGCCCTGGCAAATTCTCCCGTACAGACTATGTGGCCAGCAGCATCCAACGTGGCCGAGATATGGGGCTGCCCAGCTATAGCCAGGCCCTGCTGGCCTTTGGGCTGGACATCCCAAGGAACTGGAGTGATCTCAACCCTAATGTGGACCCCCAGGTCAGGAATAGTAATGATAATAATGGCAGCTAAAGCTTTCCTATGGCAATACTGTTCCAAACCCTTTACATATGTTGACTCATTTAATCTACATAATAATATTGTAAGGTATGTATAATCATTTTCCCCATTTTACTGATGACATAGTTGGTAAATCATAGAGGAGGGACTTAAATTCAGCCATCTGATTCCAGAATATATTCCTAACCACTGCATTGTACCATTCCTGCAGGGTGGCTTCTGGGTTGGGTGCCATTGTCCTGTTGCTGCAGGGTCCCACCCCAAGGGCTGTGTGCCCCTGAAGCTGCTAATCATTGAGGTCAGGCAGGCTGGTGATGGTCACAGGATATGGTCCTAGGGCACCTGACCGTGGTGTTACCGTGGGTAGGGACACACTGATCCTTCCACCAGACTTGTCCTGCCTGAGGGGGCTTGCCTAAGAAGAGGAAATCAGGCCTGAGCAGCAGCCAGGCAGCGGCTGAGGTTCTGTGCCCGAGGGATGGGGCAACAGTGGCTGCCCTCCGCAGCAAACATACGCTCACCCCTTATCTCCTGTGGTGCCCCAGGTGCTGGAGGCCACAGCTGCCCTGTACAACCAGGACCTATCCCAGCTAGAGCTGCTCCTTGGGGGGCTCCTGGAGAGCCATGGGGACCCTGGACCCCTGTTCAGTGCCATTGTCCTCGACCAGTTTGTACGGCTGCGGGATGGTGACCGCTACTGGTTTGAGAACACCAGGAATGGGTAAGGCTTGCCTGGGCCCCCACCTCAGACTGCTCCTCAGCCTGAGCCCCAGACCCTCTGTCTAGCCTTAGACAGCCCCTATGAGCCCTTGATTCCCAGTCAGCCCACCACACCCTTCCCAACCCCTCTGGGTCTCTCTTTTTTTCTTCTCTTCTCTTTTTCTTTTTCTTTTTCTTTTTTTTTTTTTTTTTTTTTTGAGGCAGAGTCTAGCTTTGTCACCCAGGCTGGAGTGCAGTGGCGTGATCTTGGCTCAATGCACCCTCTACCTCCCAGGTTCAAGTGATTCTCCTGCATCAGCCTCCCAAGTAGCTGGGATTACAGGCATGCACCAACATGCCCGGCTAATTTTTTTAAAAAATATTTTTAGTAGAGATGGGGTTTCACTATGCTGGTCAGGCTGGTCTCGAACTCCTGACCTCAAGTGATCCACTCGCCTTGGCCTCCCAAAGTGTTGGGATTACAGGCATGAGCCACTGCACCCAGCCCCTCTGGGTCTCTTTTCTCACCTGGGTCCTTGGGCCTGGGGTTGCTGGAGGCCTGCATCCCCTTCCCATCCCAGTGACTTCTACTTCCTCCAACTTAGGCTGTTCTCCAAGAAGGAGATTGAAGACATCCGAAATACCACCCTGCGGGACGTGCTGGTCGCTGTTATCAACATTGACCCCAGTGCCCTGCAGCCCAATGTCTTTGTCTGGCATAAAGGTGAGTGCCGTGGGAGAACACAAGTGAGTGACAGTGGCCAGAGAAGGATCAAGATTGAGGGTGCGGGGGAATCACTTGGTGCTGTCCAGGGAGCCAGGCACCTTCTGTGTTGGGCTAGGAGGCCTGCATTTGGCTGGCTCCCACAGCAGGGACCTCAACTAGCACACAAGCTACACCCTACAGTCAAGAAGGGGTGGATGGGGTAGATGCCAAGAGACAGGAAATGAATGGGGACTTTTTGAGGGAGACAGTTTCAGGGAGGTGGGCCTGGGGAAGACAGATGATACCTTGGTCCTTTATAGGATAGAGGGGAAAGAGGTCTGGCCACATAGCGGGATCCTCAGACTTTGAGGTCTTCCCTGCCCTCTCCCTCAGGTGCACCCTGCCCTCAACCTAAGCAGCTCACAACTGACGGCCTGCCCCAGTGTGCACCCCTGACTGTGCTTGACTTCTTTGAAGGCAGCAGCCCTGGTTTTGCCATCACCATCATTGCTCTCTGCTGCCTTCCCTTAGGTGAGCTCTTAGGCAGCCTCTCTGCAGACTGGCCCTGCCCCTCATTTCCTGCTGGCCTGAGGGGCTGGCTATTTGGTACCGTTTGAGACCAGGCTCAAGGAACCTCTGGAAGGGAGGGGCCATAGCCTAAGCCACAGTGGAGCTCTAGGTGAGGGGCTCCCTCCTCACTGTTCCTTCTGATCCACTTCAGTGAGTCTGCTTCTCTCTGGAGTGGTGGCCTATTTCCGGGGCCGAGAACACAAGAAGCTACAAAAGAAACTCAAAGAGAGCGTGAAGAAGGAAGCAGCCAAAGATGGAGTGCCAGGTGAGCAGGGGCTGGGCAGAGGAGGGAGGAGGGACGGAGGAGGGGAGAGACAGGAGTCTGGGAGAAAGAACCAAGTTACAGAGTGAGAGGAAAGCCAAGGCACCTTTAGGGCGCCTGCTCAGACTCACAGAGGAATTGACCTGAAGGCGGGGACCTGGGGACATCTGCTGAACTACCCGGCCCAATTATCCCTTCCCCAGCGATGGAGTGGCCAGGCCCCAAGGAGAGGAGCAGTCCCATCATCATCCAGCTGCTGTCAGACAGGTGTCTGCAGGTCCTGAACAGGCATCTCACTGTGCTCCGTGTGGTCCAGCTGCAGCCTCTGCAGCAGGTCAACCTCATCCTGTCCAACAACCGAGGATGCCGCACCCTGCTGCTCAAGATCCCTAAGGAGTATGACCTGGTATGGCTCGTCCTGCCTCCCCAGCCTGGGCTGCCCTCACACGACTCCATTATCACAAGCGAGGCCACCCTATCCTCAGCTACAGAGCTCAACTATGACAGCTGATGCTGGGGAGAGGGGCTCCTTTCAGAGGCCCCCAGACACAACCTGACCCCCTTCGTCCACACACCTGGCCCCAGCCTGGATGGATGGGGAGGAGTTTTCTCTCCTCCCCTCAACCCAAGATCCATTGAGGGGAGGCTGAAGCAGAAGGTCCAGCGAGCTCCCTGCGTCAGTGCCGCCTTCCTCCCACCCAGGTGCTGCTGTTTAGTTCTGAAGAGGAACGGGGCGCCTTTGTGCAGCAGCTATGGGACTTCTGCGTGCGCTGGGCTCTGGGCCTCCATGTGGCTGAGATGAGCGAGAAGGAGCTATTTAGGAAGGCTGTGACAAAGCAGCAGCGGGAACGCATCCTGGAGATCTTCTTCAGACACCTTTTTGCTCAGGTGCCATGACCTGTGCCTTTTGGAGATGGGTCCAGCCCCAGAAATGGAGGAAACCTGGGCTGCATAGAACGCCCCTGTGGGTGAACTAAGCTTCCGCTCTATGGCCTGGAGAGAAATAGCCTTGTTTGAATCCTGGCATTGCCACTTTACTTAGCTCTGTGACCTTAGGCAAGTCACATTATCACTGTTCTGTATCTCTGTTTCCTCATCTATAAAACAGTGATGAAAACTGTATCCATCCCATTGCATTGTTGTGAGGATTCGGTGAGATCGTCTACATGAGTGGTACACAGAGGTTGGCCTCTGGACCCGAGAGCATCAGCCTCACCTGGGAACATGTTAGAAATGCACCTACCCAGTTAGACTGAACCAGGAACTCTGTGGGTGGGGCCTGGCAATCTGTGTTTTAACAAGCTCCCCAGATGATTCAGATACACTCTAATGTTTGAAAAACATTGTTTTATGTACAGTGCTTATTGGCCCAAGTGCCAGGTATGTTGCAGGCATTTAACAAACGGTTGTGGCCAGGCGCAGTGGCTCATGCCTATAATCCCAGCACTTTGGGAGGCTGAGGCGGGCAGATCACCTAAGGTCAGGAGTTCGAGACTAGCATGGCCAACATGGTGAAACCCCATCTCTACTAAAAATACAAAAATTAGCTGGACGTGGTGGCTCACACCTGTAATCCCAGCTACTTGGGAGGCTGAGGCAGGAGAATCGCTTGAACCCGGGTGGCGGAGGTTGCAGTGAGCCAAGATCATGCCACTGCACTCCAGCCTGGGTGACAGAGCAAGACTCCATCTCAAAAAAACAAACAAAAAACAATAAATGGTTGTTACATGCGACTTTTAAACTTTTTGTGCAATGGGCAAATCATAGGCACATGGCAGCCTTATCTGAATTGGCAAGAGAGCACAGCCCCAGCCCCTTCCTGCCTGTCTACCACCATGTCTCTACATCTTCTGTCCCCAGTATAGGCTCTCTCACTTTCCATTCCCCTTAACTTCGCCCTTCCCCTTCCCTACCCCAGCACCATGCCCACTGCATGAAGTTCCCGGTTCTTGGGCCCAGGGAGAAATGGGCAGGCTGCTAGAGATTTGATTCCCCCGTCTATAGGACAACAGAGGCCCCAGTCAGTATATCTAAGGATCAGGAGAACCATCAGAGTTTAGCCTTTCTGATTTGGACTTTGGGGAGATATGAAGGGTCACTGAACTGCTTCCAGCATAGGCTTCACCTCCTTCTCTTTCCCTCCCTCTGCTGCTGCCCGAGTGCAGGTGCTGGACATCAACCAGGCCGACGCAGGGACCCTGCCCCTGGACTCCTCCCAGAAGGTGCGGGAGGCCCTGACCTGCGAGCTGAGCAGGGCCGAGTTTGCCGAGTCCCTGGGCCTCAAGCCCCAGGACATGTTTGTGGAGTCCATGTTCTCTCTGGCTGACAAGGATGGCAATGGCTACCTGTCCTTCCGAGAGTTCCTGGACATCCTGGTGGTCTTCATGAAAGGTAGGGGGCTGGGAGGTGGCAGGCTATCCAAGAATCCAGGGGTCTTTCAGCAAGGAGATGACCTGCATTCCCTTTTTTCTTCCCAGGCTCCCCAGAGGATAAGTCCCGTCTAATGTTTACCATGTATGACCTGGATGAGAATGGCTTCCTCTCCAAGGACGAATTCTTCACCATGATGCGGTATGGGGTGTGCCTTTCTAATCCTGAGACTTCCTGGTGTGTTTCAAACAGGAAAACAGGTCCAGTCAGAGGAGGGCTGGCAAAGAGGCTCTGTGGTCATCTGTGCTGAGAGGTGGCCTAAACACTACATCCTAAACTCTCAGAGCATCCACCTTCAAATATTTACCTGACTGGCTCCTGCCTCTGGGAGAGTCTCTGTCTGGACTGTCAACACCAGCCAGAAAAGCCTCCCTAGTTAAAAAACGAAAAAAAAAAACCCAACACCAATATGGCCAACGACAAAAATCCACTAATCCCTTTTGGATGCCCTTGGATCTTTGTGAACTATTTTACGGCACGCCCAACACCGTGCTCTACCCAGTGAAACAGTGAATGGATGACCTTGGTTGCTGCTCCGCTATTCATCACCATGATAGTCAGGAAGAGAAACGTGGAAGGCTTCTCCATATTCCAACCATTCTTTCTTCCTGCATCTTAAGCCCTTTCTGGTTTTGTTGTGCCGGTAAAAAAAAACAGCTTTGTGCTTCTCATTCCTGAAGACAATGAATGCGTCAGTAACACAGCTCCCCTCCATGCCATAAGGGCAGGGCTTGTTCCCTGTTGAATCCAGCTTCTCTACACTGTGATTGGCACAGGGCAGGCATTTCATACATAACTAACTGAGTAAGACAAAATGAAATAAGTGAGCAAATGAATACAAAGTATAGATGTAACAGCCCACATTATTTCAATTTTTCTATCCTGTTAAGCCTTAACATTGCTTTAAGCATTCCCCTTAACTGCTACATTCCTCATATGGTCCAGATACCCCAACTGGACAAGGGCTTCTGAAAGGGCAAAGCTATTGCAGTCTGTACCTCACTGGGTATGTCACTGCAGGCCCAGCCCGAGGTGAGGCTCAAGGGAATCTAGGAGAGGGTCCCTGCCTCCAAGGGCTGAGTTCCCACCTTCTTTTTTTGGTTTGTTTGTTTGTTTGTTTTGAGACGGAGTCACTCTGTCACCCAGGCTGGAGTGCAGTGCCACGATCTCGGCTCACTGCAACCTCCACTGCCCAGGTTCAAGTGATTCTCCTGCCTCAGCCTCCCAAGTAGCTGGAATTACAGGCATGTGCCACCACGTCCAGCTAATTTTTGTATTTTTAGTAGAGATGGGGTTTCACCATGTTGGCCAGGCTAGTCTCGAACTCCTGACCTCAGGGGATCAGCCCGCCTCAGCCTCCTAAAGTGCTAGGGTTACAGGCGTGAGCCACCACACCTGGTGAATTCCCACCTTCTTGTCCTGTAACTCAGCGTGTATCTTGCTTACTGTCGGTGGGACGATGTTTTTAATGTGATGGTTGTGCTTGCTGTGTTTTATGGGCCCAGCATGGCACAGCATTGCTGCCGGACCTACACAAACTTGCATAGTCTGTCTTTTCTGTCCCGAGGCACAACCTATGAATAGAGCTTGGCTACTGCAGGTGCCACTGTGGGTGCTATCAGGTTGGGCATGGAGACGCTCCCGCCTGTGCCCCGGGGTGTTGGCACAAGGAAGCAGCAGCATTGCAGCTAGTTCCCCTCCCTGGCACCTGGCTGCCTGGTGCCCCCACTGGACTATGAAAGGGGGAATCCAGGGGTGATGTGGGAGGCATCAACAGAAGAGAGTGGACAGAGAGCCTGCCACGAGAGAGGGCCATGCACACCCTGGACACCCCTGCACTCAGTGGACTATCTTCTCAGTTGTAGATGCCCCCTGTTTGAGGGCTGCTTTCTCTGATTGGTCAAGGTCACTTTCAATTCTGTTCTGCCTTTTGAGTCCATGGCTACCCCACCCAGCTTAGTGTCAGCGGCAGGCTGGATGAGCACCTTCTCAGTGCCATTTCCCGGGTCACTGGTAACCACATTAGATAATCTGGGGCCTGCCCCACCCTGCACCTACCCAAGCCTGACCTTGCTGGGTGACAGGCTGCTGTGTCTCTGGTCCTCCTCCAGATCCTTCATCGAGATCTCCAACAACTGCCTGTCCAAGGCCCAGCTGGCCGAGGTGGTGGAGTCTATGTTCCGGGAGTCGGGATTCCAGGACAAGGAGGAGCTGACATGGGAGGATTTTCACTTCATGCTGCGGGACCATGACAGCGAGCTCCGCTTCACGCAGCTCTGTGTCAAAGGTGGAGGTGGAGGTGGAAATGGTGAGTGTGTGAGGAATGGTTGGCGTCAGGGAGGGGGGGCGTGTCCTCAAAATGAGAGTTCCTGGTGGGCAGGACCCAGGTCTTACTCTTTTCTGAGTCCTTGGTACCTAGTATAGAACCAAGCACATGTAATTGGGATGGCACATGTAGGTGTGCAAGTTGCCTAATGCACAATGATACCCACTGAGGTCAAGGAGCAGGTTGAAATCTATCCTACACACTGCTCAAAGCCACCGGCATTGCTCTAAGATGTATCTGGCCAGAGGAAGAGGCATTGTTTCTTTTACACAAAGGACCTGCAGGGTTGCATCCACCTAAGAGGATGTCCCCTTTCTTGTGCAAAGTTGCCACATTGTCTGCCCTGTGTACAGTGAGTGCTTAGTCTAGGGAATGAGGGAAACAGGACTCGAGTCAGAGATCTGGACATGACTTTCCCAGAAGGGAGGAGGGCACAGTCTCCCATCCTACCCCACTGCCCTTGTGGGGAAGCCAGTCCTGCCTCTTGTTCTTTTCTCTAGGTATTAGAGATATCTTTAAACAAAACATCAGCTGTCGAGTCTCGTTCATCACTCGGACACCTGGGGAGCGGTGAGCAGGAATGGGGCTCTGGCAGGTTGGCCTGGCTGAGCCCCCTGCAGAGAAATGAAGGGAGTAGGACTGGCTGATCAGCCCCTGGTAAAATCAGGCATTTGCCCTTTGAAAGTAGCTCATGGTAGCACAAACATTCCAGCTGCCTCTCTCACCCTATGCTGCTCGGATGCTTGGCTCTCTCCCTGCTGCTCCAGGCCAGAATCATTCTACAAAACAAATCATGAGATCCTATTAATTCATTTTGTGCCTTGCCCCCTGCCTGGTACCAGGAGCCACTCCCTACCTCTACCCCATGCTCTGCCCAGGGAGTTGTTCTCCTGGCTGCAAAGACAAGGGGAGAACAGCCCCATTTCTTTTTCTCAGCTCCCACCCCCAGGGACTGGGGCCCCCTGCCCCAGAAGCCCCAGAGCTGGGAGGCCCTGGACTGAAGAAGAGGTTTGGCAAAAAGTGAGTGTCTCCCAAATCCCTGGGCCCAAAGAGACATGGAGAGAAGTCTTAGGGTCCCTAGGCCCCACCCACATATCCTTGACATATAAGCGACCATCCTGAGTCTCATTCCATTTGTTCCTGACCTGACTGAGAGGTTACAGTGTTGAATGACTTTTCATCCTCTTCCAGCCTCTGCACCCCATTCTTCAGGCAAGGGTCCTGGCTCAACAGGATGATAGTAAGGGGTCTCCTGGCTCCTGCCTGCTTTGGGCACAGCCTTGAGGCCTGTGCTGGGATCAGGAAGAAAGAAGGATAAAACAGACAGGAGGAGGGGGAGTAGCAGGGAGACAGTGAGTGGGTGGATGGAGCAAAGACAGAAGTAAAGGGTTGGAGGAGGAAGAAGCCCCCAGATTGCTTTTTTCCATTCATCTGTTGTGGCCCATCCTGATGCCTGCCAGATCCCCAGGTCACCTTTCATGGAGTGGCATTAAGGGAAGGCCAGAGGGCCCTTACCACACTGCTGCCCTGCCTCCCCTTGCTATAGGGCAGCAGTGCCCACTCCCCGGCTGTACACAGAGGCGCTGCAAGAGAAGATGCAGCGAGGCTTCCTAGCCCAAAAGCTGCAGCAGTACAAGCGCTTCGTGGAGAACTACCGGAGGCACATCGTGTGTGTGGCAATCTTCTCGGCCATCTGTGTTGGCGTGTTTGCAGATCGTGCTTACTGTAAGAGTTCCAGGCTGTGGGCAGTGGGTAGGGAGCAGGCTCTGACCCTTGGAGAGGAGTGGAAAGCCCTCTGATCCTAAGAGTCTGCATGGGAGAGCCCAGGGCTCGGGACCTTGGCCACCTGTGCCAAGCTGATGTAACCTCACTCCGGCCCCAGACTATGGCTTTGCCTCGCCACCCTCGGACATTGCACAGACCACCCTCGTGGGCATCATCCTGTCACGAGGCACGGCGGCCAGCGTCTCCTTCATGTTCTCTTATATCTTGCTCACCATGTGCCGCAACCTCATAACCTTCCTGCGAGAGACTTTCCTCAACCGCTATGTGCCTTTTGATGCCGCAGTGGACTTCCACCGCTGGATCGCCATGGCTGCTGTTGTCCTGGCCAGTACGTGACTCCCAGGCTTCTTCCTCTTTGCTGCAGCACCCTGGGTCTAGTTGGGGGAAACAGTGGGGAGATGGAACTCCTTATACCTCCATCTCTCCTCCCTATGCCTCCTCTCTCCCTCAGGATCGGAGGTAGAGTCTGTCCTGGTTGGCATCTCTAACAGGGTCTGTCTCTTCCAGTTTTGCACAGTGCTGGCCACGCAGTCAATGTCTACATCTTCTCAGTCAGCCCACTCAGCCTGCTGGCCTGCATATTCCCCAACGTCTTTGTGAATGATGGGTCAGTTCTGGGGATGGTTTCTCCTGGGACTCATAGGGTGGGCCCAAGGGTATAATAGAAAAAGAAATAGGCAGGCCGGGCGCGGTGGCTCACGCCTGTAATCCCAGCACTTTGGGAGGCCGAGGTGGGCGGATCACGAGGTCAGGAGATCGAGACCATCCTGGCTAACACGGTGAAACCCCGTCTCTACTAAAAATACAAAAAATTAGCCGGGCGTGGTGGTGGGCGCCTGTAATCCCAGCTACTCGGGAGGCTGAGGCAGGAGAATGGCATGAACCCAAGAGGCGGAGCTTGCAGTGAGCCGGGATAGCGCCACTGCAGTCCAGCTTGGGCGAAAGAGTGAGACTCCGTCTCAAAAAAAAAAAAAAAGAAAGAAATAGGCAGGGCACAATGGCTCACACCTGTAAGCCCAACACTTTGGAAGTCTGAGGCAGGAGGATTGCTTGAGGCCAGGAGTTCCAGACAAGCCTGAACAACAAAGTGAGACTCCATCTGTACAAAAAGTAAAAAGATTAGCGGGGCATTGTGGTACACATCTGTAGTCCCAGCTATTCAGGAGGCTGAGGCAGGAGGATTGCTTGAGCCCAGGAGTTTTAGGTTGCAGTGAGCCATGATCAGTACCACTGCATTCCAGCCTGGGCGACAGAGCAAGACTCTGTCTTGAAAAAAAAAAAAAGGAAAGAAATAGACAGTCCCAGACACTCAGCAAGAAGCTCAGTGCTAAGCTAGTCCCCTGGGGGAAGCTGAAAGGTAAATTTCTTGCCTTCAAGAAGGAAGCTGGCTGTGATTGGCCAGGAAAGGTGTTTGGGAGATGAAGTCAGAGACTCTTTCTCATAGATACCTGACACACAGCTTGCCATCTCTGCCTTCTATCCATTCACTGGACAGACATTTATGCAGCATGTCCCATGTGTCTACCCAGATGCCAGAGTAGGGATGTCAAGATACATGCAGTCATTCAACAACTACTTACCGAGATTTGCTGTGTGCCTTGTATTGTTCTAAGCCTAGGGATAGAGCAGTGAATGAAACAAAAATCCCTGCCCTCATGGAGCTTACAGAATAATGAACCAGGGACTCAAGGAAGCAGGGGTCAACCACAGTAAGAGAGTTCAGGATAACACAGAAGGAAAAATTGCTGAGTACAGAGGGTGGAACCATGGAAGCCTGGGTGCCAAGTTCCTTGGAGGGATCCCTGGCCAACTGGGTGGAGGCCCCATACCCTCAGCAGTCAGGGCCAGCAGGAAAGGAGTCATGCTGTGTTGTGACAGTGCTGGAGCCCCTCCTGCCCCAGTCAGAGGCTCAAGGTGCCTTTGCCCCCCAGGTCCAAGCTTCCCCAGAAGTTCTATTGGTGGTTCTTCCAGACCGTCCCAGGTAGGAAACGTGGGACCTGGGGGTTCTGTCTGAGGACTTCTGCTTTTGTCTCCATCTCTCTGTGAATACTCACTTGTCTATACTGGCCATGGGGTCTGTTTCTAGCCTTCAGGACAAGCCCCAGCTCAAATCCCTCCAGGCAGGCTTTTCTGGGGGCCCCGGAGGGATGAGAGAGGAAGGAGGGAAGGATAGGGGAATGTGCTGTTGTCTTTTCAGCCCAAGCTGAAGTCCTGAGACTACTCACTGGCCCTGTCTTCCTGCCCCCAGGTATGACAGGTGTGCTTCTGCTCCTGGTCCTGGCCATCATGTATGTCTTCGCCTCCCACCACTTCCGCCGCCGCAGCTTCCGGGGCTTCTGGCTGACCCACCACCTCTACATCCTGCTCTATGCCCTGGTGAGGGACTTCCCTGGGCCAGCCCATGGAGCAGGGAGCTCAGGATGGGACAGGAAGGTGAAAGAGGGAGAATTGGATCCAAGATCTCAGAATGAGACTTTGAGATTTAAGACCCCAGACCTCAGCCCTATCTCCCCGGCACAGGCCTAGTGCCTGGGCAAGAGGGGATGCCGGGCAGGGGCCTGGCTGGGCCTGAGTTGTACTAACTGGCCGTGTCTCCAGCTCATCATCCATGGCAGCTATGCTCTGATCCAGCTGCCCACTTTCCACATCTACTTCCTGGTCCCGGCAATCATCTATGGAGGTGACAAGCTGGTGAGCCTGAGCCGGAAGAAGGTGGAGATCAGCGTGGTGAAGGCGGAGCTGCTGCCCTCAGGTATCAGGCCCAGCCTGACCTGGGTCGGGAGCGACAGAGGCCAAATCTTCAGACATGGGGAGACAGTTCACCAGGTCTCCTGACCCCATCACTGCCTCTGACTCTGTCTCCAAAAACAACAACAACAAAAAACCACTCTCGGGGGTTCCTGAAGGTTTCCTGATAGAAGTAGACCCAGAAAGGGCTGTGCTTAGCTCCCAGGAGACTTGCAGATGGTGAGAAGTGACCTGAGAAGAGGTGGCTGAACGTGCATACAGAGGGGTTTGAGGATGGGAAAGGGCCCCACATGTGTGGCCTGGGTGCAGGGGAAGTGCAGGGCAGGAAGCCACATATGCCTGTCCCATTCCTTCTCTCAGAGACAGGCAAATGCCCAGATTGCCAGTCTGGGTTGTTGAGAGTCAGTGCTGGCCAAAGTCGGGATTGGTATCATCATAGAGGGTGGCAAAAGATGATTTTATGTATCTCAGGACTGTCTAACCTTCAGGACTCATGTTGTAAAAAAATTAATCTCATTGCAATGTTATTTCAATTGAGATTACTTAAGGACAAAATCTCAGAGTGGTGTTAGTATGCCTTTCTACTCTCCAGCACTTGCTGATCTCCTTTTTCAATGAAGAGATCAGGCCTGAGGCTCAGCTATGGTACAAACAGTATCCAGCTAAAATTTGGTAACAAAATATGTTGTCTTCTATGTAGGACACATGATACTGGTTTTCCACTTACCTTAGCAATAAAGTTCCCTGCCAAGATTAATTGAATTGGAAAAGTTAGTCAATTTAAAGAAAAGTGTTAGATAAATGATAGTGCAGGAGGTGTGTAGAAAGGTAACCCTCAAATGGAGGTCTGGTAGCCACTGAGATGGTCCCTGGTGAGCCTGAGTCCCTTTACCCAGCAGGTTGGTATTCAAGGCAGTGGTATGAGGCCTGGGCCTTCCATGGGAAGAGGGAGTAGAGAGGAGGAGAGGGGCTGGAACAGGGGAGCAGAGAAACCCAGCTCTTGCATTACCTGGGAAACAGAGAAGGGGACCCTCCTACTCCCAGCCCCAGGAGCCCCGCTTGCTCAGACCATGTGACTACTCCCCAGGCCTCAGGGGTGTGAAGAGGACAGGTGCCTATCAGTCCTCAGGTACCAGGAGCAGGCCTTCTCATCTGTGCTTTTCCCTGTCTATGACCTCCAGGAGTGACCTACCTGCAATTCCAGAGGCCCCAAGGCTTTGAGTACAAGTCAGGACAGTGGGTGCGGATCGCCTGCCTGGCTCTGGGGACCACCGAGTACCACCCCTTCACACTGACCTCCGCGCCCCATGAGGACACACTCAGCCTGCACATCCGGGCAGTGGGGCCCTGGACCACTCGCCTCAGGGAGATCTACTCATCCCCAAAGGGCAATGGCTGTGCTGGATACCCAAAGGTGCCCGTCACTGGGAACCCTGCTTCCGGGCCTCTGGCACTGGCAGAGGATCTCTGCCCTTCCCTATCCTGAGACTAGAAGCTCCAGCCGTCCCAAAGCCAGCCTGGGAGAGGACCGGGGTGCCTCAGAAAAGACTAGGATGTTCTGTATCCTCCCTCTGCCTGTGTCTCCGTTTCTGGTCTCAGAGCTGGGGCAGGGTCAGGCTCATTTCATCTCCCCCCTCTCTTGGCAGCTGTACCTTGATGGACCGTTTGGAGAGGGCCATCAGGAGTGGCATAAATTTGAGGTGTCAGTGTTGGTGGGAGGGGGCATTGGGGTCACCCCCTTTGCCTCCATCCTCAAAGACCTGGTCTTCAAGTCATCCTTGGGCAGCCAAATGCTGTGTAAGAAGGTGAGCATCCCTCCCTCATTCATCAAATGGGGCATAGGTGGCCGAATTGTGACCCGCATCAAGTGGTGGAGCATGAGAGAAAGCTCCTGGCTCCAGGAACTGAGTCTGAAGGGGTCATTCTTACCCAGTGGTTGAGATGCCAAACTTGGAGGGAGGTTGGTGGTATAGCCAGAAGGGCCTCTGCTGGGACCTGTCAGTTGGAAGCCTGGGATCAGGCTGGTGGGTCCTGCCACAGCTTTGGTGTCTGCAGGTGGTCTGGGGCTTCCCAGCCTCTCAGGTGAAGGCACCTGGGATCTAGGGAGGCTGAACTGAGCTGGGTCCTGATCTCCAGCCCTGTGTCCCCAGATCTACTTCATCTGGGTGACACGGACCCAGCGTCAGTTTGAGTGGCTGGCTGACATCATCCAAGAGGTGGAGGAGAACGACCACCAGGACCTGGTGTCTGTGCACATTTATGTCACCCAGCTGGCTGAGAAGTTCGACCTCAGGACCACCATGCTAGTATGTCAGGGCCCGCCAGGCAGGGCAACTTGGCGGGCAGATGGATTGGCAGCGTAAGGCAGGATGGCCAGGGCAGGTGGGTGGACGGCCAGGCTGAGCTGGCAGGAGGCACAGAGCTGATGGCCTGATCCTCAGCCTCCAGCTCCCTCCCCTCCCCATTCTCTGTCTCTTGGGCTATGTGGGCTGGCTCGGGCTGAGTGCTGGCCCTGACTGTCTTTGGTCTGACCTGCCCCTGTGCCCCCAGTACATCTGCGAGCGGCACTTCCAGAAAGTGCTGAACCGGAGTCTGTTCACGGGCCTGCGCTCCATCACCCACTTTGGCCGTCCCCCCTTCGAGCCCTTCTTCAACTCCCTGCAGGAGGTCCACCCACAGGTCAGTCCCACTCCCTCCCACCCTGGGACTCTGGCCTTCTCCTGCCAGGACATCCTGGCCCTGAAGCACCCTGCCACTCTGTTCTGAGCAGAGAACTCCACCCGATTGCCTGGCCCCAGGATGAGGTCAGCTGTTAAAGGGGGACTTCCACCCCCTCCACGTTAAGCCTCCTCCTCAAGGCCTGGGCTTGAAGCCTTAGTCATTCCAGCCAGGCTCAGGAAGCAGCTTTTCCCAAGGAGAGTGAGCACCTTTAGGCTGCAGGCCCCTCTCTCTCTCCAATCTCCTGACAGGTGCGCAAGATCGGGGTGTTCAGCTGCGGCCCTCCAGGAATGACCAAGAATGTAGAGAAGGCCTGTCAGCTCGTCAACAGGCAGGACCGAGCCCACTTCATGCACCACTATGAGAACTTCTGAGCCTGTCCTCCCTGGCTGCTGCTTCCAGTATCCTGCCTTCTCTTCTGTGCACCTAAGTTGCCCAGCCCTGCTGGCAATCTCTCCATCAGAATCCACCTTAGGCCTCAGCTGGAGGGCTGCAGAGCCCCTCCCAATATTGGGAGAATATTGACCCAGACAATTATACAAATGAGAAAAGGCAGGAGACTATGTTCTACAATTGCAGTGCATGATGATTATAAGTCCACCTGTTTATCAACGGCACCATTCCTGCAGCCCTCCAGACTTCCTGCCCTTAGCAAGTGCGCAACCAGTCAGGATCTCCCAAAGAAGATAAAGACCACTCCTCACCCCAGCTCAAGCCATGGCAGGCGTGGCAAGCAAAGTGGGGAGGAGACAGTCCCTGCTTGTGACAAGTGTGGAGGTGAAAAGGTACAATAGTGCTTGTCTCCGATAGCTCCCCACATCTCTAATTGACTTCCACAAAATCGATGCGTTGCTTTGGTATTTGCTTGGACTGACATTTGAGGGAGGAGGAGGCTGGGATCCTCTGGCTGAGAATCTCCTCAGAGCCCAGTGCAGAAGCTGTGATGCTTAGAACCTGGACAGCCCGACTGCCTCAACTCTGTCTCCAGGTCTATTCCCTCCAGCTCCAAAAGGAGCAGCCCTACTTCTACCCCTTCCCGTCCCCAAAGTGTCAGCAACTTTGAGGAGGGCACCAGGAAACAAAGATGCCTCCCCAGCCCTGATATTCTTGATGTCACCAGTGATACCCACTGCCCTGACCCCTGGGCAGGCCCCTCTCTGCATCTACTGGAGTGGTCCCTGGGCTCTGGGGCTGAAGGATTCCAGCCTCTCTGCCAGATATTCAGTACTCGATCTCAATTCCCCTCTTCCACAAGAGTTGGGTGACCAGCTGTCCTAGTTTGCCCAGGACTCTCCCTGTTTTAGCACTGAAAGTCTCTTGCCCCAGGAAACCCCATCAGTCCCAGGCAGATTGGGACAGCTGGTCACCTTACGCAAGAGCCAGGCTGAAACATCCCCTCCATACTCAGCTCTTTAACTTTTCTTTTCCTTTTTCATCGGGCTCTTTCCTAAAAAGCTGAGCTGTAAAATATTTTACATCGAGGTATAATAAATAATCATGTACATGTTTTACCACCACCCAGGTCAAGACATAGAATGTTTCAACATTTCCATCACCCCAGAAACTCCCCTTGTACCCCCTTCCACTTCGTCTCCCCTAGCTCCTAGAAGCAACCACTGATGTGATTTCTACCAAATCCAGTTTTGGTCCTACTAAATATACTCTTTTGAGACTGGCCTCTTTTACTCACCATAATGCCTTTGTAATTCATCCATGCTGTTGTGTGTATCAGCAGTTTGTTCCTTTTCATTGCTGAGTAGTATTCTATTGTAGAGATGTACCACAGTTTGTTTATTCTTCTGTTGATGGACGTTTGGGTTGTTTCTAATTTTGAATGATTATAAATAAAAATTCTGTGAGTGTTCTTGTACCTATGTTTTGGTGGCCATCATGCACTCATTTCTCTTGAGTATGTATCTATGAGTGGAATTGCTGGGTCATACAGTTATCCAGCCAGTAGGACCTGTGGAGGGAGAGTTTCAGACCAGGTTTGTCTTCTCACTGGCCCCACCCTACCTCTTCAGCCAGGCCAAATGCCTCTGGTTCCCAACCCCCTCTGTTGAAGGTATCTCTCTGACAAGGCTGGAAGAGCACCAATCAGAAGTCAAGAGACCTGGATTCTAGTGCCCACTTTATCTGCAAATAGCTATGGAGGGAAATCCCTTAACTCCTCTGGGCCTCTTCCTCATTTATTCAAATGTCTGTGAGAGTATTGGGAAGTCAAATAACAATATTGGCCCAGACAATTACACAGATGAGAAAAGGCAGGAGACTGTGTTCCATAGTTGCGGTGCGTGATGATTATGAGTTCACCTATTTATCAACAGCATCATTCCTGCAGTCCTCCAGCCTTCCTGCCCTTAGTAAGTGCACAACCAGTCAGTAATCCCAAACTCCAGCCCCTTCAGTCTCAGCCTTAGCTTTACTCCCAAATCTGACCCTGCAGTTCCTCCCTATGCCTTTCTAAAAACTGTGCAAAGTATTTATTCATTCCATCCTAATTCACCCATCCTTGCTAGACTGGAGAATGGCATTAACATGGCTATCAAGATTATCCATAAAACTCTCTGCTTAGCCCTGACTTCCCTGCCATGCTGGGGCCTAAGTGAGGATCTCCCAAAGACTTTGTCATCACTGAAGATGTATCCCCAGCCAACTCTTGCCCAAACACCGGGCAATGCCAAGTGTATGTCCAGCTGGATAGAGGGACATGCTGCCATTATCTTGAGTCACTTCAGATGGCACTCAGCCTGCCTGGCCTCAGTCCTGACTCCACACGCCAGTCAGGCTGTAGATGTCAGCCCTAAGCATGTATTCATGTGATCTGGCTGCTCTGTCTAACCCTGCACAGAGTCCCAGAAAGCCACTGAATGACAGGGATAAAAGTCAAGGACTTGCAGAGAGGTTAAAAGTGTCTTCAGCCTCAACACTTGCCTAGATACTAACCTGGTCCTACCCTTCCTGGGGCTTTATGACCAACTCTTTGAGAAGTGGGCTAGAAGGCAGGATCAGGCAGCTATTGGGTGATACCTTGGGTTCAGAAAGCGAGGTCATTGCATAAGTGTGTGTCGGGGAGGGATTAGACTGAAAAATGTGCAAACGAGGGAGGCTACAAAAATGTCCCAGAGAAAGATGGAAGATGACTCAGAGGGAATTCGTGGAAATGATCACATAAACCGTGTAAAGGAAAGCAAATCTTCCCCGCTCTGGGTTACAGAGATGTTTGTCTCAGGCTTTGGGACAAAGCCCAACCCAAACCCTGCCTCCCAGGAATAGGGATGAGGATGAGAATGAAACAGGGATGGACAAGGAATCGGGTGGGATTGGATGGTAATGGGACTGTGGATGGAGAAGAGGAAGACAAGCATGAGATTGGATGGAAGGGCTTTGGGGCCAGGGGGAAAAGGAGTGGATGAGGACAGGAGGGGCTGAAGCTGAGCTCTGTAGGAGAGGAATGAAGGCTGGATCTTTGCCCCTTTTTCCAACTTTCCAGCCCCAACTTCTGCCTCAAGTGAAAGAGGAGAACATTGCTAAGATGTGGCATAATTCCTGTCTACTTACTAAGAATTTTCATTTTGTTTGGTTTTGTTTATACATGTATACACATACTGTATTTACGTACACATTATGACTGAATCATAGTTCATATACTGTCCTGACATTAACTTTTTTGCTTAGAAATAGGTCTAAATATATTTTCTTTTTTTGAAGGGGAGAGTATCCATCACCTCAAACATTCATCCTTTGTGTTACAAACAATCCAATTATACTTTTTAAGTTATTTTTAAACGTACAATTAAATTATTTTTTACTATAGTCTCTCTGCTGTGGTAGCAAATACTATGTCTTATTCATTCTTTCATTTTTGTACCCATGAACAACCCCCACTTCTCCCAACACCCTCAACTCTGGTAACCATTGTTCTATTCTCTATCTCTATGAGTCCAGTTGTTTTGATTTTTAGATCCCACAAATAAGTGAGAACACGCAACGTTTGGCTTTCTGTGCTTGGCTTATTTCACTGAACACAGTACTCTCCAGGTCCATCCATATTGTTGCAAATGACAGGATCTCATTCTTTTTTATGACTTAATAGCTCTCCACTGTGATATGTACCATTTTTTCTTTATCCACTCATCTGTTTATGGACATTTAGCTTGCTTCCAAATCTTGGCTATTGTGAACAGTGCTGCAATAAACATGGGAGTGCAGATATCTCCTTATTTATTAAGAATTTTTGAGTAAGAGGAGTCAATCCAGCATAGTACTTAAGAGTGAGGGCTCTTAAGTCAAATTGGGTTTGAGTCCTAGCTGGGTGACCTTGAGAAAACAAAGAAAACTCTCAGGGCCTCAGTTTGCTCCTTCATAAAATGGGGATAACATGATTACCTGCTCCATAGGGTTTGGGAAGATCTAATAATATAATTCAATTCAACAAATATGTGTTGAGCATCTATTATGTCCCGGGCACAGGCACAGCTTCTAGGGAACTTAAATGTTAGTGGAAGGAAACAGACAATGAACAAGATAGAAGGAAGAGGAAGAGAAGAAGGAGGTCACAGATCACAAGTGCTTTGAAGATAATAAAACTATGAAATGATAGTGACTGACTAAGGGGAACTCTTTAGATAGGATGATTAAAGAAAGCCCTCTAAGATGACGACAACAAAACTATGATGATTAATGCATACAGAGCTTGCTGTGTGCCCAGTGCTATCATAAGGACTTGAAATGCATTAACTCACTTAATCCTTAGAACAGCCACAATCCCCATTTTACAGATAAGGGACACTGAAGCACGAAGAGGCTTAAACAACTTGCTCAAAGTTATCTAGAATGTAAGTGAGAAGACAGACTAGGTTTTTCTTTTTATAGAGACAGGGTCTCGCTCTGCCACCTAGGCTGGAGCGCAGTGGTATGATCATAGCTCACTGTAACCTTGAACTTCTGAGCTCCAGCAATCCTCCTGCGTCAGTCTCCCCAGTAGCTGGGACTACAGGCATGCACTACCATACCTAGTTAATTTTAAAGTTTTTTGTAGAGACATGTTGCCCAGACTCGTCTCGAACTGCTGGGCTCAAGCAGATCTTCCCACTTTGGGAGGAGACTAGATTTGAACCCAGAAAGTTTAACCAGATATCATGCCCTTAACTACCACTTTATCCTGTCACTCAAAAGCAGGCTGCAAGCGTTCAGGTGAAGCTAATGTATGGAGAGCCCTTAATTGTGCCTGGCACCTAGTAATATTGTTACGAGCATCACCTATTAGTAAGAGAAGCCGAAGCTCTGACAGCAGAGCTCCATAGTCTGAGGAGTTTGCGGTTTGTGGGGCCTGAGTAATGGTGAGTGACTTGTTTCTAATCCAGATTTATCCCCTATCTCATCATCCCTCCTTCTCATTTCCCCAGCTTCCCGCTCACTTTCTTGTGTCCCACCAGGTTCTGGCTCTGTGAAGCCAGGAGGAGGCCTGCTCTAACCTCCAGGGACACACTACCCAGCCACCCTGATCATGTGAAAGTCAATCCATCCTGACCTTGCATGGAGTGGAAAATTACTAAGTGACCACCTCCCTGTCTTGTCTCCAGGGAGCTGTAAATTTCCTGGGAAGTCTCTCCCTGATTTCACAGGAACCCTTATCTTCCCTGGCCAGTGACCTCAGATGAGCTGTAACATGAAGGCTCTAGCTTTTCTGAGAGTGAGAGGCTGGCAGTGAGAATTTAGGAAAGGCTGCCCAAAATGCACTGGATGCTGGAATCAGGGGACCTGAGTTTTGTTTCCAGCATTACTGCTCAAATCACCAAGTAACCTGAGGGAAGTCACCTGAGTTTTATGGGCTTCTATTTGTCTTACCAAGAAAATAAAAGAATTAGGCTGGCCGGGCACGGTGGCTCACGTCTGTAATCCCAGCACTTTGGGAGGCCAAGGCAGGTGGATCACTTGAGGCCAGGAGTTCGAGATCAGCCTGGTCAACATGGGGAAACCCATGTTTCCCCATGGGGAAAATACAAAAATGCTAAAAATACAAAAATACAAAAATTAGCCAGATGTGGTGGCGGGTGCCTGTAATCCCAGCTACTCAGGTGGTGGAGGCACAAGAATCTCTTGAACCTGGGAGGTAGAGGTTGCAGTGAGCTGAGATTGCCACTGCACTCCAGCCTGAGTGACAGAGTGAGAACCTGTCTCACAAAAAAAAAAAAAAAAAGGATTAGGCTAAGACCCCTTCTAGACCTGCAACTTCACTCTTCCCTTCTGCACTCGGTGTCTCAAATGGATAGAAGAAAACAGTTTCCTTGGCCTCTCAACCAAGGTTAAATAGTCTGGGGAAAGGGAACTAATATTTACAGGTTTACTTTGTGTTGGGTCCTGTAACACATTTACATAAATTGCCTCACTTAATCCTCACAATAACTCTCTGGAGAAGGTATTACTGCCTCCATTGTATAGACGAGGCATGTGGGACTCAGAGTACATCACCCACGGGCATCCAGCTAGTAACAGGCAAAGTGAGGGTTTGAATCCTATGATATCTCAGAGTCTCTGCTCTTTGCATCCTGATGCCTCTAAAGGTATAAGCAATCAAGGTTTTTCATAATATATTTTCCATTGTTAATTGTTCTGATGGTATTCATTGAACAACTGCTGTGAACACAGATCATACTAGATCCCACAGGGTCCAAAAGAAAAGCAAGACATACTTCCTGCCCTCCAGGAGCCAAAAACCAATCCAGCTCTAGGGAGAAAGTACAGTAACTCATCACACCAGCAAGCACAATGCTTGCTCAATGTTCCTCTTTCCTTCTCTGCTATAAGCCCCCTAGAGGGCAGGACCTATGCCTATAGTTCACTGTCATTTTTCCCCTGCCTAGTAAAGTGCCAGACAGAGAGCACATTCTCATGGGATATTTCGTGAATACATTACACTATGTGATAAGCAACTGATTAAATGCTAAGATGAGTGGATTCAGAAAGGGAATTCAGAAAAGGTCCTTGCAAGAGGGGGATTTTGAGCTTAACCTTGAAGGATAAAGAAGGTCCATGTACACATTCATCACTGGGCTGGAGTACTCACCCTGCTGACTGGACTACGTTCCTCTTCCACAGCCAGACCCTAAAGATGGCATCTTTTGAAGGAAAGAGCATCTTTGGATTCCTCTTACCTTTGGATCTGCCAACACCCAGTGTGATATGGAAACAACACCCACTGTCGTTCTGGAAAACAAGAGCCGCACCTCATCAGGACTCAGAAGAGGCTGACATCTTTGGAAGGCATAAGCTTTGGGGAATGTGCTGGAGTGGCCCCAGATGGGGAAGGGAGGCATTTAGGGCTGAGTTCTCTGGCGGACAGGAAGCCCATTACCTGGAGTGGTTGAAGCAGGGGGTAGGCAAAGGAATAGTAATGAAGATTTCCTCTGTGTCAGACCCAAGGTCTGGTTTCCTAATAGCTCTCTCGTGTAATTCTCTCGGCAACCCCAGGAAGCCATAATTGTCTGGATGTCCAACAATCAGAGAATGATTAAGTAAACTATACAACCAAATGGAATATTATATAACCATGTGCGATGAAAATTATTAGATGAGCAATCTTACATTCAGGAAGTTTGGCAAAATATCTCAAGAATCTTAAAAGGTTTGTTCCACTAATTCCTCTTGTAGGAAACTGTCCTAGGAAAATAACCAGAAATCCAGACAAATATTTACTTTTATAGACGAAAATGCACCAAAATGGTAAGAGTGAGTATTTCTAGGTGATGATATATTTGATTTTATTTTCCTTTTTATACTTTTATACATTGTTCAAAAATATAAAATATTCATAATAAGAAATAAAAAATATACACGAAAAATTTGTTTTAAGAGCTGGGTATTGTGACTCACACCTGTAATCCCAGCACTTTGGGAAGCTGATGTGGGAGGACTACTTGGGAAGAGGAGTTCGAGACCAGCCTTGGCAACATAGTGAGACTCTCTCTCTACAAAAAATAAAATAGTTAGGTGTGATGGCGCGCACCTGTGGTCCCAGCTACTCAGGAGGCTGAGGTAGGATGATAGCTTGAAACCAGGAGCTTGAGGCTGCAGTGACCTATGATCCTGCCAATGCACTGCCACCTAGGTGACAAAGTGAGACCATGTCTTAAAAAAACAAGATTCCAATCCAAACAATAATCTTTTTGGAAAAACTATAATTACAAATATTTTAAAAGCACATAAGAATGGATAAGGGTGGCCCAGCACCGTGGCTCACACCTGTAATCCCAGCACTTTGAAAGGCCAAAGTGGGTGGATCACTTGAGGTCAGGAGTTCGAGAACATCCTGGGCAACATGTTGAAACCCCGTCTCTACTAAAAATACAAAAATTAGCCAGGTGTGGTGGCATGCACCTGTAGTCCCAGCTATTTGGGAGGCTGAGTGGGGAGGATGGCTTGAGCCCAGGAGACGGAGGTTGCAGTGACCCAAGATCATGCCAACTGCACTCCAGTCCGGGCGACAGAGCCACACCATGTCTCAAAAAAAAAAAAAAAAGAAAAAAAAAAAGTTAAGATTTATTGTTAAGTAGAAATAGTACTTCTATTTCTACAGTATACAGATACAAATTGTATCTGTATTTTGATTATGACTATGAAAATACTTATATATCATTAAGTAGGAATAGTACTTCTATTTCTACTGTATACAGATACAAATTATATCTGTATTTTGATTGTGACTATGAAAATATTTACTTATAAATTGTTAACAGTATTTATCTCTGTGGGTGGAGTAGAACTAAGAGCGACTTTTATTTTCTGTGTGATGCATTTCTGAGATTTTAAAATAACAAGTATGTACTGCTTTCATAATCATGGATTAAAAGTAGAGATTTTTAAGATTATGATTACGCATGCATAAAGACTGAAGGCCAGCAGAGAAAAATCCAAAGCTGATGTGTTACAGTGATGACTGTTGTCAAAATCAAACTTTTATTGCTTTTTAATTTTGATGATTGTGTCAAAACAAAATTTAAAAGATCAACGTTTCACCATCAAAAGGAAAAGGGAAGCCAATGAAGGAAAAAACAATGGGACAAATACTGAAGAACAAATCTCCAACTCATTCAGTAGCATTTATTCTGAAAGAAAAAGGGAAAAATATTTTTGCCTACCCCCAAGGAAGCATAGGAGTGATGCTTGATAATTGTGTTAATATCATTCAGCATAATGGTCCTACTTCTAAGAATCCTATAGAAAAATTTGCACTTATATGGAAAGATTTATGTATAAGGAAATTCATTGATTTGTAATAGCAACATATTGGAAGAAACCAAAACACCCTAACAGGAGAATGATGAATGATGCCTGATGATACATGGTGCATCCATACAACAGGTGCTATGTTATGTGCAATGGCTGTTATGTTGTATACATCCATTCAATATGTTGGCATGAAAAGGAATAAATATGATTTACATTTACTGACATGGAAATATATATGGCAATTCCTTGGTATCCATGGGGGATTGGTTCCAGGACCCCCTAAGGATACCAAAATCTGTAGATGCCCTTATATAAAATGGTGTAATATTTGCATATAACCTACATACATTCTTCCGTATATTTTAAATCATCTCTAGATTACTTACAACACCTCATATGACACCAACACATCACTTCGTTTGTGTGGATTCAACATAGTACTCAGTGCGCAGCAAATCCAAGCTTTTCTTTTTGGAACTTGGTGGAATTTTTTTCTGAATATTTTCAATTCTCAGTTGGTTAAACCTATGGTTGCAGAACCCATAGATATGAAGGGCTGACTGTATAACCAGGATATAATCCCATTTTTGTAAAATTAAATTAATGTGTATGTATATGTATGTATGTGTAGTGTGTGTGTGTATATATATAGAGAGAGTATACATGTGTGGGTATAGTGTTTGGGGTATGTCTGCAAGGATATACTCTAAATTGTTAACAATGGAGTCCTCTAGGAAAATGGAGTTTGAGGTAAGGTAGGGACTTTTTATTTTTCGCTGAGTTAAAACCTCATTATAGAAGAGAGCAAATAATTAGCAATGCCAAGAACACCAGCATAGAAAGTCTAAATAGAGCCAAATTAAACAGAGTTGATCATAATGCAAAAAGAAAAATCCCTGATGGGTATAGCAGCTAAACAAAGAGATTACAAGGTACAAGGGCAACAGGGTGACCAAGAATATCATGAAGAAAATACAGAGTCATTGTGGTTGAGGGAATGGCCTTTGGAGCAACCAGCCTGGCGCTCAAATCCTGACATACCAATTATGTTTATTTAGGTTCCATTACTACAATGAGCCTCAATTTCCTGCCGAATGTGGGGTAAAATGAGAGAAGGTTTGTAAAGCTCAGAGAGCAATATGATCCTCCACGACATTTCTCTACATATCTACTTGCCAACTCTGAATTCAGAGATAAGATCAAATAAGATAATATAAATGTGGATGTAGTATTTGTGAGTGGTTACAGGGGCTAAGAAGGAGATATTTTAAGAGGCTAGAATAAGATGTCTTTGGACATTATTTCTCAAGCCTTAGAAATGAGAACAGTTTGGCTGGGCATGGTAGCTCACACCTGTAATCCTAGCACTTTGGGAGGCTGAGGAGGGCAGATTGCCTGGTCTCAGGAGTTTGAGACCAGCCTGGGCAACACTGTGAAACCCCGTCTCTACTAAAATACAAAAAATTAGCCAGGCGTAGTGGTATGCACCTGTAGTCCCAGCTACTCGGGAGGCTGAGGTAGGAAAATTGCTTGAACCTGGGAGGCGGAGGTTGCAGTGAGCCGAAATCGCGCCACTGCACTCCAGCCTCGGCAAGAGAGTGAGACTCCATCTCCAAAAAAGAAAAGGAAAGAAAAGAGAACAGTTTGAAAGGAAAGCCGTACAACCTGAAGGAAAATAAATTAGCAACATAAGGTAAGGACCCAAGTTTATTTTTCCCCTTTGGAAGAATATTTGAAGAAATGGAAGGCTTGAAAGAATTAATCTACACAAGTCCTCAGGTACAGAGCTAATCATTATGAACTGTGGGGATATGCACATGGAGAAGTGATTGGAAAGACTAGCTGAGACATGTCAAATGGCATGAGGTCTGATTAAACAGTGTTATCAGATATGATACTGTGAGAACTACCCAGGAGGTAAACAGGGAGATTCAGCAGTTTTTAGACAGGGATATAATACCACAGGGTGAGTAAGGCTGGAGGAGAAAACACTCACATCTACATTTCCTTAAAACAAAGTCAAAAGATAACCTACTTATTAATAGATATCAATAGTAGGAATGATAAAAAATAGTGTATTAAAGCTTCGTAGGTTTTTTTTTTTTTTTTTTTTTTTTTGAGATGGATTCTAGCTCTGTTGCCCAGGCTGGAGTGCAGTGGCGTGATCTTGATAGTGGCTCACTGCAACCTCTGCCTCCTGGGTTCAAGGGATTCTCCTGCCTCAGCTTCCCAAATAACTGAGATTACAGGGGCACACCACCACACCCGGCTACTTTTTGTATTTTTAGTAGAAACAGGGTTTCACCGTGTTGGCCAGGCTGGTCTTGAGCTCCTGACCTCAAGTGATCCTCCCACCTTGGCCTTCCAAAGTGCCAGGATTACAGGTGTGAGCTACCGCACCCGGCCAAAAAAATAGTCTGTTAAAGCTTCTTAAGGTAAATCCAGTTTAAAAACTAGAAAGATAAAATAATATTTCCTTCTGACCTAATTTAAAAGGACCCAGGAAACAAAGTCCTCTACAGAAATCACAGGGGGTGATACAGAAGGAAAGAAAGCAAATGAAGGAAGTAATAAAGGTACATCCAAGGCAGGATGGACGTGCAGGCATCATAGTCACAGCCATAAACCAGAAGAACTCCTCAGAAAAGTGGAAGGCTCGTAATCTTGATTCGAAAACAAAGCTCAGTGACTCAGCGTCCACAAAACACGGCTAAAACCAAAAATACAGGCACACAACCTAAAAGGAGGTGTCAAGGACTGCCCTACTGTTACTCCGCTGACCATCAGATAAAGTAGGTGGTTAGTTAAAAGACCGAGTGCCAGTGAAAGGAAGCAGCTGGCTTTTCGGAACCAGCGCTTTCGGGATCTGTTTAACTGTCCTCCCACGGTCCTTGAGGCCTCATAACAAACCTACACGGGCTATGGTATCACAGATCGCCCTGCCCAGGCTGCCCAGGGGTCTGCTAGGCTTGTAGTGGTGAGTGGGTGCTTCCCTGCCTTCCACTGCTCCTAGGAAATTGCTGCAGTCAAGGGCTTTCTGGAATGAAAATGTTGCAGCTGAGCCTGAAAGCCACAGCAAGGTGTGACATTCTTATTAGTTTTTCTTAACTTACAAAAATGACACATGAACATGCTTTTTTAAAATTTTTCAAATTATAGAGGAATTTATACAGTAAAAAATGAAAGTCCTCCTGTCCCCAACCATCCCGCTGGGCAAACAACACAAAACCGCAAAGTCCTTTCTTCCAGAGCTAACTACTATTAATAGTTTGATGTCCATCAGCCTGGACATTATTTTCTACACATATTCAAACATATGTATGTAGGAAGTAGGCGAGATCTGGGGCAAATCATTTAATCCCTCTGTACATCAGTTTTCTCAGCCTTAAAATGGGGGCAATGATATTACTCTCAAAGGGTTATTGTGAGGGTTATGTGAGTTAAGATATTTGGTATTCTCAGAATAGTGTCTGGTCTATAGTGGGCACCCAGGTTCAGCTGTTGTGATTCATTCCTTATTCTTGTTCACAGAAGCTTAGCATTCTATTGTAGTTGATAACAATTCTGAGGGGTTTCACCGACTCCTACCTGGATACTCAAGTACATAAACAAGGCCGGGTGTGGTAGCTCACGCCTGCAATCCCAGCTACTTGGGAGGCTGAGGCAGGAGGATTGCTTGAACCTGGGAGGAGGAGGTTGCAGTGAGCTGAGATCACACCACTGCACTCCAGCCTGGACAACAGAGCAAGACTCTATTCTGTCTCAAAAAAAAAAGAAAAAAAAAAAAAAAAGAACGTACTCACTATTAGCTCTCCTAAAATTAATGGGTTGGGGACCCTGGCCCAGAACTCAGAACCCTGCCTCTGGTCCGGTATTGTTTTCACCACACCACAGGGTCCCCCACAATTCCCCCTTAAAAGCCAAAACTGTCTGGATGGAGCAGCTGGTCCTACTCTTTTTCCCTCAGTGACGTCCAGCTCAGTTGTCTTATTTGCACCCTAGGGTATCTCTGGTGGGTTTCTGGGGCAGGGGGCTCTAGGCCAGGTGAGCCCTCCTCTTGCTGCAGTCTCTGGACGTGCCTCTCCTGGTCCTTGAGGTTTGGCTTCCCCTTCCACAAAGAGTCACTACATGTTGAGACTGCCGGCCTGAGGATTCCCGGCTGCTCTGGGTTTAGCTCAGGCTAAGGGGCACGATGGAAATAGCTGGGAGCTGGGAGTGAGGTCTGGTTGCTTGTGAGGCTACAGACATTTCCAGAGCTCCTTCTACATGCCAGGCACTGTGCCAGCCAGTTAGGGAAACCTCCATAATGTAGATGTGAGACTTGGTCATGGCTTCTAGGGGTCCCCGTTCATGTGAACCAACCACCCAGAGCTCCTGGGTCCAGCGGCTCTTTGGGGGGGCATCAGGGGAGCAGAGCAGAGCAGGCTGGTAAGAGGCAGCTCCTAAGTGCTGACACCTGGTTCCTCTCCTCCTCCCTGCCTGGCCTCCAGGTCTGCTGCCAACTCTCTTTCCCTGGCAGGTTTGTGGAATTGCTGAGAATGCTGGGTCAAGGCCAGGCTGAGGCCTTTTCTGCCACCCTGGGAACTCTTCACGTACCTTCAAGCACCTTTGCAGACTCAGGGCTCAGAGCTGGAAAAGTCTTGAGGGTCATTCATCCTACTCATTTAACAGGTCAAGAGAGAAAATTTGGTGAGACAAGGGCAGGGGTACAAGCACTTAATAAACATAATCAGAGTGCCATTCACCAGGGGAAGAGCATCAGGCTTCTTTATTCTGTCCCTATGACAAGCCTGAGGCTTGTTTTATTTTTCCGACTTAAAGGATGAGGAACCTGAAGCTTGAAGGAGTCAAGTGAGTTGCTCGAGGTCATCAGGAAGCAGAGTAGCCTAACGTGTACCCACCTCTTTCTTACTATAGGGAGCCCAAGACATCTACACAACCCAGTGCCTCTTCCAAATGCCTCTTCCAGTGCCTCTTCCAAATGCAGGAGAGCTGTCCCTCCAGTCAGCCACAGGCCCATGGCCAGATACAGACTGGATGACAGAAACTTCCCCAGCCAACCACCTTGGCAATGTCTGTCTTCCCTTCAGAAGCATCATTCCCTCTGGAACCCCATTCCGGAGGAAGGCAGCATGGCAGGAGCAAGGGCCTTCCTCAGGTCCTAGTTTTGTTGGGTGTTCAGCAGGGTGTGGGGATTTAGTGTGTGGTGCAGGGGAAGGCAAGTTGGGGTTGGCCCAGGAGAGCTCTGGCTAGAGCCTGTCTGTCCCTGTGCTGTGCTGAAAGCCCAGCTGCTCCCCAGAACCAGCAGCCCCAGTCCCCAAAGGCCAGAGCTGAGTCACTTTCTTCAGTCTGCCCTGGATGACTAGTTCCTTGCCTCCCAGCTTTTTCCGCATTCACCTTCTCACAGATCATGTGTTGGACTCCTTCTGCTTACTGATAACAGTTTTTCCAGAAGTTCCTGAGAATCATTAGACCTTAATACTGTCAGCGCTGGCAGCCCTATCCCATCTCACATGATGAGTGGCAAGAGATATGATTCCCTTTGGTATTCCTGAAAACAGATAGCACAAATATGCAAGAGCACTCGAAAATCTACACAGTATTGTTAAGCTATATAAGCACAGCGTTACATACACATATGTGCCCACAGAATGAAACAGCAATGTGACAAATGCTTTCAAATCACTCAGAAGGCAAAGTTCCTTAAGGGTTCTACAAATTGCCAAGTCTCTTGGGGTCTGAGCATCTAAGATCTGCATATTAACACCTGCTATGGTTTGAGTTTGTCCCCACCAAAACTCATGTTGAAATTTGATCCCCAATGTGGCAGTGTTGGGAGCAGATGGCTAATGGGAGGTGTTTGGGTCATAAGGACAGATTCCTCCCGAATGGCTTGGTGCCATTTTCGCGGTAGTGAGTTCTCACTCTAGCAAGACTGGATTCTCTCAGGAACGGATTAGATCCACAAGAGTGGGTTGTTACAAAGCCAGGACGTCCCTTGAGTTTGGCCTCTTCACACATGTCTGCTTCCCCTTTGACTTTCTCTGCAATGTTATGGTGTAGCACAAAAGCCCTTACCAGAAGGCAGTGCCATGCCCTTAAACTTCCCGGCCTGCAAAACTGTGAGCTAAATAAACCCCTTTATTTGTAAATCACTCAGTCCCAAGTATTCTGTTATAGTAACACAAAATGGACTAAGCCAGTACCCAATCCAAGTCATTTTATGCCACATGGATTTGCACCTACTTGGAGAGGTCAGAACCAATAAGGAACATTCTACACATACCACCCTTACTTCTTCCTGGTGATTTGTTAAAGTTTGGTGAATGGGCCGGATGTGGTGGCTCTTGCCTGTAATTCTAGCACTTTGGGAGGCCGAGGCGAGTAGATTGTCTGAGCTCAAGAGACCAGCCAGGGCAACATAGTGAAACACGGTCTCTACTAAAATACAAAAAATTAGCCAGGCGTGGTGGTGTGTGCCTGTAATCCCAGCTACTCAGGAGGCTGAGACAGGAGAATCTCTTGGATCTGGGATGTGGAGGTTGCAGTGAGCTGAGATCACGCCACTGCACTCCAGCCTGGGCGACAGAATGAGATCCTGTCTCCAAAAAAAAAAAAAAAAAAAACTTTGGTGAATGGCCTTTCTTTAGAGTTGCAGGGGCTCCTGCCCTGAACTTCTCAGTGAAACAGATCTCAATGGTCTTATGCTCCTCCCTCTCCCCCATTGTTTCTTTTGCTGTTTCATTGCTGATAGTGTTCAACAGCAATATGCCCCATCTTTGTATATCATAAGAAACACTAATTCTAGGTTATTACAAGCAGAAATATTTTTGTCCTGAATAACATTGTTACTGGGCCAAAAGATAGATCAGGAGTCCCAGACTTTAGTTTCCTGAAATCGCCAGGTCAGGCACAAGGGGAAGGGGCTCCTGGATATTCACTAACTTGGGTGGGCCTAGCCAGGAGAAAGACAGCAACATGTGTTCTGTACTTTCTGGGAAGATCCCTGAAGCCATCACGGAGGCTCCCCAACTTCCGAGTCACCCATCTGTTGCTGTGGCAGTGGGAATGGATAGGGCATTTTGCTCTCTGTAGGTGGGCAAGCTTCCTGGGCTCTCTGTTTTGCCTCCCTCTGGCTTCTTCCTCCTGGGCCCTCTGCTGTGTGCCACAGGGGATCAGGGATTCTCACCTTCCTGAGGACCAGTGGGGAAGAGTGAACATGGCAGCCTCAAGGTTAGCTGAAGCTGCCATTTGCCCAGCCTCTTCCATCCCAACCATGTCAGTGAGCTCAGGTCTGGTGTAACTATTGCAGAATGCCTGTAGTAGGGAACTCTGGAAGTGTATTGGGCTGAGGTGGGATTTTTCCCTCCCCACAATGCCCTGAGCAATGGAAGTGGTGAGGGGTGAGCGAGTCAGGCTGCTGAATTCTGTTGGCATTCCCCCCTTGTGTAAAATGGGGTGTTGGGGTGGGGCAGCCTCTGCTTGGATTTGGTTGTAAGATAAACCTGGAGGAGAAAAAAAAAGTTTGGTGAACGGTACCCAGTGTCCCCTGGAATTGAGGTGGAGGGACAGGGGTAGGGAAGGCTTCCAGTATAAGTTCATTGATGGCGGCTCACTGCTCCACAGTAGCTGGGCCACAGTTCCCTGTGAATTCTGTGCCAGTCCTTTACAGGAGCTGTTTGTTGTCATGTCCTGGCAGTAGTCCCAGAGCTAAAAGGGACAACCAATTTTACTGATAAGGAAACTGGGGCCTGGAAAATGGCAATCTGTCCAAGTTTATGGGTCTAGGCCCCTGCTTTCCCAAGGGTGGCCTGAAGCCAGAGAGCCAGTGGCTTCATGGCCTCATCCTCAACAGCCCCTGTGAGCTACCCAAGACCCCAGAGTCTTCCCACATCACACAAAGCCTGGGGCACCCCCAGAGATTTTCTTAGACAGTCTGAATGTCAATACTGTGTTTTCTTGTCTAACCAGGTCACCTTAAAAATGTGTGTACCCTTAACCCCAGCTATTTTCATTCTAAAATATAACTTCAAGAAATAACATATTAATAACTTCAGGAAATAACATATTAATAACTTCAGGAAATAATGAGTCAGGAGAACAAAAATATGCAACAAGGGTTGTCATTGCAACTTTATTATTAGAGCAAAACTCTGTAAACTATCCAAACACTCAAAATACTGCAATTTGCTTTATAAATGATAGTCTATCCACACAATGGGATGTGGTGATTTAAAATAATGATGTGTATAATTATTGACATAGAAAGAAATTTAGCCATTTATTAAATGAAAACAAGTATGTTTGTAAAACGGTATCCAGAAGACAAAGGACCCAGTTTCTTCAACATAACAGTGGCATGTGAACCAAAATGTAGGGGGAACTATAATAAAGAGGCTTAAGAAAGAAGAAAAAATAAAAAATAAAACAGGCTTAATATATCAACCGCATGCAATATGTTTAGATCCTGATTCCAGAAAAGCAAGTGTAAAAAAGTAAAGTTTTGGCTGGGCATGGTGGCTCATGCCTGTAATCTCAGTGCTTTGGGAAACTGAGGCAGGAAGATTGCTTGAGGCCAGGAATTCAAGAACACTCTGGGCCACATAGTGAGACCTTTTTAAATTTTTTTCTCTACAAAAAGTAGCCAGGCATGGTGGTGCATGCCTATAATCCCAGCTACTCCAGAGGCTGAGACAGGAGGATCACTTGAACCCAGGAGTTTGATATTGCAGTGAGCTCTGATCAAGACCCTGTCTTTGGGGGAAAAAAAAGTAATTTTTTCTGTTTTTTAGATGAGGGAAAATATGGCATGGATTGACGGGGTATTAGCTATTATGAAATTATTATTAGTTTTGTCAGGTATAGTAATGGGAATTATTTAATAATTGTGATTTTTTTAAAGTCCTCGTCTGTTTATGAGTAAAATGAAAAAAGTAAAGTACACTCCCATTAATGTTTACAAATGCATGCACATGTTTGATATGTATAGATTCATGGAAAGGGGCTGCAGGAAGCCCAGGAATTCATTCCTACCACCACCACAACCAACTAAGTGCTCAATCAATATTGATTGACTCAGTGAATCAGTCCCGGAACCAAGAATGTGAATTCCCCACAAGCTCCCCGACCTTGGGAGGCCCAGCAGCCTCTGTGTGCTCTGTCACCAGTGCCTGGCACTTGATTCACGCTTTCAGTCAACACTGAGGTCCCCACCCAGTCAGCTCCACGAGTGCTAGGGAGTGAAGACGTGTCAGGGCGGAGAGCTGGGAAGGACCCCACAGGCAACCTGGAAGCAGCGGACTGCTCCATGGACCCTAAAGGAGAAAGAGGACATGTTGGCTCCTCTAATTCCCTCTTGCAGCCCACCTCTGGCTACAGCAGATGCTGGTGTGAAGTCACCTCTGCACTCAGTCACTGGTTCTCTGACATCTTCCCCACCCAGTCTCCCTTGTGTAGCACAGTCCTGCCTCCTCCCTCCTGACTCCTATTGTGTGTGCAGGAGGCCTGTTGGGGAGTTGGTGGAGCCAGAGGTTAGGAGAAAGAGAGGCAAATAGGATTTATGGGATATTTGCCTTTCCTAAGAACTGTCCTCTGCTCATGATGTCAACCTAGGTTCAAGGTACAGAGGCCAAATAACAGGGAAGAAATGCTCAGAAATTAGCAGCCAGCTGGGACAGAGGCTGGGTCTGGCTACAGGCGGTGGGGCCTGGTCAGGGTCATCTCTGGGTGGCCTCCTCCACACACTGACTTCTACCTAGGGCTCAGGGAGGAGGAGGATGAAGGGGCAGCAGTGAAATGGCTTCACGAGGCATGCATAGGCTGCAGGAAGTGCCTCCAAGACACCAGCAGACATTCTCTGGTAGAGCCTCTGCCCCTCACTCCCAGCTTCCTTCTCTCTTAAAGCCCTGGCTGAAGCAGACACTGGAGCTCCTTCTCTGGGCACCTGAAAGGGGGCACAGGGCGTGAGGAAGATGTTTCCACCAAGACTGCTTAGTGCATCTTCTCATCAGTAGGAGCTGCTTGGTGGGGGTGGTGGCATGGGGAGCATCATTTGTCCTCTAGGACTGGACACCTCAGGCCTATGAGAGGCAGCATGTTGTAAAGGATTTGATGTCAGGATTCCTGGGTTCTGTCTAATCCTGGGCCATTGACTAACCCACTGTGTGATTTGCCAAGTCACTTCCCCAATCTGAGCCTCAATTTCCTCTCTCGTTAACTGAAGGGTTGTGTTGTAAGACAATCTTAAGGTCTCCTCTGGCATTTATATCTTCTTTATCTACAAAATGATTGTGTATGTGGCTTGTCATGAGGATTAGAGATAATTCATGTCAATGAAATTATATTTGGTACAGAAAATATGTAACCTTCAAAAATCCTGGGATCCTTCCCTCTGGGAAATGGGTAACCTGAGTCCATTCCCCACTAAACAGGACCATAAACAGCAGCATGAGTCAGATACCACCACCAATATTTATTACCCAAAGCAATCTGAAAGAATCGGGCACAAGGTCATGGCTTTCCCAGGTTACAAGAAAATCAGAACCTCTTCAAACTCACCCTCCACCCATAGCCAAAGTAAGGAATTAAAGGCTATAGCTCAAGCTATGTCATGGCTACTATATCCTCATTCTTGATGAATAGTCTCAAAGTCACAAGTTGGCATGATGCGATTTAGGTCTAAATCTTACCAGAAAAAAAACCCACCATTAAAATAAGACAAGTTCATAGAAATCATTCCAACAGAAAGATACCAAGAGCCTTTACTGGTAATGAGAAGAGGAAAGATTTTCTGTTTATAATAACCAGAAAGAAATGGAATTGTCTAATAACCATCAATTGAGTATGAGCCTAGTTGAGTTGAGTATGAGTCTAGTATGGGATGCTAATCTTCTGGGGTGGGGGAAGTCCTGTGAGCTAACCAAACCCTCCTGGTCTCTGGTGAGGTCCACAAGTAGCAGTTTCCTGGTTGCCTGGTGACAAGGGACCATGCTTAGGGGTGGGCTGGGGCATGTTGGGGAGGGGGTCCTTCACTTGGCAAGTGAAATAACACAATTCTCAGAAGCTGTAGAAGAGGCAATCTTCAAACAGTGCTGAGTAGTCCTCTTACTTTTTCCACATTAGGGGAATGCAAACTGGTTTAACCTCACATGACATTTCCTTTTTTGTTTGTTTGTTTTTTTCATTTGATTGGTTTAAAAATTATCCTGGATCCAGGAAAGTGATGCCTTTTCTTATTCTCCTTTTATCATCAAAACAAACAGCCAATATGTCTCTAGAAACATTGCGTTCTAAACTGGAAGTGCTGACAAGCCTTCATCCCAGACCCTGAGTGGCAGATTTTCATGAAAATCAGCTTCTGGGCCAGTTAAGTCTTCATGAAGTTATCTTTTCATAACTCAGCCCTCATTCCCCTCTGGGTCAGTAGCAGTGGAACCAGGAAACCCAAGGGCCAGATTTCCTTCCTCAATGAAGGCACTCCAGGAAGAAGGGGAGTTCCTGGCACCTGCCTGCCAAACTCTGCTCTACTTGCTGAACTTTGCTCAGCATGAACAGGGCATTCTGGCTACAAGTTCCCCCAAACTATCCCAGATTGTATCTTTAAGGCACACCAATTCCTCTGCTTAAGGACTTCTGTTCACAATGAATTGTATTAGTTATTCTTAACATTCAAAAGAGAAAGTTCTGCATCAGAGCCCACCCATGTCCAGCCATTGTGCCCTGAGATCCCAAGACTGTGGGGATGAGGGCAGAGCCCATTAACATCAGGGATTCTGGTCACTGGGGTCACACTTGAGCATGATTTTCAACCCCAATCCCTTTTTAAATGTTTCAAAGGCCTCCAGAGCTTTCTCCAGAGGAAACCTATGGGTGACGAGGGGTTTTACATTCACAGACTTGGACGCAAGCATCGAAATCGCCACTGGCCACCTGTAAAAGAGCACGAGCATTATATTCAACCTTCAAGAGGAAAGAGCCAGGTGCCCCAAACTACCAAGCACTAGATCAGCTTGGCCGTATTTATTGATAGCACTGTGGTTCTGCAAAGCCAATTTTACAGGCCAACAACCCAGGAAAGGACCTTATGGCTTATGATTCAGGGGTACAGAGCCTATTTGCAATTGCCCCCACCCCTCACCCACCCGCTCACTCTGCCACGTCTGCCATGGAGCCTAGAATTCCTGTGGCATGAAGGTACAAGGCACATGGTGGAGGCCACTGGGAAAAGGCAGAGAAGCCGTGGGGAGGCAGCCCGGGACAATCCAGTCACACCCACTAACAGCTCAGCTTACTGGAAAACTGGCGCCCTGATGAGGGCATGGAGTTACAGCCTCTAAAGCCAGGAGTAAGGGACACTGCTGGGGAGAGGGGTCCCAGCCAGAGGGCCCCAGCAGGGGAGAGGGTGGAGCTGCAGAACATGGGTGGGGCAAACTAAGACCCTTTCGCTCCCCAGGGTGGGCCCTAGGGCTAAGGAACGGAAGCCACAGGACTTGATTTCTTCCTTTTGTCCTCCTTTCTCTCCTTCTTCCCTTTAAAGGGAGAAAATGGAGACCTGGCAACTTAAGAAAATAGGGGGAAAAAAGGGGCCTGGGGGGGATAAGCAGCAGACACTCAGTAAGACTATGCTTCAAAATCCCCTCCTTCCCTCCCTCCATCCATCCTTCTGTTCCTCCCATTCTTTAACTGGCAGTGAGTGTTCTCTCTTTGGATCCCTGTTATATCACACAGCTATCAGTGTGGCCAGGGAGTGCCCCCCATGAACAAACAGGCAGAGACTCATGGGCCCAGAGGCTGAGTGGGGCCTGCCATGGTCTTGCTGGAGGCTGGGCATCCCGGCTCACCCACGGCATACTCACGTGTTGCAGTATCGAAACACGCCCTTGATATCCACCTCCCGGATGGCTGCATGCAGTAGGGGTACGGTGGTCATCTCAGAGCCCAGCCCCACAAGCACGAGGTTCCCACCAGAGCGAGTGGCCTGTAAAGGAGGTAAAAACAAGAAAGCTCAGAAGATAAGAAATACTGACTTCCCACTTACAATAACATATTGTCATCACACAAGTATCTTCTGGTTGCATCAGCTGAGCATCCAAAAATTCCTGAGAATGTGATTTGTGTACACTGCTGAACTGCTCAACCTGCCAACCAAACTTAACTGAGCGGGAGAGTAAACACGGTTTTCTTTAAAGTGTATTGTGAAAACATACACTTAACCCATGGAGAACCAGGCACAGTGGGAACATCTTCCAAAGCTTTACAGATTCGGGACCCAATATTGGCTTCAGCCACCTCCACAGTCTAAGCACCTGTTCCTCCCCCAGAGCGCCCCTCCACAGGCAGCACTTTCATCAGAGCTGGAAGGAACCACTGGCCCTCTAAGCTCACCGGTGGTGAGAAAACTATAAACATGAGACAGATGGGCCACTTGTATTCTGTGGCTTAAAAAAGGCTTCATACATGCATGCAGGCTGGCAGTTAGAAATCTTTTTGTTCCAGAGATGTTTACCTCAACAGTATGAGCCATAATGGGTTTTGTCTTCCTTGAATGTTTATCTGCCTTATCAGTTCCCCACTTGGAGTGGGTCACAGGCAGCAGTGAAATTTCTCCTGAAAATTTCCCCAGAACTCCCTGTGAGTGCTGTGCTTGTTCCAGAGCTTTCTGGGGATCACTGTGCTCAGTGCGGTGAGAGACAGAAGAATGGATAATTCAATCATGCTGATTGTTCATTATAGTCAGCAGCAAGCATTTATTGGGACCATTCTGGGTGCTAAACAGTGGAACTAGAGAAAGGCACATGTCACAGCCTCCAGTTCTGAGACGAAGGATACACCACGATCATAGCCTCCACTTCTGAGATGGATACACCATGGAGACAGGCCTGTGGTGCCGTGAGCAAGAGGTGAACTCAGGGTTTGAGTGGTGTGGGAGTGACTCCCAGCGCTGCTGCTTCAGAGCTGTGGCACCCTGGACGTGCCCTCTCAGCCCATTTTCTAGGGAAACTACTTCCTCATCAGCACTTCCTCTCTACCTGGTGGTGAGGAGGAACACCAACTGGCCATTCCAAGCTGCCAAGATGCCAGCAGTTTGCTGACCCCAGGTCAAGGAATGCTGGAACCACCTGGACACTATCCTGTAGGTATGGCATCTGCACCAAGGATATGACATCAATTCTACCCCAAGGCATCTGCCACGTCTCATCACAAACACTATCCAGTCATAACCTGGCAGGATGGCGATGCTCAGATTTGTCCATATTTGGTCCAGCCACCTAGCCTGCTCATTGGCGGGGTGGCCTATAGCATTCTACAGCACCCGTCATGCGTGACGTCAGGAGAGACACTGCTTCAGGCCTGGTGAGGCCCATGGGTCACATTCAACTCCATGCCTGCCTCAGGTAGCCTGGCAACCAGGCCCCCACCGTCAACAGTGGAAATGCCAACTGTTCCAAATGCTCTAAGGGCAGGGCACAAGAGGAAGGAGAGCCATGTCCTTTAAGTCCCCCAGCTTATACTGCCTCTCTGCGGGGTGGAGGTCACTTACCTGCTGACAACTTGAAGACAGCAGATGCAACCTACTCATGTCTTAGCCCTCAAAGTGCCCAGCACAAAGCCTGGCACATGGTAGGTACCCAAGACATACCATGGGTAGATCAATCACACACAGATCCATTGTTCCTCTCTGAGCTTCGGCTTCTTTTTGCCCCTTCCCACATGGCGACCACTGCCTATGACAGTGAAGCAGAGGGCTGGCCGACTCCAGCTGAAACTCACGACACTGCCAAGGTGGCACCCGCTCCTCCCTCTCCCCCACTGCTTCCTCAGCTCCCAAGGCCGCTGGGCAACTTAGTAGGAGGAGGTCTAGGCAGCTCTGCTACTCAGCTTGGTGGGTCAGCCTTCCCTAGAATGTCTCATGTGATGCAAAGTGCCCTCCTGCTGTGAGCCTCAGAAGGAAGGAGGAAGCCCACGCTACCTGGGGAGGCTGTCTGGGAGGCAGGGACAGGAGTCCCCTGTGGTGGCGGCTGCCTGCTACCCTCTCCAGCCCTGGCCCTGTCCCCCCACCCTAGCATGGTTGTTCGTGCCCTCCTTCCCTTCCTCTCCTAAGCAGCGGGGCAACTCAGGCACTGGGGCCTGGCAGGGCTGGGCCTGGGCCTGACTTGGCTTGCCTCAAACAAACCACAAATCCCTCAGCATAAAATGGTAACTGGTTTTCAGGGCTATTGTGCAGATTAGGCCTCATGTTTATAAAGTACAGCAGAGAACCTGGCGTACAGTAGGGCTTGGAACCTGGAAGTTGTTATTTTCCCTTCGTTTCCTCATACTTTGATCTGTCAATGACACTCCCTCCCACCACCTCCAACTTCCTGCCAACTTCCCATAAGTGGCTGGTGGGTCGCTGAGGGGCGAGTCGGGCACTGGCAGCTTATCTGTTCCTAGGTCTGGGAGACAAAACAAGCAGTAGTCAGCTGTGACCCTGGAAAATCACCTCACCTTCATGACTAACTAAATGACTGTTATTTTATATAAGTGACTAAAGACTGCAGTTTTCCTCAATAAAATAAGACGGGGATTTCCCACATACAATTAAGGCATGGTTCCCTGTTTTTCTTCTTGGTCTTTTTACCAAAACTACTGCACTTTTAACAAATATGATCATGAAGCCAACCCCATCCCCAAAGTGTGTGTCCTTAACATTTTTCAAGGCCCGTGTATAGCTGTTATCTTGTGTGAACCTCAGATGGCCCAATAAGGATGTAAGGCAAGTTCAAGTACAGTCTCCGCACTAGAGATAAGAAAACAGAGATAGCGCCTGTAATCCCAGCACTTTGAGAGGCCGAGGAGGGCGGATCATGAGGTCAGGAGATGGCGACCATCCTGGCTAACACGGTGAAACCCCATCTCTTCTAAAAAAAATACAAAAAACTTAGCTGGGCATGGTGGCAGGCGCCCGTAGTCCCAGCTACTCGGGACGCTGAGGCAGGAAAATGGCGTGAACCCAGGAGGCGGAGCTTGCAGTTAGCTGAGATCGAGCCACGGCACTCCAGCCTGGGCGACTGAGTGAGACTCTGTCTCAAAAAAAAAAAAAAAAAAAAAAAAAAAAAAGAAAAAGAAAACATAGATGGCAAAAGATGAATAAGTTTGGCTTGGGGCTCACGCAGCAAGCTGGTAAAGAAGTTTGACTCCCTACTTCTGCCTCCTTCACTCCCCTATGCTGATTCCCCAAAGCTGCCCTCAGCCCACTCACGTAGATGCCCGCCTGGATGGAGGCCTCTGCCCCCGTGCACTCGATGGTGACTTCCGGCTTGCACCCCAGCTGACCTTCTACTTTCCTGGCGATTTCCTGAGGGCTCTCCTTGGAGATCTGGAGGACTAAATCAGCCCCAATCTCCTTGGCTTTGGACAATCGGGTAGCAGACAGATCTGAAGGTAAAAAAAAAAAAAAAAAAAATTCTTTCAAACAAGAGAAATCTGATGACTCATTAGGAAGAAAAGAAAATGGAGATGTAAGATCTGATGGCAACAAAGCTCTCGTGCAATGGGTGGTGGTGTTGAGCCCAACACACATACTCTTCACACCAAGCTTGTCCAACCTGCAGCCCACATGCAGCCCAGGATGGCTTTGAATATGGCCCAACACAAATCTGTAAACTCTCTAAAAATATTATGAAATTAAAAAACAGTTTTGTAAAGTTCATCAGCTATCATTAGTGTTAGGGTATTTTATGTGGGGCCCAAGACCATTCTTCCAATGTGGCCCAAGGAAGCCAAAAGATTGGACACCCCTGCTCTACACCCTCATATACCCCCATATCCACCATACAGCTACACACAGACACACACACACACACTCTCTCACACAAACTCTCTCTCTCTCTGATAGCTTCTCCTAACACAAAACACACACTCACACTCTTCTATATTTCCACAATCCATATGACACTACACACTCACCCCCTCCACACTGTCACAGATAACCTCTCCTCACACATGCACATACAGTAGGACCCGCTGTTTCCCAGTCAAGGAGATTGATAAAGAACAAAGTCTTACCAGTCACCACTACTTGAGCTGCTCCCATTGCTTTGGCCACGAGCAAAGTGACCATCCCGATTGGCCCTAAACAAAGCAGAAGATGGAATATGTTCGTGAAATATTAAACATCTGCTCTCCCACTTGTCCAGGCCATGGATAGGAACCATATCTTTTGTGTGTCTCTAGCATCTATCCCAGTGCCTGGCATGATAAGACCTTAGCGGCTGTTTGTTGAATGCAGAAGTGAATAAATCCATGAAGAATTATTCTCTACATAAAATACGCTCCTAGTGCTGGGTTCTATTTAATCCTCTCAAACCTCAGAGCTAAAATTTTCCTACTTACTCCTGGGCACTAGTGGAGATAATCTCAAAGAACCACAGGATTCAAGGAAACACAAACTTATTCAGAAAATAAGAAATCTCAGAAGGTCTGGACTTGTTTTCCTGGTCTTTCTTTGCCCCTACCTTTGTGAGAACCCATCACACCTCCCCCAGAGAGAGACATATTCCTTTTAGGTGCCCTCTGAGGACCACCTGGAGAGGGTTCTTAAGTGAGCTGGCTCCCTGGGTTGGCCCTGGTGCCCAGATAGCCCCAGGATACTCAGGTATCCAAGGATTTGCCTGAGACACCTGCTTCCCCATGGTATCTGCATGCTATGTGACACTATGGTTTTAATATAAAAATCAGACCCACGGAATGAAAGCAATGCAGACTATCTTTGGGGGTTTACTTTTTGTACACAACCCCGAGAACAATTTTGTGAGCTCCCTCAGAAAACAAAATACTGAAAAATAATACCTGAAATGTCCAACAAAGCATGATTTAAAAACTACATGGCTACTAAAAATTACGCCATAACTCTTTATCTATTGACATGGAAAAATGTTCACAGTATTTTTTTTGAGACAGAGTCTCGCTCTGTCACCCAGGCTGGAGTGCAGTGGTGCAATCAGCTCACTGCAACCTCCGCCTCCCGGGTTCAAGCAATTCTCTCACCTCAGCCTCCTAAGTAGTGGAGATTACAGGCACCCACCACCACGCCTGGCTAATTTTTGTATTTTTAGTAGAGACGGGGTTTCACCATGTTGGCCAGGCTGGTCTCAAACTCCTGACTTCAGGTGATCCGACTGCTTCAGCCTCCCAAAGTGCTAGGATTACAGGCATGAGCCACCATGCCCAGCCTGATTTTTAAAAAAGAGTAGGTAAAGGAAGCGTATTTAGCATGGTCTCAGAAAAAAACTAACTAACTAAAAGATTCTATACCCAAATATTAACAGTGGTTCTCTTGGGCTAATCGGTGACGGGATTGCAGGTGAATTTCTGTGTGTGTGTGTTGGGGGCAAGGCATGCATGTGTGTGGTATGTGTGACTTATTTTCCTTTTCTATGGTAAAAAGGTACTGGATCCATGCAGATTTTTATAAGAATCTGTCACCTGAGTCCCGCAGTCTGCTAGCCCATTGTGGCAAGTCTATTCTACATCCATCACCCCTCTTAGGAAGCCGTGTGATCACTTATTTGGCCAGCCAAAGAAAATCACAAACAAGTATGAGGAACACCAGATCACACCCACAAGGAGCGTGAGCGTACTGTCTGGGTCACCAGAATGATTTGGTCTAAGGCTGCTAGGGCCTGTTCCAGATGGCTTGAAACAGGGGATGAGAGAAGGCAGCTAGCTACAGCCCTACTGCAGGCAGATTGCTGGCTCACAGTGGTGTGGGAGCAGACCACTGCTCACTCCTCCCACTGGCCGGGAGCAGGGTCTACCTTATTCATAGATGGGACTAGGCCATCACTTTGCTGGTATAATTTGAAAGTTCCAAGAGTTGCCCTTCCCTTTACTATCAAAAATATTTCTCTAAGGTGGAGGTTGCAGTGAGCCAAGATCGCGCTGCTGTACTCCAGCCTGGGCAACAGAGTAAGACTCTGTCTCAAAAGAAAAAAAAAAATTTCCCTAGTTTCCCATCAAGGGTTCAAAAATAATCGCCAGATTAATTCCTTTTTTTTTTTTTTTTTTTGAGACAGAATCTCGCTCTGTCACCTAGGCTGGAGTGCAGTGGCACAATCTTGGCTCACTGCAACCTCTGCTTCCCAGGTTCAAGTGATTCTCCTGTCTCAGCCTTCCAAGTAGCTGGGACTACAGGGGGTGCACCACCACGCCTGGCTAATTTTTGTATTTTTAGTAAAGTTGAGGTTTCATCATGTTGGCCAGGCTGGTCTTGAACTTTTGGCCTCAAGTGATCTACCCGTCTCAGCCTTCCAAAGTGCTGAGATGAGCTACCCCGCCTGGCCCAGATTCATTCTTTTTGTTTGTTTGTTTTGAGATGGGGTCTTGTTTTTTTTGAGACAGGGTCTTGTTCTGTCACCCAGACTGGAGTTCAGTGGCACAATCATGGCTCGCTGCACCCTTGACCTCCCAGGCTCAAGTGATCCTCCCACCTCAGCCTTCTGAGTAGCTGGAACTACAGACACACACTACCACACCTGCTAATTTTTGTATTTTTTTGTAGAGACGGGGTTTCACCATGTTGCCCAGACTGGTCTCAAGCTCCTGGGCTCAGGTGATCCACCGGCTTTGGTTTCCCAAAGTGCTGGGATTATAGGCAGGAGCCACTGTGCCCAGCCAATTCATTCTTTAAATGAACAAAAAGGGCTATGTTGCCTAGGACATATAACCCTAGTTAATATCATGTCTGCAGATACTCATTTGTTTAGCAAAGTGCTAGTCACTGAGGGAATGGGACACTGCAATCCTCCCTTACCCAGAAGGATTCTAGAACAAATCTCAAGCCTTGGAGGGGGAATGAGATGGGCAGAGGGTTCCCTGAATTCCCAGTCAATGAACCCGCAACAGGGTGGCTTCTGTTTCTTACCAGCTCCACACACAAGGACCTTGTGTCCCAGGGTAACTCCGCCTCTCCTGCAGGCATGGATCCCCACAGAAAGTGGCTCGATCAGGGCGCCTTCCTCAAAGGTGACATTGTCAGGAAGCCTGAGGAGTCAATTGACACACAGAGATCCTCTGAGTTAACTACAATGCTAACAATAGTATTATATATGCCCAATGTCACTGTAATAACAACCATAGCTAGCATTTATCGAGCATTTATTTATGTGCAGAGCAATGTGCTAAGCAATTTATATACATTAACTCACGTAAATCCCTGGAATAGTTCTGTGGTAGGTACTATCATTCCCATTTTACAGATGAGGAAACAGGCGTGGTGGGTTAAATGACTTGCCCCAACCATCCAAAGCTAGTGAGGGGCCCAAAGGGTTCAAATTAGAAGACAGATATGTTCTCATCACAGAACCCATGCCACAATGTCCCCATCTGAAGAAGGCAACATGGTTTTCTTTGGATAAATCAATTCAGTGAAATGAACACATTATGTTTTCTTTAATGTGCTATCCAAGCTACGGTATGGTGGTTATCATTAATAAATGAAAAGTTTATTTAACAAGGAGTTAACATGGCCACGTTCCAGCATCTCATCTGCTTCTCAAACTTACAGCCTTTTTAGTTTCACTTTAGCAAACAATCCTGACTATCACCAGTTTTGTAGAACAGTGATTTAGCAATGGGCATCACTCTGATAGTCGCCTCCCATATTATACATTCCAGAAGAACCACATCTGAGGACAGTGGCTGCCCTGCTGACCCAGGACCAGTCAAGAAGAAAAAAGGACCTGTTCCACAAAGCTGATTAAATGCAGTGTCACCTTCACTCTGGGTTCTAGGTTTTCACTTCCACTGGTATCTTGACCCTATCAATAATACAGCTGATGACGATAGCAAATATTTGCATAAAGCTTTACAGATTAGGAAGCACGCTCATCCATTATCTCATTTAATCCTCATGAAAACCATGTTAGGCAGGTAGGGCAGGCTTTTTTAGAAAACCCTTAGTTTACAGAAGAGGAAACTGAAACTCACTGACATTAAGAGAATTGCCAAGGTTATGAAGCTAGGGAATGAAGGCCAGACTTAACCAAGGTGTCCTGATTCCACATCCTCTGCCTGTCCCATATCAGCTCCATCCTGGTATGAGCAGCTGTGTAGCTAATATTAATATCCAATTTCTGCTAGTTCCTCACTGCCCAGGATTTACCCAGCACCCCAAATCTGCACACACAGGAACAGGAAAACCCTCAAGTTCCAAAAAGAAATAAATGTGACAGCCAAACCATGTGCTCATCCCCATGATCCTTTCAACACTGTCTCCAATCTTCAACAGAATAACTCGGAGTCCTCCTGTCACTGTCCCTGATCCTTGACAGAACTACTCACCAGGCCAATGGAGGCCCAGCTGCCACCCACCACCCCCTTATCCCTTCCCCTCGGCTTCTTTCCCATCACTTCCCCTACTCCAATCCACTCTCCTGCTCTGACTGCGGTCACACTCCTTCTACTCCCCCTAGAAGTATCCCTTCTATATAATAGGAAAAAGGTGAAAATGAAATCGTGAAGATTCCTAAACTCTCTCAGGGACTCCACAGGTTCCTAGACACGCCTGCCCTTCCACATCTGGGCCTCCTGAGGAACTTATAAGGGCTCTATGCAGAGGGTGGCTTGCGTGGAAACTACATCGAGGAGAGATGGGATTGGGGAAGGTGATGAGGGAAGATTGTTATCAGGAAGAATACTCTACTGATTAAGCAGATGCTGCCTCATCCGCCTGCACCCAACACAGCCAACCGTGTTGGAAAGCCACCTGGTGTGGAGGCAGAAGCATGTACAAGGAGTCCTGGAGGCCAGCCCCGCTGCCACTGACCTTGGGAAAACCACTGACTCCACCCTCCCCAATCTTGTCCAGTGGGGGTTGATGGAGAACGAGGATGAGAAGACTCCAAGTTTCTTCCCAGCCCCAACCTTTCATGCTTTATAAACACCAGAGAGTGATGAGGCAACTTGGTAGTTTTTACAATGGGGTTCAGGGAACAGTCCAAATTGGGTAACAGATGATCAAGAAGCCAAGGAGAAGCAGGAAAATAGAAAGAAAATAGATACAAAAATAAAGAGGCTGTGGTAGTATGGGAATCCTAAAAAGACATCAGAGAGGAGGGCTTGGGTCTAGGGAAGAACTGGGGACACAGGCAGAAAGCCCCCTGGGAGGAGAAGAAAGGCAGGGCTGTAGGACTCCCCAGAGACCTTCCTCAGCACCCCCACTGCCACTGCCACTGCCAGCCAGAGCCCCATCATTCCCTATAAACCACCAGCACAAGGCTCTCTTTCAGGCCTACTCCTGCACCTCCATGCCCAGACCACTAGGCCATGACTATGGCATAGCTTGGTACCATTTACTGAGCATTTACTATGTGCCAGACCTCATGCTGGAGACTTGATATGCTTTTCTCATTGGATCTCATCAGTAATTCTGTGAGGGAGGTACCATCACTATTTCTATTTTACAGGCGAGGATATTGAGGTTACAAAATTTAAGTGACTTGCCCAAGGTCACACAGTTGTAATTGGCAGAGACCAGTGGGCTTCACCACTATGCTCTTCTGCCTTCCATGAAACTTTCGTTTGGTGTCTTGACTTGGAAAGGGCCCGAGAAAGATGGGCCCATTCAGGAACCACTTGCTGAAAGGTGTACTCTGCACATGTAACCTGCTTACTTCTAGAGCAGGTTCAGGTGTTGACTTAAACCCATCACAAGGTCTCTGGCCTGTGACTCCTCTCAAGGCTCCCAGTGGGCCCTAGAAAAACTCAGATCTGTCAGACTGCTCCTGTGACTGGCACCTGGCCTCCACCGGACAAGCCCCATCCTGGCTGAAAACCACCACTGGGGCCAGGCTGCGGTGGGGGAAGAATGCATCTGGGTTGGGTCAGGGGGAAAGCGGCACTTCGGCACCCTAGAGCTCCACGGCTGGGGCCATGGGGGGCCACGCAGAAAGGGAGGCACTTTGCTTCCTCCAGACTCAACTTCACAATTTCAGGGGTGAGAATCGGAGTAGGGTAGGGGAGTGGGCACAGGGCAGGAGCTTGAGACTCACAGAGACCCCAGTTTGACTCTTGGTTGTGCTCTGTGCCCAAGTCAATGAGCTTCCTTCTGCCTTGGTTAACCCAATAACGGTGCCCACCTCAGCATTATTCTTGTGGAGATTAAATAAATTGAAGCATGCAAACCACTTATTAGCACAAGGGCAGGCACATAGTAATAATAATTATGACTCTCCATGCATCACCTTATTTAATATTTTGGCGATTAAATGAAACTGAATCAGAGAAAAGTGAAATAATTTCTCCAAAATCACTTGCCAGGAGGGAGTAGATCCAGGATCCCAGAGCTCAAGCCCTGGCAGCACACCACACCTCAGGAAATGTCAGCCGTTGCTGTCATGGTGTGTTGTTGCTATTGTCGAGGTCATTGTTGTTGTTTTTCTTTTTGAGACGGAGTCTCGGTCTGTTGCCCAGGCTGGAGTGCAGTGGCGCCATCTCGGCTCACTGCAACCTCCACCTCCCGTGTTCAAGCCATTCTCCTGCCTCAGCCTCCCAAGTAGCTGGGACTACAGGTGCCTGCCACCAGGCCTGGCTAATTTTTTGTATTTTTTTAGTAGAGATGGGGTTTCACCGTGTTAGCCAGGAAGGTCTCGATCTCCTAATCTCATGATCCACTGGCCTTGGCCTCCTAAAGTGCTGGGATTACAGGCATGAGCCACCACACCTGGCCGAGGTCATTGTTGTTATGACGTTTCTGGTGGTTGCAGTGGAAACTAATAACAGAGGATGAACCACAGGAATTCCCTCCAGGATGTCTGCAGAGGGTGAGTGATTTCAGCAATAATTTTCTATTGTTGCTCTAAGTAAGGGAAACTGAAACTGAAAGACTAAAACCAACCACTGTGAGTCAGTCTTATTCCTAGGGAGGCTACCCTCTCTCAATGCCACCAAGAAGAGTAGCCTGTCCAGGTGATGCCTCATGTTTGGAATTATGAGCTGAAAAGAATAAAGAAATAACCACAGGAAACAGCACCAAGCTAATGAAGGGAAAGAGGTCCCAGGTGACCCAGTGGGACTGTGGACACTAACTTGTAACAAAAGGCTGCATTGTGCTTATAGAACCGGCAGAGGTTCCCGTCATCGGGGGGCGTGGCACAGAAGAAGATGGAAGGTGACAGATTGTATCGGCCCATCTTGCAGAATTCATCATTTTCTCGGGGAGCACCAGGCTCGATGGCAACACGATCACCTGGAGAGGAAAACAAAGATGGCACCATGTCCGAGGGTGGGAGCAGAGTCTGCCCGCTCTTTGGTCTGGTTCTTTGTTTTCCAACCTTTGAAAACAGCAGAAGCAGAGATGTTATGAAGGCTTGCATGCTCATGGGCAGATGCCAGATGAGAGAATCTAGCTTAACGAGCCACCCTCCTCCCTGGGGACCCAGGGTGTCCTAGGCAAGTGAGGAAACTTGGGATGAAGCACAGAGTCACTCTGGGGGAAAAGGACCAGCCCCCTCCTCCACAGCCCAGTGTGGCCTGCCCTTTTTCCAGCTCCTGCAACAAGCCAAGCCACCCTCTATCTCCACAGCCACTTCCCAGCTAAGGCAAGCCAAGTATATTCCCATCTCACACTGCTGGAAAAGGGGTAGCTAATACATGGAGTTTGCGGGCATTTTTTCTTCATCTGTTTGGAAGATAGAAAGCAAAACCTTTACAAAGACAAGAGCTATAATTACAGCATGTTTTATGTCCAGTCTGGTCATTTTTAGACAATAATTAGGAGTCAACTGATTCCTGGTAGTAGAACTGCAAAGGCCAATGACCTGCAGAGGACTCTGGTACAGTAGAGAGTAATACTTGAGGCTTCTGAACAGCCAGCTCTATTATATTTCTATTCTATGCCTCACTACACCTGCTTGGAAACCCAGCCTGAGAACTGCTCTCTAATTGTTATTTTTTCTATCTTTTTATTATGAAGAATTTCAAACATACAGCAAAATTCAAAGAACTGTATAGCGAACACCTGGATACCCTCCTCCTACATTCTTCAAGGAACATCTAGCTATGTTCACTTTATCACATATCTATCCATCTACCCCTCTGTCTCATCTCTGTCTCCTTCCATCAGTCTATCTTCTTTTCCGATGCACTTCAAAGCAGGCTGCAGACATCAGTATACTTCACCCTTAAATGCTTCAGCCTGCATATCATTAACTAGAGTTCAGTATTTGTTTATGGTTCTTTTTTAAAGGTATCACCTAGGAATGCAAACCCCTTTTAAGATACAGAACACTACCACTACCTCAGAAATCTTATTCCTCTGTATCTGTTCCCAGTCAATCCCCAGCCCCATCCCCAGAGGACACCAATGTTTTGACTTTTTTTTGTACCACAGATTAGTATTGCCTGTTCTAGCACATCACAAAAATGGGATCATACAGTAGATACTCTTTTGAATCTTGCTTCTTTCAGTTAGCATAATGCTTTTCAGATTGATCTATGTTGTTGTGGTATTAACTGTCTGGCCAGGTGTGGTGGCTCATGCCTATAATCTCATAATCCCAGCACTTTGGGAGGTCAAGGCAGGAGGATCACTTGAACCCAGGAGTTCAAGAGCAACATAGGAAGACCTCATCTTTACAAAAAAAATTTTTTTAATTAGCTGAGCATGGTGGTGTGTGCATGTGGTCCCAGCTACTTGGGAGGCTGAGGTGGGAGAATCACTTGAGCCCAAGAGGTTGAGGCTGCAGAGAGACATGATCACACCACTGCATTCCCACCTGGGTGACAGAGCAAAACTGTCTCAAAAACAAATGACAGTTTGTTCCTTTTCATGGCTGAATAGTGTTCCAATGTAAGAGTATACCACAGTCAGTATCACCATTCTCTTATTGATGGAAAAAACCTGGTTGTTTCCAGTTTTCTCATTGCTGGTTTTTTGGGGTTTTTTTTTTGTGCATGTTTCTTTGGTTTTTTTGTTTGTTTTTTGAGACAGGATCTCACTCTGTCACCCAGGCTGGAGTACAGTGATGCAATCACAGCTCACTGTAGCCTCAACCTCCCCAAGTTCAGGTGGTCCTCCTGCCTCAGCCTCCCAAGTGAGGAAGGAGAAAGAAAAAAAGCAGGCAGACAGTTAGGGCAGGTCCTCGGTGAAATTCTTTCAAACAAAACAGCAGTCTGGAAAAAATCAAGCTGCAGGCACATAAAGAGCAGCTTGGAAAAATCAAGCTACAGGCACAGATAAGGGAGTGAGGCCCAACATAGAAATGCCTTGGTTCTCTGTGTAATCAGTGCACTCCCAGGAAAAAGTTTCCTCCCCTTTTTGGGCATGTACACAGTGGGCTCCATGAGAACTTGCATGGGGTGGGGTGGAGGCTTGCTTAAAACATGCCCGTAGTTGCTCAGGCAAGAGAAGCTGCACTCTGTGCTTGCCTAATACATGCTTGCAGCTGCACAAATAAGGGAAGCTACACAGGTAGCTACAGAGAAAAGGTAAGTTACACAACACCTAGACAGATAAGGGAAGTTTCTTATAAAAACCTTCGTATTTAACTGGAAAACAACAACCCTCTTTCAGGTCTCCTGCTCTGCTGCTGAGAGCTTTCCTCTTTCACTTATTAAACTTTCACTCCAACCTCACCCTTGGTGTCCATGCTCCTTAATTTTCTTGGTAATGAGACAAAGAACTCTGGATAACACCTCAGACAAAGAGACTGCTACACTGACCCTAGACTGCTTCACCTGTAGGGGGTCATCTGGGATATGTCAGAAGGGTGAGTAGGAGCAGCCCCCCAGTACTTTACTTTCTGCAGTTTCTTATCCATAGTTTTTTTTTTTTTCTCTCAAAATCAAACAAATACCAGGCCTCTGTTGGTCAGTTAAGAGTGGTTAGTGCAGCCACCAGATCTGTAAGACTCAGAGGACAGGCTTGCTGGAGAGTATTTTGTCAATCCCCCATCGCCCTTGGGTGCTGGGAATGTCAGCTGTGTTCCAATCCAGTTTCCATTCATGGAAGACCTAGCCATCACATAGGGTTGGAAGGAGGTCCTGGGACAACTGAAGGTTTCTGGTTGAGGCTACACCTCAGTGTTATCTGAAGGCCCCCGAACTAACTCCAGTTCCTGACAGCCCATCACGGTGTCGGCACCAGGACTTCCAGTCTTTCCTATCACATTTTCTTCCATTCTCTCCTTTGTGACTATCATGTCTCCTATCCCTTCTTTGTATGCTATGCTGAAGGTGTTTTTAGAACCTGGGAATATAATTTTGTTGGATAGAATCAGCCAGTGCCTTAGTAACCAGGAAAGTAACTCAAAGAATTGCTGTTTTTGTGATTTCCTAGAAACAGGGAGAATTCAAGATTTCAGTCTAAATTTTCACCTAGTAAGGACCTTTTTGTCCCCCAATGATAGGCATTCATGGCACTGTATGGGAGGATATTTCACCCTCAGTGAATACCCTCCTCTCCATTTGGGCTTTGTGCCCAGCACTGCCCAGTGAATCTTTTTTCTTTCTTTCTTTCTTTTTGTTTTTTTTGAGACAGAGTCTCACTCTGTTGCCCAGGCTGGAGTGCAGTGGTGCAATCTGGGCTCACTGCAAGCTCTGCCTCCCAGGTTCATGCCATTCTCCTGCCTCAGCCTCCCAAGTAGCTGGGACTACAGGCACCTGCCACCACACCCGGCTAATTTTTGTATTTTTAGTAGAGACGGGGTTTCACCATGTTAGCCAGGATGGTCTCCACTTCCTGACCTCATGATCTGCCCACCTCAGCCTCCCAAAGTGCTGGGATTACAGGCGTGAGCCACCACGCCCAGCCAAATCTTTCTTTCTATTCATAAAACTTTTATTCTACTTAGATGAATTTAATACACATGTTCTTAACAATTATGCTTGGATTGTTCATGAAAATTTCATAAGACATTAAACAAACCTAGCCATCATCTCAAGTTGTTTCCCTGTTAACTATTTTACAGCACATGCATGTTAGGCATGTATCAAAAAAAAATCACAAAAGCAAAAAACCTAAAAATCACAAAAGCAAAAAACCTAAAAAAAGGTTAAATACATGGGTTTTTGTTTTACTGCTGTGCTTGATATACATAAGTAATGAATATCAGCCAATTCAGTTTTACTGCATCTTTACTTTCACATTTGTTCCTCAGTTGTCTAAAACATTTAAATACAAATAAAATGAATGTAGCAAAATTAATGAAAGCTAACAGCAGGTAACTTTACAAATAATGGAATGTGAACTGTTTCTGCCCTTATCCAGAGTAAAATGGGTTACGACTGTCTAAAGGAACACTTCTGCAGCTGTAGTCAAAGGTGTGCGCATTGAGATTGAGTATTCCACAGATATGCATGGTTTAACACGTGGGATCCATGGGATAATTGTTTCTACCACAGCCTTGTAAGTGCTCCAAACCTTAAAGTACCCACAATTACTACACCTGTGACTGGAACCAATGATCCCTTTTACTCCCCAGCAGGACAAACCAATACATAGGCAGTTTTCTTTGCTTAAATATGGAAGTTTCTTTGCTTAGATATGGAACACTGGCCCTGTGAAGCCACAATGTACCAAAAGTACTATGCCAAACATTTATAACTTGTATAAAAATTCCACATCCCCATAATGGCCACTTAAAATGAAAACAGGTAACTCCCTAAATGTTAACTGGCTCTACTCCCCTACTATTAAACATAAAAACCACATGGGAAATATAGAAATTCAAATAGAATCTATAAGTTACCTGGGGCAGTATGGCCATTTTCACGATATTGATTCTTCCTACCCATGAGCATGGAATGTTCTTCCATTGCTTTGTATCCTCTTTTATTTCATTGAGCAGTGGTTTGTAGTTCTCCTTGAAGAGGTCCTTCACGTCCCTTGTAAGTTGGATTCCTAGATATTTTATTCTCTTTGAAGCAATTGTGAATGGGAGTTCACTCATGATTTGGCTCTCTGTCTGTTATTGGTGTATAAGAATGCTTGTGATTTTTGTACATTGATTTTGTATCCTGAGACTTTGCTGAAGTTGCTTATCAGCTTAAGGAGATTTTGGGCTGAGACAATGGGATTTTCTAGATATACAATCATGTCATCTGCAAACAGGGACAATTTGACTTCCTCTTTTCCTAACTGAATACCCTTTATTTCCTTCTCCTGCCTAATTGCCCTGGCCAGAACTTCCAACACTATGTTGAATAGGAGTGGTGAGAGAGGGCATCCCTGTCTTGTGCCAGTTTTCAAAGGGAATGCTTCCAGTTTTTGCCCATTCAGTATGATATTGGCTGTGGGTTTGTCATAGATAGCTCTTATTATTTTGAGATACGTCCCATCAATACCTAATTTATTGAGAGTTTTTAGCATGAAGAGTTGTTGAATTTTGTCAAAGGCCTTTTCTGCATCTATTGAGATAATCACGTGGTTTTTGTCTTTGGTTCTGTTTATATGCTGGATTACATTTATTGATTTGCGTATATTGAACCAGCCTTGCATCCCAGGGATGAAGCCCACTTGATCATGGTGGATAAGTTTTTGATGTGCTGCTGGATTTGGTTTGCCAGTATTTTATTGAGGATTTTTGCATCAATGTTCATCAAGGATATTGGTCTAAAATTCTCCTTTTTGGTTGTGTCTCTGCCCGGCTTTGGTATCAGGATGATGCTGGCCTCATAAAATGAGTTAGGGAGGATTCCCTCTTTTTCTGTTGATTGGAATAGTTTCAGAAGGAATGGTACCAGTTCCTCCTTGTACCTCTGGTAGAATTCAGCTCTGAATCCATCTGGTCCTGGACTCTTTTTGGTTGGTAAGCTATTGATTATTGCCACAATTTCAGAGCCTGTTATTGGTCTATTCAGAGATTCAACTTCTTCCTGGTTTAGTCTTGGGAGAGTGTATGTGTCGAGGAATTTATCCATTTCTTCTAGATTTTCTAGTTTATTTGCATAGAGGTGTTTGTAATATTCTCTGATGGTAGTTTGTATTTCTGTGGGATCGGTGGTGATATCCCCTTTATCATTTTTTATTGCATCTATTTGATTCTTCTCTTTTTTTCCTTATTAGTCTTGCTAGCACTGCCCAAGGTAATTTATAGATTCAATGCCATCCCCATCAAGCTACCAATGACTTTCTTTACAGAATTGGAAAAAACTATTTTAAAGTTCATATGGAACCAAAAAAGAGCCCGCATCGCCAAGTCAATCCTAAGCCAAAAGAACAAAGCTGGAGGCATCACGCTACCTGACTTCAAACTATACTACAAGGCTACAGTAACCAAAACAGCATGGTACTGGTACCAAAACAGAGATAGAGATCAATGGAACAGAACAGAGCCCTCAGAAATAATGCCACATATCTACAACTATCTGATCTTTGACAAACCTGAGAAAAACAAACAATGGGGAAAGGATTCCCTATTTAATAAATGGTGCTGGGAAAACTGGCTAGCCATATGTAGAAAGCTGAAACTGGATCCCTTCCTTACACCTTATACAAAAATCAATTCAAGATGGATTAAAGACTTAAACGTTAGACCTAAAACCATAAAAACCCTAGAAGAAAACCTAGGCATTACCATTCAGGACATAGGCATAGGCAAGGACTTCATGTCTAAAACACCAAAAGCAATGGCAACAGAAGCCAAAATTGACAAATGGGATCTAATTAAACTAAAGAGCTTCTGCACAGCAAAAGAAACTACCATCAGAGTGAACAGGCAACCTACAAAATGGGAGAAAATTTTCACAACCTACTCGTCTGACAAAGGGCTAATATCCAGCATCTACAATGAACTCAAACAAATTTACAAGAAAAAGACAAACAACCCCATCAAAAAGTGGGCGAAGGACATGAACAGACACTTCTCAAAAGAAGACATTTATGCAGCCAAAAAACACATGAAAAGATGCTCATCATCACTGGCCATCAGAGAAATGCAAATCAAAACCACAATGAGATACCATCTCACACCAGTTAGAATGGCAATCATTAAAAAGTCAGGAAACAACAGGTGCTGGAGAGAATGTGTTGAAATAGGAACACTTTTACACTGTTGGTGGGACTGTAAACTAGTTCAACCACTGTGGAAGTCAGTGTGGCAATTCCTCAGGGATCTAGAACTAGAAATACCATTTGACCTAGCCATCCCATTACTGGGTATATACCCAAAAGACTATAAATCATGCTGCTATAAAGAGACATGCACACGTATGTTTATTGCAGCACTATTCACAATAGCAAAGACTTGGAACCAACCCAAATGTCCAACAATGATAGACTGGATTAAGAAAATGTGGCAGATATACACCATGGAATACTATGCAGCCATAAAAAATGATGAGTTCATGTCCTTTGTAGGGACATGGATGAAATTGGAAATCATCATTCTCGGTAAACTATCGCAAGGACAAAAAACCAAACACCGCATGTTCTCACTCATAGATGGGAATTGAACAATGAGAACACATGGACACAGGAAGGGGAACATCACACTCTGGGGACTGTGGTGGGGTGGGGGGATGGGGGAGGGATAGCATTAGGAGATATACCTAATGCTAAATGATGAGTTAATGGGTGCAGCACACCAGCATGGCACATGTATACATATGTAACTAACCTGCACATTGTGCACATGTACCCTAAAACTTAAAGTATAATAATAATAAAATAAAATAAAAAATTTAAAGAAGAAAGAAATTCAAATAGAAGTAACATAAGCCTGTCATAAATTGTAAACAAAAACTATTTGTGGGACAGCATGGATGACAAATGGTCTACTGTGTAAATTTTAGAATGAGGCAGAAAAAAGTTGGAAGTCTGGTTAATTTTCCCCTCCTTCTCCTGCTTCAGCTTTGTCTCCTTAGGTATCTGATGTCCACAACGTCAAGTTGTCTCTCAGTAATTGCATTATTAGTGTTTTGTCTTTGTATGACTCTTCCCTTAATGTATCAAGTTCAGCAATGGCTCCATCAAAAGCTGTCTTTGGAAGACAGCAGGCTTTCTCTGGGGAGTTCAGAATCTCATAAGAGAACACAGAGAAGTTAAGGGCCAGACCCAGTCTGATAGGATGTGTTGGATGTATTTCCTTTTTGCTGGTTTCAAAGGCTTCTTGGTATGCTTGTTGTGACTGATTGACAATCCCTTACTTGTCATCATCAGCGGCAACCTCAGGCAAGTAACAGTAGTACTTGCCTTTCATTTTCAAATAGAAGACTTTGCTCTCTGCTTGTGAAGCACTAGGGATCAAGAACTTTTCCAAAAGAGACAGTATCTCTTAGCTCTGTCTCAATTTTCTCTCTGTATTCTCGAGCCAACTGCTGTTCTATCTCAGCACCTTCTGTCTTTTGTTCAATACTTGAGATGACCCCCCAAGATGACCTACAACATTTTTATAAGCAACTGAGAGAAGATTCCTCTCCTCATTGGATAATTCAGCTCCTTGCTCAGTTACAGACTTCATGCAGGCTGCCATGTTATCATATCGCTCAGCCTGCTCAGCCAGTTTGGCCTTCTGAACCAGCTCATTTTTATCCATGACTGGATGTTCAGTGTCTGAAGTGGGTGGTGGCGGTGGATAGACAGGGGCTCAGCAGTCTCTGGGTGGTGGGGGCAGCAGTGGCAAGGCTGAGACTCTGTCTGCCCAATGAATTTGAACAGTTACTCTATGAGACAATTTTCTTTTGCTAAGAGGCATACTGTGGGGGTAGACTATCAAACCCCAAACCTCTTTCTAACCTCTGCCTGGAAAAAATTTAGAGTCAGAGTTTTTACCTAACATTTCAGTCCCTACCATGCCACCTAGTGAAATGGGATTTTTCTCTGTGGAGGGCACTATTGGCCCTTTGTCCAAGGCCTCTAGTTCCCCAATTTCTCTCCCTCCTACATCCCTCTATTAGGGACCAGGCTCCATGCCCCATCTGTAAACAGCAAAATTCCACCTTCAATAGTCAAGAGGAAGCCACCCTTGAGAGACAACTTTTAGCCTCAGTGCTGTCCCCATCCCCATCACAGGGAGAACAGCCATTCAATCCTTATGTTTGAGGCACCTGTTCTGCATCCAGCTACATTGGAGTCTCTGGCTAACAGACAATTGCTTCCTCACATATCAGGCTTTGCTGCTGGAAGGATCTACAGTCCACTTAATTGCCTAAGCCCAGCCACTTTCCTCCCAGAGGAAATTAGAGACTACTGAAAATAGATTTACATGCAAGGTGTGTAAGGAAAGTAAAATGTGTTTTGGTAAAAGATTATAAGAAGACATGGAAATGTAAATTTTGCCTAGAAATAAAGGATTGTTTTGAATTAGGTTAAGATAAAGCTGAAGGTTTGAGCAAGTTGTGGAAGCATTATAAAAATTAATCTTGCAAAGGAAATTCTGTGTCTGAATATATTGACTAAATTCAGAAGGGTATTCTATGTTTTTTACATAAATTGAGCATTGAAATAAAAGCACAACAAGGCTTTCTCGAGGCACTGATCTGCTCCTTAACAAAAATTTGTAGAGAGTTATAAAAGGTTTACAAGAATCTCACCTCATGATCAAACTGGGTAAGATTTGATAGAATTATCTCTAAGGTTTCATTAAAAAAGTTGGGGTTGACATTAATAGTAGACTAACGCAAGGGTGAAATTTGGCTTTCTCCTCTTGCACAGGATTTTCATGTAACATTAAAGACAGATTGTTTGGAAGCTAAGTCCTCCCTCTTAATGAGTGAAGGTTTTTGCCTTGTTTTAGAATGTTTTGGTCATGACTTTGGCTAAAATAAATAGTTTATAGTAATCCGTAATTGTACTTCATAATATCAAGTGCTTTGAACCGCTAACATATTTAACAGGCTCCCCCAAATCAAACTTCAGTTTCAAGGTTGTCTTTTCTAATCCCAAGCTTTTGGGTATTATAGCGGGCCCCTGGAGCATCCAAAAGAGAGGTAAACAGGAGTATTTGACATGTTTAGTTACGTGGGATTGCCAAAGTCATGTTTAATCTTCTTTAGGTTATATTTTAGTGAATAACATTATGTTCCAAAATTGTATAGAATATCTAAAATTCTAATGTCTGAGTATTTGCTATCAATCATAATTAAGGTTATTGTGTAAATTATTGTAAACCACAGAGATAACCAAATTTCTTTGTCAATTGTGTTTTTAACTGTAGCTACCCTGGATATTTTGTCATTCACAGACAATTGTTGTCTTGTTTTAATCATCTTCAAAAGATAGTTTATAATCAGCTATAGGACTTTGATAGGTGCTCTCAAATGCAGGTTTCTGATAACCTTGGAGATTGTGACATTGGAATAGAGGAAAAATGTATAGGACTCATGAAGAACTGAAATGTTCATGAATATCATGCAGAGCAAGTATTAATGGAATGGACTGAACTAATAGAAGACTGAACTAATCCTTTTTAACTTTCTGCTTAAAACATTGCTAATCCTTGTTTTTCAGAGTCAAGGGAATTTTTCTTTTGAGCTATCTACAGCTTTTAACAATTCAGTAATGTATACTCCTGTGAACAAAATTTGGAGTATGTTTGTTTCTTTCTGCCAGTTTCTCTAGACTTTGGAAACTATTTGTGAGTATTCTTGATTTATGGCAATATAGTTGTTTCCATCAGCGCAGTAAGAATCCATCTTCTTTTACAACAGGACACAACTGGAGAAACTAGTTGTTTTACCAAGGCTTTGACTGGAACAGTATGCTTCCCTTTAAAAAATCAAGCTGGAGTTGCAGAGCCAATAAATGCCCCTTGGGAAAACTGGCTTCATATCTTGTCTACACAGTCCCTGTACAGGATTCCTAAACTGTGGTGAGTAAAGAATGTCACTTTCTAACAGGCTCCATGTTCTTTTGACCTCAAGAAGAGAGGAATTTGCCCAACTCATAGGTATTTGAGTATACAAATCCATGGCTGGGCTCAGCTTTGAAAAGTAGGGCCAGGCGCGGTGGCTCATGCGTGTAATCCCAGCACTTTGGGAGGCTAAGGCAGGTGGATCACAAGGTCAGGAGATCGAGACCATCCTGGCTAACACGGTGAAACCCCATCTCTACTAAAAATACAAAAAATTAGCCAGGGCTGGTGGTGGGTGCCTGTAGTCCCAGCTACTCAGGAGGCTGAGGCAGGAGAATGGCATGAACCCAGGAGGCAGAGCTTGCAGTGAGCCAGATGGCGCCACTGCACTCCAGCCTGGGCGAGAGTGCGAGACTCCGTCTCAAAAAAAAAGAAAAGTCCTATCTGAAGTTCCTCGCAAAACAGAGTTTCATCAAAGCCAATTTTAAAAGCCTATGTAGAAATAATTATTCTTGCTGTACTTTATGCAAATAATCAGGCCAAGTATAAGACTAAAGTTTATTTTGCAAACAACTCAGTCTTACTGTGATTTGTTTTTGACAAAAGTGAGGACTGGCAAGAGAAAAATATGCTTCAAAACTTATCATACATTTGTCCATTAAATTCTAATCTCATTAGTTTTAAGTTTTTACTTAAAAACTTAGCCTACATTTTAGACTAACCATGCTTATTCCTGTGAACCAATCAGCGATCTCTGGCTGCAACTCAGAAGAAACAAAAGAGATCAGTAATATAAAAAATCTGGATCAATATTTTAATTCTGAGCAATTATCCTGCAAATCCTGCCAGATGATGGGAATGAATGGGCAGCCCATAACTCAGAGGTTTCCTTGTTTGGGAAAATAAGACCAAGGGAGCTAACCAAAGCCAAGTCCCATGCACCCAAATCTTGGCAGGCATAACTATAGCTGCCAGTTATCTGGGCACATTGTCAGCTTTGGGATTTTTGAGCTTTTCTTACCCCCTTGTCTTGTTTTGATATATGTCTTCTAATAACCCACATTGTTTTTTCTCGCCTAGAGGTTATCAAACTCCAAATGGTGATGCAAATGGAACCACACATAGACACACCTTTCTTCTGAGGACCCTTAGATAAGCCCCAGAAGGAACCCTGGCTGCTGTCCCCCACACAACCCCCACCTCCAGCAGAAAGTAGCCAGAGAGATTATCGCCCTACCTCCCTAACAGCAGTTAGAGTCTCCACTCCTGAGGTGGGAGATGAGGAACGAGAAAGAAAAAAACCAGTTAGGCACACAGTTAGGGCAGGTCCTTGGTGAAATGCTTTCCAACAAAAGAGCAGCCTGGAAAAATCAAGCTGCAGGCACAGATAAGGAAGCAAGGCCAAACATAGAAATGCCTCTGTTCTTCGGGTAATCAGTGGGCTCCCAGGAAAAAGTTTCCTCCCCTTTTCAGGCATGTACATGGTGGGCTCCATGGGAACTTGCAAGGGGGTGGGCAGGGGCTTGCCTAAAACATACTCGCAGTTGCTGAGAAAAGAGAAGCTGCACCCTGTGCTTGCCTAAGACATGCTCACAGCTGCACAGATAAGGGAAGCTACACACGCAGCTACACAGATAAGGGAAGTTACGTAGGCAGCTACATAGATAAGGGAAGTTTCTTATAAAAACCTTTGTATTCAACTGTGAAACAGCAACCCTCTTTTGCTGCCCCCTCCCTCCACCCCCGCTGCTGCTGAGAGCTTTCTTCTTTCACTTATTAAACTTTCGTTCCAACCTCACTCTTGGTGTCCACACTCCTTAATTTTCCTGGTCATGAGACAAAGAACTCTGGATAACACCTTAGACAGTGAGATTGCTATGTTGACCCTAGACTGCTTTACAAGTCGCTGGGACTATAGGTGCATGCCACCATGCCTGGGTGATTTTTGTTTTTGTTTTTGCAGAGACAGGGTTTTTCCATGATGCCCAGGTTAGTCTCAAATCCCCAGGCTAGTCTCAAACCCCCAGGCTCAAGCAATCCTCCTGCCTTGGCCTCCCAAAGTGCTGCGATTACAGGTGTAAGCCACCATGTCCATCTCTAGTTGTTTTTCATGACTATTTTGCCTCCTCATCAAGGATGGGAATGCCTCAGGATTAGTCAGTCTTCTGCTCCATATTTATTTTTCCATAGTGTCTACTGTTGTGCTAGACAAATTTTTATTGCTAAACATAGAATTTGTGGATTGGGGGAAAACAAACCATGGGACACAAATGTCATTAGTATCTAGAAGGGCATTACTTATTGGCAAAAATTTCCCCTGGAATGTGACAAGTAAAACCTGTTGGTTAAAGACAGTAGCACTTTTCTGTTGTAAAGGAAAGGGAGACAGGTAGGAATAATTGAGGACAAATAGTTATCCTGAGGTTTTGGGATGGTTTAGATGGTTCATCTTCATGCAGATACCCAGCCCTGTGTAGGGGAACTCCAAATACACTGTCAATACAGCAATGGCCTCCATGTTTGCAGAAAATAGAAAGCAGATTTACAGGGGATTTTAATATCACAGGTATTGCTACACATCAAAGTTACAATTGGATTTAAACTCCGTCTGAATCTGGGGAGTGACCCATACCAGCGAATCAGAGACCAAACTAGAAACCCTGGCAGACCCCCTGCCTGAGCCCAGACACTAACTCCACAGAGAACAGCAGAAATCTCCCCTTCTAGCAGCCAGGAACAAGCTGGAGACCAACACGGCTGAATGCCAGTGAGGCAGGAAGCCATGTGGCAGGAGCCAGGAAAGGACCCACAGGCCTTATCCTGCCTCAGTACCTGGTTATTCAGGAAAGGTCTGATGGATAGACTCCACTGGGAAGAGGTGCTTAAACCTACTACACAGAATAGAGTTTACCAATAATGGTGGGATCAAGTCCTGCCATTTACCAAATGCCCATTGTGTGCCAGGTACCAGGAAAGGCACATCACAAAATCTCCCTTCCCTCACCATAAACCAACAAGATGGTGTTATCTCTGCTTTAGCGATGAGGAAACAGAAGCTCAGGTGGTCACACAGTGATAAGCTGTGGAGATTTGACTGTCTGCTCACCTCTGTACTAGTGTTCGGGCCCTCTGGAGCCTGAAGAGGATGTTAGGAACCTGGTGAGGCCTGCTGAGGCCATGGAAGGTCTGGCCTTTATTCAGCAGGGAAATAATAAACAATTTTTCCTAAGTCTTTTTGTGTTGAAAGTACTCACAGAATAGTGTAGAGTCCTGGTACATAGTTAGTGCTCATTAAAATAAGTGGTGAAGGCTGGTCTGAAGGTAGTGCATCATCTTAATTGGTTGTTCATACTCAGTTACAGATAATACTCCTTGTTCTACTCTTTCCCCACTTCTCACTACTGCACTTGACTAGTCTTAAAAAAAAATAGGAATGCTTCCATGCCTTAGAGTTATTGACTTATATGTATGTATGTCTGTTTGTTTGTTTATTTATTTATTTATTTGAGACAGAGTCTTGCTCTGTCGCCCAGGCTGGAGTGCAATGGCATGATCTCAGCTCACTGCAACCTCTACCTCCCAGGTTCAAGAAATTCTCCTGCCTCAGCCTCCTGAATAGCTGGGATTACAGATGCATGCCACCACGTCTGGCTAATTTTTGTATTTTTAGTAGAGATGGGGTTTCACCATGTTGACCAGGCTGATCTTGAACTCCTGACCTCAAGTGATCTGCCTGCATCAGCCTCCCAAAGTGCTAGGATTATAGGTGTGAGCTATTATGCCCGGCTGACTTATATGTTTAAATTCTGTAAATGCGCATTAGGAAATATTTGATGAGTTGTGGTCTTCTTTCTAGATTAGTTGATTAGAATTTTAAGTCCAAGTTAACATATGAAAGACTTTAAATCCAAATTTTGTATCCTAAGGAAAGAAAAGGACCCACAGAAATCTTTATGACCACCAAAATATGTCTGTATTTAGCTGGGCATGGTGGTTTATGCCTATGTAAACCCAGCACTCTGGGAGGCCGAGGAGGGCTGATCACCTGAGGTCAGGAGTTTGAGACCAGCTTGGCAAACATAGTGAAACCCATTCTCTATTAAAAATACAAAAATTAGCCAGGTGTGGTGGTGCGTGCCTGTAATCCCAGCTACTCAGGAGGCTGAGGCACAAGAATCACTTGAACCTGGGAGGCTGAGGTTGCAGTGAGCTGAGATGGCACCACTACACTCCAGCCTGGACAACAGAATGAGACTTCATCTCGAAAAAATAAAATGTCTATATTTGTCTCTTCCTTCTATCTCCTCTGACTCCCTCTGCTTTCTCTCCTGTCCAGTGAACTTTCTGCAAATTATGCCTATGTCATTAAGGATGAATTCTTCCACCTAGCCTTCAAGATCCTCCATAATCAGGTGGAGTTTTCATATTATTCAGTTTTACCTTCTAATTATGATTATATTATGATAACATGACATTTCACAGTTTTACAGTGCTTTTTAAATTTTATTTTATTTTATTGTTTTGAGATAGAGTCTTGCTTTGTCACCCAAGCTGGAGTGCAGTGGTGCAATCATGGCTCACTGCAACCTCAACCTCCTGGGCTTAAGTGATCCTTCTGTCTCAGCCTCCTGAGTAGCTGGAAATGCAGGTGCACACTACCACACCCAGCTAATTCTATTTTTTGTAGAGACAGGGTCTCCCTCTGTTGCTCATGCTGGTCTCAAACTCCTGAGCTCAAGCAATTTTTCTGCCTCGGCCTCCCAAAGTGCTGAGATTACAGGTGTAAGCCACCATGCCCAGCCAAGTGCTTTTTAAAGGGGGACTTTTATAAAGATTATGCATGTTTATCATCTCCAATAACTCCCCAACACAAAACCTCTGCTCTGAGTAGCACAGACTTATCTGTACCCAGATGTGTTACTCTCATATCTGTAATTTTGTTGTTCACTTCCTCTTTTTTTTTTTTTTTTTTTTTTTTTGAGATGGAGTCTTGCTCTGTCTCTCACCAAGGCTGGAAAGCTGGCATGCAGTGGCACAATCTCAGCTCACTGCAACCTCCACCTCCTGGGTTCAGGCAATTCTCCTGCCTCAGCCTCCCAAGTAGCTGGGATTATAGGTGTGTGCCACCATGTCCGGCTAATTTTTCTATTTTTAGACAGAGTTTCACCATATTGGCCAGGCTGGTCTCAAACCCCTGACCTCAAGTGACCTGCCCACCACAGCTTCCCAAAGTGCTGGGATTACAGGCATGGGCAACTGCACCCAGCCATTCGCTTCCTCTTAACTAGAATATTAGCTCTGACCTCTTCAATAACTCAAATATAAAACCTTTCTCAAGTATGAAGATGCTGGGTAGCCCAGTGGTTCTGAGCACTTGCTCTAGAGTCCAAAAGACCAGGGTGGGTATCCCAGTTCTGAGACCAACTAGTGAGTGACCCTGGGCAATAACCAGGCTTCAATTTCTTCTTCAATTAATGAAGATAATAATGCCTATCTCATAGAATTGTTACAAGAATGAAATAAATAGCCCAGGTGCAGTGGCTCAGGCCCGTAATCACAGCAGTTTGGGAGGCAAAGGTGGGCAGATCACTTGAGGTCAGGAGTTCAAGACCAGCCTGGCCAACACGGTGAAGCCCAGCCTCTACCAAAAATACAAAAATTAGCCAGGCATGGTGCTGCATGTCTGTAATCCCAGCTACTCGGGAGGCTGAGGCACGGGAATCACTTGAACCAGGAGGTGGAGGTTGCAGCAAGGCGAGATTGCACCACTGCACTCCAGCCTGGGTGACAGAGCGAGACTCCGTCAAAAAAAAAAAAAAAAGAAAAAGAAAGAAAGAAAGAATTGTACATCTAAGTGTTTAACATGGAGACTAATGTAGCAAATCAATAAATATTAGCCACCTTCTTATTAATGTTACTACTGTTAGATGTCTAGCTCAAAGACCTATCTCCTCCATGAACTCTTTAACCACCTCTGCCCACAACAAATGCCCTTTGAACTCCTAAAGCCTATTCTTTCCCACACCTAATTGTACCCTATGGGCTTGCTGTCTAACTGCTGGTATTTATGAAGGGCCTGACATCTAGTGTTTCCATATAGAACTAAGCATCCAGGGATCATATCTGCTCATTTTTCTATATCCCTCAGGGCTCGTGGCATAAGACTGAGCTCATTGTGGACAACTGACTAAACCCTTGTTATAATTTACATTTACAGAACCCCACTCTTTGTTATAATTTATAGTCAGAGACTTTGTCCCACAGGTGAGAACCAATCATCAGTGGCTGTTGGAAGCTATAAACATTCCACTAGGAAATAACCTCATAACACCACAGGAGCCTTCTTGACTTCCACTAATGATGAATGACTTAACATCCCTAAACAAGACACATGCCTGACTGCTTCACAGCTGGTCAATCCCTCTCCATGTGGTTGGGCTCAGAGACCTTTATAACTAACACAGGATGGGGCCTCCTGTCAACCTCCACCTTCCCCCAAATAACGTGACCTTATTTCCGGGCTGCACAGCAGCCTCACCGGTAAAGGAAGGTTAAAGCCAACAGCTAACTATGCCAAGACAACTTGGATTTAATTCACGGTATCAGGGAACAACACAGCCTGCCACAGCTGAGAATTCCTCCCTCTGGAAAAATGAATTTAGTAAATCTAGGAAAAATAATGGTGGTTTCCCAGCCATCTAATAAAAAGCAAACATTATATCCAAGGCCGTGGTTCACAGCATGTAAAGGTAGTTTGGTTTCCTGTGCCTCAAATGTTTTCTCCAGCCCTTTACCTGGCTTATTTCTTACCTGGCTCCAGATGTTGGATTAATTGTCCCTTCCTCAAATGAACCAAGGGTCTGGGTAAAATACACTAATCACACCCTGCATTCTCCTCTACTGCCCTTAACACATGGTGACTAAGTAACTATCTGTCTGCTGCAGGTCCCTCTTTTCTTGTGTAAGGTAAGATCCATGTGAGTATGGAACAAGATTGTCTTGTTCCCTGCTGTACCCAGAGCTTAACAGAGGGCCTGGCCCAAAGAAAGCATGCACACATATTTATGTTGAATGAACACATAAGTCGAAGGACCTTGCTGACCTGGTTTTAGGTGCTTTACCGATGATCCCACTTTTTCGACTGTTCCCGAAGCTTCATGTCCCAGCACCATGGGCTTTTTCACAATAAAATTCCCAATTCGACCATACTCCCAGTAGTGGACATCTGAGCCACAGATTCCAACAGAATGCATCCTCAGCAAGACCTCTGATAAAAGAAAGGAAGAAAAAAACAGTGAGAGAGGGAACAACCCCTATCACTCTGAGGTGACCTAGTGATTTCCCTTTGCCCAGGGTAGAGGGCTGGGTTACCAGGCCAGGTACACAATTTAGGCCACAGAGGAAATCAAGCTCCATAGCAACCCTGATTAAGTCTCGCAAGGCAAACAAGCTTCCACATGTGGTGGCTAATTTTATGTGTCCACTTGGCTAGGCTATAGTGCCTGGTTGTTTGAAGATACGTGTTGGGCATGGTTAACTTTTAAACCAATAGACTTTGAGTAAAGTAGATTACCCTCCATAATGTGGGTGAGCCTCATCCAATCAGTTTGAAGGTCTTAAAGGCAAAGACTGAGGTTTTCTGAAGGAGAAGGAATTCTCCTCAAGACTGCAACATCAACTCTTACCTGAATTTCCAGCCTGCCCTTTGTACACATACACACATACATACATACACATATATCTTAGTGGTTTTGTTTCTCTGGACAACACTAACCAATACACTGGGTAAACAATATATCATTAGTAGGATGAAATGTACCAACCACTTAAGAGAACAAACTATTTTCCAAAAGATAACTTTCCAGACAATTAATATGCTACGCGTGATTCGTGGATTCGTATCTATTTATGAGAAAAGGTCTGGTAGAATCTCAGCTTGGCAACATTTTGTGAACTATCAAGTTGAGTTCTTCATGCCTATTGTTTTCTTTCCTTTATTTATTTATTTATTTATTTATTTATTTTTTATTTTTAGACAGAGTCTCCCTCTGTCGCCCAGACTGTAGTGCAATGGCAGGATCTTGGCTTACTGCAATCTCCACCTCCCCGGTTCAACCAATTCTCCTGCCTCAGCCTCCCAAGTAGCTGGGATTACAGGTATGCGCCACCACGCCCGGCTAATTTTTGCAGTTTTAGTAGAGACGGGGTTTCACCATGTTGGCCAGGCTGGCCTTGAACTCCTGACCTCAGGAGATCCGCCTGCCTCAGCCTCCCAAAGTGCTGGGATTACAGGCCTAAGCCACCGCGCCTGGCCAGTTTTCTAAGTTTAAAATAAAGATGGTACTGAGCCCCTTTGGTGAAATAAGTACCAATAAGTACCATCATCTCTGACTCAGATGATGGTTATGAATACCTCCCTGAAAAAAACACTCTGCCTTAGAAAGACAAAGAGACCCAAATCTCTGCTATGCACTGCACTTGCCACAGACTGCCAGGGGTGGCTCTTCAGAACTTTCTTCCTCCTTAGTTTTAGTGAAGAGTAAGAAATGGCAGGGTGAATTCTCAGGTCAAATGCAGGGAAAAGGCATTTGAGTTAGGAAAATCATCTCAGAATTTCCTCTCTTGAAGTAGCAATTGGTAGTGAGAGATTAGATTTGACTTGCTAGAACACTCGCTGAAATGCACTCTTTTCCCTTCCAATGCAAGTGTAGCAAGAGACGAGAGTGCAAGCAGAATGCTGCTTCAGGGAGAAAAGCTGTTACCAGGAGCCAAGCTTGTACTCTGTGTCCAAGACAGCCCTCGTTTGGCCACTTCTGGAATCAACGGTCAACTTTTCAGGACACAGTGAGGTAACTCTTTCACTTCTCTGAACATGGTATCTTGGTGAAAATCCTTGAACCCTAACTATACAATACTTACTCAGCACCCATAGAATGGCTATATTCTATCTAGTCTGTATTCTTACCACTTACAAGTCGATAACACAACTGACCTTTCAGTAGCAAAGCTGTGGATCTACCAGGAAAGCCGCCTTTGATCTGATGTTCACCCAGAAGCTGCGGTTCTGGTGTGAGGTAGGACAAAGTGGGAAAGGACACCCCCAACTCCTCAAGGGCAGAAAGGGGACCTGACTGTCTAGGTGTGAGAGGGGGAGGGTGAGTATCTACAGACACTCTGACCATTGCCCCCAGCCTCACTTCAGGGTCCTGCATGATTATGACAAAGTGGAATTCCAGGGATGGGAGGGATTAGAAAGCTGTCAGCAGGGATCTGCCCGAGCCAACAGACAAAAAGAGATGGAAATGTTCACAGCACCTGCCATGTGCAGACGGTGGGCTGGGCTTTATCCTCACCATAGCACTCAGTTTGTACATGAGAAACCCAAAGCTGGGAAGTTGCAGATGCCACCTTGGGCGTCAGCATGTCAGCTAAGCCCCACAGGCTTAGCAAGTGAGAGGCCTAGAAGGAGTGGAGTAAAGGTGTTGGAAACCCTGCCCCAGTGTGCTCACTCACTTTCTGTGCTTGGTTGATTAGGGCAGGGGACAGGGACCCATGCAGCACCTCCCACCCCCACTGGACAGTAGGTCCTGGGCTGCCCCACACTTTGGTGACTGGCCTTCCTGGGGAGTGGGGAAAGCTGGCATGATGCTCCCTTTGCTAAAGATTAAGTTCTGTAGACTCACTCCTTTTCAAAGTTTGGGTTAGGGTTAGGACACTTGGCCACTCCAACAGCAGCTTCTGGTAGATAGGGTACACTGTCATTAGGTCAAAAGAGGAAGAATTCTGTCATTGGTCCATATACTTCACATCAAAAACTCTTTGGGACAAGTCAGCAGTCTGGTACGGTAATTTTTCTGATTCTATCACTGTTCTTTTATTTCATGTAGCAGCCAAGATAAACTTCCCACCAGGTCATGCTGTGGGCAGTAGACTCTGTTCTCAGCCTAACAAAAGCATAGGTTTTTAATGGATGCAAAAGTAATAAACAGTTGGAAAAGAGAGGTAAGGGAACAATATACATGTGACTCCAAAGGAAACAACAGGAAATAATAAAATATAAGTCATGTTTCCCAAGAACTTACCATTTGGGCCTGGTTCAGGGATAGGATAGTTCTCCTAAAAGAAACAAAATTGAAAAAATCATTTAGCATGCATAAGAACTTCACCTTATGAACATTTTCCATTAAAAACAATTAGAGTTTCATCAATAGTTTATTTCTTCTTAGAATTAACACAAGCTCAGACCACACTGCTCCTGGGTGCATGCCTGAGGGGATACGCTAAATGGCACGCTGCACACACCTGCCTAGCCCTTCGTCACTTTTCTGCATAACACAGTGACGGACCCAACAGCAGCATGCCCAGCATACTCATAGAGCATACAGAGGACCACACTTGTTGTCAGTAGTGACATGTCACAGGGTGAGATGAAGTTCTGACGCTGGGTTCCCTCCCTAGGAAACAGCCTACAAGCCAAAGGCCAATCCTAACTGAGGAAGAGCTGACTCTAATTGCTGACCTCATCCCACCCACTGGTGCAACTTCGCCAGGACTAAGGAAAAAGCACAGTCCATGTAACTCTAGGCAGAAGGGATCTTTGGGTTTCTAGATCTGCCATCTATATCAGATCCTGCCTTCCTGGAAAAACATGTTCTTAGATACAGATTTGTTTGGTCTGACAAACTCCTCCAGGGAAAGGATGCAGGCGTTTCTGACAGTTGCACGTGAGGATGTTTCCCGCTAGACAGGTAGGAGAAAGTGTCTGTGCTGCCAACCTCTTTCCTTTACATCAGCACAAAGACTGATACCTGGTCCTCTTTTCCTAAACTTCCCATGTGGCATTTGAGGGGCCCCTTGGGAACACATAAGACCTGCATTTTGGCCCCTCTCACAGGTTCAAAAGCAATCTGAGCTATTCTGGTGTTCACAGCTAGTAGTAGTAGCAGTAGCAGCAGTAGTTGTAGTAGTGTTGGTTTACTAAGCCTTCTTTCCTCATTGTCAACGGGCTAGGAAAGTCCTAGTGACAAGGAAGGCCACTGAGTGGCCAAATCCAAGTGTTCATTTTATTCTTTGAAGGTAATCAAGAAAAGAGATGTACCCGGGCACAGTGTCTCATGCCTGTAATCCCAGCACTTTGGGAGGCTGATGCGGGCGGATCACTTGAGGTCAGGAGTTTGAGACCAGCCTGGCCAACATGGTGACACCCATCTCTACCAAAAATACAAAAATTAGCCGGGCGTGGTGGCACGCGCCTGTAGTCTCAGCTACTCAGGAGGCTGAGGCAGGAGAATTGCTTGAACCCAGGAGATGGAGGTAGCAGTGAGCCCAGATTGTGCCAGTGCACTTCAGCCTGCGTGACAGGGTAAGATTCTGTCTCAAAAAAAAAAAGGAAGAGAGAGAGATGGAAATGTTCACAGAACCTGCCATGTGCCAGACAGTGGGGTGGACTCTATCCTCACCATAGCACTTAGTTTGGAAATGAGAAATTCGAAGCTGCGAAGTTAAATAACTTGGTCAAGGTCATGCTACCAGAGAGTGGATGAAGCCTGCTTCCACTGTGCCCTACTGTAGCCCCAAGGTGGAATTTGTCTTTTCTCCTTCAGGGGTGGTGCAAAGAGATGCCAAACAAGTGATGAGAATGTCAGAGCTGGGCCCCATGAAGAAAACTCTGGGAGGAGGCACTGTCAAAGCTTACCTCCTTCCAAAAGGGCCTAACTAGCTACTTTCATAGGCAGCCCCACCGCACTAAACAACACCAAAGGGCACTAGACAAATGCTGCTCGGTACTATCACTGTGCTTAGTGATCAGTGGCTTTTTACTTTTCCTAACAAGATAATAAATACCTTGAAGCCAAAGACCATGCCTTCCATCGCTTTAGCATCAGGTACACTGCTTGTCCCTAAACTCAAGTGTTTGTACTTGTTAAATAACCACTATCCAAACTAGTGTTTCCAAGGAAGGTCAGAGGTTTTCACTTATGTCAAGTTACGAGCCCTTTCTGTTGAAGAGGTTCAGTGCTAATTTGAACCTCTTCTCCTGTGAAACAAAGCTCAAAGCTTTAATGTTATTGCTGCCTAGCTGACATTGCTCAATGGCTTCTTTGTGGCAGGTACTGTGTGCTTTATAGGCATTACCTCATTTAATACTCGGAAAAACCCTACATGGTACATCCTACTATTGTCTCTTTTTCATGTGATGAGACTGAGGAACCCACCCATGGTAACACTAAGGCAGTAAATGGTGGAGCTGCATCCAAAGCAGCCCGATGGGGGCAAAAGGGCTTAAGGGAGTCTTTTTATCTTTTAATAATTTAGACTGGCTACATCAGAAGGAAGGAAGGAAGGAAGGAAGGAAGGAAGGAAGGAAGGAAGGAAGGAAGGAAGGAAGGAAGGAAGGGAGGATGCGAGGGAAGGAAGTAATCAGTCTAGAAATAGCCACCTCAAGATAGCTGATTGTCACCAAAACCTTCCTCAAAGTTGTTGCTGGTCCCACATCAGACATCAGGGACCGCTGTGTAAAGTGATCCTTCTGTTATACCACGTGGATTTTTTTTTTTTTTTACTTTAAGTTCTGGGATACATGTGCAGAACCTGAGGTTTGTTACATAAGTATACATGTGCCATGCTGGTTTGCTGCACCTATCAACCTGTCACCTAGGTTTGAAGCCCCACATGCATTAGGTATTTGTCCTAATGCCCTCCCTCCCCTTGTCCCCCACCCCCTGACAGGCCCTGGTGTGTGATGGTCCCCTCCCTGTGTCCATGTATTCTCATTGTTCAACTCCCACTTATGAGTGAGAACATGTGGTATTTGGTTTTCTGTTCCTGTGTTAGTTTGCTGAGAAGGATGGCTTCCAGCTTCATCCATGTCCCTGAAAAAGACATGATCTCATTCTTTTTTATGGCTGCATTATACTGCGTGAAATGTTAAACTGCAGGTTAAATTGAAACTAAAGACTAAGGTCTTTATTTCAAACATGGGAGAGCACCCCACCCTCCCTGCTAAAGGCACTAGTAGGCAAATTCACAGACACTGAAAGACAGTTCCACAGCATACAATTCATAGCCTTGCCTCCAGCCTGGCCAGACCTGAACGCCCCATTTCGAGGTGGAGAGGTGGTAAGACTAAAGCTTAGAACAACAGTCAGGCACACCAAATAGGCCCTGGGTCACTAGAGAGAACACTACTGTAAATATTTATTCAAGTTAACAGAGCTGAACAGCTGTGCTCGTACCACACAGCAAAGCTGCAGTGACTCTCCCAGACACGAGAGGGTGCTGTGCCCACAGCCTGTGCTGTGCCTGTAGCAGAACACGCTTGATGGAGAAGTTCAAATAAATTCCTCTCCCTGCACACCAACTTTCTTTTTCCATTCTTTTTCTGGCTGATTCTAATTACCCTTGCAACTCAGGCTTGTCTCCTGCCTCCTGTCTCTGTAGGAGACATGCTACCTGAGCACAAAACCATTTTAACATCAGCCTGTAGGTTTGTAAATATTGCCCTAAGCACACTGTGGAGACTACAATGTTTTAGAAAGTTATTACAGCATGGTTGCTCAAAACCTTGCTTTTCATGTTTCCTTGCCATGATGTTGGCCACAATCCTCTGTTTGCTTAATCTTTTTCTGTCTCAGATACTCTTCCATTTATCCTATTTCTCATCTACCAAAGTTTCTTAGTTTCTCTGAGATCCTGAACTTTCACTTTTATCTCCACAGCTCTTTTTTTTCTCATTCCCAAAGGTTTTGTCATCTCAATCATATTAAAGGTTTCCTAAACGAATTTCTTTCATTTATTTATTTTTTGTAACTCATCAGCAGTCCCTGATGTCAGATGTCACTGCACTCAGGCTACAGTGCAGTGGCACGATCTCGGCTCACTGCAGCCTCAACCTCCTGAACTCAAGTGATCCTCCCATCCTCCCACCTCAGCCTCCCAAGTAGCTGGGATTACAGGTGCATGCCACGCTGCGTGGCTAATTTTTTTTTATTTTTGGTAGAGACGGAGTTTCACCATGTTGGCCAGGCTGATCTCGAACTCCTGGCCTCAATTGATCTGCCTGCCTCTGCCTCCCAAAGTGCTGGGATTACAGGCGTGAGCCACTGTGCCTGGCCGAATTTCTTATCTTTTAATGAGTGACTACAAGAGGACTAAAAGGAATTGAGTAATTCTTCTTTACCATAGTTGTGTGAGTTTTCCAGAATATTTCACTTCAAGTCAGAAATACATATCTTAATCACATATATACTCCTCTCTTTGTGTCCGGAATTGGTGGGTTCTTGGTCTCACTGACTTCAACAATGAAGCTGCGGACCCTCGCATTGAGTGTTACAGTTCCTAAAGGGGGCGTGTCCGGAGTTTGTTCATTCTGATGTTCGGATGTGTTCGGAGTTTCTTCCTTCTGGTGGGTTCGTGGTCTCGCTGGCTCAGCAGTGAAGCTGCGGACCTTCGCGGTGAGTGTTACAGCTCTTAAGCCAGCGTTTCTGCAGTTGTTTGTTCCTCCCGGTGGGTTCGTGGTCTCCCTGGCTTCAGGAGTGAAGCTGTAGACCTTCGCCGTGAGTGTTACAGTTCTTAAAGGCGACGTGTCCGGAGTTTGTTCCTTCTGATGTTCAGATGTGTTCGGAGTTTCTTCCTTCTGGTGGGTTCGTGGTCTCGCTGGCTCAGGAGTGAAGCTGCAGACCTTCGCGGTGAGTGTTACAGCTCTTAAGGCGGCGCGTCTGGAGTTGTTCGTTCCTCCCGGTGGGCTCGTGGTCTCGCTGGCTTCAGCAGTGAAGCTGCAGACCTTCACGGTGAGTGTTACAGCTCATAAAGGCAGTGTGTACCCAAAGAGTGAGCAGTAGCAAAATGTATTGCAAAGAGCGAAAGAACAAAGCTTCCACAGTGTGGAAGGGGACCCCAGCGAGTTGCCACTGCTGGCTCAGGCAGCCAGCTTTTATTCTCTTATCTGGCCCCACTCACATCCTGCTGATTGCTAGAGCCCAGTGGTCTGTTTTGACAGGGTGCTGATTGGTGCATTTACAATCCCTGAGCTAGACACAAAGGTTTTCCACCTCCCCCCCAGATTAGCTAGATACAGAGTGTGGATTGGTGCATTCATAAACCCTGAGCTCGACACAGGGTGCTGATTGGTGTGTTTACAAACCTTGAGCTAAATACCGAGTGCCGATTGGTATATTTACAAGCTCTGAGCTAGACATAAAGGTCCTCCAAGTTCCCACTAGACTCAGGAGCCCAGCTGGCTTCACCCAGTGGATCTCGCACTGGGGCTGCAGGTGGAGCTGCTTGCCAGTCCCGCACCGTGCGCCCACACTCCTCAGCCCTTGGGTGGTCGATGGGATTGGGCGCCGTGCAGCAGGGGGCGGCACTCGTCGGGGAGGCTCAGGCTGCACAGGAGCCCACGGAGTCGGGGGAAGGGTCAGGCATGGCGGGCTGCAGGTCCCGAGCCCTGCCCCGCGGGAAGGCAGCTAAGGCCCGGCGAGAAATCGAGCGCAGCGCCGGCGGGCCGGCACTGCTGGGGGACCCAGCACACCCTCCGCAGCCGCTGGCCCGGGTGCTAAGCCCCTCATTGCCCGGGAACCGCAGGGCCGGCCGGCTGCTCTGAGTGCGGGGCCCGCCAAGCCCACGCCTACCCGGAACTCCAGCTGGCCCGCAAGCGCGGCGCGAAGCCCCGGTTTCCGCTCGCGCCTCTCTCTCCACACCTCCCTGCAAGCTGAGGGAGCCGGCTCCGGCCTTGGCCAACCCAGAAAGGGGCTCCCACGGTGCAGTGGTGGGCTGAAGGGCTTCTCAAGTGCCGCCAAAGCGGGAGCCCAGGCAGAGGAGGCGCGGAGAGCGAAGAGGGCTGTGAGGACTGCCAGCACGCTGTCACCTCTCACCTTCTATCCCCTTCAGCTGCTCCCGCTGCCCTACCAGCCCACTCCTGAAGTAACTCATGGAAATACTTCAGGAAGTACTCTCTGCGGGGACATGGAATCATCTCAGGTACCTCTCACATACTAAATGTTATCTTGCTTTTCCTAAATACATTTTTTTACATTAGCCTAAATATATATTTCCTAGCTATGTCGTCATTGGTCCCTTTTCCTCTACTTCCACCTGCATAACTGAGTTGATTCCCTCAACACGTCTTGCTTGGGTTGTAGCAACAGCCTCAACACAAGCAGAAATGGAAGGAAGATGCCTTTTCCCTCCTCCAGCCAACCTGAGTGGCACAGTGAACTCAGATTCTGGAACTGCCTGTCAACATGCAACCCAGGCTTCCCCCACCAGCTGCGTGACCTCAGGGTAGTTATGTAACCCCTGTGTGCCCCAATTTCCTCCTTCATATAATGATAATCATGAAAGGGAATGCCGACTCAGTAAATACATTCACTCTTATTACAAAAGAAGTAAAATCAAAGTTCTTTTTCCATAATTAGTTCACACTATGGTTGAACCAACCCTGGACAATCTTGTCCTTTTGATAAGAGTAAAGCATGTTAAATAGAAATTACAGGAGGCCACTGTTTTGCTCCTGCACAGCGCCCCAAGAGAACAGAATTAAAAACCCAAAATGGAGCCACTCATACTAAAGTTCCACATCATCAAAGCAAAACTAAGTTCTTATATGACCTTCCGAGAAATCAGGAGAGATAATAGCCAAATATCCCAAACAGGCCAGTTTCAGTCAGCATGATAATAAAGTTCCCTCTACTTTAATCCTTACCAAAAAATAAAAAATAATGACCTGAAGAAACCTGATCTTAACCAATCAGTTATTTTTCTGTTGTTCTATTTCCCTGTTCTCACCTTACAAGGAAAATAACCGAAATGACCAATCTGCTTTTTCTTGTGTTTCTGCTTTCTTTAGCTCTTTTCTGTTTGTAAAACCAACCTCCTCTGTTTACCTCACTGGAACACAGGCTATTTTATGGAATGAAGTGTTGCCCAATTCTAGAATTGCAAATAAAGCCAAAGAAAATCTTTTAAATTAAATTGCAGTCATTTTATCTTTTGACAAGTATTTTAAATTATTTTGTGGAAAAGTTGTGTTCTGCATCCTGGATTCAACCAAACCTGAGGTCAAAAATATTCAAAAAATAAAAAACAGCAATACAACAATAAAACATAATGCAAATGAATAATATTGTATAACAATTATTTACAGAGCATTTACATTGTGTTAGGTATTAGAGGTAATCTAGGGGGATTTAAAGTAGATGGGAGGATGCATGTAGGTTATATGCAAATACTAGACCATTTTATTACATACAAGGGACTTGAGAATCCTTGGATTCTGGCATCCACAAAGGGTTCCTGGAGCCAATCCTTCCCCTACTCCAGGATACCGAGGACAACTGTATTCTCATGGTTTTCATATCAACATTAAGAAAATCTGACCACTCTACAAGGCTGGCATTTGGAAGAAAGTGAAGGGATTCTAGCAGTTTTTAGGCTTGACTCTGCCAGTTGTGGAAAGAGTGCAATGTGCTCCCACTGTCTTCGGGTGGGGGACAGCTAGCAGTGTGTGGGGAAAGTGCTGGTCTCATCCCAGATGCACAGCAGTCACCTGCTCCCTGCTGCCAAGCCTCCTGTGGGCCTGTGGAGGGCTGCCCTGCACACCTGCAGGGCGCAAGAGACCCTGTTTTTCTTCCTTTCCTCTTCCATTTTCCCTTTCCCTTGAGTGCCTGAAGCGTGTTTTAAGGGTGGGAGGAAAATTCAAAGGTTTCCCAATTGGCTATTTTGTCATGAGAGGCTTTGTTCTAGCTGTGTTGGTCCTGGCAAACTTGAGGTCAAAGTAGGAGGTAGAATTTCCTCCCAAGGTCCAGTGAGCTGGTCTCCAGCCCAAGCTCTCCTGGCTCCATTCAACTTTGTTCTGCTGATAACAATCTTGCTGAAATGCAAATCTGTATCAAGTCACCAGTGACCCTGGAGACTCCTAAACCCCTCACCTGGTGGCCACCACACCCCCATCTCACTTCCAACTACACCCATTTCCCATTGCCTAATCCCTCTCCTTCTTTCAGATCCCGCAGGAGGTGGGAATTGAGGCATCTGGGATGACTTCTGAATTCCTACAAGAATTACGAGACACTTAGGTTTGGACATGCTGGGACTGAGGTGTCTTGGGACATCCAGGTAGGGCTATTGATATATAATAATGTTTTGTGATTCTAAATGTCTCAAAATGGAGTCTTTTTTTCCTTCTAGTTATTGTTTTATAAAAATATATTGTGGTAAAATACATAACATAAAATTTACCATCTTAAATCTTTTTAAGTGTATAATTCAATATTGTTGTCTATATTCACATTGTTATACAACAGATCTCTAGAATTTCACATCTTGTAAACCTGAAACTGAATACCTGTTAAGTAACAACTGCCCATTTTACCCCCTCAGCAGCCCTTAACAAACACCATTCTACTTTTTGTGAGTTTGGCTACTTATTTCATATAAGTGGAATCATACACTATCTGTCACTTTGTCACTGGCTTGTTTTTATTAACATAATATTCTCAAGGTTTATTTTTAACACAGCATGTGACAAAACTTTTTTCAGGGCTGAATAATATTCCACTATATATCTATATGCCACATTTAAAAAATGTTCATTACTTGAATAACATCTGGGTTGTTTCCACCAACAAAATGGAGTCACAATGATAAGTGACTCAGCTCACAGTGAAACTGCTGACTGCTCAAAGTGATAAGCATATGTATGTAGGACTGAGATGACAACACCTGCTGTGGCCAGGCAACCCCAAAACTTGATAAGAAAGGGAAGCCAAGGCCAGGCGGGATGGCTCACACCGGTGATCCCAGCACTTTGGGAGGCCGAGGCAGGTGGATTGCTTAAACTCAGAAGTTCCAGACCAGCCTGGGCAACATGGTGAAACCCTGTCACCAAAATTAATTTTATAAAATAAAATAAGAAAGTGAAGCCAAAAGATGGCTAAGTTATGACAATGGACATTCCTATGCAGGGTATAAAAACAGCAAAGAAAGTGACCATGGCCGAGAGCCTGTAGAAGCTCTGCCCGTGAGAACTCTGAGGCCTCCTCACGAACAGAGGCTGCCATAAGTTCTGCTGGGAGAAGAACAGCAACAACACTCCTCCCACTTTGTTGTTTCAAGGGAAATCCAAATCTGTTCATCAGTCAGCGTGCTGGTCTCTGGAGCTACTTGCCACGGTTCATTCCCTGTTGTTTTTTTTTTTTTGTCGTTGTTGTTGTTTTAAGAGATGGGTTCTCATTCTGTAGCCCAGGCTGGCACATTAATAGCTCACCACAATCTCGAACTCCTGGGCTCAAACGATCCTCCTACTTCAGCCTGCTGAGTAGCTGTGACTACAGGAGTGTGCTATCACACCCGGCTACTTTTTACATTTTTTGTAGAGACAAGGTCTTTCCCAGGCTGGTCTCAAACTCCTGGCCTCAAGTGATCCTCCCACCTCAGCTTCCCAAAGTGCTGAGATTACAGGTGTGAACCACCATGGCTGCCCCGACCTCCCCTATCACTGCCTGTGTGTGTTGAATATATTTGCATGATCGTTGGTATGTGAAAGCCTCACATTTAATTGGCCATTGAGTTATTGTGAAACCTCTGGGCTCCTGGTCGGAGTCAGCACAAGTAGGCTGGAACCTGACATGACAGCTGTTCAACAGGCAGTTGGTTACTGGGACTGGTGCTCAGGCATCACCTCCTGCAAGAAGCCTCCCCTGTCCTCACCAGGCTGGAGAGGTGACTCCTTTCTCTCCTTTGCACTTCTCCAGCACCTAGCATTGAATCCACACAGGATAGTTAAGGACTATTTAATTTTCATCAGGGATAAATATATTAAAATTTCCTCCTAATTCAAAGTGTATGAACATAACCATACATGATCTTATTAAATGGTTCTATATATGGAGCAAAAATTCTAAGTCTCTGAGCTTTGTCAGATGCTCTAGTCTGTTCGTGATCTTGATAAGTGCTCACTGTGTTCGGGTCTATGTAATTGAATATTTCTGTGTTTTTTAAAATTGTTGAGTTGAATATTACTTTGCAAAATTTGAATGTATTTTCCCTGGTAATTAATGTTCTTAGTGCAAACCTGATTTGGGGAAAACTGCCAGCTTCAACAGCCACACTAAAAGACTTCTAAGTTAGATGCTAATATTGTATCTACGTGTACATATTTCTCCTCCTTCTTAATTTCTGTTGTGCAGTTTTAAAGAGAAATTTCCCCTACATCCATAATTCTAGGGTCTCCCCTTAGAATAGGGCTGCTTTTATGGAATGGTAAAATCCTATTTGTGATATTGCTTGCTTCTTCTCCTGCTTTTGATAGCAAAAGGAGGTGGCCAAATGCCTAGGCAGATAGGGGTGGGTACCCAGTGAAATTCCACCTCCAAGTAGAAGACAGTTTAAAGCCGGAAAGCCAAGCTACAAGTTAAATCCTGGGACTGGATCAAGAACTTGTCTTCCTGTTTGGACGCTTTCCTCTGATTGATCCCCACCCTTCACCTATTTTACATATACCTAACCTTTCCTAAGTAGTTTTCTACACTGTTTTGCCCACCTTTGCATGGTGTCTTCACGTTAACCTTTTTTGCATACTCACAAACCCATCAATACGCACTTCCTATCCTGTGCCTATAAAGATCCCAGACTCAGTTGGTAGAGGGGGAAATGACCTGACTTCGGGGAGGAGACAACCTGACTTCTGGGAAGATGACCTGCCCTTCCCATCCCCTCTCCAGTTCCCTTCTCTGCTGAAAGCCATTTTCATTGCTCAGTAAAATTCTCCACCTTCACCATCCTTCAATCATCTGCGTGACCTCATTCTTCTTGGACACTGGACAAGAGCTCAGGGCCCACCAAGTACAGGTACCCAGAAAAGGCTGTCAAACTGGCCCTTTGCCCCTCACCAGTGGCATGCCCCGTGCAGCGAGGCAAGGGGCCAACTGAGCTGCTAACATGCCACCATCTGCAGACGGTGGAAATAAAGGAGCACTGTAACAGCCCCTCTGGGGCTTCAGGGTCATGGACACCCTTACCTGGGTGCTGCTGCATTCCCCTCAAGGAGCTTGCTCCTGTGTCAGTGCCTGGAGCAGCTGGCTGGATCCCGCACTCACTCATTCATGTGCTCCCTCCCACAAGGGGTTGAGCACGGTAGGCCCAGTACTCCACAGGTCTGGCGAAGGGGCCAAGAAAAAGCTTGCATCACTTTGAGAGGAAAATGCTACCTTTGTGCCTCATGGTCTTTCACAGACAAAGGCATTGCCTTTCCAGAGCTGTTGGTGGAGGTGGGAGTGTTTACTGGATTTAATTTCCTGTTTTGAATTTGAAATGGTATGTCCAGTTTGGGTTTTGTTTTGTTGTTAAAACATAATTAAGATAAAAGCAAGAAAGATGGTTCTTTGGGCTACTTACTGCTACCCAATTTCTCTTTTTCTGGAGGATTTTCACATTCTCTTTTCACTCTCAAGTGTCTCTGACTTGTAAGGGTTAAGTAGCCTGCATCTCATCACTATCAGGGTAATCTGGTTTAATCCAGCTCCTGCTTCATGACTATCAGCCCCTTTAATCTGATCACATAGAAGCAGCTGGCTCAGAGAAACAGACATGATGCACAGGACCATCTGAGCTGCCCATGTTCATGCCCTCTCATTATACCATCCGCTTCTCACCCCAAAATCTTAACAGTAAAGTATAGACATTTTGAATGTGCTGTATTACAGATATAGATTTATCTTATTTTTAAAAATAAATAAGAGTATTTAAAAATGCTTAGGTCAAAGCAATTCTTTTGACCTAAGGTATAATACGTTGCCTCAATGGACAAAAACTCAAGAAATATCTTCATGGACCTCCGAGTAATGTTTAAACTTGATGCCAATATATTAATTTTTCTGCCCTTTATAATTAAACAACATTAACCCATCATTCTGAAATTATTATTTTTCCCTTTAATTTATTGTCTCCTCATATAGCTGATCATAACAAAAATCTGACTACATCCCCTCCATGGTGTTGTTTCCTGGAAATGGAGCCTGTTTTGTTCCTATACTTCTCCCTGTTCAGATGCTCCTGCCTGAAGGAAGAGCCAGCTTTCAGGAAGAAGGGAGATAAAGTGCACTCAGAGGGTGATTGATGAACTGATTTGTAATGCAATGTACAGAAATTGAGAGGAGCATTTAGAAATGTTTATATAATTTTTTTGTTTGTTTTTGTTTTGAGATAGAGTCTTGTTCTGTCACCCACGCTGCAGTGCAGTGGCATGATCTTGGCTCACTGCAACCTCTGCCTCCCCATTCAAGTGATTCTCGTGCCTCAGCCTCCTGAGTAGCTGGGATTACAGGTTGTGCACCACCACACCCAGTTAATTTTTGTATTTTTAGTAGAGACAGGATTTTTGCCATGTTGGCCAGGCTGGTCTCAAACTCCTGGCCTCAAGTGATCTGCCCGCCTTGGCCTCCCAAAGTGCTGGGGTTACAGGCATGAGCCACCGTGCCTGGCTGTTTATAGCATTTTGACGTGACACAGCATTCAAATATATTGATGCAAACATATCAGTCCATGGCCGACTGGAAAAAGTAAAATTGGCCCTTCATTGTGGACAGTTTGTAAAGCCCTGTATTAAAGTTCCCAGCACATGCCTGGAATGCAGTAGGCAGTCAATATATTAATTCCCCGCATTTCCTTACCATTCGAGTGAACCCTACATTGTAAAAACAAGCTTCCCACCACCCCCACCACCAAACATAGCTTCTATGGGGTAAAAACTAATTTGACTATTTTATATTCTAACTTCATGAATCCATAATTCATTTCCTAATTAAAAGCTTCTGGGTCTCAATAGACTGATCAAAGGGGCATACAGTAATTAAACTGGTAAATACAGTGGAAAGCAAGATTATTGCCTGGGCCCACATTATAATAATTTGGTTAGGAAAACTGTTCATGTGTTTGAAGGCCCTGGTCTCCATCCACCTCTTTTTAAGCTGATATGGTTTAAGTGTCCGTCCTCAGGGGCTCTGGCTTCCTGCTTATCTCCACAGTTAGCACATACCATTAACAGTGTGCTAAATGCTGTGCTAGGCCTTTCACACGCACAATTGGTTCCACTGAATCCTCATACAACCAAAGATGAATACTACCATTATCCCCATTTCACGGGGAAGTTGAAGTGGAAAATAATTTGTTGAGTCATACAACTAGCAGCAGTAGAAGGGGGACTAAACCCCACTCTGGCTCCCCAGCCTGGTTTGGGAACTTCGTACTATTTCCATTTAGAGAGAACCCCAGCAAGCTGACACTGTTTGCTTCTTTATACATCAACTTGGTCATCAGTCCCTTTTCCTCCCTCCAACTCTCAAACTTTCTCTATTCAAAATGAAGGGAAAAGCGAAAATCCTTAAGTCTCAGATTGTTGTTTCGTTTTGTTCTCCTAACTATAAAAGAAAACCACTGGTCTTAGTGTGTGTCTGACTTACCACCCAATTTATAAATGCTCCTCCTTGCTGTGGTCAAGGTGATCATTAACTAATTAGTAGGTGAGGAGTTTAATTTTTTGTTCCGTGCAGCCATACATCAAGAAAGAAGAGAATGGTGCAGTCTCCTTAGGCAGTAGGGAGGCTGTGTGGTAGGTTTCCTTCCTGCCAGTTAAAGGACAAGTAAAGTGGACTAAGGTCGCATTCCCCCACAGAACCACTGCCCCAGACGCTGGCTGGTTCCTGGCCTTATCTCAAGTAGGATGGCAGCAGTGGGAAAGGTTGAGACATTGCTTCCTGCTTCAGAATGCTTTGGAAACCTGCTTCAGATTTTAGGAATGATTTATACACTTTTTGGAAAGCAAATAATGATGTAAGTTAAATGATACACTTTTCCCTTGAAAATTTATACATTTTTTGAAAAGATCTTAGGAATGAGAGTTTCCCCAAACAACTCCCTTCATAGGAGTTCCTGAGGCACTGAACCATTTTATCAGTAGACCCTGCCCCCCTGTATACCTAAATCGGCCACAGTTTGCTGGGCTGCAGTTCCCCAGCCAGCCAGAAATGGAAGGGTTTTTAATCTGTGGCTGGTGGTCTTACATCAAAAGAAGAAAACAGTCAAATTCTCCCCACTTCCTCTTATCTTTTTTGTAGTTCATATCCAACCAAGGCTTTTTTCCCCCCAAAATGCATTTGCTGACAATTTATTAAGCCCAGGAAATTCTGGGTTTCATTTTGGTCCTCTTGCAGAGAGGAAAATGGGTGGTTCCCCTCAAAGCTTCCCCAGGATTGTTCCTCCTAGTTGCTATCTCTGGTTTACTACTGACCCCAAACCCAAGCCACTGAGCCTATTTGTCTTAAGGAAAAGATGGAGGAGCAGTGATACCACACTCGGGGTCTGGGTTGGGCACTGTGGAGGTGCTGGTGGAAGACCATGCCTGAGAAGGAGTGGCGAGGGCCCAGAAGGTCTGTGTTGAGCTGCAGGTGCACCTGAGGCAGCACAGTGGGTCTCCTCTGCTGACAACTCTTTCTGCCCTTTCCCCTCCAGTGTTGGGGCTCTCTCCAGGGTAATGTCCTCCTCTTCTTTCCTTCTCACTCTACATGGTTCACTCAGCCCAGGCAAGCTCAGCCATCCATAATTCCCCATAGGGCACTATTTGGGACAGGACAACTCTTTGTTGTGCAAGATAGCACTATGAACTGAATAAAGTCCGCAGTAGTGCTCCTCAGTCATCGTGACAACCAAGCCTCCCTGACACATTTCCAAATGTCTCCTGGGTGGCGGGGCAGTGCAGTACTGCTCAGTAGAGGAGCAAAGGACTCCTGAGTTTACATTTCCACCCCTGATAGTATCCCTGCACTCCAGACCCCTGCACCCAAGGAAATTTCTCAAAGGCACCTTGTGTCCTGTCCCAGAGACATCTTTTTTTTTTTTTTTTTTTTGACATAGTTTTGCTGTCATTCAGGCTGGAGTGCAGTGGTACGATCTCAGTTCATTGCAATCTCTGACTCCCAGACTCAAGCGATTCTCAGCTTCCCAAGTAGCTGGGATTACAGGCATGTGGCACCACACCCAGCTAATTTTTGTATTTATAGTAGAGACAGTTTCACCGTGTTGGCCAGGTTGGTCTCAAACTCCAGACCTCAAGCGATCTGCCTACCTTGGCCTTTCAAAGTGCTGGGATTACAGGCATCAGCCACCACACCTGGCCTCCAGAGACATCTTAAACTCAACTTTTCAAACCTGATCTCATCATTTTAATCTACTCTGACTAGTAAATGACGCTACCACTTCCCATTCTCAAACTGAGCCTAGGTGTTTTCCTAAATCCTCCTCTGAACTCTTTTACCCAGCTAGTGTTCCAGCACACAACCAAAGGTGAAATTCTCTAGCCCATCATATTTTCTAGATACTTCAGGTTACAGCCACCCCAACCTAGCCCCTAATCCAGTCAGAGAGTGGGTTCTAATGCAAAGCTGATGAGATCAAGGTTAGTTCGCTGCTGCTCTAATCTTCAAAGCTTTGTCTACGGAACCATAGTAGAGGTAGTCTGCCTGAGCAGTGGAAGACCATGAGTTTGAGGTAAGATGAAGGAGAACTTAACTGTGTTTCTGCACCTTAGGTGCATGACTTTTAAGCAGGCTCTGAGCAGATAGAGGGCCAAGGGCCCCTCCCTGTGGCGTCTTTTCTCTCTGAGGCCTCCATCAAAGCCCTCGGGCTCTGTCATAATTGTTGACTTTATCTGTCTGCCTCCCTCAGTAAACTTGGGAGCAGGGGCTGTGTCCTCCTTTCTGGGCCCTCAGCCCAGTGCCTGGCACATGGCAGGCACCCTTTCATGAGTGAATGTTTGTGGAATGAAGTACTGAGTTGGAAATCACTCTGCAAGCTGGGTAGAGCTGGACCACTTTCCCTTACTCATAATACCATCTGGCATTTGCAACAGTAAACACTAACAGCCTCACTTTAATTCAGGACCTTGGGTGGAGGCTCCAAAGAGTGGAATGAGCACTAGAATGGGGAGTCTGAACATCTGAGTCCTTGTCGTGGCTCTGTTAACTAACAAAACCTATCACCTTGGGTATGGTACTTTCTTCAACTGAGGAGATGGAGAGTCAGCTGGGACAAGGGTTCTATAGAGGGGCTTAGAGCGGCTTAAAGGGAGTCCTTGAGCAGTCTGAAATTGTTGCCAAACTCAGTCTATTTGCATTCTGTGGAGGGGACACCACAGATTCTTAAATAGTCAAGAACTGCTAACCTGGATAAGCTTCTGAATTACTGCAGTTTACATACTGACGCATGTACTTTGAGGGAAAAGAGGTACAGGGGAGCAGCAGAGATGGCTGGCACTCATCCCACATACCCACTGCCATCCCAGGCCCATCTGAGAGGGACTTTGTCAAGGGAGGCTTGGCATGACTAGGCTGCTGACTCAGCCACTTCCTAAACTTTGGTGCCACAAGCCAGGGAGCAAAAGGCAGGGTCTAAGGCAGAGGACACACATACAGAATGCTCCTAAAGGGACAGAGGCACGGGATTGGAAAGAAAAACTGCTGGAAAGTGAACCAGACAGGGTCTTAGGGAGAGAAGGATCCTTACAGACAAGGGAGCTATCAAGATCCACAAGTCTGGCACAGGCAAGGGGAACAGCAGGGGTTCTGGAGATGGAGGCCTAGACTGGAAGGAAAGGAGAAGGAGCTGGCACTTCCTGAGCACGTACTAAGTGCTGAGTACTCTTGTGATCATCATAATCCTGCAAGGGAGGTTTATCAGTCCCAAGCAAGGGAGTTAAATACAAGTTCTGCTGTTTCTAAGTGTCCTCTGGCCCCCCTTTCTCTGCTCTGCACGGTCTGCCCCGATAATTCAGACAGCCTTAGCATTTCCTTTGGAAAGGTCAATGACAAGAGGCTGGACTATGAATCTGCAGCTGGCAAAGGAGAGAGAAAGCTTCATTCAAACAGTTTGCAACCGTCCTGGGCACCGGCCACGTGCCAGCCACGGGGCTAGGTTCCGGGAGGCACACGACTAGATCCCTGCCCTTCGCAACAGCCACTACCTGCTGCCCCCACACCCCGAGGGGAACCAGCTGGGATCTGGGCAGCCAGGGCGCTTAAGGTGCGGGGCCGGCGCCAGGCTGGAAGTGGGAAGCCAGGACTATGGCTGGGCTCAGAGGAGAGTGAGGCAGGATCGGTATGCTTCCCACCCTCCTTCCCAGCTTACCAGGCGCAAGTCCCCCGGTCCGTGCACCACCAGGGAAAGGTTGTTGGGCTTGGCCGCCGCCGCCATGGAGCTCTTTTGGCTCTGGAGTGCGGCCTGGAAGGCGCGGGACGTTTGGTCGCTCTGGTGGCGCTACCCAGCCGAGGGTCCAGGGCACTGGATGGAAGGTGGGGCCTGGGAGAAGCGCCGCACGCAGGGGCGGGACTAGGCTTCCTCCTTTGTGCCAGCCTGGGCGGCGCTAGCGTGGAGGGGCGGGGCTTCCCAGCCTCCTCCAGACCCGGAGGCGGGGCGGGGCTTCGGGAGGGGGCTGGGAGCGAGAAGCCCGGGTGCTGGCTCCATCTGCAGCGCGCTGTTTTTTTTGTTTGTTTGTTTGTTTGTCGCCGAGGCTGGAGTACAGTGGTGCGATCCCGGCTCACTGCAAGCTCTGCCTCCCGGGTTCAAGCCATTCTCCTGCCTCAGCCTCCCGAATAGCTGGGACTACAGGCGCCCACCACCACGTATTTTTGTTTAGTAGAGACGGGGTTTCACCGTGTTAGCCAGGATGGTCTCGATATCCTGACCTCGTGATCCACCCGCCTCCGCCTCCCAAAGTGCTGGGATTACAGGCGTGAGCCACCGCGCCGGCCCTGCAGCGCGCTGTTTTTGCCGCCTCACATGCAAGCACACACGGCTGCCTTGAAAACCGCCTGCAGAGGCAGTAGGCACCAGACCAGCGCTCTCAAACGTTAGCTGCAGAAGAATTGGGGTGGGGAATGTGAGGCGCTGTTGAGAATGCACATTCTCAGGACCAGCACAGAGATTCTGATACAGTAGGTCTAGGTCTGAGGTGCTGCCTGAGGGTCCATATTCCTAGCAACGAGAATGCTGAGGCTGTGGGTGGAGCACGGTGTGCACTTTGCGAGACAGGTGCTACCATGACGCAGCGTCCACGTCGGCCCTTTGTCTCCAGCCCCCAGGAAAGGGCCTGGCACGAGTAGGAGTAAATGAATTCGTGCATCATTACATGGGCCTGGTGCTTAAGTATAAAAAAGACATGAGGCCGGGCGCAGTGGCTCTTGCCTGTAATCCCAGCACTTTGGGAAGCCGAGGCAGGTGGATCACCTGAGGTCAGGAGTTCGAGACCAGCCTGACCAATATGGTGAAAACCCCGTCTCTACTAAAAATACAAAAATTAGCCGGGCATGGTGGCATGCGCCTTAATCTCAGCTACTCGGGAGGCTGAGACAGGAGAATAGCTTGAACCTGGGAAGCAGAGGTTGCAGTGAGCTGAGATCATGCCATTCAACACCAGCCTGGGCAACAAGAGTGAAAATCTGTCTTTAAAAAAAAAAAAGCCATGAAATGGAATTTGTGAACCTCTTTCTCTCAACTGGATCTGCTGCTTCTATTCAAAGCAGAGTTTCTGCCCAAACTCTTCCTTCAAGCCTCTCAGCCCTCTGAGAAACAGTGAGGTTTTACTCTCTGAGGAGAGAGGCGCTTCTAGATAGGCCTAAGTCTATAAGGCCCCTCCCTCCTTTGAGGATAATGCTCAGGATTTCATTCCCTTACAGTCCCCCCTCCCCAATATGTAACCGCCCAATGGATTCACCTTGCCTGCTGCCTAGACAAAACTAATTTATCAAGACAGGGGAACTGCAATAGGGAAAGAGTTCATGCAGAACCAGCTATGCAGGAGACTGGAATTTCATTATTGCTCAAATCCGGCTCCCCAAGCATTCGAGCATACGGGGACTCAGAGTTTTTAAGGATAGTTTGATGGGTGGGGAAAGGCCAGTGAGTCAGGAGTGCTGATTGTTTGGGTCAGAGATGAAATCATAGGGGATCTAAGCTGTCTTCTTGGACTGAGTCAGTTTCTGGGCGAGGGCCACAAGGTCAGATAAGTGAGTTTATCAATCTGGTTGGTGCTACGCCTTGAGGGACCGGTGCCAGTATAGGCTGTATTTGTTCCTTGCTGAGGGCCCTGGTTCCTCTGGCTAAGATTAGGCCTAGATATTTGACTTGTTGTAGGCAGAGCTGGGCTTTCAGTTTAGACACCTTGCCCGCTTGATTACCTAGAAAGTTCAAGAGATCTAGAGTAGCCTGCTGGCATGAGGCTTCCAAATTGGTAGCCAAAAGTAAATCATCCAGATTCCGTTCCAAGATGGCCAAATAGGAACAGCTCCGGTCTGCAGCTCCCAGTGTGATCGATGCAGAAGACGGTGATTTCTGCATTTCCAACTGAGGTACCTGGTTCATCTCATTGGGACTGGTTGGACAGTGGCTGCAGCCCATGGAGGGTGAGCCGAAGCAGGGAGGGGCATTGCCTCACCCGGGAAGCGCAAGCGGTTGGGGGATTTCCCTTTCCTAGCCAAGGAAAGCTGTGACAGACTGTACCTGGAAAATCAGGACACTCTCACCCAAATACTGCACTTTTCCAACGGTCTTAGCAAATGGCACACCAGGAGATTAAATCCTGTGCCTGGCTCAGTGGGTCCCACGCCCACAGAGCCTTGCTCACTACTAGCACAGCAGTCTGAGGCAGCAGCCTGGCAGGGGAGGGGCGTCCGCCATTGCTGAGGCTTGAGTAGGTAAACAAAGCAGCCGGGAAGGTTGAACTGGGCAGAGCCCACCGCAGCTCTGCAAGGTCTGCTGCCTCTGTAGACCTCACCTCTGGGGGCAGGGCATAGGTGAACAAAAGACAGCAGAAACTTCTGCAGACTTAAACGTCCCTGTCTGACAGCTCTGAAGAGAGCAGTGGCTCTCCCAGTACAGTGTTTGAGCTCTGAGAATGGACAGACTGCCTCCTCAAGTGGGTCCCTGGCCCCCATGTAGCCTAACTGGGAGACACTTCCCAGTAGGGGCCAACTGACACCTCATACAGGCGGGTGCCCCTGTGGGACGAAGCTTCCAGAGGAAGGATCAGGCAGCAACATTTGCTCTTCTGCAATATTTGCTGTTCTGCAGCCTCCACTGGTAATACTCAGGTAAACAGGGTTTGGAGTTGACCTCCCGCAAACTCCAACAGATCTGCAGCTGAGGGACCTGACTCTTAGAAGGAAAACTAGCAAATAGGAATAGCATCAACATCAACAAAAAGGACATCCACACCAAAACCCCATCTGTAGGTCACCAGCATCAAAGGTAGATAAAACCACGAAGATGGGGAGAAACCAGAGCAGAAAAACGGAAAATTCTAAAATCCAGAGTGCCTCTTCTCCTCCAAAAGATCACAGCTCCTCATCAGCAACGGACCAAAGGTGGACGGAGAATGACTTTGATGAGCTGAGAGAAGTAGGCTTCAGAAGGTTGGTAATAACATACTTCTCCCAGCTAAAGGAGGATGTTCAAACCCATCGCAAAGAAGCTAAAAACCTTGAAAAAAGATTAGACGAATGGCTAACTGGAATAAATAGTGTAGAGAAGACCTTAAATGACCTGATGGAGCTGAAAACCATGGCACAAGAACTATGTGATGCATGCACAAGCTTCAACAGCCAATTCATTCAAATGGAAGAAAGGATATCAGTGATTGAAGATCAAATTAATGAAATAAAGTGAGAGGAGAAGTTTAGAGAAAAAAGAGTAAAAAGAAATGAACAAAGCCTCCGAGAAATATGGGACTATGTGAAAAGACCAAATCTACATTTGATTGGTGTACCTGAAAGTGACAGGGAGAATGGAAACAAGTTGGAAAACACTCTTCAGGATATTATCCAGGAGAACTTCCACAACCTAGCAAGACAGGCCAACATTCAAATTAAGGAAATACAGAGAACACCACAAAGATACTCCTCAAGAAGAGCAACCCCGAGACACACAATTGCCAGATTCACCAAGGTTGAAATGAAGGAAAAAATGTTAAGCGCAGCCAGAGAGAAAGGTCGGATTACCCACAAAGGGAAGCCCCTCAGACTAGCACTGGATCTCTCAGCAGAAACTCTACAAGCCAGAAGAGAGTGGGGGCCAATATTCAACATTCTTCAAGAAAAGAATTTTCAACCCAGAATTTCATATTCAGCCAAACTAAGCATCATAAGTGAAGGAGAAATAAAATACTTTACAGACAAGCAAATGCTGAGAGGTTTTGTCACCACCAGGCCTCCCTTACAAGAGCTCCTGAAGGAAACACTAAACATGGAAAGCAACAACCAGTACCAGCCACTGCAAAAACATGCCAAATTTTAAAGACCATCAATGCTAGGAAGAAAATGCATTAAATAATGGGCAAAATAACCAGCTAACATCAAAATGACAGGATCAAATTCACACATAACAATGCATGATGGGTTCAAACATCCTTCTTTAGCTGGGAGAAGTATGTTATTACCAACCTTCTGAAGCCTACTATATTAACCTTAAATATAAACGGGCTAAATGCCCCAGTTAAAAGACATGGACTGGCAAATTAGGTAAAGATTCAAGACCCATCAGTGTGCTGTATTCAGGAGACCCATCTCACCTGCAGAGACTCACATCGGCTCAAAATAAAGGGATGGAAGAAGATCTAACAAGCAAATGGAAAGCCAAAAAAAAAAAAAAAAAAGCAGGGGTTTCAATCCTAGTCTCTGATAAAACAGACTTTGAACCAACAAAGATCAAGAGACAGAGAAGGCCATTACATAGTGGTAAAGGGATCAATTCAAAAAGAAGAGCTAACTATCCTAAATATTTATGCACCCAATACAGGAGCACCCAGATTCATAAAACAAGTCCTTAGAGACTTACAAAGAGACTTAGACTCCCACACCATGATAATGGGAGACTTTAACATCCAACTGTCAATATTAGACAGATCAACAAGACAGAATGTTAACAAGGATATCCAGGACTTGAACTCAGCTCTGCACCAGGCAGACCTAGTAGACATCTACAGAACTCTCCACCCCAAATCAACAGAATATACATTCTTCTAAGCACCACATAGCACTTATTCCAAAATTGACCACATAGTTGGAAGTAAAGCACTTCTCAGCAAATGTAAAAGAACAGAAATCACAACACACTGCCTCTGAGACCACAGCGCAATCAAATTAGAACTCAGGATTAAGAAACTCACTCAAAACCACAAAACTACATGAAAACTGTACTGTTCCTGAATGACTACTGGGTAAATAATGAAATGAAGGCAGAAATAAAGATGTTCCTTGAAACCAATGAGAACAAAGACACAAAGTACCAGAATCTCTGGGACACATTTAAAGCAGTGTGTAGAGGGAAATTTATAGCACTAAATGCCCAGAAGACAAAGTAGGAAAGATCTAAAATCAACACCCTAACATCACAATTAAAAGAACTAGAGAAGCAAGAGCAAACAAATTCAAAAGCTAACAGAAGGCAAGAAATAACTAAGATCAGAGCAGAACTGAAGGAGATAGAGACACAAAAAACCCTTCAAAATAATCAGTGAATTCAGGAGCTGGTTTTTTGAAAAGATCAACAAAATCGACAGACTGCTAGCAAGACTAATAAAGAAGAAATGAGAGAAGAATCAAATAGACACAATAAAAAATGATAAAGGGGATATCACCACCGATCCCACAGAAATACAAACTACCATCAGAGAATACTATAACCACCTCTATGGAAATAAACTAGAAAATCTAGAAGAAATGGATAAATTCCTCGACACATACACCCTCCCAGGACTAAAGCAGGAAGAAGTTGAATCTCTGAATAAACCAATAACAGGTTCTGAAATTGAGTCAATAATTAATAGACTATCAACCAAAAAAAGTCCAGGGCAAGACGGATTCACAGCCGAATTCTACCAGAGGTAGAAAGAGGAACTGGTACTATTCCTTCTGAAACTATTCCAAACAATAGAAAAAGAGGGACTCCTCCCTAAATGATTTTATGAGGTCAGCATCATCCTGATACCAAAGCCTGGCAGAGACACAACTAAAAAAGAGAATGTTAGACCAATATCCCTGATGAACATCGATGCAAAAATCCTCAATAAAATACTGGCAAACTGAATCCAGCAGCACATCAAAAAGCTTATCCACCATGATCAAGTGGGCTTCATCCCTGGGATGCAAGGCTGGTTCAACATATGCAAATCAATAAACGTAATCCATCACATAAACAGAACCAATGACAAAAACCACATGATTATCTCAATAGATGCAGAAAAGGCCTTCAACAAAATTCAACAGCCCTTCATGCTAAAAACTCTAATAAACTAAGTATTGATGGAACGTATCTCAAAATAATAAGAGCTAGTTATGACAAACCCACAGCCAATATCATAATGGGCAAAAACTGGAAGCATTCCCTTTGAAAAGTGGTACAAGACAAGGATGCCCTCTCTCACCATTCCTATTCAACATAGTGTTGCAAGTTCTGGCCAGGGCAATCAGGCAAGAGAAAGAAATAAAGGGTATTCAATTAGGAAAAGAGGAAGTCAAATTGTCCCTGTTTGCAGATATTGTATATTTAGAAAACCCCATTGTCTCAGCCCAAAATCTCCTTAAGCTGATAAGCAACTTCAGCAAAGTCTCAGGATACAAAATCAGTGTGCAAAAATCACAAGCATTCCTATATGCCAATAACAGACAAACAGAGAGCCAAATCATGAGGGAACTCCCATTCACAATTGCTACAAAGAGAATAAAATACCTAGGAATCCAACTTCACAAGGGATGTGAAGGACCTCTTCAAGGAGAACCACAAACCACTGCTCAATGAAATAAAAGGAGACACAAACAAATGGAAGAACACTCCATGCTCATGGATAGGAAGAATCAATATCGTGAAAATGGCCATACTGCCCATGGTAGTTTATAGATTCATTGCCATCCCCATCAAGCTACCAATGACTTTCTTCACAGAACTGGAAAAAACTACTTTAAAGTTCATATGGAACCAAAAAAAGCCTGCATTGCCAAGACAATCCTAAGCAAAAAGAACAAAGCTGGAGGCATCATGCTACCTGACTTCAAACTATACTACAAGGCTACAGTAACCAAAACAGCATGGTACTGGTACCAAAACAAATATATAGACCAATGGAACAGAACAGAGGCCTCTGAAATAACACCACACATCTACAACCATCTGATCTTTCACAAACCTAATAGAAACAAGCAATGGGGAGGCCAGGCACCATGGCTCACACCTGTAATCCCAGCACTTTGGGATGCCAAGGTGGGCGGATCATGATGTCAGGAGATCGAGACCATCCTGGCTAACACGGTGAAACACCATCTCTACTAAAAATACAAAAAATTAACCGGGCATGGTGGCAGGTGCCTGTAGTCCCAGCTACTTGGGAGGCTAAGGCAGAAGAATGGCATGAACCCAGGAGGTGGAGCTGGCAGTGAGCTAAGATTGTGCCACTGCACTCTAGCCTGGGCGACAGAGTGAGACTCCGTCTCAAAAAAACAAAACAAAAAACAAACAAACAAACAACAAAAAAAGCAATGGGGAAAGGATTCCCTATTTAATAAATGGTGCTGGGAAAACTGGCTAGCCATATGTAGAAAGCTGAAACTGGATCCCTTCCTTACACCTTATACAAAAATTAATTCAAGATAGATTAAAGACTTAAATGTTAGACCTAAAACCGTACAAACTGTAGAAGAAAACCTAGGCAAAACCATTCATCACAGAGGCATGGGCAAGGACTTCATGACTAAAACACCAAAAGCAATGGCAACAAAAGCCAAAATAGACAAATGGGATATAATGAAACTAAAGAGCTTCTGCACAGCAAAAGAAATTACCATCAGAGTGAACAGGCAACCTGTTGTCTGACAAAGGACTAATATCCAGAATCTACAAAGAACTTAAACAAATTTACAAGAAAAAAACAAACAACCCCATCAAAAATTGGGCAAAGGATATTAACAGTCACTTTTCAAAAGAAGACATTTATGTAGCCAACAGACACATGGAAAAATGCTCATCATCACTGGTCATCAGAAAAATGCAAATCAAAACCACAATGAGATACCATCTCATGCCAGTTAGAATGGCAATCATTAAAAAGTCAGGAAACAACAGATGCAGGAAAGGATGTGAAGAAATAGGAATGTTTTACACTGTTGATGGGAGTGTAAACTAGTTCATCCATTGTGGAAGGCAGTGTGGCAATTCCTCAAGAATCTAGAACTAGAAATACCATTTGTCCCAGCGATCCCATTACTGGGTATATACCCAAAGGACTATAAGTCATGCCACTATGAAGACACATGCACACATATGTTTATTGTGGCACAATTCACAATAGCAAAGACTTGGAACCAACCCAAATGTCCATCACTGATAGACTGGATTAAGAAAATGTGGCACATATACACCATGGAATACTATGTAGCCATAAAAAAAGGATGAGTCCTTGTCCTTTGCAGGGACATGGATGAAGCTGGAAACCATCATTCTCAGCAAACTATCACAAGGACAGAAAACCAAACACCGCATGTTCTCACTCATAGGTGGGAATTGAACAATGAGAACACTTGGACATAGGGTGGGGAACATCACACATGGGAGCCTGTTGTGGGGTGGGGGGCAGGGGGAGGGATAGCATTAGGAGAAATATCTAATGTAAATGATGAGTTGATGGTTGAGGCAAACCAACATGGCACATGTATACATATGTAACAAACCTGCATGCTGTGCACATGTACCCTAGAACTTCAAGTATAATAATAATAATAAAAGTAAATCATCCACTTGCTGAAGGAGCAGCACCAGAGTTCCTGGACTTGAGAAGTGGCCTAGATCTTGGGTCAGTACCTGACCAAACAGATGAGGGCTATCCCTAAACCCTTGAGGCAAGAATGTCCTCATAAGTAGGGATGTGTCTGTGGAATCCTCAAAGGCAAAGAGAAACTGGGAGTCAGAGGGTAGGGAAATGCAGATGAAGGTATCCTTGAGGTCCAGAACAGTGAACCATTCTGCTTCCTCTGGTTTTTGAGAGAGCAGGGTATAGGAGTTGCGTACAACTGGATATAGAGAAATTACTGCCTCATTGATTAGTCTGAGATCTTGCACTAGTTTCCACTGACCATTTGGTTTTTGTACTCCTAGAATTGGGGTGTTGCAGGGACTGTTGCATTTTCTTACTAATCCTTGAGTTTTTAAATGTCTGACAATATCCTGTAACCCTGTATGAGCTTAAGGCCTTAAGGGATATTGCCTTTGATAAGGAAAATTGGCGGGGTCTTTTAGCCTGATTTGAACTGGGCGGGCATTTTTTGCCCTTCTGAATTGTCCTTCCAATGCCCAGAATTCAGAGTTGATTCCCTCCTCAAGTAGGGGACAACAAATGGGTAATTTGTCCCCCATATTCATATAGATAATAGCTCCAGCTTTGGCTAATATGTCCCTCCCTAATAAGGGTGTGGGACTTTCAGGCATAACAAGAAAGTCATGTGAAAATAGCAAAGTCTCCCAATTACAGCTGAGGAGGTGGGAGAAATACCTGGTTACAGGCTGTCCCAGGATTCCTTGGATGGTAATGGACTTTGAGGACGGCGGTCCAGGGCAGGAGATTAACACTGAGAAGGCTGTGCCAGTGTCCAGGAGGAAATCAATTTCCTGGCCTTCAGTGGTTAAAGTTACCCAGGGCTCAGTGAGGGTGATGACATGAGCTGGTGCTTGCCTCGGGCACCCTCAGTCCTGTTGGGTCATCTCGCTGGGGGCTTCTGGCCCAGAGAATCTTTGTCCTCTGGGGCAGTGCATCTTCCAGTGATTGCCTTGGCATAGTGGACATGGGTGAGGGGGCAGCTTTTTTCTCATTGGACAATCTTTTTTAAAGTGTCCTTGCAAACCACACTCATAACAAGCCCTACCAGGTGATTGGCCTGCTCCATTTTCTGTCCTGTCTGAACCACCAAGGTTTGTTCATGTGAGGGCCATGACTAAGGCTGTGGCCTTTCTCTGATCTCACTTTTCCTACTCGGCCTGTTCCTTTTGGTCCCTATTATAGAACACCGAGGTTGCCAGCTTTAATAATGCCTCAGATTTTGTTCAGGGCCCAGGGCTCGCTTTTGGAGCTTTCTCCTGATATCTGCAGCTGATTGCATAATAAACTTATCTTTTAAGATCAATTGACTCTCAAGGGAGTCGGATGATAGGGGAGTATGTTTTCTTAAGACCTCCCATAGTCACTCGAGGAAGGCGGAAGGATTTTCTTCCTTTCCCTGAGTTATGGTGGACATCATTGAATAATTCATGGGCTTTTTCCTAATTCTCCTTAGTTCTTCTAGAACACAGGTCAACAGATGTTTGTGACTCCAGTCCCCATGATCTGAGTCAAGGTCCCAGTGGGGATCCATCCTGGGGATGTCTTGCTGACTGGTAGGGAGTTTGTCCCTTTCTTCGGCTGTCATTCTATCATTTACTTGACTAAGATACCAGGTATCTCCAAACTCTCAGGCTGCAGCTAAAGCTGCATTCTTTTCATTAAAGGCCAGGGCTTGATCTAACAATAGATCCAGTGAGCCAGGTGAGGTGGTGGCTCACACCTGTAATCCCAGCACTTTGGGAGGCCGAGGCGGGCAGGTCACAAGGTCAGGAGATTGAGACCACCCTGGCTAACACGGTGAATCCCCGTCTCTACTAAAAATACAAAATATTAGCCAGGCGTAGTGGCGGATGACTGTAGTCCCAGCTACTCGGGAGGCTGAGGCAGGAGAATGGTGTGAACCCGGGAAGTGGAGCTTGCAGTGAGCTGAGATTGTGCCACTGCACTCCAGCCTGGGCAACAGAGTGAAACTCCATCTCAAAACAACAACAACAGCAACAAAACAATAGCATGACATCTCTCCAAGTGAGGTCGAAGGTTTGCCCTAGACCCCATAGGATATCTATATACCTATCAGGATCACCTGAAAACTTCCCCAGATCTAACTTGATCTGCTTTAAATCAGAGAGGGAGAAGGGGACTTGTACCCGGGTTGGGCCAAATTCCCCTCCCCCTACAGCTTGAAGAGGACATAACCTATAGCGGGTTTTTTGTGGTCCCTTGGAGATTTCTTTGCTTGTTTCCTTCTGGGTGGGGGAGATTAGAGGAGGCTCATCATTAATAGGAAGGAAGAGGAGCTGTAAGGAGGCTAGGATATGGGGGTAAGCTGAGAGGTCCTCCTGTGGAATGTAGATTGCAAGCTTTGCATAGTTGTGGATTGTCCTTCAGTGAAAAGAAAGCTTGGACATAAGGTATTTCACTCCACTTGCCTTCCTTCTTACAGAAAAGTTCAAGCTGCAGGATACTATTGTAATTTATACGTCCCTCAGGTGGCCATTTTTCCCCATCAGAGAGACAATATTGGGACCAGGCCATAGTGCAGAAAAAAATAAGCCACTTCTTTTTCAGGGTTTGCAGGTCAAATTGGTCCCAATGGCTTAGGATTAATTTCAAGTGTGAGCCTGTTGATCCCTGAGTGTTTCCCACCTGAAAGAAAAAAACGCCAATGGTTTTGGTTTGTTTTTTTTTCTCCTGCCCAAGAACCCGCAACAGGTCCTGGATGCTGCTGTTTGGAATAGTTTTGCTCACAGAAGCAGCAGTGGAAACACTAGTTTTCCTCCTAGACCACAAAGAAGACCGAGGAAGGTCAGATTTAGTTGCCCTTACCAATGCATTCTCAAAAACCTGCACCCTTGCCTTTCCTCTTAGACCACAAAGAGGACCGAGAAAAAACGGATTTAGTGGCCCTTACTGATGCATTCTTAAAAATCTGTTAGAGTCCTAAGCATTTTCTTCTGTTGGTATTGTGACCTTACCCTTATCCTATAAAGATGATATGCCACAAAATGGAGGGGAGGGCCATACCTTGAGGGAGGGAAGGGATCTCCAGGGTTGTAAGAGTGATGCCTTTTGTCTTCACTTCTCATCATATGAACAGGAAGGATATCCGCTGCCCAATTTTGGAGTCTATAATTTCTGAGGCTCCCCATATCTTAGCTTTGGGAATAGCCTTTGTTAGGCCTGCTAGTCTGAGGAGGAATCCTAAAATTCCAGATAGTCCCCTCTGTGATGGGGCTTTGGGCAATAATTATGTCTTTCTGATTGGTGAGCCCGGGTGCCTAAAAAAGGGAACAGAGTCCCGAAATTTATACTAGAAACCATTCTTTTTGGAGAAACTAGAAGAGCACCGGGGACAAGGAGTAGTTTTTAGAAGCAGGACTAGTCTTGAAGAAGAGAGGTGGGAGGAAGTTTGTCTGACAGGCATAGGACCCAGGAGGCAAGGGTCGGGATAGATAAGATAGATGGATGAGTCTCGCTTGGGCAACGTAACTTTGAGCGCTCTGTTCATGGCTGCAGGGTCAATTAACTTTTCGTTGGGACTGCAGAGCTGAATGGCTTTCCTCTCTGTCGACCCTCGGCTCAGCCCAGAAGTATAGGAAAAGCAGAAGCTGTTTCCAGGCAAACCAATGCTCCTAACTCTGACGAGTTGGGGGTTGTTAGACATCCCTTTCCTAGAAAGCCTGACACCCGTGTCTTTAGTCAGGTGGCCACGCTAGTTGCTTCTAACTGGCCAACAGGTGCCTGGTGTTTAGCCCCTGAATTCTAAGGAAAAATAGGACAGAATAGCAAGTGAAAGGGGTCCAATGGTACTCACTGCATGGTGCTATACTGGGCGAGCTCCCAAGTTGTGTATCGAGTTGGTTCGCAGTGGGTTCGTGGTCTCACTGACCTCAAGAATGAAGCTGCAGACCTTCACGGTGAGTATTACAGCTCTTAAAGATGGCATGGACCCAAAGAGTGAGTGGTAGCAAGGTTTATTGTGAAGAGCAAAAGAACAAGCTTCCACAGCATGGTAGGGACTCAAGCGGCTTGTCACTGCTGGCTGGGGGTGGCCAGCTTTTATTCCTTTATTTGTCCCCTCCTATGTTCCATTTCTATCCTATCAGAATGCCCTTTTTTCAGTCCTCCCTGCAATTGGATACTTTCAGGATCCTGCTGATTGGTGCATATTACAGAGCACTGTTTGGGACATTTTACAATCCCCTTGCTAGCTACAGAGCACTGATTGGTGAGTTTTTACAGAGCACTGATTGGTGCATTTTACAATCTTCTTGTAAGATAGAAAAGTTCTCCAAGTCTCCACTCAGCCCAGGAAGTCCAGCTGGCTCCACCTCTCACCAGCACTTTGGGAGGCCAAGGCAGGCATATCACCTGAGGTCAGGGGTTTGAGACCAGCCTTGTCAATGTGGCAAAACCCTGTCTCTACTAAAAATACAAAAATTAGCCAGGCATGGTGGCAGGCACCTGTAATCCCAGCTACTTGGGAGGCTGAGGCAGAAGAATCACTTGAACCCAGGAGGCAGAGGTTGCAGTGAGTTGAGATGACACCACTGCACTCAAGCCTGGGTGACAGAGTGAGACTCTGTCTCAAAAAAAACCAAAAAACAAAAAAAGAAATTCCCCCCAAAGTTAGTTCAGACTTTGCCCAGGAATGAACAAGGACAGCTTGGAGGTTAGAAGCAAGATGGACTTGGTTAGGTTGGATCTCTTTTACTGTCTTAGTTATAATTTTGCAATGGCGGTTTCAATCCCTTCCTTTGGGTTTTATAACACCTTAATCTTAAGGTGTTGGCTAATGAAGATAGAGAAAGGGCAAAGACCACTCTAACTTCTTCCTGCTGACCAGGGGCATAGTCGGGGTAGGTGTTGACCCCAAGGTGAGAGGACTGGAACCACTTTGCTACTGTCTGAGCATACTCATGCAGGATGGCTGAAAAATGTGTTAGTATTGTCATCTATAATTTTAGTATTGCATTTAAGGGAACAGCACACTACAAAGTAAATAATGAGTTCTAGCATAAGGAATGCAATTCCTACTTTTAAAAGTAAAGATTTGAAATCATTAATTTGGAGACTTGTAGTCCACAAATAATTTAGGATTTAGTCCAAACTGCAGAAAAAACTCAAGAACAACTAACAATGAATATTTCTTTATTTTTGGAGCATAACTTTTCTGTCTCCAGTCCCCATTTTTTAATTAAAAATAAATCACAGTAGATCAACTTTACTTGCAAAGTAAGTTTTAGTCTTATTATGCTCTGCCTGATTACTTGCATAAAGTGCAGCAAGAATAATTATTGTTCACATAGGCATTTTAAAATGGCTTTGATGGAATTCTGTTTCATAAGGAATCTCAGATAAGACTTTTTAAAAGCCAAGCCCAGCCACGGGTTTGTACCGTCAAATAACCATGAGTTGGGTAAATTCCTCTTCTCTTGAGGTCCCAAGATAACTTGGGGCTCTTGGGCCTGTTAGAAGGTGACATTCTTTACTTACCACAGATCAGGAACCCTATACAGGGACTGTGTAGACAAGGTATGAGGCCAGTTTTCCCAAGGGGCTTTGTTTTCTCTGTTTTGTTTTGTTTTTGAGACAGGATCTTGCTCTATCACCCAGGCTGGAGTGCAATGATGCAATCTCTGCTCACTGCAACCTCCATCCCCCAGGCTCAAGCAATCCTCCCACCTCAGCCTCCCAAGTAGCTGGAACTACAGGCATGTGCCACCACACCCAGCTAATTTTTGTATTTTTAGTAGAGACAGGGTTTCACCATGTTGCCCAGGTTGGTCCTGAGCTCCTGAGCTCAAGCTGTCTGTCCACCCTGGTCTCCCAAAGTGCTGGGATTGCAGGCATGAGCTACCACGCCTAGCCCCAAGAGGCTTTTATTCCTTAAAGGCAAGCACACAATTCCAGTCAAAGCCTTGGTAAAATAAGCAGTTTCTTCAATTGTGTCCTGTTGCAAAGGAAAACATTCCTATTGCACTTATGGAAATAACTATATTGCCATAAGTTAAGAATATTCACAAATAGTTACCAAATCCTGGGGAAGTCAGGAAGAGAGAATCAAATATGCTCCAAGTTTTGTTTACAGATGTGTACTTTACTCAATATTAAAAGCTGTAAATAGGTTCAAAAGAAAGGTTTTCTTGGCTCTGGAAAACAAAAAAGATCAGCAATGTTTTAAGCAAAAAGTCAATAAAGGTTGCTTCAGTCTTCTATTAGTTCAGCCCATACAGTTAACGTCTGTTCTGCTTAATATTCAGATGGAAGTGCAGATAAGGTCTGACTCCAGCATAGCTAGGGGGCATGGCTAATTCCACATGTCCACAGACCTTAGCTAGAATTTCTAATGGCTCCAAAGTAGGTAAGCCTAACAATTTTCAAAAGTCAAAGAAACCGTTTATGACCTTAAAGCATTTAGCAAACCTAACATCTGACCTAATTTAGACTAAACATCTAAATTGTGAAGACATTTTTTACCAATAATCTTTAAAACTGTTTTTATTTCCAAAAGATCACTGAAATCACGTGAACAAAAAGGCATTAAAATGTTTCTGTTTTTCTGACAAAATACTTGATTTAAGTGCTTATTTTTCTAAGCCAATTAGTCAGAGCTCTTTTATACAAACACCATGCATACAACACATATACATAGACAGACAGACAGAAGATCTGGTAGTTGTAAGATTTTTCACTTGCCAGTTTCTTAATTGAATTACTGGCTTCAAGATGGCACCCTTGGAGGAACAGCATCAGCAAAGCATGGCATTTCTAGGGCCTAATAAAAAGGCATAGCTGGAAGGCAAAAACATATCCCCAAAATTAAGGGTGCCATTTGTATACTGCATCCTGGATCCCCCCAGAAGAGGAAAATGCTATGGGAAAGAGTGCAATGCTTCTACCGTGCATGTCATTGCAAAGCAACCCAAAGCCAATCAGCCCATTTTGAAACCAGCCCATCCTCCATGGGAATCTCCTCTCAGTTGCAGGTGGGGATGTTTCCATATCTTCCAGGTGGCCAAGAGCATGCTTCTCTAATCCAAAAATCCAAGAGCCAAGCATCCCTCTTAACTGCCATTAGCCATTCCTTAAAGTATATTTCCTACCTGGTTATTACACACCAAGACTAAAAGCTCTCAAATAATGCAAAGTAATTTTTGATACCTGCCAAAGTAAAAAATTTGAGATAATGTAAGGTAAAACAGAAGACAGCCTTAGATTTTGAGAGGGATCTATTCTTTTTCAATTCCTAGGGTTCCATGAGAAAAACAGCGCTTTTTCCCAGAATGGGGTCTGTGGCACTTCCTGTTTTTCCCTAAGAGTTCCAGGCTGTTAGAATTTATCTTAGGTTCTCTCATGTGGGCATCAAGAGTGTTGAGAAGACAAAAGTGGAGAAAAACAACTCAGTCGAGCGAGAAGAAAAAAACCTTTTTTGTTTCTTTAGAAAAATAAGATCCAAGAAGAGAAAAAAGAAACCATGTAAAGGTATTTTAAATATGTGTGCAGTTTGGATATCTGCTTTTAATGAAGCTGATTTTAACCATACAGCTCTTTAAAAAATTATTTTTTAAATATCTAATTATTAGACTCTAGCCAGGACAGTCAATATTCCTTGCTTTTGAACTTTACCACAGGTAACTTCCCATGTGAAATTAATGTTTTAAATAAGGTTATAATGGATACATAAGGTATTTCAAAGAGATAGTAAGCAGTTTCTTTTTTTTTTTTTTAACAAGATCTAGAATCTTTCCAAGGTAGTTCAAAGGAAAACTCAAGACACGAAATCAAAAGTGGTCCACGGGGGAAAAAAGAATCAATAAGTGGCAAAAAGTTACACAAATAAACCAGAAAAGACTCATTCCCTAAGAATTGAACCCAGGCTGCCATTGTCAAAAGACAAGGCCTTAGCTACTGAGGTACAGCATTGAGCAGTTTCTATTGCTCTTCCTAGAAGAAGCCTAGAGCAGCCAATTTTGAGCTTGCAAAGGCTTTTAACTGCTGAAGTTAACTTTTAGGGTTAACTATGATATGCATCCCCAAATTCCTGTCCTCTGGATGCCAGAGACCAAGAGAAAGTATCTCCACATGGTCACAAGGTTGGGCTCTTAAAGACACAAAACAAGACAGATAAATTTCATCTGGTATTGGTTTCAGGGACACACAGCAAAGTTTGTAACTGAGCAGCCTGCCAGGCTGGCTTGAAAAATGGGCTTACAGGAGTCCTAAACCCACATTCTATTCTGTGATACCCTTCTCTCCATTACAGAACAACACAGAAAGACAAATTCTTAGCACAAAGTACACCATATTTGCTACAACCTAACACTACTCTCAGAAATCCTTTCTTCTACTAATCAAACCCTTGCAGAGGAGACATTGATGTTTATCATTTATACACAGAGAGAAAGAGACAGAGACCGGAAACTTGGCTGGTAAGAAATTCCTACCCTTTTTGCTGGCATACCAGGTTTCTGTGTCCCCTTTCTCTGAAGCTTCCAGAAAATGGAGCAGCTTTTGATGACCCTGCTTACTGTGCCATAGCTGTGGGGGCCAAGCCCTGTTACAAAAGAAAATCATCCATTTCTGTTTTATGGAACCATAGGCAAAAGCTTCTCACTTTTCCAAGATGCTGCCTGATGGGTTGCATGGGGAACTGAATTAATATTTTCCATCCCAGCCGAAGCAAAATACACATAACGAAACAGACACTAGTCACCTCGTTCAGCACCCAATATTGACCTGGCAAGGCTCAAACTTTCTCATGTTGGTTCCCATAGTCTTTGATCCACTCCAAGTGGAGAGGGATGACCTCCAACCGGTAATTGAATAGGTGGTCTCTGGGCAAGATGAAGAGTGGACAGTCACCCCATGTCAGGCCTGTTGAGCTTTCTTCAGGGCTCATCAGATGTAACCTGACTTACGTAGAGTTCTCCGAGTTAGGCCTGCTGGACTTCCATCAGCAATTCCCTCAGAGATCCCCTCAACATATACAAACACACACACAACAAAGACAAGACAGACAGAAGGCCTTTGAGACACAGATTCCAGACCCAGTCACAAACCAAGAGTATTCCTCCAAACAAGTCCCCTATTCTCCATCCAATTAGACATCTCACCAGTAGACATCTCGTGATGGGGCTAAAGACAGACACCCCATGATGGAGCTAAAGACAGACACCAAAAAAGAGACAGCAGCACCTCCAGAGAGACTGACAAATAGGAGAAGGAAGGGGCTGTTGGCAGCACCTAGAATACTCACCAAATCAGACACCCCATAATGGGGCTACAGCTACAGACACTCCATGACGGGGCTACAGACAGACACCCAGTGGTAGGGCTACAGTTGCAGACACCCAGTGGTGGAGCTGGAGAGAGACACCCCACCATGGGGCTACAGACAAACATTCCACCATGGAGCTACAGTTATGGGATATCTCCCAGGACTATTTCTCTATCGCAATTAAATTCATGCACAATGGATCAGCAGCACCCCACCAGTAGAGCCAGTACTAGAGTCAACCCCCAGTCCAAGAGAACTAGGTGGCCACTTGGGTGGCCTCTGGATCTGTTGCTGGAGGGAGTCTACCAAACCATGGGCAGGCAGCCACAAGGGCAATTCTGAGCAAGCCCCAAATTTGTAACCGCCCAATGAGTTCACCTTGCCTGCTGCCTAGACAAAGCCAATTTATCAAGACAGGGGAATTGCAATAAAGAAAGAGTAATTCATGCAGAGCCAACTTTGCGGGAGACTGAAGTTTTATTATTACTCAAATCAGTCTCCCTAAGCATTCAAACATACAGAGATCGGCATTTTTAACGATAATTTGGAGAGTAGGGGAGAACCAGTGAGTCAGGAGTGCTGATTAGTTGGGTCAGAGGTGAAATCATAAAGGGTCAAAGCTATCTTCTTGGGCTGAGTCAGTTCCTGGGTAGGGGCCCCAAAATCAGATGAGCCAGTTTATCAATCTGGGTGGTGCCAGCTGATCCATCAAGTGCAGGGTCTGCAAAATATCTAAAGCACTAACATTTCATTTTATAATAATGACATTATCCCCAGGAGCAATTTGGGGAGGGTCAGAATCCTTTAGTCTCCAGCTGTGTGACTCCTAAACCATAATTTCTACTTTTGTGGCTAATTCATTAGTCCTACAAAGGCAGTCTAGTCCCCAGGCAAGAAGGAGGTTTGTTTTGAAGAAGGGCTGTTATCTTTGTTTTAATCTATAAATTAAAAACTAAGATCCCCCCAAAGTTGGTTCAGACCATGCCCAGGAATGAAGAAGGACAGCTTGGAGGTTAGAAGCAAGATTTTAGGTCAGATCTCTTTCACTGTCTCAGTTATGATTTTGCAGTGGTGGTTTCACAGACACACGGCTAATCCTCTTACCTAATCCATTAGACTTTGTCCCAGCCCTTGAAGTTGTCTCCCCCTGGCCTGCCCAACACACAGGGCACAGCCTGTACTTTCACCAGTAATCACCCCTTCCCCAAATGCACTGGAATCCCACTGATGACAAGGCCTCATTTCTTAACCAGGATGTGGTAAAGTGCTCTCTACAGCATAAAAGCCCCCAAAAAATTTGATGATGATGATGGATCAAGCTCTGGAGCCCCACTAATGACAAAAAAGGAAGTGTGTGTGTGTGGGTGTGGGTGTGTGTGTGCACGTGGACACATGTAGGTGAAGGGTGTGGGAGCATTACAAGTTGTACAAGGCAGTGGAATGGATTTTTGCAGGGACTACTTATAGAATTAGTCAGGTCCTTTGCTTTTAGATACCTCCCACAGCTCTTAGCTGTGCATGAATGATTCCTTCAGTAGCTTGTGTACTTAGCAGCTAAGCAGGTCTTGCTTGGAGAGATGAGGTACTTGCCTTCACTTACCCACTGAATTTAAAACCCAGTTTAACCCTCCTTGCTTTATGGGGTTTCCTCACAGTCTTCTAAGCATGTCCTTCCAATGGGTGAAGCTGAAGGAGAAGACCCCAGGAATGGCTTAAGAGCTGAGGGCCACTTTAAGTAGATACTTCTTGGACTTTAAATTATGAAAACAAAACACACAGAACCAAAGCAAAAGCCACTGGAATAATGACATAATGGCCACACTGGAGTTGTATTGTTTTCTCCTGAGCAGTAACATTTCAAAGCTGTCTCGAAGGTTGTTGCCTGGTAGCAGAGATTTGCAGGAGGGGAAGGCAGATTTAGAAATATATTCTATGACTAGGGCTCTTTATAGAAAAGGTAAAAGGATGAATTGATAAGGATTCTGTTTTTTCAGAGCAGAAGAACTTGATAAGGAGTCTTAAGAAGCTGACATTTTAAAAACAAAAAACTCAAGTTGTTATTATAGTATTGTGACACTTCTGCATAATTTCCTAACAAAGACCAGCATTCATAGTGCTGAGGAACAGACTTTTCCAGGCATTTTACTGAATAAGCTGTAAAATGCTGCCTTTGACTTTGCTGGTGGCCTGCTTGGCATAGCTTCTCTGGGCCTCTGCTTAACTTTCCCAGACAGCACAGCACTTTGAAACACTCTCCCCACTGAATACAACTAACAAGTTCTTGATAAATCTCTACTATCAAAACTTATTTGGATTCTTACCTGGCAGGGGAGATGCCATGATCATGAAGGTGGTTTTCCCAGGCTGAGGCTCATCCATTGCACTCCATAGGTGTGCTTACCCCTGTGATTTCCCCAAATGCGGGAAACTCAACTGCATAATTTGTGGTAGTGAGGAACTGCATTCGTGCTTTCCCCTGGGAAAAAAAAAAAACAAAAAAACTTATATGGAGTTTAAAATATAATTAATTAAAAATCAATCCTGTGGGATCACATATCTAGGGGAGACTTTAACCCATCACAGATACTGGATCTGGATAACTTGCAATAACCCAGTGTCTGTGATGGGTTAGTCTCCCCTTAACTTATCACAGATACTGGGTTATTGCAGGTCTGGATTACATAGTGCACTAACAAGAAAAATCAGTGTGCCATAGGTCCTTGGTGTTCCAAAAGTCAGAATAGTTATAAAATCCTGACTATGGCTTCCTCCATTGCTTCATCAGCTATTCAGTTACTCACACCTAGCTATTCACAACAAAAGAAAGAAGCAACAAAAAAAAAACCATTAAGTTTCTTGAAGAACTTGGAAATAAGGTTGACAATGAACATTAAACTAGTAAAATCCATATACAATAAAAGAGATTAACAGAGGCCACCCTGAGGAACCATTAACATACTTTCTATTAACAAACCTGAAGAAAGCACTAAGAAGAGTTAGGAAAAGAGAGTCAGAGAGCAGGAATTTTAGTCTAGAACTATCCAAGGAGAGAGGCACTTTGATAGTAGTGGCAGTTCTGGTGGCACAGGTAGAGTGGAAGCAAGGAGACCAGTTGAGGTTCCTGCTATATGCCAGCCAAGAATGGTGATTTGGACTTGGATAAATGGTGGAAGTGGAGGTGGAGTGAAGTAGACAGATCCAAGATTTATTTTGGATGTAGGATCCATGGAACTTGGTAAGGTGTGAGCTTATGGGAGTTGAGGAGAAGATAGCAGAAAGGCTGACTCCCAGATTTCTGGCATGACTAACTGGAAGGATGAAGAGACACCCAGCTGAGATTTGGGGAGGAGCAGATTTGGGGAAAATATCAAACATGTAATTTTGGGTAGGCCAAGTTTGAGATGGTGTCTTTGTCTACTTTGTGTTGCTATAAAGGAATATCTGAGGCTGGGTGACTTATAAAGGAAAGGCTTATAGGGCTCATGGTTCTGCAGGCTGCACAATAAGCATGGTGGCAGCATCTGCTCAGCTTCTGGTGAGGGGCTGCAGGTTGCCTCCACTATTGGCAGAAAGGAAGAGGGAAGGAGAGCGAGCATGGGCTGAGATCACATGGTGAGAGAGGAAGCAAGAGAGAGCAGGGAGGTGCTAGGCTCTTTTTACCAACCAGCTTTCATGGGAACTAACAACCAGCATAACAGAGTGAAAACTCACTCACTTTACCTGCGCCCACCAACCCACAAAGGGAGGGCATTAATCTATTCATGAGAGGTCATCCTCCCTGACCCAAACATTTCCCATTAGGTCCCACTTCCAACATTGGGATCAAATTTCAACATGAGGCTTGGGGAGACAAACATCCAAACTATAACATTCTGCCCCTTCCCCCTAAACTCATGTCCTTCTCAGATGCAAAATACATTCTACCCCAATAGTGCCCAAAGTGTTAACTTGTTCCAACGTCAACTTAAAAGTCTAAAGTCCAAAGTCTCATCTGAGACTCAGGGCAAATTCCTTCCAGCTATGAGCCTGTAAAATCAAAAACAAGTTATTTAGTTCCCAGATGCAATGGTTGTACAGGCATTAGGTAAAGATTTTCATTCCCCAAAGGAGAAACTGGCCAAAAGAAAGGTAACAGGCCCATGCAAGTCTGAAACCCAGTAGGGCAGACAGGCAGACATTAAATCTTAAAGCTCCAAAATAAACTTTGACTCCATGTCCTGCATTCTGGGGACACTGGTTTGAGGGATGGGCTCCCAGTGCCTCAGACAGCCCTACCCCTATGGCTTTGCTGAGCGCTGCCTACATGGCTGCTCTTATGGTTTGGAGTGGAGTACCTGAGGCTTTCACAGACTGAGGTGCATGCTGCTGGTGCCTCCATAATGCTAGGGTGGAGGGCAGCAGCCCTTCTTCCACAGCTACTAGGCACTGCCCTAGTACAGTTTCTCTGCAGTGGCTTGCCCCTGTGGCAGGCTTCTGCCTGGGCACTCAGGCTTTCCAATACATCCTCTGAAATCTAGGTGGAAGCTGCCCAGCCTTTACCACTCTTACATTCTGGGAGCCTGCAGACAACACCATGCGGAAGCTGCAACAACTTAAGGCTTACACTCTCTGGAACAGCAGCCTGAAGTGGTACCTGGGGCTGTTTGGGCTCAGGCTAGAGCTAGAGCAATTAGAATGCTCCCCACATCCTGCGGTGGCATAGGGCAAAAGCACCCCAGGCCTGTCCCCTGAAACCATTCTGTCCTCATAGGCCTCTGAGCCTGTGATGGGAGGGATGACCTCAAAGATTTCTGAAATGTCTTTGAGGTCTTTTCCCCATTGTTCTATTAGCACCTCATTCCCTTTTATCCATGGTAATCTCTCTAGCAAGTGGTTGCTCCATATCGCCCTTGGATTCCTCACCTGAAAACATTCTTTCCTTCTCTACCACATGACCAAGTTATAAATGTTCCAAATTGTTTTGCTCTTTTTCTCTTTTAATTAGAAATTCCACCTTTAGATCATTATTTTGCTGCTGTATCTGATCATAAGCTGTTAAAAGTAGCAGGCCAGTCATGGTGCTCACGCCTGTAATCCCAGCACTTTGGGAGGCTGAGGCGGGCAGATCACGAGGTCAGGAGATCAAGACCATCCTGGCTAACACGGTGAAACCCCGTCTCTACTAAAAATACAAAAAAAATTAGCCGGGTGTGGTTGCAGGTGCCTGTAGTCCCAGCTACTTGGGAGGCTGAGGCAGGAGAATGGCGTGAACCCAGGAGGCGGCGGAGCTTGCAGTGAGCGGAGATCGCGCCACTGCGCTCCAGCCTGGGCGACAGAGCGAGACTCCGTCTCAAAAAAAAAAAAAAAAAAAAAAGTAGCCGTGCCACTTCTTGAATGTGTTGCTGTTTAGACATTTCTTCCACTGGATACCCTAGTTCATCACTCTTAAGTTTGGCCTTCCACAAAGCCCTAGGCCATGAACACAATGCAGCCAAGTTCTTTGCTACCACATAATATGGGTGACATTTGCTCCAGTTCCCAATAAGTTCCTTATTTCCATCTGAGACTTTGTCAGCATGGCCTTTACTGTCTATATGTCTATAAACATTTTGGTCACAACTATTTAACCAATATGTAAGAAGTTCCTAACTTTTCCTAGTCTTTTTTCTCCTTCTGAGCCCTCCAAACTCTTCCAACCTCTGCCCATTAACTAGTCCAAAGCCATTTCCACATTTTCAAGTATCTTTATAGCAACACCCACTCCTCAGTATTAATTTTCTGTCTTCATCTGTTTTGTGTTGCTATAAAGGAATACCTGAGGCTGAGTAATTTATAAAGAAGAGGTTTATGTGGCTCACAGTTCTGCAGGCTGTGTGATAAGCATGGCACCAGCATCTGCTTCTGGTGAGGGCTTCAGGCTGTTTCTACTCATCGTGAAGGTAAAGAGGAGCCAAGGTGTGCAGAGAGTACATGGTGAGAGAGGAAGCAAGAGAGAGTAGAGGGGTGCCAGGCTCTTTTTAACAAACAGCTTTGGTGGGAACTAACAGAGCAACAATTCACTCACTCACTCTCACTTCCCCAACCCCAGAGGGAGGGCATTAATCTATTCATGTGTCGTCTATGCCCATGGCACAAACACCTCCCATTAGGCCCTACCTTCAACATGGGAATCAAATTTCAACATGAGGTGTTGGGGGACAAACATCTAAATTATAGCAGATGCCTATAGCAGACATCCAGGTGAAATGACCAAACAATATAGGGCACGTGCTATGTAGGAGACTGGGAAAGTCTAGGCTTGAAGGTCTAGATGAAATTTGGAAGTCATTGGTATATAGACTATTGAGAGCAGTAAGTGAGAAGAAGATAATCTAGAGACTGAACACACAATTTGAAAAAGGACATAGCTCAGGTCCAAGCTCTGAGCATCAAACATCAAGGAACTAGGAAAAATGAAGAGGAAACAGCAAAGGATCCTGAGAATAAGTGAAGGCACAAAAAGCATTGTTTTAAGAAAAAAGTGTTCAAGTGTTTAATACTGATAAGAAGTCAAGATGGAAACCAAAGAATATCTAGTGGATTCAGCAACAAGGAGGTAATTGGTAATCATGCAAACGGAGTTTTGGTGGAAAGATGGGAGTGGGAGCCATATTGGGACGGGATCATTCATCCATTTATTCAGCAACTATGTAATAAGTGTCTGTGACATGCTGGTACACGGTGCTGGGGATACAATGAATCTGACAGACACAATCCCCACTTAGGGGAGGAGAAGCCATTAAGCAGATAATCATAGAAGTAATGACTCAAACACAATTATGGTAAGGGCTATGAAGGAAAAGAAAAGAAAACCATGAAAGTGTGTAGCAGAGGAACCTAGTCTAGCTTGAAAGCAAGGGAAGTTTGCCCTGAGGGAGTGATAGATAAAGCTGTACTTGAGAGACTTGAGTTGTGACAGCAGTGAGGCTAGGGAGGGAGATTGTGTGTTCCAGGCAGAAGGAACCACAAACGTGGAGTCCAAGAGGGCGAGACCATCATGAAAAGTCAGCAGTGTGGCAGAATCACAGTGAACAAGGAGAGAGTGGCACAAAACAACAAAAACAACAACAGCAACTAGAGCCTAGCAAGTGACCCAACCCAGGGGTTCACATAGATCCTCCAGTGTTTTACACTGTAGGAAATGCCAGGGTGCAAGAAGAAAGGTAGTGAGAAGGCCTATGGCTGAAGACCTTAAGGCAAAAGCTAGAAAATTATACTTCTCTAGGGTGAGGAGTTCACTCTGATGTACAAAGTCTATTTTTTTCAAGCAAAAAATAATGGAATAGCACTGACTTTTATTCATTCATGTGAAGTCACCTGAAATGATATCTGTTGCATTTAAATGCTCATTAATAATATAAATGACTTAACAAATCCATTTCAATGGATATTCAATATTCCACTTAGATAAGTCACACAGCCTCATGACAACGCATATAACATATATAAACAGACAGGGATAAACACCTCCTCCCCCTCAGTTGATTTATTCAGCATGTTAGAGCAGTGAAGAATGGTTTCAGTCTTATAACCAAGTTAGAGTGAAGACACTGGCCGCATAATACACATGCTCCATTTGTAAAACAATTATCAGTCTTGGGCAACCGTTCTCTTGAAACCTTACAGTTTTTAAAAGCAGTTATTGTCCAAAGCTGGGAGAACTTAAGTCTTCTCAAATGAGCATGTGAATGAATGGAGGGAGGTAAACAGAAAATAAAATTTAAAAAGATGAGGTCTGATATGGGAGCAGCTGGATTAGAAACTAAAAAAGCGGCTAGGCACAGTGGCTCACACCTAGAATCCCAGCACTTTGGGAGGCCAAGGCAGGCAGATCGGTTGAGCTCAGGAGTTCAAGACCAACCTGGGCAACATGGTGAAACCCTGTCTCTACAAAAAAATAAAATAAAAAATAAATACAAAAATACAAAAATTAGTCAGGTGTGGTGGCACATGCCCGTAATCCCAGCTACTTGGGTGGCTGAGGCAGGAGAATCACTCGAACCCAGGAGGTGGAGGCTGCAGTGAGTGGAGAAGGAGAGAGAGAGAGAGAGACAGAGAGAGAGAGGAAGGGAGGAAGGTAAAAAGGAATAGTAATTTAAAGTTTATTTCAGCTATAATGCAGGTTATTCTGACTTCAAGGTAGCATCACATGGCATACTTCTGAGTCAATTCTCGACATATTCTGTTGTGTTTATCTCTGTCTGTTTATATAAAAAGGCACAATGAGACATTTCTAAACATGGCAGGATCTCAAGAAATATTGTTTCCATGAGCTTTCCTTGAATAAACTACTAGAAGATGAACTTCAACCAAGAAATAAATGGGAAAACTATGGCAAAAAGAGAGGTCATCAAGAGCAGGATAGGGAGAAGATGAGAAAATATTCTAATTTCATTGTTTATTCATATCAGGGGATTGATAGATAGTGCCTAAGAGAGGAAGATTAAGTAAATACATTATAAAGACCATCACTGAAATAAAAATATAACCTTTTCAGATTTTCAGAAAAAATAAAACCAAATACATACCATAACATCAGAATTTTTAAAGGATCTATTAAATAATAGAAGACATCATATAAAGTTATATATATTGTATTAATAATTAATACCAAGTATTTCAATTTGATAAATCTAAATGTGCTAAACTAATGTATTAAAATAAAATAAATTTCAGCCAGTCTTGGTGACCCACACCTGTGATCCTAGCACTTTGGGTGGCTTAGGCAGGAGGATCGTTTGAGCCCAGGAGTTCATGACCAGCCTGGGCAACACAGTGAGACCCCATCTCTATTTTTTATTTAAAAAATAATAAAAATTGAAAGTAAAATAAAATAAAGTAAATTTGGATTAAATCATAAAGCAAAATTCAAATCTATGCTGTACACAAGGGATCCAAAACAAAATAAATCAGAAATCTTTACAATTGTAAATTAGAAGAAAGCAATGGTTATAAGTTTTTTTTGCTTCATTTTGTTTCTCTTTCTTCCTTTTTATTTTCTATTACACTTTAAATTCTAGGGTACATGTGCACAATGTGCAGGTTTGTTACACAGGTATACATGTGCCATGTTGGTGTGCTGCACCCAACAACTTGTCATTTACATTAGGTATTTCTCCTAATGCTATCCCTCCCCCAGCCTCCCAAGCCCTGACAGGCCCCGGTGTGTGATGTTCCCTGCCCTGTGTCCATGTGTTCTCATTGTTCAACTCCCACCTATGAGTGAGAACATGAGGTGTTTGGTTTTCTGTCCTTGTGATAGTTTGCTGAGAATGATGGTTTCCAGCTTCATCCATGTCCCTCCAAAGGACATGAACTCACTCTTTTTATGGCTGCATTGTATTCCATGGAATCGCCACACTGTCTTCCACAATGGCTGAACTAATTTACACTCCCACCAACAGTGTAAAAGTGTTCCTGTTTCTCCATATCCTCTCCAGCATCTGTTGTTTCCTGACTTTTAAATGATCACCATTCTAACTGTTGGAGATGGTATCTCACTGTGGTTTTGATTTGCATTTCTCTGATGACCAGTGATGATGAGCATTTTTTCATGTGTCTGTTGGCTGCATAAATGTCTTCTTTTGAGAAGTGTCTGTTCATATCTTTTGCCCGCTCTTTGATGGGGTTGTTTGTTTTTTTCTTGTACATTTGTTTAAGTTCTTTGTAGATTCTGGATATTAGCCCTTTGTCAGATGGGTAGATTGCAAAAATTTTCTCCCATTCTGTAGGTTGCCTGTTCACTCTGATGACAGTTTCTTTTGCTGTGCAGAAGCTCTTTAGTTTAACTAGACCCCATTTGTCTATTTTGACTTTTGTTAACATTGCTTTTGTTGTTTTAGTCATGAAGTTGTTGCCCATGCCTATGTCCTGAATGGTATTGCCTAGGTTTTCTTCTACAGTTTTTATGGTTTTAGGTCTTACATTTAAGTCTTTAATCCATTTTGAGTTAATTTTTGAATAAGGTGTAAGGAAGGGATCCAGTTTCAGCTTTCTACATTTGGCTAGCGAGTTTTCCCAGCACCATTTATTCATAGGGAATCATTTCCCCATTGCTTGTTTTTGTCAGGTTTCTCAAAGATCAGATGGTTGTAGATGTGTGGTGTTATTTCTAAGGCCACTGTTCTGTTCCATTGGTCTATATATTTGTTTTGGTACCAGTACCATGTTGTTTTGGTTACTGTAGCCTTGTAGTGTAGTTTGAAGTCAGGTAGCATGATGCCTCATGCTTTGTTCTTTTTGCTTAGGATTATCTTGGCTATGCAGGCCCTTTTTTGGTTCCATATGAACTTTAAAGTAGTTTTTTGCAATTCTGTGAAGAAAGTCATTGGTAGCTTGATGGGGATGGCACTGAATCTATAAATTACCTTGGGCAGTAGGGCCATTTTCACGATATTGATTCTTCCTACCCATGAGCATGGAATGTTCTTCCATTTGTTTGTGTCCTCTTTTATTTCATTGAGCAGTGGTTTATGGTTCTCCTTGAAGAGGTCCTTCACATCCCTTGTAAGTTGGGTTCGTAGGTATTTTATTCTCTTTGTAGCAATCAGGAATGGGAGTTCCCTCATGATTTGGCTCTCTGCTTGTCTGCTATTGGCGTATAGGAATGCTTGTGATTTTTGCACATTGATTTTGTATCCTGAGACTTTGCTGAAGTTGCTTATCAGCTTAAGGAGTTTTTGGGCTGAGACAATGGAGTTTTTTTAAATATACAATCATGTCGTCTGCAAACAGGGACAATTTGACTTCCTCTTTTCCTAATTGAATACCCTTTATTTCTTTCTCTTGCCTGATTGCCCTGGCCAGAACTTCCAACACTATGTTGAATAGGAGTGGTGAGAGAGGGCATCCTTGTCTTGTGCTGGTTTTCAAAGGGAATGCTTCCATTTGTTGCCTATTTAGTATGATATTGGCTGTGGGTTTGTCATAACTAGCTCTTATTATTTTGAGGTACATTCCATCAATACCTAGTTTATTGAGAGTTTTTAGCATGAAGTGCTGTTGAATTTTGTCAAAAGCCTTTTCTGCATCTATTGAGATAATCATGTGGTTTTTATCATTGGTTCTGTTTATGTGATGGATTATATTTATTGATTTGCATATGTTGAACCAGCCTTGCATCCCAGGGATGAAGCTTACTTGATCGTGGTGGATAAGCTTTTTGATGTGCTGCTGGATTCAGTTTGCCAGTATTTTATTGAGGATTTTTGCATCGATGTTCATCAGGTGTATTGGTCTAAATTTCTCTTTTTTAGTTGTGTCTCTGCCAGGCTTTGGTATCAGGATGATGCTGGCCTCATAAAATGAGTTAGGGAGGATTTCCTCTTTTTGTATTGTTTGGATTAGTTTCAGAAGGAATGGTACCAGCTCCTCTTTGTACCTCTGGTAGAATTTGGCTGTGAATCCGTCTGGTCCTGGACGATTTTTTGGTTGGTAGGCTATTAATTATTGCCTCAATTTCAGAACCAGTTATTGGTCTATTCAGAGATTCAATTTCTTCCTGGTTTAGTCTTGGGAAGGTGTATGTGTCCAGGAACTTATTCATTTCTTCTAGATTTTCTAGTTTATTTGCATAGAGGTGTTTATAGTATTCTCTGATGGTACTTTGTATTTCTATGGGATTTTAAACTAAAGAGCTTCTGCACAGCAAAAGACACTGTCATCAGAGTGAATAGGCAACCTACAGAATGGGAGAAAATTTTTGCAATCTACCCATCTGACAAAGGGCTAATATCCAGGGTCTACAAAGAACTTACACAAATGTACAAGAAAAAAAACAAACAACCCCATCAAAAAGTGGGCAAAGGATATGAACAGACACTTCTCAAAAGAAGACATTTATGCAGCCAACAGACACATGAAAAAATGCTCATCATCACTGGTCATCAGAGGAATGCAAATCATTTTTTATTGTGGCTATTTGATCCTTCTCTCATTTCTTATTAGTCTTGCTAGTGGTCTATCTATTTTGTTGATCTTTTCAAAAAACCAGCTCCTGGATTCATTGATTTTTTTGAAGGGTTTTTGTGTCTCTATCTCCTTCAGTTCTGCTCTGATCTTAGTTATTTCTTGCCTTCTGTTAGCTTTTGAATATGTTTACTCTTGCTTCTCTAGTTCTTTCCATTGTGATGATAGGGTATTGAATTTAGATCTTTCCTGCTTTCTGTTGTGGGCATTTCATGCTATAAATTTCCCTCACACACTGCTTTAAATGTATCCCAGAGATTCTGGTACATTGTGTCTTTGCTCTTATTGGTTTCAAAGAACATCTTTATTTCTACCTTCATTTCGTTATTTACCCAGTAATTCAGGAGCAGGTTGTTCAGTTTCCATGTAGTTTTCCAGTTTTGAGTGAGTTTCTTAATCCTGAGTTCTAATTTGTTTGCACTGTGGTCTGAGAGACAGTTTGTTGTGATTTCTGTTCTTTTACATTTGCTGAGGAGGGCTTTACTTCTAATTATGTGGTCAATTGTGGAATAAGTGTGATGTGATGGTGAGAAGAATGTATATTCTGTTGATTTGGGGTGGAGAGTTCTGTAGATGTCTATTAGGTCCGCTTGGTGCAGAGCTGAGTTCAAGTCCTGGATATCCTTGTTAGCCTTCTGTCTCGTTGATCTGTCTAACATTGACAGTGGGGTGTTAATGTCTCCCATTATTGTGTGGGAGTCTAAGTCTATTTGTAGGTCTCTAAGGACTTGCTTTATGAATCTGGGTGCTCCTGTATTGGGTGCATATATATTTAGGATAGTTAGCTCTTCTTTTTGAATTGATCCCTTTACCATTATGTAATGGCCTTCTTTGTCTCTTTTGATCTTTGTTGATTTAAAGTCTGTTTTATCAGAGACTAGGATTGCAACCCCTGCTTTTTTTTTTTTTTTTTTTTTTTGCTTTCCATTTACTTGGTAGATCTTCCTCCATCCCTTTATTTTGAGCTGATGTGCATTTCTGCATGTGAGATGGGTCTCCTGAATACAGCACACTGATGAGTCTTGACTCTTTATCCAATTTGTCAGTCTGTGTCTTTTAATTGGGTCATTTAGGCCATTTACATTTAAGGTTAATATTGTTATGTGTGAATTTGATCCTGTCATTATGATGTTAGCTGGTTATTTTGCCTGTTAATTGATGCAGTTTCTTCCTAGCATTGATGGTCTTTAAAATTTGGCATGTTTTTGCAGTGGCTGGTACTGGTTGTTGCTTTCCATGTTTACTATTTCCTTCAGGAGCTCTTATAAAGGGAGGCCTGGTGGTGACAAAACCTCTCAGCATTTATTTGTCTGTAAAGGATTTTATTTCTCCTTCACTTATGAAGCTTAGTTTGGCTGAATATGAAATTCTGGGTTGAAAATTCTTTTCTCGAAGAATGTTGAATATCGGCCCCCACTCTCTTCTGGCTTGTAGAGTTTCTGCCGAGAGATCTGCTGTTAGTCTGATGGGCTTCCCTTTGTGGGTAACCTGATCTTTCTCTCTGGCTGCCCTTAACATTTTTTCCTTCATTTCAACCTTGGTAAGTCTGACAATTGTGTGTCTTGGTGTTGCTCTCCTCAAGGAGTATCTTTGTGGCGTTCTCTGTATTTCCTTAATTTGAATGTTGGCCTACCTTGCTAGGTTGTGGAAGTTCTCCTGGATAATATTCTGAAGAGTATTTTCCAACTTGTTTCCATTCTCCCTATCACTTTCAGGTACACAAATCAAATGTAGATTTGGTCTTTTCACAAGTCCCATATTTCTTGGAGGCTTTGTTCATTTCTTTTCACTCTTTTTTCTCTTATCTTGTCTTCTCACTATATTTCATTAATTTGATCTTCAATCACTGATACCCTTTCTTCCACTTGATCGAATCAGCTATTGAATCTTGTGCATGTGTCATGCAGTTCTCGTGCTGTGGTTTTCAGCGCCATCAGGTCATTTAAGGTCTTCTCTACATATTTATTCTAGTTAGCCATTTATCTAACCTTTTTTCAAGGTTTTTAGCTTCCTCATGATGAGTTCAAACATCCTCCTTTAGCTTGGAGAAGTTTGTTATTATCGACCTTCTGAAGCCTACTTCTGTCAACTCGTCAAACTTATTTTCTGTCCAGTTTTGTTCCATTGCTGGCGAGGAGCTGCAATCCTTTGGAGGAGAAGAGGTGCTCTGATTTTTGGAATTTCCTGCTTTTCTGCTCTGGTTTCTCCCCATCAGGCAAGGCTAACATTGGGACAAACAAATGTTAAGGGGTACAAATAAATAATCTATAATGATAAAAAAATGCAGTTCACCAGTTACAATGTTATAAATACCTAAGCACCAAATAACTTAGCACCTCCATGAATATTAATTAAAACATAAAATCACAGGATATACAAGAAAAAATGGAAACATTGTAGTAGACGCCGAAATGACAGAGAAGGATTAAATAGCATAATTAATAACAGATAAAACTTGGTACTCAAAAAAGAGAATACACCTTTTTTTTAAAGTATCTGTGGATAATTCACAAAAATTGACCATGTATTAGGCCAAAATGAAAATATTTGTGAGATATAAACTATAGAAATAGTACAGATAACATTGTCTATATAGAAGGCATTAAAAAAGAAGAGAAGAACCAGGTGCAGTAGCTCATGCCTATAATCCCAGCAGTTTGAGAGGCCAAGGCTGGTAGATCCCTTGAGCCAAGGAGTTTGAGACCAGCCTGCGCAACAAGGTGCAACCCTGTCACTGCCAAAAAAAAAAAGAGAGAGAAGAGAACACTTTATAACTTGTTTTATGAGGCCAGCATAACCTTGATATCCAAAACAGACAAGGACATTACAAGAAAGGAAAATTACAGGATGATCTCTCTCATCAACATACATGTGAAAATTCTGAACAAAATATTAGCAAATCTAATTGTATTAATACATTCAAAGCATGTATAGTTTTTTGTTTTTTTGTTTGTTTGTTTGTTTTTGAGATGGAGTTTTGCTCTTGTTGCCCAGGCTGAATTGCAATAGCACGATCTTGGCTCATCCCAAGCTCTGCCTCCCAGGTTGAAGCTATTCTCCTGCCTCAGCCTCCCGAGTAGCTGGGATTACACGCATGTGCCATCATGCCTAGCTAATTTTTTGTATTTTTTAGTAGAGACAGGATTTCTCCATGTCGGTCAGGCTGGTCTTGAACTCCCGACCTCAGGTGATATGCCCGGCCTCCCAAAGTGCTGGGATTACAGGTATGAGCCACCACACCTCGCCAAGCATGTATAGTTTTTAAAAGCTCAACAACATGATCTGATGTGCAGTCAGGTTTGATCCACTGTTGTACATGATATAAGATGTCATCATCACAGACCATAATAGTAAATTCCCAATTGAATTGCCAATTTAGAAGCTTGACTTTTCCCGGTCACTTCAGCATTATGTAGGAAAAGACTGAACTTTAAAACCAGAGTGATCAGAGATGGAATCACAATTCTTTTTTGTTGTTGTTGTTGTTTTTTGACAGAGTCTCGCTCTGTCGCCCAGGCTGGAGTGCAGTGGCACAATCTCAGCTCACGGCACGCTCCATTGCTTGGGTTCACGCCATTCTCCTGCCTCAGCCTCCTGAGTAGCTGGGAGTGCAGGCGCCTGCCACCACACCTGGCTAATTTTTTTTTTTGTATTTTTAGTAAAGATGGGGTTTCACCGTGTTAGCCAGGATGGTCTCGATCTCCTGACCTCGTGATCTGCCTGCCTCAGCCTCCCAAAGTGCTGGGATTACAGGCGTGAGCCACCGCGCCCGCCTGGAATCACAATTCTTAGAATTTACTAGCTACGTGATTTTGGACAAGTTACCAAACCTGTTAGTGTCCATTTTTTTCAGACGTAAAATAAGAATAACACTAACTCTCTGTAATGTTCAATTGTGGAATTAAGGAGACAGTATTTATACAGGCAATATGTTGGGATGACACCCCAAAGTATCCCTAAAACTTAGAATATAAATCAATGGGACCCAAATAAAAAGGATGAGGTTAGACACCAGTAGAAATGACACAGCCAAAGAGATTATTGGATTATTTGTGGGTGTGTAATAGTCTCACCAACACCCAGATCAAATTTAAGTGGCCTGGGTATACTGTCATCTTTGGAAAATAGGAACTGGACTGCACCGGATTAGGTTAAGTCTCAACCTAATCGGTTGCATAATAACATAGGACGAAAACAATGTGCCAATCCCCACAGTAGGAACACCCTAATAACAGACATGGAGGCATCAGGCCAGTGAAGCAGGGTGGCATCAGCCATTAGAACCATGGAGCCTCCCGTACCCCACCCCTGGGGTTTCCTGCTCACTGGGCCACCTTCTGGTGACATTTTTACAGATGTGCCTATGGAAAGGGGATGACATGATGAGCCAACAAGCACATCCATCAAATCCCCTAGAGCGGTATCAATGGAAATCTAAAAGCCCTAGAAATGGGACCTTGGCCACCTCACTGCCCTTAGTGCCTGGGTGATGCTGGAGAGGATATTTTTAAGCCTCCATCTTTTTCTCCCATCCCAGTCTAGTCAGTTTATATGGCAATGAGGTGAGGAAAGGAAGCTTTGGTGATTCAGGTTTCTGGGGTGGCCACTGCATGCTTCATCATGACAAGACTGTGATGGTGACTTCTCAGACTTAGCAAATACTAGCACTTATCCCTTCTGAAGTAAAGCAGGTCCATTATGAGATGGTTTTTAATATGGCCACTTCTGGTATCTTTCATTTTTCAGAGAACATCTTGTATAACTCAAACTCCTTCTCCTCTCCTTCCTTAGTGCTGTGCCCTTGTTTGCTTCTTTCATCTCCCAGAATGCAGTCTGAACTTCAGTCACTTCCACGGCCCCCCTTTTCCTCCACACTACGCTTTTTCCCATGATCATTCTGAATACTTGTCACTGACCCTGTGGAGATCTCTTTCTCCACAGTTCATTTCCCAGTTTCACTTTCTCCTACTCAATGATGTCCCTCTCCTACCCATTCCCAGGATATGCTGAGTTTAACCACAGTCCATCATGCCAGAAAGACTAGTATGTGACGCATGGACAAAATGCTGTTTATTTTTCATGGGACAAAATGTAATGTTTTCCTGAAGGGTTATTGTTGTAATCTCTACCTGTACCAGACAACAGACAGGCTGACCTTTAGAAGGTAAAACTAAACTTCTTCCTTTTCAACTCACCCCTGTCACCATTTCAACTTCTAGGGGTTGGCAAATAAGGAGGTAGAGCTTGTTCTGTTTGATCAGTATTCTTTGCACTTAATGATCCTTATGTGCTCCAGCTTTGGCAGTTAAATCAACAATATTAATTTTGTTTTCAGTATGTGCAGAGCACCAAACCACAAGAGAAAGTGCATGACAGACAGACTCCTTGTCCTGAAAGAGATGACACTCTATGGGGAAAGACCACCCCTACTCCAAGAACACATACAACCACTCAAATGATTCAAATGGAAAAGTAGGGTGAGCGTCATCCTTACCACAAGTGCAGTCATAGGTGTGCTCCCCAAATCAGCCTGTATGGAGGCTAAGAGCATGGGCTCTGACACTTGCCATCTGATTTTAGGCAACTGCTTAAGCTCTCTAAGCCTCTTTCTTCTCTGTAAGATGGGATACCCATAGTCTCTGCTTCATAGTGTTGTAGTGAGGATTAATTAGCACATAAAAAGTGCTTAGCACAGTAATAATAATAGCTAGTTTCTTAAGCATTTGCTTTATACAACTGTGGCAGCTAAATAATGGCCATGAAAGATATCTAGGTGCTAATCCCTGGAATCTGTGAATGTTACCTTAATGGAAAAAGGGTCTTTGCAGATGTTATTAAGTATCTTGAGATGGGGAAATTTTCTTGGGTTACCTGGGTGGACCCTAAATGTAATCACAAGTGTCCTTATAAGAGGGAGATAGAGGGAGTAAAATCTAGGAAGGGTTTTACTGAGGAAGGCAGCAATGTGATGATGGAAACCAGATGTTATGCTGCTGGCCCTTGAGATGGAGGAAGGTGCCACCTTCATCCTAACCTAATATAAAAATCCAGATTTACAAAACAAGTCAGTGAAAAGATAATTATTTTTTCCTTGTTGCAACTTCTTTCACTCTGGACCCTGGGTTATGGGGTTATGGGATTGGTGAGGAGTGGTTTGGGAGAAAGCTGTGGCTTGAGGCTCTTCAGGTCTCTCCCTGGCCTAGAATAAAGTGGGTCAGGAAGGTTCTGCACATGTGAGTACAGGTGTGTGGTGAAGCCTAGTGAGGATGGTAGATTGGTAAGTATGATCCCTGGATACACCTCCCCATCATCAATGAGGAGATGGGAAGAGGTGAGAGTTGGATGAACCAATACAAGGGAGTCCTTTAGAATAGTGCCTGGCTGTATTCATTTCCTATGGCTGCTGTTATAAATTACCACAGACTTGGTGGCTAAAAACAGTACACATTCATTCTCTCACAGTTCTGGAGGTCAGAAGTCTGAAATCAGTGTCACTGAGCCAAAATCCAAGTGTCTGCAAAGTTGAGCTCCCTCCAGAGGCTCTAGGGGAGAATCTGTTTATTTCTCTTTTCCAGCATCTAGAGCTGCATTCTTGGGGACCTTCCTCCATCTTGAAAGCTGGCAGCATAGCATCTTGTTTCAGTCGTCACCTTGCCGCCTTTTTCTGTATATAAGAAGTCACCTAGGCAAGCAGTATGCTAAATGATTAATGATCAAAAGCTTAGTTGCTCTTATGAAAGACTCTACCAGACTGGCTCCTTATCATTGCCATTCAGAAGCTATTTGTGTCTTCAAGGAAGCCACTTTAAAGAAACACAAAAAACAAACCAACACCCTGTCACATATGTTCTTGTGGCCTGAGTCACAGGGAAACACAGAACGGAGAGAACCAAGTTTCCTATCTGTGACCTGACTCCACCATAGCCTAGACCCAAGTGACGCCTATAGCACTTCCAAAGTCCCTGGGAGTTTGGATCCAGGTCAGGACTGGTAAATACCAGTGGGACTGGGTCCCGGCTCAGTATCAAGATCTATCTGTTTCCCCCAAGGGTTTTCCAAATTTCCTAGGGTACCTGAGCCTGGGGAACAGCCTTTAGAACAGCACTGTCCAATAGAAATACAGTGGTCTCTTGGGATATGCAGAGGATTGGTTTCAGGACACCTCCAACACAGCTACCAAAATCCACGATGCTCAAGTCCCTTATATCAAATGGTGTAGTTTGTGCTTATAACCTACACACATCCTACTGTGTATTTTAAATCATCTCTAGATTACTTGTAATACCTAAGACAATGTAATTCTATGTAAATAGTTGTTATACTATATTTTTAAAATTTATTTTTATTGTTGTATTGTTATTTTTTTCCAGGTATATTTGATCCACAGTTGGTTCAATCCACAGAAGCAGTACCCACAGATATGAAGGGCCAACTGTATAATGTGGGCCATGTACAGTTTTATTTATTTATATTTTTAGAGACAGAGTCTCACTCTGTCACCCAAGCTGGAGTGCAGTGGCACAATCATAGCTCATTGCAACTTTGAACCCATGGGCTCAAGTGATCCTCTTGCCTCAGCCTCCCGTGCAGCTGGGACTACAAGGATGCATCACCATGCTCAACTAATTATTTTTTTTCTAGAGACGAGGGTCTACACCCTATATTGCCCAGGGTGTACCTAACTTTAAATGGTCAAGTAGCCACATTAAAAAAGTAAAAAAAAAAAAAAAAAAAAAAAAAAAAAAGGTGAAATTAATTTCAACAATATATTTTATTTAAACCAATATATCCTAAATATGATTTTAACATCTAATCAACATGAAAATTATTCTGTTTTTGGCTGGGCACGGTGGCTCACACCTGTAATCCCAGCACTTTGGGAGGCCGAGGCTGGCAGATCACTTGAGTTCAGCAGTTTGAGAACAGCTTGGCCAACATGGTGAAATACCACCTCTACTAAAAATACAAAAATTAAAACAAAAAATAAAAATTAAATAAATACAAATACAATTCAAAAATTAGTCGGGCTTGGTGGCACATGCCTATAATCCCAGCTGCTCAGGAGGCTGAGGCACAAGAATCACTTGAACCTGAGAGGCACGAGGTTGTAGTGAGCAGAGATGGTGCCACTGGACTGCAGCCTGGGTGATGTAGTGAGACTCTGTCTCAAAAAATAAAAATAAAAATAACTCTTTTTTTGTGCTAAGTCTTCACAATCCAAGGTGTATTTCACACTTAATACATCTCAGTTCAGACTAGCCACATTTCAAGTGCCCACTAGCTACATCTTGCTATATTAGACAGCACAGGTCTACAGCAACTTGACTTGCCTGCTCCTACCCACTCTACCTCGCACTCTCATCAAATGCAGAGACAGTGCCAGGGATTTCATGAGAGGTGGGCCAGAAAAGCTCAGGGGGACTTTTTTTTTTCATATACGGCAACAAAATATGTTGCCCAGGCTGGCCTCAAGCAATCCTCCTGCCTGGGCCACCCAAAATGCTGGGAACCTGTAAAGGTGTGAGCCACAATGACCGCTCACGTTTTTTTTTTTTTTTTAACAAATCTTTGTTGTATATATTTATGGAGTAAAATGTGATGTTTTGATGTATGTATACAATTGGCATGATTAAATCAAGCTGATTAACACATCCATCACTTCACTTACCTATTATTTTTTATAGTGAGACATTTGAAATTTACTCGTAGCTATTTTGAAATATATATTACCATTGACTATAGTCACCCTGATGTGCAGTAGATCTCAAAACCTGTTCCTCCTGTCTATCTGAAATTTTGTACCCTTTAATCAATAATTCCCCATTCTCTCCCTCCCCACCTTCTCCCAAGCCTCTGTTAACCATTGTTCTACTTTCTACTTCTATGAGTTCAACTTTATTAGATTCCACATATAAGTGAGATCATGTGGTATTTATGTTTCTGTGCCTGGCTTATTTCACTTAGCATAATGACCTCCAGACTCATCCATGTTGTTGCTGGAAATGACAGGATTTCCCCCTTTCAGGGCCTGGTTGTTGTTATCATGGTGATGCTATGAGTCCACCAGGAAAAACAAAGTTACCCTTCTTCTGAACCATCCTGATTTTTTCCGATATCCCTCTTTTCTGCCCTGCAGAAACCAAGGACTAGTGCTCTCAGAGAATTTGACCTATATGTTATTCTAGCACCTACTTCACTTTGCCTTACAGTCAGTTGTTTATATTTCCAACTCTCCAACCAGATTATAAATGCCTTAATGGAAGGGTCCCACTCCCTGTTATCTCACTTTACAGGAAAAGAAAAAAAAGCGTGAGTTTAGCACTGTGTCATCAACAAATGTTTGTTGAATGAGTGCGTAAATGAATGAATGAGACAACCCTAGCAGGGTTGATGAATGAATGTGTATTATGGAAGCCTTCGTTTTATCTGGCACCTCCAGGTCCATACAACCTGCTTCCTAATAAACAGTGAAACAGGGCACTGTTGGGTCCCAGTCTGGAAACTGAAGGAAATACTTTTCTTTATCTTCTGTATCCTTACATGTATGAATTCAATTCATCAAATAGTTCCTGAGTAACTCCCATATTCCAGGCACTGTGCTGGGTGCTGTGGGAGCTGCAAAGATTAGTAAGAAATAATCCTTGCCTTCAAGTACCTAACAATGTAGTAGGGGCCTTTGGCAGGTGTACACAAATAATTATAACTTTAGTTTGAGTAACCTAAGTGCTCTAAGTGGACTAGAGTCCTGTGGGGAGAGGGGGCAAGAAGAGGAGGTTGCCAAAGAAGTTTCATTCAGAGATATCCTTTGAGATGATGCCTGAAAGAAGGACAGGATTTGGACAGGTGGGAATGGAGAGAGGGAAAGAAACAGCTTTTAAAAATCTGACAGATGGACTGGGTGTGGTATCTCACGCCTGTAATCCCAGCACTTTGGGAGGCCGAGGCGGGTGGATCATGAGGTCAAGAGACACAAACCATCCTGGCCAGCATGGTGAAACACCATCTCTACTAAAAATACCAAAATTATCCGGGCTTGGTGGTGCATGCCTGTAGTCCCAGCTACTCAGGAGCCTGAGGCAGGAGAATCGCTTGAACCCCAGGAGGCAGAGGTTGCGGTGAGCCGAGATCGCACCACTGCACTTCAGCCTGACCATAGAGCAAGACCCTGTCTCAAAAAAAAAAAAAAAAAAAAATCTGACAAATGAAGAAGAAACACAATACAGAGTAGGTATGGTGAGGAGCCTAAGTAGGACAAGGAAATGAACCCGATTTTAAAGATAAGAGCAAAGTGAAATAAATCACAACACTGTGACAAGGAAACGAACCTCTTTAAATGGGGTGAGGGCCCCACAGTTGGCAGGCACCCTCGTTTAAGTCAGCAACACCATGAAGAAAAGCTCTTGAGATTGGGAATTCCAGGAAGAGATGAGATCTGTGTCACACCTTCATCTGTGTCACACCCTCATGATTGCAGAGGCAAGGAATGGAGTGAAGGGCTCTCTGATCAAGAAAGAGGGAATCTCCTAAAGATTGTGACACAACCGGCCCGGCGCGTTGGCTCGCGCCTGTAATCCCAGCACTTTGGGCGGTCGAGGTGGGTGGATCACGAAGTCAGGAGATCGAGACCATCCTGGCTAACATGGTGAAACCCCGTCTCTACTAAAAATACACACACACACAGACACACACAAATTAGCTGGGCGTGGTGGCGGGCGCTTGTAGTCCCAGCTACTCCGGAGGCTGAGGCAGGAGAAGGCTTGAACCCAGGAGGGGGAGGTTGCAGTGAGCTAAGATCGCGCCACTGCACTCCAACCTGGGCGACAGAGCGAGAACCCATCTCAAAAGAAAAAAGAAAAAAAAAAGATTGTGACACAACCAGGTTGAGCAAAGCCCCCGAGTGACAGAGAAAGGATGAGAAGAGATCAGATACGCTGGGAATAACTTTATGTAACACAGAAGACATGGGCAATACTCTGGCTAGTGAGTACTACATGCTCTGGAGATTAGGGGAACCATACGAATGGAAAATCAAATAGCAGGCTGGGAAATCACCCCAGGGTGGGGAGATGGAAGAAGAATGGAGACAGTGATAGTGAGGACTGGAGTGTAAATTCTAAGTGACAGCCTTTTCCAAGCCACTAAGGTCAGGATCCAAGGCCTGGAGTAGGGTAGGTGGTTCTGTACATATCACAAAAATTGCACCCACAACAGCAGGAAAAAAATTCCAAGACTGATATTGAGGCAGGTGTGCAAAACAAAAGCAGAGACAATCTGATTTAAGGAAAAGATTGATTTACTTTCAATTTTATTTTTAAATTTCAGATCCACCTAATGCCCTGAGCAGTTTTACTTCAGAACAAAGAGCAGGCCCCTTTACCTTTCAGAGCCTGCACACAAGGGAGCCTGAAGAACACACACATTCTGCACTCAGTGATACACCATAGCTGTAAAGGAAACTAATAAAGGCAAGCTGCATTGATCATGTGGCAAATGCTAGGCCCTGTGCAATGCACTTTTACAGGCATTTTCTCATTTAATCCTTCAATATTACTATGGCATTGTTACTATCTTCATTTCTCAGATGCGGAAACAAGTTACATAGCTCACTAAGATGACAAAATCTAGTAATTAGTGGGGCTGTAGGAAGATTTTTAATATTATAAAATCACTATTTTTCCCAGTTAAAGGACTGCTCAGATTTTCTCTTTTTCATGGCAGTTTTAGTAAGATATATTTCCTAGAAATTTAAATAGTTCATGTAAATGTTCAAATTTATTGACATTAATTTGGTCATAATTTTTTTAAATGTCTCTAGAATCTGAGAAGTATTCCTCTCTTCATTTTTGATATTATCTGTGCCTTCTTTCTTTCTCTTGGCCAATCCAGTCAGAAATTTATAAATTTCTTTTAGTCTTCAAAACTCAACTTCTTGATTTGTTGATCATTTCTATTGTAAGTTTGTTTCCTATTTTATTAATTTCTTTTATCTCTACTACAATTCCATATTATTTCCTGCAACCTCCACCTCCCAGGTTCAAGGGATTCTCCTGCCTCAGCCTCCTGAGTAGCTGGGATTACAGGCACGTGCCGCCATGCCCAGCTAATTTTTGTATTTTTAGTAGAGACGGGATTTCACCTTGTTGGCCAGGATGATCTCAATCTCCTGACCTCATGATCTGCCCACCTTGGCCTCCCAAAGTGCTGGGATTACAGGCCTGAGCCACCGTGCCCGGCCAGAGAACATTTTTTATAAGGATATTCAGAGGCAATATCCATCAGCTACATTAAAGCAATTTTTTAAAAAAGGTTACATGAGCAGTAACTAAGATCATATTGCTTTTCACTTCCCATTAAGACAATAAACTTAAAACTAGTTCAACTTTGCTTATTTTATTTTTTCATATGCTTCTAATTCCTGGAAGGCTTATGTTATCACTGATTTTATTGTGCCTGACAATATTTCAAGGATATAGGTTACATTTTGCTTTATTATATACACCTAAAGATATAATCACTTTGGGAAACAAACCTAAAAAACTGTTTCATTATAATTTTTAATTTACACATGCATAATATATCAGAAAAATACTGGATACTCTCTTTCAAGAAATTCCAACATACACAACTTGGTGTACATTTACTTAATCCTCTTAGTCATTAATTTAAGATTTACAGACAGGCTTGGTTTCTATACAAGAAACAATCAATGGTATGTAACTACGATAAAGTATTCAGGAGAAATGTGTTTCAGGGAAAGATAATTAACATTTAAGGTTTTTGTCTTTTCTGTTTTTTGTGTAATTTACAAGATCTGAAGGGCTTAACCACAGATGTGAATATAAATAAGGAAAAGTTATCATATGGAAAAATATAATTCTCAAATGCTGATGCCAAAAGTAGTGTTAAAATTTTGTCTTATGAAATTTGAGTCAGGGGAGAAGGGCCAGGGCCAGGGCCCACATATACCCAAATGGTCCAAGCACTAAAAAAAAGTGTGCATTTTCTTTAGATAATTCTACAGCTGGTATTCACTTGCTTGGAAGAAGTACAGTTCTAAGATGATAGCTTCACAAATAACACTGTCATTTATAAGACACAAAAATGTAATAAACCAATCAGACTCTATATAGCATGGCCATATGAATAAAGATAACAAACTGCCTTCTTGAAATGACTACAACTCAATACTAATGAAACTGTCTAGGGTCAATGGTCTTGTAGTTTGAGGTGTTATCTGAGCTCATTGTTTCACAACCAAGAAAATTAAGGAGGCTGGACACAAGGGTGAGGTTGGAGCAAAACTTTTATAAGCAAAAGAAAGAAAGCTCTCCACAGTGGAGAACGGACCCGAGTGAGCTGCTGTTTTTACAGTTGAATCCAAAAGCTTTTATGTGAAACTCCCCTCAACTCTGTAGCTGTTTGTGTAACTTCCCTTATCTATGAAGCTGTGTATGTAACTCTCCTTATCTTTGTATATCTTGGGTAAGCACAAAGTGCAGCTTCTCTTGTTTGTGTAACTGTGGGTCTGTTTTAGGCAAGCCCCTCACCTCCCTGTGCAAGTTCCCACAGAGCCCACCATGTAAATGCCTGAAAATGGGAGGAATTTTTTTCCTGAGAGCCTGCTAATCACACAAAGAACAAAGGCTCTATGCTGGGCCTTGCCTTCTTATCAGTGCAGGTGCAGTTTGGTTTTTCCCCAGGCTGCTCTATTTATGCCTGTAGCTGTGATTTTTTCAGGCTCTTTCTCAGAAGACTAGCCTTAGTGGTCTGCCTAACTGATTTTTCCTTTTCTTCTCCCTCACTATTTCAGCTTATTAAAAGGCAAGCATGTTGGCTTGTTTCTGGGTCTGCTTTGCGGATCTGCAGTTGTATTGTACCTGGCACAGAAGCTACAGCGTATGCTATTTGGGAGAGTGGGGAAGCACTTGCCTAGAAAATCAAGATGGTTGTGTTCCAATTCTGTTTTGGCCCCCAGTTAGTCCCCCTAAGTAAGACATCTTCTCAAGGTCCTTATTTCCTCATTAAAAACAATAAGTGAACTGGACTCGTTCTTTAAGTTCCATTCTAGAACTGTGATTCTAAGGTGACTTGCAGGTTCATCTAACAAGACATAACACTCATAGTCTGTTTATGTTAAGTCACTTTTGAGATATTTATTATTAGAAACCATCCAACATGAAATATGAATTATTAAAATGTTTTTCTCCATGTTTCAAACCAGAAACAGTAATTCAGAATGCAACTAGCATCCTAATTTTTAAAATCAAAATAAGATGACCAGATTAATAAAACTTAGCATTCACAGTATTCAATCTAGAAAAAATATAATTAATAGAATGTTAAAGCCAAAAGAACATTTGAAAGACAGAAAGAGAGAAGGGGAGGAGAGAAAGAGAGAGGGAAAAGAGAAAGCAAGAAAGAGGAGGAGGAGGAGGATTGAGAGATGGAGAGTTTGAGATTGAGACTTCTTATGAAATATATTTTAACGGCAATTACTCATTAACAACTGTGCATTGAGAATATTTGAACATGTTGTTAAAAGCTAGGGGAAAAATGTCAAAACACAGAACCAAAATGATTCTGTATTTCCTAAAGATATACTTTGAGAAACAGAAAAATTATTTCCCATTTCACTATCCCCCAGTACCAAAAGGGAGCATTTTATGATATGCACATCTGTATAATATTTTATAGAAAATAAATGCCAAGGTATTTACAATTTAATTTACTATTTCCTCTTCAATTTGTTTTTTATAGCAGACATATTAATTTCATTTTGAACATGATATGCCAAATATCCTGAGGTTCCAGGAATGAAGTCATGTAGCTCCCCAAGGAATTTCTTCATGGCATCAATTGATATATAACCTACAAAATAAAATTTAAAAAAAGATATATACTTAAAACCCGCTCATACTATTTGCTTTTCAGTGTCTTTGATTTATTAGAGTTAAGACTTCTAAAGAATGTTTTTAGAAAAGAAGTAAAAAGAAGAAATAATACCAGTGAGAAGATTCTCCATGAAACCTTATAATTATCCGGGAACACCTCCTCTTCCCCTCCCACAACTTTCTGCCACCTTTTAAAATATTAAAAGGTGGATTAAAGCTGCTTTGACTATTGAGATTGTGATGTCTAGGTTGGGGCTAGGACATAAAAGAACTTAGATAAAAATAACTGGGAAGTGTTTCTAGCTTAGACGGTAATCACTTAGAACTATCCATCCAACTAGCTACTAACAGTGCAAACAGTTCATCTTCCCTGTTCCAGCAGGCAACACTTTCCTGCACTGCTAACACTGGAATAGGATTCTTTTAACAAAAAAAGTTAATGAAAAATCGATGTTACTGCTCAGTCAACAAAGATAATGGGTGAGAGTAATTTTGATGTCAATTAGTTATCCAAAACAGATATGAGTCATATAAAAAAAACACTGCCTAGAATGGAGACAGCTTAAGGACTCTATGACTAAGCAATATTAACTTGATATCAATTGCTTACTATTTAAATGATTACATTTTATGTGTAATACAAGTGTTTGTGGCTTTTACTAAAATTGAAATCTAATTTAAAAATAAATATTGTGTGAAAAAAATTCTGGTAGAGCTCAAGGATGACTGAATTTAGAACACCATACCATCAAGATCAACAGGATATCCATGCATATTGTTTAATCATTTTTAATAAAAATAATAAATTCAGAGTTAATAAATTAACTATCAATCGAAGCACATAAAATTGACTAGTATCTTTAAAGATATTTTAATCATGGTCATTTACTTTAGGAGCTCTTGAAGCACTATTACTATACTCTATGAGTTCATAATCTTTGCCTAATGGCTATGTATCTGTGTAAAATAAACTAGTGCAGAAAAATATCACTATTAGTGTTTAGTTAATTGCACATATACACTGTGTGAAACCTCTGAAGATGTGTGAGGATAGGAATTTAAAAATTACTACATTAGTAAAAAATATTCCTATAAGTATAAGAAGGATAGGACATTTATGGCATCAGAAATAGATTATTGTAGCATTTTTGAATAGTTAAGGACTTTAGGATGAAATGGACAGAAACCTAATTTAAACTAACTTAAACAAAAGGGGAGTTTACTGGAAGGACATTGCCGTATCATCCGAGCTGTGAGGAAGGCAGGCATATTGCTGGGACTCAGAGTTAATTAGAACCAGCTATGATTGCTCTCACCAGTCTGAAGTTTTTAGGGTTTTTTTTTCTGGGGTGTGTGTGTGTGTGTGTTTTGACAGGGTCTTATTTTGTTGCCCATGCTGGAGTGCAGTGGCACTATCACACCTCACTGCAGCCTTGGTCTCAAGTTTTTCTCTATGTATTAGCCTCATTTTCCTTTTTGGAGGCAAGTTGGCTTTCTTTTCATGGTAGAAAATATGGCCAATGACAGCTCCTAAGTTTTACATCTTAGAGTTTTGATCACCTAAATGAGAATGACTTGATTTGCTATGTTCCACATCTAAAAATCCAGAAGAAGATCTGCAGTTAGCCCGGTTCAAATCAGCATTCACTCTCAAAGCAAATGTTGAGCATGGGGAGCAAGCTCATGTTTAAAAAAATGTCTGTTCCTGTGTTATCCAGATAAATTGGGAGGGAGAAGGGAATTCCTAAGAAAGGCACTCCTGGTGGACAATCCCACATGCATCTGTGATAGCCAGCCACCCAGTGGCCCCAACTGATCCCCACCTCCTGATATTCACAGTCCACTACGATTTTGTACTTGTTTTGATCTGTATAACCAATGGCATATGACAGAAGTGATGCAATGTCACTTCTGAGAGTCGGATGTAAAAAAGACTATGGCTTTTTTTCTTGGGCGTGCTCTTTCTTATTCTTGGATTTTTCACTCTGAGGGAAGCAAACTACCTACCATGCTGTGGATGGTCCTTATGGAGAGGCCCATTTGGTGAAGAGTTGAAGCCTTTGGCCAAAATCCAGCAAGGACCCAACACCTGCCAATAACCACTTGAATGAGGTTTGAAGTGGATTTTCCAGTCCCAGTTGTGCCTTGGAATGACTGCACTCCAGCTGACAACTTGACTGCAACCTTACAAAAAGCTGTGAGACAGAAGCATCCAGCTAGGATACTCCTGGATTTCTGACCTTAGAAACTGAAATAATAAATGTTCACTGGGTCAGGTGCGGTGGCTCGTACCTGGAATCCCAGCACTTTGGGAGGCCAAGGCAGGAGGATTGCTTGAGCCCAGGAGTTCGAGACCAGCCTGGGCAACACAGTGAGACCTCATCTCTATAATAAATAAATAAATAAATGTTCATTGTTTTAAGCTGCTAAGTTTTGGAGCACTTTGATTTACATCAATAAATAACTAATACAGCATCTACTGTAGATTTCCAAACTTTTAATTATCAGAACCTTTTGATTTGAAAATTGTTGCCAGCAAAGTATTTACAATTATTAGTAATTGCTTTCTTACTCTTATTAATCACATATGTAAATGTCAATCAGAACTTCTTATCATGGGTGATAATAAGTGATATTAGTCTGAGAAAATTTAATTCCAGTCAAAAGCTGAAAGCAAAACAAAAACTCTTTTGATGATTTAGGGGGATATTTGGCAATGTCTAGGGACATTTTTGGTTGTCACAACTGGGGGAGAGATGGGTGATGCTATTGGTATCTAGTGGGCAGATGCCAAGGTAAATATGCTATAATGCACAGGACTGACACTCATCTACCCTCGCCCAAACAAAGAATTATCTGGCCTAAAATGCCAGTAGCGCCAAAACTGAGAAACCCTGTTCTAGGCTATTGCCCCAACTTGTATTTTCTATAACTAAAGACCACAATTAATTCTATTTTCAGAAATTTAATAGTCAATGTGTTGAACCCAACCCATTCCAAAGAAGAGATAGTGAAGTTTTAGTCACAAAAATTGATACCACAGCCTAAATTAGTACTCTTAGTCACTAAATGTTTAATTAACACAAGCTGATTTCTTCCAACAAGAAGTTATTCCTTCCTGTGCAAGCAGATGGGCATGATAAAAAAAGAGAAGTATTTGTCATTTCACATCAAAATTAAAAACAAATACATTATCTCTAAAAATGAAGATTTCTCCCAAGAAATTGCTATTATTTAATGCAGAAATACAAAAAAGGAAATTTATTCAATTGAGCAAATAAAAAGATTAAAAATTTTTACTTTAGTTCTACCAATAAAATTCACAACAGAGTATTACCACAGGTTGAAATTATACTTTTAAAATTCTGACTAATTTTTTAATAGTTTTTAAAAATTTGTTTTTATGTTATACTGTTATGTCTTTTTGAACAATCAGACTGTTTCTTTATCCAGCAATAATACAAAAAGCAGCACTATTACATGTCCAAATGTAGGTATATGTCCTTATGTATGGCTGATTTTAATATTTATCATTGCTCTCTTAAATATATTAATAAATGTTTGGTAAGTCCAAATGAACAGGGATAGTAATATGGCAAGACATCTATGATCTAGGAAGCTGTGGACTAGCTGCAAGAGGTAGTTTTAACATTGCTAAATAAAGAGAAAATGATAAATATACAAATTATTTTTTAAATAAGCTTTCAAAAACCCATACTTTAAAAATTGCTCTTTTAAAAGCAATTTTTTAAAAAAATCTCTATTTTTAAAATTGTTATCAGTGACTCCACTGAATACTACTCAGATCAAAGTATCTAAATATCCATCTCACTCAACACAGTTGAAATCCCAATGGCCACTTTTCAGTTGGTTCCCTTGGTTCTACCCTCTCAATGTCAGCCGTGGTTAGTTGTCTTCTCTTTATGTACAGCACTAGGATAGGAAACCCAAATAAGGAGTCCATGGACATCTGGGTAATCCATGTATAGGCTTCTGGGCATCTGTGAGCCTTTTACAATTATATGCAAAGTTTGTGTGTTATGTTTTTGTTTGGTTTTTAAAATATTTATATATTTGATATTGAATGGAATGGCAGTGTGTGTGTTATGTTTCTATGTGTGTATGCTAAGGAAAGGGGCCTATGTTTCATCAGATTCTCAAAAGAAACTCTGATTGGAGCTGTTCATATAATTTATCTTCCAAACTGGGACACTTGAGAATTAAAAACTAATGCCAGAACAACAGCTTAAACTGGGACTGTCTCATGTAAATAGGGACATGTGGTCACCCTACCTTGATACCATTGTTTTAGCACAGAAAATTTAAAAGCATATTCCTGGGTCAATTCTGCAGGTAATTTATTCAATATTTAAGTGATGTGTCCTCCATTACCAGGCTTACTAGAGAAGGCTCTACTCTCTAGGTATCTGAAGTACAACAGCTTTATTCAACACAATATTCCCTTGTTTCTTTCCTACCTGAGTTTACTCTAAATTTTATTTTAAACTACCTGTTACCATGTTGTTAACTGGGTAATTCTGTAGAGGGAAGTACATCTGCTTTTCTACAACTGGAGTTCTTATAAAATGCTTTTCTGGGCTGTAAAATAAAGCATACAGAAAGTCACACATACATAGTATATATATGTCTATATGTATTACATTTATATTAAAGTATATTTATAAATAAATATTTATAATACATAATTACCTTTACTATAGTATACTATACCACATATGTATATATTTGGATTTGTTTTACAAGTAAGAACTTATTCCAGGCAATATATATAGTGATTTTTTAAAAATATATAGAATGCTTCACAAATTTGCTTGTCATCCTTGCGCAGGGGCCATGCTAACCTCTGAATAGTTCCAGTTTTGGTATATGTGCTGTCAAAGTGAGCACATATATAGTAATTTAATTGCTCTTTGATCAGACTTCAGTCTTAATGGGTGAAAATGTTAATTATGAACTTCTTTTGTGCTTTTAAGTAATATAAAGACCCATATAGATATTCTAGTGTTCTTAGCCGCTTCACAAAACAAGTATTTGAGTCTATAGAGTCCTGGGTCTTTTTCTCCATATCCCTGAAAGTACAATAATGCAATACTATATATTTAGACAAAATACACATATACATATACAGTATTAAATCTGCCAAAAGAAAAGCATAGTAGATTCTATTTTAAATGATCACAACATGTTTGTTAGTATTCAAATAATTGGGCATCTATTAACTAGTATTTCCATAGTTTACTATAACAAATAAAAACTGATGTCTAGGCGAGGCGCAGTGGCTCACACCTGTAAATCTGGCACTTTGGGAGGCCGAGGCAGGTGGATCACCTGAGGTCAGGAGTTCGAGACCAGCCTGGCCAACATGGTGAAAGCCCATCTCTACTAAAAATACAAATCAGCTGGGTGTGGTGGCACCCACCTGTAATCCCAGCTACTCGGAAGGTTGAGGCAGGAGAATTGCTTGAACCCAGGAGGCAGAGGTTGCAGTGAGCCAAGATCGTACCACTGCACTCCAGCTTGGGCAACAGAACGAGACTCCACCTCAAAAAAAAAAAAACAATTGATGTTCTAATTATACAATTATAAAATCTAAAAAAATGTATATTCTTATTTTTAAAAGCTAAAAGGTGGCCAGGAACAGTGGTTCACGCCTATAATCCCAGCATTTTGGGAGACAGAGGTGGGCGGATCACTTAAGGTCAGGAGTTTGAGACCACCCTGGCCAACATGGTGAAACCCTGTCTCTACTAAAAATACAAAAATTAGCCAGGTGTGGTGGCGAGCAGCTGTAATCCCAGCTATTCGGGAGGCTGAGGCAAGAGAATTGCTTGAACCTGGGAGGTGGAGGTTGCAGTGAGCTGAGATGGCGCCACTGGAACTCTAGCCTAGGTGACAGAGCCAGACTCTGTCTCAAAAAAAAAAAAAAAGCTAAAAGGATCTCAACTAAAAGATCCTATTTTCATTCATGTTTTGAACAGTCACTATTCAAAAATGACAATGTTTACTATACTTAGATCACATATAACTAACAATATAATTGTATAAAAATAAAAACCTCAATAATTAAAAATTGGAGTCATCCTTAAATTTATTATTTTCCTAAAAATCTAGAAGTACACTGAGTAATAGCAAAGGCTTTATTTTCCATTTTTAAGGCCTGGTGCAGTAGCTCACGCCTGTAATCCCAGCACTTTGGGAGGCCGAGGCGGGTGGATCACCTGAGGTCAGGAGTTCACAACCGGCCTGGCCAACATGGTGAAACCCTGTCTCTAATAAAAATACAAAAAAATAGCCAGGCGTGGTGGCACATGCCTGTAATCCCAGCTACTCAGGAGGCTGAAGCAGGAGAATCACTTGAACCTGGGAGGCGGAGGTTGCAGTGAGCCAAGATCGCGCCATTGCACTCCAGCCTGGGCAACAAGAACGAAACTCTGTCTCAAAAAAAAAAAAAAAAAAAAAAAAAGCTTCTATTTCATTTAAACTCTCCCAAAAGAAACTCTACTCATCAGGATGAGGTCCTACAAATAAAGCAAAATTGTGTTCCCAGAAAAGTCAGGGACCACCCACTATTTAATTCTGGCCAAACAATAAGAGATAAAGGGAAAAAAGGAGGGGGGGGGATGAAAAGGAAGAGATGTTGTGAAAGAAGGAATACTTTCATTATTTTATTTTACTATTTTTTTTTTCGGAGGACAGAGTCTTGCTCTGTCACCCAGGCTGGAGTGCAGTGGCATGGTCTTGGCTTACTGCAAGCTCAGGCCTCCCAGGTTCAGGCCATTTTCCTGCCTCAGCCTCCCAAGTAGCTGGGACTACAGGCACCCGCCACCACACCTGGCTAATTTTTTGTATTTTTAGTAGACACGGGGTTTAACTGTGTTTGCCAGGATGGTCTCAATCTCCTGACCTCGTGATCCGCCTGCCTGGGCCTCCCAAAGTGCTGGGATTACAGGCGTGAGCCACCGCACCCAGCTGGAATACTTTCATTATTAACAAATGATATGACTGTGCACCCTGAAGAGCCAAGAGAGAATCGATTAAAATATCCTTAGAATCAATTAAAATATCCTTAGAATCTTAAGGAATTCCAAATGGGTAGATATAAGACCAATATCCTCATTTCAATAACTCAGAGTGGCTGCTTTCGCTGGTTAAGTGGAGGTATCTTCAGGGAAATCTGAACCCGTGATGATCCCTGGCAACCCGATCTGTTTTTGGCTGTTTCTAAACATTAGGGAATGGAAACTCCGTGGCGGCTCTAAGTAGCCTGGTTTCAGGCTCTCATGGATGCACTGATAGAAGGTGACACCTGTATGCTAAATTATGAGAAAACCCCAGCAACTCCAGTTTCAACATATTGAGGAGATGCTTCTGTTGCTTCCCAATTTGCCCATATGAAGACATCAAAAAAGGACTTAAGGATTCAGAGAAAGAGAAATCTTATGTTAAAGAAAAGAATTAGATTTTTGGAAGAAAAGCTTATAGGAGCTCAATTAGATGAAGAAACAAGTTTTGTGGAATACCAACAAGTAAATAAGGCCTATTCTGTATATTGAAAGATTTGCATTGAGAGATGATTTAAAGAGCAAATTGGATAAAATGAGTAAACACAACTCTGAATCTTTAAAAGTATTGAATAAACAGATGCAATCTAAAGAAGTAGAACTCTAGCTAAGGACAGAGGTGGAAACTCAGCTGGTGATGAGGAATTTCAATCCACCTTCATCAAACTGGGAGGTGGAAAAGTTAAGCTGTAACCTGAAGATCCACGGTTTGGAACAAGAGTTGATGAGGAAAGAAGGTAACGATCTCAAAATAGAACTACTCAAAAACCAAACAAACCTATCTGTATGAGGAAGACAATCTTGAAGAGCAGAGATCTCTGAAGAGTAAGAACTTCAAGTGATAATACACAGAATGTATACTGGCAACTGAAGAGATAAATGTCTAATTTATATCTGGTGACTCAAATGCTAGCTGAACTATTAAGAAAACTGGAAACCCCAACTGCAATCAAGAAAGCCTGCACCTCAGTAAGATGCATTGAAGACCCTTGGAAAGACAGCACAAAACTGCACATGATGAATTTTACTGCAACATACACAAGACATCCCCTTCCCTGACCAAATGGCAAAGTTCTTTTTTATACTACATCTTCCTCTTTACCAGGAGATATAAAGGTTTTATCAGAGAAAGCAGTCCTCCAATCACGGACAGATAATGAGAGAGCCATTCCTAATGAGGGCACACACTCTTATGGCAGAAATTCTCTGGAAGATCATTTTGAGTATTCCCAATCCCTCCTGACTCAAGTGAGACAGCATTTAGGGAAATTAAAGTAAAATTTTGCCTTCTAACCAATGTGCCACTACTGCATTACTTGGATCAACATAATAAAAATTTCCTTTATAAGACTTAACTCTGAAGAGACTCATCATTTGATCACAAGGACACTGTCTCTCAGTGGTTCTCTCAAGAAATTACTTAACAAACTAAACGTAGATTTTGATTAAAATTTTGTAGAGTTCTTTAGTATATGCATTTGAACATACTGTATGATATTATGTAGTTTATTTCCAATATGAAAGAATACCCTCCAGCTCCATATTCTAAGAAACAGATATATGCTACTAATTTTTTTTTTTTTTTTGATACATGGCCTCACTCTTTCACCTTGGTTGAAGCACAGTGGAATGACCATAGATAGCTCACTGCAAACCTCAACTCCTGGGCTTAAGCAATCCTCCTGCCCCAGCCTCCCAAGTAGCTAGGACTACAGGAGTACACCACTACACCCAGTTAATTTTTTTTTTTTATCTTTTGTAGTGACTGGCTCTCTCTCTGTTGCTCAGACTGGTCTTGAACTCCTGGCCTCAAGCTATCCTCATGGCTCAGCTTTCCAAAGTGCTGGGATGACAGGTGTGAGCCACCATGCCTGGCCTGCTACTATACTAATTAATAAATACCTTGGGCCCAGAAGTTCAAGACCAGCCTCAGCAGCATAGTGAGATGCCATCTTGACAAAAAAAAAATTTAATTAGGCTGGGCGAGTTGGCGCACACCTATAATCCCAGCACTTTGGGAGGCCTAGGAGGGTGGATTGCTTGAGGCCAGGAGTTTGAGACCAGCCTGGCCAACATGGCAAAAAAAAGTTTCTATTAAAAACACCAAGAAAAATTGGCTAGACGGGGTGGTACACAGCTGTAGTCACAGCTACTCAGGAGGCTGAGGCACGAAAGTTGCTTGAACCCAGGAGGTGGAGGTTGCAGAGGATATAGTGAGCCAAGATTGTGCCACTGTACTCCAGCCTGGGTGACAGAGCGAGACCCTGTCTAATTAATTTTTTTAATTAGCCAGGCGTGGTGGCCCACATCTGCGGTCCTAGCTACTCAGGAGGCTGAGGTGGGAGGATTGCCTGAACTCCTGGGAGTTCCAGGTTGCAGTGAGCTATGATCATGCTACCTCACTGCAGCTTGGGTGACACAGCAAGATCCTGTCTCTCTCTCTCTCACACACACAAACTAAGTAAATAAATAAGGTGTTTAAGAAAGAAAAAAAACTCCTCTTTATACCATAATTTCCACATCCGATAATTTACATGAAGAAAACTATCAAAAAAGTAGAGCAAGATTTATTTTTAAAAAGATGTTCATGGAAGTGTCATAAAAGTAACAAATTCTAGGCCAGGTGTGGTGGCTCATGCCTGTAATCCTAGCAGCATTCTGGGTGGCTGAGGAGGGAGGATCTCTCACTTCAGCCTGGGAGGTTGAGGCTGCAGTGAACTGAAATCGTGCCACTGCACTCCACCCCTGGGGGTCAGAGTGAGCTTTTGTCTCAAAAAAAAAAAAAAAAAAAAAAAAAAAGGTTAAACAAAATGAAATGCCATATGCTGCCAGTACACATCATAATATCAAATAAGATTTTTCGGCCAGGCACGGGTGGTTTATGCCTGCAATCCCAGAACTTTGGGAGGCTGAAGCAGGTGGATCACTTGAGGCCAGGAATTTGAGACCAGCCTGGGCAACATGGCCAAACCCCGTCTCTACTAAAAATACAAACAATTAGCTGGTGTGGTGGGGTGGCATGTGCCTGTAGTCCCAGCTGCTCGGGAGGCCAAGGCACAAGAATTGCTTGAACCCAGGAGGCAGAGGTTGCAGTGAGCCGAGATCACGCCACTGCACTCCAGCCTGGGCAACAGACTAAGATTCTGTCTCAATTAAAAACAAAAAATGAAGGTTATCACTGGGAGAGGATTTGGGAGAAATTAGGATTTTATACTAATTCTGTACTGCCTGATTTTTCATACATCAAGTTTGTATGATGTAAAAAAAATCAACGTCCCTAGTACTATGCTAACAAATGCTTCAGCAGGTAAATTGAGGGTATATTTTATCTGTGTTCACACTGCACCCTCTGGTGTTTCCACAGAGAAAAGGCTCTAAGTAGACACCTACCTAGGGTTTATTCATATCCTTTGTCCATTTCTGTTGTTTTTGGATTGGACATATTTTTCCCAGATTTCTAATACCTCTTTGTATATTAAGGAAATTAGCCCTTATGGGAGAAAAACTTGAAAAAATTATATAAATTACATCATTACTTTTTATTTTGAAGAAAGATAACTACTATTTGATCATTTATATTACAGCAGCTAAATACCAGACTGTAGGGTACCCCAGTCCCATCCTCCCCTCCCCTGATTCCACTCCTGGCTTGCTTTCTGTGTCCTGACCAAAAATCACAGAGGGCTTTGACTGCTCTGTGAGACAGCCCAGTGCAGGGTTTTCCCATCAGGCTTGAACTCAAACCAGGACCTTAAACATTTCCAGGCACTGATAAAGGTATCTAGGTTGCTGCTCAAAACACTGAAAGAAACTGGCCTCAGCCCTGAGCCAGATTCCTTAAACCCTCATATAAACTCCATACCCAGACCCCCTCACTGTGGATATACCTAGGTAGAACACCCCTTATATCTTGTCCATTGCAAGGATTGGTGCGATACTCTGCAAGTTCCCTCAATAAATGCTTTAGACTGATTACTCTAGCTAGTGGTTCTTTCTTTAGAATCCCAACTGGCCCCAGCTTGGGACTGTTTGGGGCACTCCGTTGTGGGGATTCCCCTGCCTCCACTTTTAGATTGACTCCGGCCACAGGTTTGGAGGGATAAAACAGACTTCTGAAGAACCAATGTTCCCTATGAATATTTGAAAACCAACTGAATTGGAAAATATGAAGCTAGGACTAGATCATGTATAAGCCTGCAATGAGAAGGCCTCTTATAAACTGTTCCTAATACAATGGCAAGGCCATGTTTGTTTGTCTTTTTAAATTAATTTCTTGTTTTTCTTTGAGACAGAGTATTGTTCTGTCACCCAGGCTAGAGTGCAGTGGCGTGATCACGGCTCACTGCGGTCTCAACCTCCTGGGCTCAAGCGATCCTCCCACCTCAGCCTCCAAATAGCTGGGACTATAGGTATGTGCCACTATGCCCAGCTAGTATTTTAAATTTTTTATAGAGGTGGGGTATCCCTATGCTGCCCAGACTGGTCTCAAATTCCTAGGCTCAAGCAGTCATCCGGCTTCAGCCTCCCTAAGTGCTGAGATTACAAGCATGCGGCACAATGCCCAAATTTAATTTCTTAAACCAACGTAATATATTAAAGCAATTTGGAAAGAAGATGGGAAATCACTCACCACTTTTCATCCTAATAAAATTACTGCTAATATGTAGTGTATTTCCTTCCAAGTAAAAAATATATTTTAAGATTCTTTTGTAGTTCATAAGTGTGATGATGGGGTTTTCACACACAGATACGTATAATTTTTAAATAATTTATTAACTGCTATCATAACATACATAAAATCCTTGTCTCCTTTCTGCAGAGACAGTATAGTGTGCTATACTATGAGATAGTATAGTATTCTACATAGTAAATACCTGGTATAGTATTTAATGACTACCATTTAAATAATGGGCTCTGACTCAGTGCAAATCCTGCTTCTCCCGTACTTAATAAAGTTTGTATGACTTTGGGGAAATTGCTTATCTTTCTAATCATAGATCTCTTTTTTTTGTATAATGGGAATGATTATAATGCTATCTATCTCATAGGAAAACTGAAAATTAAATGAGATAAGCACACAATCAGTGCTCACAGATTTCTACATTGAATTGAATATTAATGAAGTTTCTGAATTCAATACCTTTTGGATAATTCTTTTTTGTGCTCTGTTGCTAGTTCACTGTTTTCCCTAAGGGTCTTTATTTCATTTGGTGTTACTTCATCATGCTGTGGATAGAAAAGTAAATCACATTTTAAAAAATCGTCATACCAGTGATCCAATCAGTAATGTTTTTAAAAAGGAAAAATAAACTGGAAATATATATCTCAAAAGCCATAAAAATATTTACACATTTAAGTCCACTCAATCTAGCTGAGTGAAGAAAATTTACAAAATTTTTTCCACACACACATATAATTATACTATATATTTTTGGAGACACATAAAGAAGACCAGAATTTTAAATATACCAGCTGTGGTTATGTCAGATAAGTAAAACTTTAACTGATTTTATTCTCTTTTCAATTATTGAAATTTCCTCTAATGTGGTTATATTACTTTTTAGTCACAAAAATAAGGAAACAAAAAATCTTGCTACTGATTTAAACTTCCTTAAAATCCTTGACTTAGGGATTCCTGTGAGCTACAAATCAAAAATATAAAGTAAGCTGAACAAATTATATTTCTCCTTCAAAAGGACAGTGAAGTATTTGCTTCACTATATACATAAAGATATAAAATATATATCTTTATATAGATATATATTTATATATCTATTAAATATATAAATCTATATGATATATAGATTTATATAATATATAGATATATAAATATATAATATATAAATGTATAATATATAATTATATATATCTATATAAATATAATATATATCTATATAAATATATATCTTTATAAATATATATATCTTTATAAATATATATTTATATATTTATAAAGGTATAAAATATATAACTCAAAAATATAAAGAAAGCTGAACAAATTATATTTCTCCTTCAAAAGGACAGTGAAGTATTTGCTTCACTATATACGTAAAGATATATATGTAAAGATACAAAATAACTAAACATATGTTAAGCTTTTTCCAAATATTCTGTGAAAGCAACTTAGATACTGGTACCTATCATATAATCTATTTATTTTATATACCAGTAAGAAGTTTCTTTTTTTTCCTTTTCTTTTTTTTTTTTTTTTTTTTTTTTTTGAGACAGAGTCTTGCTCTGTCACCCAGGCTGGAGTACAGTGGCAAAATCTCGGCTCACTGCAACCTCCGCCTCCCAAGTTCAAGCAATTCTCCTGCCTCAGCCTCTCGAGTAGTTGAGATTACAGGCGCCAGCCACCACATCTGGCAAATTTTTTGTATTTTTAGTAGAGACGGGGTTTTGCCATGTTGCCCAGGTTGGTTTTGAACTCCCAAGCTCAGGCAATCGGCCCGCCCCAGCCTCCCAAAATGCCAGGATTACAGGCGCGACCCACTGCGCCCAGCCACCATTAAGAAGTTTCTATATTTAAATAAAAACTTAAATCCACTCCAAACAATTGTAATGCTCCCCAGATTTACCCTAGTTATTGCCATTCAATGAATACCTTCCACGTATATATTCTATGGTTACATTATTATAATTGGCTAATACTCATATCAACCAATATTTTGAAAGAATTGACAAATTCTTTTATCATGTAATAATATAACTTCTAGAGTCAACGTCCATACAAGCACGTTTTAGTAATTTTTTAGTAGAAAAAACATTGGATTGGGTTAGAGCTGAGAAAATTTGGCTCCACTTTGCCAATGTGTACTAAAATGGGTCATTATATTTTCTTTACCTTAGTTTTCTCATGTATAAAGCTAAATGATGAAATTAATGATCTTTAAACTCTAAAGTTCTGCTAGAGTCAATAATTACCACCAAATAATAACCATTGCATTACTGCTCACATTCCTGGAAACACTGTGAAAAGTCAAGGATTAGATATTTCAGTCCTTAGTACAACATACTATTACCTCCTAGAAAAAAAAACTGAAAGAACTATTATTTTCAGATGATGATGCCTTGGGAAGAAAAAACAAATTAATGACAGAAATATAAAATATATAAGTTGATGGCCTGATTTTGGACATAATGTAAAGGTTTTCTATATGATATGGCTGTGGGTTTGAAGTTTAAAAAAAATAAAATAAAAATGAAAGATTTTCTCCCTAACTCTTTGTTGTGAAAAATTTCAAACTTACCACAAAGTTAAAGAATAGTACAATAGGCCAGGCACAGTGGCTCACGCCTGTAATCCCAGCACTTTGGGAGGCCAAGGCAGGCGGATCACGAGGTCAGGAGATTGAGACCATCCCGGCCAACATGGTGAAACCCCGTCTCTACTAAAAATACAAAAAGTAGCTGGGTGTGGTGGCGGGTGCCTGTAATCCCAGCTACTCGGGAGGCTGAGGCACGAGAATCGCTTCAACCCAGGAGGTGGTGGTCGCAGTAAGCTTGAGATCCCGCCACTTCACTCCACCCTGGCGACAGAACGAGGCTCCATCTCAAAAAAAAAAAAAAAAAAAAAAAAGAATAGTATAATAAATACCATATACCTTTCACCTAGATTCACAAAGTGTTAACATTTCTGACACCTTGAGTGCCTCCTCTCTCTTTTTATTTTTGTGGAACCACTTGAAAACATTTGCAGATATGACATTTCCACTCTCTAATACCTGGCATGTGTTTTCTAAAAATATACATTGTTTTATCTTTACAACACCACTATCACACTTAAGAAAATAAAATGTAATACAGTATCACCCATTATACAGTTCATTGTTAAATTTTCCCAATTGCTCTCCAAATGTCTTTTATACCTCTTTTTTATGTCTCTTAATCTACTATGCTCCTATTGCTTTTTTTGTATTTTATGACATTAACTGATGTTAGAGTCCAGGTCGGTTAATTGTCTTGTGGTATGGTCCATATTCTGGATTTGTCTGAATGTTAACTCATAATTAAATTCGGGTTAAATGTTTTGAACAAGAATACTACACAGATAATATTGTGTATTTATTATATCATATCTGACTGAACATAATGAAAGGTTGCTCCAATATTGGTGATGCTGTTTGCTAAGTTAGTTAAATGGTGCCTGCCAGATCGCTCCATTGTAAAGATACGCTGTTTTACTTTGTAACTAATATTCAATCTGTGGGTGATAATTTGAGATCATAGGTTTAGAATCCATTAATGACCTTATCTAAATCAATTATTAAATTGAGGGTTTTAAAAATGGTGATTTTTCTATTTTATCTTTCTTTCTATATTTACCAGCTGCTATTTATGTAAAAGAAAATTTTCCTTCTCCCACCCTTATCTTCCTTATTTTCTTCCTTCTTTCCTTTCTTCCTTCTGTCCTTCCTTTTTTCTTTATGTCTGCTTTTGGAGTATCATATACACGTATGGAATGCTTCACGAATTTGCGTGTCATCTTTGCACAGGGGCCATGCTAATCTCTGTATTGTTCCAATTTTAGTATGTGTGCTGCCGAAGCAAGCACATGGATTCTTTTTACCTAACATATTATAATCCATTATTGTCATTATTAGTTTTAATGCTCAATTGTTCCCAAATTTGGCTATTACTTAAAGATTTTGAAGTAAGTCAAAAGCGTAAGTAAATCTGAGGCAGGATGGCAAAAGCTACAAAACAGCTATTTTTCCAGTATTGTACACTTTTCTTCTTCTTGTTTTGGTTAATCAGGCAGCCCCCGAACCAGAATAGGTTCAGACAGACTCTTGTACACATTTATTGAGGCGTGTTATTCAAAACATTGAACAAACTGTGCATCATAGGAATTCACCAATCAGAGTCTACACTGGCAGTAAAGAACTGGTAAATGGCAGGGCGCGGTGGCTCACGCCTGTAATCCCAGCACTTTGGGAGGCCGAGGCGGGCGGATCACGAGGTCAGGAGATTGAGACCATCCTGGCTAACACGGTGAAACCCTGTCTCTACTAAAAATACAAAAAAAAAAAAAAATAGCTGGGCTTGGTGGCTGGCGCCCGTGGTCCCAGCTACTCTGGAGGCTGAGGCAGGAGAATGGCGTGAACCCGGGAGGCGGAGCTTGCAGTGAGCCGAGATCGCACCACTGCACTCCAGTCTAGGCGACAGAGGGAGACTCTGTCTCCAAAAAAAAAAAAAAAGAACTGGTAAATACTATGCACCTGTTATTCTCTTCTTATTAGTAACAGAAGCAAATTTTCAAGTTTCTTATGGGAATAATTTTATTTATACAAAATAACCTCAATTTTACTAATGCACTACTATAAAACAATGTCGAACCAAGTAATATTCAATAACAGCATGCCCTTTAAATTTCTTAATCTGTGCTGGGCACAGTGGCTCACGCCTGTAATCCCAGCACTTCGGGAGGTCAAGGTGGGCGGATCACTTGAGGGCCAGAGTTCGAGAACAGCCTGGCCAACATGGTGAAACCCCATCTCTACTAAAAATAAAAAAATTAGCCGGGCGTGGTGGCACACGCCCATAATCCCAGCTACTTGGGAGGCTGAGGCAGGAGAATCGCTTGAACCCAGAAGGCAAAGGTTGCAGTGAGCCGAGATCGCGTTGCTACACTCCAGCCTGGGAGACAGAGTGAGACTCCGTCTCAAAATAAATAAATCAATCTCTTAATCTGACTCATTGGTGCTAACATGTCACAAATAAACATTTTAAAGATAACCTTGCTTTCAGAAAATGTTGAAGCTGTAGATGCTAATCAAGTACCTTAATTTACTCTTACCTTTTCTATCAGAAAATGTTGGTCTTGTTCCCAAATAAAACTACCAATTTTTCTTCTTATTTCTGTGGTGAGAAAAACAAATCCAATACTGTTTTGGTTTTTTTTTTTAAGAATCTTCTGAATTTTGCTTAAAGTCTGAAATTTCTAGGCCAGTGTTATTCTATTTGCAACAAAATCACATAACACACTTGTTAAAATGCAGATTCCTATTGAATCAGATCATTGAGGAGGAGCTCTGGAATTTGCATTTCTAACAAACTCTCCAGATGATTCTAATACACTTTGCTAATCATTGTTGTAGACGTTTCCTGCTAGAATATATCTATATCTATATTTGTATCTCTACATTAGATGTGTGTGTGTGTGTGTATATATATATATATATATATATATCATTGAGGTATGTTCATCCACTCTTCTATCTATATTTGTATCTACATATATATTAAATATACATCAATATCTATATCTGTATCATTAGATATACATTAGATGTATATGTATATATGTATGTATAGATATACCTCTGCATTTATAGATATATATCTCTCTATATAATGCATATGTATCTATATAATGCATTAGATATATATTAGATGTATATCTAATGTCTATATAGCTATAGATATTGATACAGATACACATATATAGATATAGATATAAATGAAGGATGGATTAACAATATGTCTAGTAAACATGGTAGTACAGGAATTCTACAATGGTCAGTATGTCAAAGGACAATGTCATCATCCAAACTCAATGATCTCAAAAGTTTTCACAGTAGTCAAAAGGACAAAAAAGGTAATATTACTCTAGACTTTTGCTGTCCAGTATGGCAGCCACTAGCTACATGTAGGTACTGAGCACTGGAAATGTGTGGTTAATCCAAATTGAGAGGTGCTGTAAGTATAAAATAAATACAGGATTTTGAAGACTTAGTATCAAAAACAGAATGTAGGGTATCTCAATTTTTATAGATTATATATTGAAATAATATTTTAGATATATTAGGTTAAATAAAATATATTTCTAAAATTAATTCTACTCAATTATGTAATTAATTTTTTTAGAGAAGGGCGTCTCAGCATGTTGCCCAGGCTGGAATGCAGTGGCTATTCACAGGGGTGATCATGGTGCACTGCAGCCTCAAATTCCTGGGTTCAAGGGATCCTCCCATCTCAGCCTCTAGAGTAGCTGGGATTACAGGTGCATGCCACCTCACCCAGTTATTTTTTATTCTTAGTAATGTGGCTACTAGAAAATGTAAAATTCATATGTGGCTCACATTTGCACCTCACACTTCTACTAGACAATAGGCAGATTAAAAAGGTATACTTTTAATTTTTTAAAAGAAGCATGTTTTCATTTAAAACAGATTTTTGAAAATTTAAATACATGTTAACATAAGATGCTAAACTCAAAGACAGAATAGGAGTGATAATTTAAAATCATATAAGTAAATAGGAGTGATAAATTAAATCACAGCCATTCTACAATATAAGTTCCTTGAAGGTGGGTATTCACTGATTGGCACAAGTAGTTTTTAAAATCAATTCCCCCATCCAGTCATTAATTGATTTATGTAACTACTTAGAACAATTTAGTGTTATTACTTATAAGTAGGTTTGACCAGGACATTGACTATGGAAGGAACCAAATCTCTGGGGTTTCTAATGGCTCTTTTATAGAAATAATTTTTAAGTTGTTTGTTTTCTTTTTAATACTCTCCTCACTGGGAATATGTACTCAGCTTTAATCTGTCTTTCTGGAGATGAACACGTATCTACGATATGTATGATAACACGTATCTTGATATGTAGACAAGCTACATATCAGGAATTGATATGCTTGCCACCTACATATCAAGAATTGAGTAATAATAAGAAACCTACCCATGGGCTAGTTAAAGTTAGCCCAGGCCAGGCGCAATGGCTCATGCCTGTATTCCCAGCACTTTGGGGGGCTGAGGCGGGTGGATCACTTGAGGTCAGGAATTCAAGACCAGCCTGGCCAACTTGGTGAAACCCCATGTCTATTAAAAATATAAAAATTAGCCGGGTGTGGTGGTGGGCGCCTGTAGTCCCAGCTACTTAGGAGGCTGAGGCAGGAGAATCGCTTGAACCCAGGAGGTGGAGTTGCAGTGAGCTGAGATCACACCATTGCACTCCAGCCTGGACGACAGAGTAAGACTCCATCTCAAAATAATAATAATAAAGTTAGCCCAGAAAAAATAGGCAGGATTTGGGTAGAAGAACGGTATAAGAAAGGGTGTTCCAAGCAGGGAAAATTAAAAGAACCAATCTCAGAAGCAGTTTATTTACTTCCCCATCCTATTTCCTAGGGCTGCTGAAAAAATTGATGTGAAAGTGCTTTCAAATGTATTTTAAAAAATACAGATACATGGGTTTATTATCATAACCAATCTTTAAATATCAGAAGAAAAAATTAGAAAAATAATGAAGAGATTCAAAAGTAGGAAAGAACACATTTATTAAATGCTCACATCAGACACCTTAATACATTATCTTATTTTTAGAAATAATTTGAAATTATTAAAATAAATAGAGACAGGGTCTCACCATGTTACCCTGTTGCCCAGTCTAGTCTTGAACTCCTGGGCTCAAGTGATCTGCCCGCCTCAGTTTCCCAAAGTGCTGGGATTACAGGCACGCCCTACCGCACCCGGCCTATTATCTCATTTTATCCTCAAAACAACTTCAGAAAGTAACTTGCTAAATGATCACAAAACTAGTAAGCATTAGATCGTAGCCTGTGAAGGCAAGATCTGCACTGTTTTATTCTCCACTGAATCCCCAGCACCTACCCAGGTTGAAACCTGGCACACAGGAAGAGCTCAATGAATGTATGAATAAACAATACATAAACAAAGTCAGGATATACACCCAAGGCAATCTGATCCAAAGTCCATGCTTTTTCCACTTATGTTAAATAGATACAAAATTCAAAAATATGTGACTGAGAACAAAATAAGTACAGTTGAATTTGGCTGTTTAACAGAGATTAGCTGGATTTGGCTGTCTGACAGGGATTGGCTGAATGATCTTTGCTAACCTTTTTGCAGGCACGCAGGAGGAAGAATGAAATGACCCAAAGCCACCGAGTTTTTTATTTTGGCATTAGCTACCGCAGAGAGATAGTAGGCATGAAAAACTGTAGCATTATCTTCTATGTAATCAAGGCTCTGATATATTCTAGGAGAAAGAAAGGAAATATTTTAGGTTATGAAAGAAACAAGAATGTATTTAACCTTTCAAAAGAATAAATAAATCACTGGAAGTAGGGAGACGATTACATTGAAGCATACATGTATGCTGTCCTTTTCTGGCAAGGAAGGAAAAACATATGGCATAAGATACTCTTTTCTGGGGGCCTATATCTGGCACATCTCAGCTTTACAGGGTTGGTTAATCATCATATGAATTAGGAAACTTGATCTAAAACGGTCGTGTTCACTGGGCATCAACAGTGGATTGAGCTAGCAGCCTATGGGGCTTATCCATGGTCATTGCTATAAAGAGGGATCAATTAATCCTGAGGTGAGGAGTGTGCATGCAGTCAGAGAAAGCTTCACATATAGAAAGCAACATCTTTTCTATAGGTGGAGATAAGAAGAGCATTACAAGAAAAAGGCATGCATGAACAATAATGGCAGTTCGGGTTGACTGGGCTACGGAAGTCATGAGAAAAACTGGGAAATAAACAAGGCAGGCACAGCCACGATCTAAATCTGTAGGAAATCAGCAGCTTGGGGGTGGGGGCGGGAGTGAGGAAAGGAGGGTGGTAGGGCCCTGATCTGATGTCTGGTTTGTAAACGAAATCTGATAGCCATGCGAAGGGGGATCTCAGGGAACAGATTCGAGGCACAGTAACGGCTTAGGAAGTTACTCTGATAGTCCCGGCGAAAACGGAATTAAGGTGCTACTAAGTTAGTGTCAGTGAGGATGAAGAACAATTACAGGGATCTAATTCATGGTATTCGGCCTCTGACTGATTCATGGCGTAGGGTTGTTATTCAAAGTTATTCAAAGTTTTGGAGAACACAGGCCCTGGCGCAGGTATGAGGGGAAATGACAAGATTTGATTTAGACATTGAGTATGAGGGGCCTTCAAGGCGCTACATGCGGGTGTAGAAGAGGCAGCTGGAAACACACACTTGGAATTCAGGAAGAGGCCCGAGGACCAGGGAGAAGCCTGTGACACTGCAGCAGAAAGGAAAGGAGGTTGTCTATTTCTTTCCCTCAAATCTAGGACTGAAAACTTGCTCGTTTTCAGTCTCACCCTATCGTCAATATTATTTATTTATTTTTTATTTTATTGTATTTTATTACTTTATTTATGTTTTTTTTTTTTGAGATGGAATCTTGCTCTGTCACCCAGGCTGGAGTGCAGTGGTGCGATCTTGGCTCACTGCAACCTCCGCCTCCCGAGTTCAAGCGATTCTCCTGCTTCAGTCTTCCCAGTAGCTGGGATTATAGGTGTCCGCCACCGCGCCCAGCCTCATCAATATTTATTAGTGGACTGCAACTTCCATCCCTAACTCCCGGCTCATCCTAACATAAGAGGCACTGCCAGGTCGCCCTCAGTACCTCAGCGTGTCTGGGTGCGAGGCATCACAGCTGAACAAGAAGTCGGCGGCTCGCGGGTCACTGATCGTTCCCCCTTCAGCCACTGTGGAGGTAAGAGCACAGGGTGAACCTATCAAGCACCCTGGACCCAAAGCATCAGAGAGAGGAGGATGCTCCCCTCACCACCTAACCCGCTGCTTCCACTCAGCTTCCTACCCCAGAATTGCCTCAGATCCTGGCTAACGCTGCCGCAAAACCAACCGCGCTGCCCTTGAAACATGGCGTCGCCAAGCCTGTGGAGATGTGAGAGAGGAGGCCGCAGAGCTGAGATCCCTGATTGGTTCCAGGTCCAAAGTCAAGCTCGATGATTGGTTCTCAAGAGGAATGGCCGGGAAGGGCCTGAGGCCCTCAGATAAGGGACAGTCACTACCAGACTGAGCTGACTGGTTCTCGGGATCACTTAGGGGCCTCTCAGCCTTCCCCTGATAAGAGGAGGGCGGCGACTCGAGTTGGTGAGGGTTTTTTGTTTGGTTGGTTTTGTTTTAAATTTTGAGGTGGGGAGTTTTAAACCCTAAATATTAACAAAGTTACCATGCTTTATGTTTACAGGCATAGGGCAGATTCTGCAGCATCAAGTATTATTTTTGAAGCAAAATTCATTTCATCATTTCATCTATAAATGTTTCACTTTGAATCCCTGAAAAGTGAGGACTTAAAAAACATACACACAACCGCGACACCATTCTCACACTTAAAAGATAGTTCTTTAATATAGTCAAATAGCACCAGTGTTCAAATTTCTGTTTTACTCAAAATTGTTTTCCTTTTACAGTTTCCCACCTCTTACATCAGTTGTGATAAGTAGTTATATTTTTCTGGTGTTGTCTTCCTTTAAACATTAAAAAATTGTTTATATAAAGTTGTCCATAAAGTCTTTTACTTTTTTAATATCTGAGGGATCTCTAGTCATGGTTCTTGTTCTCATTTTTTTGTCCTTGTTTTTAAATTTTTCCTCCTACTTTAGTCACCTCTCTGACAATCTTTTTTTCATTTCTGATACTGGTCATTTGTGCCTTCCCTTTTTTTATTTCCTAATCTGATTAGAACTTCGTCAATTTTTTAGCCTTTTCAAAGAACATACTTCTGGTTTTATTGATATTCTCTTCATGTATTTCTTTTCTATATCATTAATTTTAGCTCTTTATAATTTCCTTCCACTTTTCTTTCTTTAAAATTGCTGTTCTTAGGCTGGGCGCAGTGGCTCATGCCTGTAATCCCAGCACTTTCGGAGGCCTAGGTCGGGGGATCACTTGAGGTCAGGAGTTCGAGACCAGCCTGGCCAGCATGGTGAAACCCCATCTCTACTAAAAATACAAAAAATATCCGGGTGTGGTGGCGCATGCCTGTAATCTCAGCTACTAGGGAAGCTGAGACAGGAGAATCGCTTGAGCCCGGGAGGCAGATGTTGCAGTGAGTTGAGATCACGCCACTGCACTCCAGCCTGGGTGACAGGGCAACACTCCATCTCAAAAAAAAAAAAAAAAAAAAAAAAAAAAAGGCTGTTATTTTTCTAATTTCTTGAACTAGATAATTGTTTTTGATCCTTTATTTTTCTAATATGTGCATATAAAGCTATAAATTTCCTTTGAAATGTGTGTCACATGTTTTTAAGAGGTCATTTTTTATTATTATTCAATTCAAAGTATTTTCAGATTTCCCATATGAGTATTGTGACTTGTGGATTATGTGAAATGTTTTTAAATCTCCAAGTACATATGATTTTCTAGTTATCTAGTTGTTATTGATTTCTGGAGTTCGAGACCAGCCTGGCCAACATGGTGAAACCCTGTCTCTACTAAAAATATAAAAATTAGCTGAGTGTGGTGGCACGCACCTGTGGTCCCAGCTTCTTGGGAGGCTGAGGCAGGAGAATCACTTGAATCCGGGAGGTGGAGGTTTCAGTGAGCCGAGATTGTGCCACTGCACTACTACAGCCTGGGCGACAGAGCAAGACTCCATCTCAAAAAAAAAAAGAAGGTGTTTTGTGTGATCTTTTCTCTTGAAGACCAGGAAGAGTTTATCTTTAAATGTCCCATTTTACTTCATGTGCCCTTCACAATTGTAAATTATTCTTCACCTTTTTTATCCTAATACATGCATAGTTACATTGATATATTTGTTTTTAGCCATAACAAGTTTTGATGTGCATTCTTGTCAATATTGTTTGCTTCAAAATCTATAAAGCCTAATGATTTTACTAGCTTATGACTTAAAGTTTACTGTTTCAGGAGAATTTTCCCAAATACTCAGTCGACTCAAGTTTATTTCAGCAAAAATTTCTTGCAACATACTTTTAAATATTATCTCATTAGTTTATTCCATTGTTTTATTACTTTTTTCCTGGCACTCCAACTTTGTGAATAGTGCCTTTGCTTAACTTTGATTTCTACCACTTTTCTGTGACCTCTTTTTTCCTTATGTCATTTTCATTCTCCAGGTGTTTTTCTACCTTTCTTCAATGCTAGTCATTATATTTTCATTTGAGTCTATTCTCTTTTGTGACCTTGTGGTTCCCTTTTTCTTTAGGAGATAACTTTGTCTTTCTTTCTTTCATTTATCTTCCAGCTTTAATTAACTATATTTTCATTTCCTTATGTTTTTGCCCATTTTTGTTCTTATTTTTTAGATATCTGACTCCAGGGGCTTTTCATATCCACAAATGCTTATTTGAATAAATTTTATTCTATTTGAAGTGTCAGCTTAGAATTTTATTCTGAGTCATAGTTATTTTATTTGGGGAGATTTTAATTAGTCAGAGTATATTGGATCTGAGTTTTATTTGTTTATTAATGATTTACGTAAGTTACATGAACTTGAAAATTTCTTAGACTGATTTAAATAATTTATGAATACTCTTAGGCTGATTTAAATAATTTATGAATACTCCTGACCTCAGGTGATCTGCCTGCCTTGGCCTCCCAAAGTGCTGGGATTATAGGTGTGAGCCACCACACCTGGCCTATCAGACCTTTCAAAAACAACATACAAAGCAAAACAATCATAAGGTGGGTAGCAAATTCAAAATACTCTATAATATACAGAGGGCTTTATATCCAGCCAACTAACCTCGTGTAGTACCAGGACTACACAAGAAAGTGTTAAAGATATAAGAACATATAAAATCATTTACCTACAAGCCTTTCTTGAAGAAACTACAGGATGAGTTTCATCCAAACAAATATTACTGGGAAATCCTTATTAAAATGATGGGTGTGAGTATTTACACATATAGTAGCTCTAAGGCTAAAATGAAAATAGGACAAGGGTGAGTTACTAATATGGAAATCTTATATATTGTGTAAGTTAAAAATAATGAAACTAAAAATGGGAGGAGAAGAGAGAGGGAAAGAAGAAAGTAGAATAAGTTAAATTTTTTAAAATACAGAAGCAATTAATACAGGACTTGTAGAAAAGGAAACACAGCAATTATAATAAAAATAGTTATAAAATATTGTGACACAGTTGAGGCCAAATCTATCAAAAGTCATACTTATCCATATGAATGGCTTAACTACCAAAACAAGACATCACTTTGAATCACAAAACACAGCCCAAATATTTGCAGAATATAAGAGACACACCAAAACCAAAGTGATTAAGAAAGGATAAAAATTTACACACAAGGCCGGGCACAGTGGCTCATGCCTGTAATCCTAGCACTTTGGGAAGGTGACGTGGGCAAATCACCTGAGGTCAGCAGTTCAAGACCAGCCTGGCCAACATGGTGAAACCCCGTTTCTACTAAAAATAAAAAAATTAGCTAGGTGTGGTGGCAGGCACCTGTAATTCCAGCTACTCAGGAGGCTGAGGCAGGAGAATCGCTTGAACAAGGCAGAGGTTTCAGTGACCTGAGATCGTGCCATTGCACTCCAGCCTGGGTGACAAGTGCAAGACTCTGTCTCAAAAAAAAAAAAAAAGCACAAAGGCATACTAGGCAAATGAAAACATTAAAAAAAACAAGGTATAGCAATCCTTATGTAAGTAGTATTCAGGCCACAAAACATTAAGTATGACAAAGAAAGCAAGCTTTTAATGCTAAAACCCAATTCACGATAAAGATACAATACTTATGAATGTCTGTGCACAAAAATCACATTCTGCGTAAATAGAAACCAGAGAGGCACTAATGAGTAGTTAGGAAGGCTCTCATCATTGGGAACTTTAAAACACTACTCTCAATACAACACACATCAAGTGGACAAAATAACTAAGGAGATAGAAGACCTAAACATCATAAAATCAATAAGAAAAATCTTAAGAATAAATACAAACATTACACCCTTAGAAAATATACTTTCTTTTGGAGACACAGTCTCACTCTGTTGCCCAGGCTGGAGTGCAGTGGAACGATCTCAGCTCACTGCAACCTCCAACCCCCTGGTTCAAGCAGTTCTCCTGCTTCAGCCTCCCAAGTAGCTGGGACAACATGCGTGTGCCACCACCCTGGCTAATTTTTGTATTTTTAGTAGAGACGGAGTTTCACCATGTTGGCCAGGCTGGTCATGAACTCCTGACCTTATGATCCACCCACCTTGGCCTCCCAAAGTACTGGGATTACAGGCGTGAGCCACCATGCCCGGCCTAGAGTATATACTTCGTCAAGAACACGTAGAATAGTCACAAGAAATTATCATATAATAGATCACAAAGACATATCTGCAAGTTCCGTAAGTACAAATATTATAAACAACACTTGCTAGTTACAATGCAATGATGCTAGAAATTATTAGCAAAGTCATAAACACAAAGACTTTCCCATGGAAAAAATTTAAAAATTGTTAACTATGGAGTAAAAGGGGAGATGGAAAAATTCTAAAAACAATGATAATTAAAATATTACAGATCAGCATCTATGGGTCCATTTAATGTAGAAATTGGAGGAAAATTCTTAGCATCGAGCACTGTATTAGACCATTTTCACATTGCTGATAAAGACATACTTGAGACTGGGAAGAAAAAGAGGTTTAGTTGGACTTATATTTCCATGTGGCTGGGGAGGCCTCAGAATCAGGGCGGGAGGTGAAAGGCACTTCTTACATGGTGAGGGCAAGAGAAAATGAGGAGGAAGCAAAAGCGGAAACCCCTGATAAACCCGTCAGATCTCGTGAGACTTACTATCAGGAGAGGCGCACAGGAAAGATCGGCCCCTAGGATTCAGTTACCTCCCCTTAGGCGGCTCCAACAACACGTGAGAATTCTGGTAAATATAATTCAAGTTGAGATTTGAATGGGGACACAGCCAAACCATGTCAAGCACATTTATTAGAAATGAAAGAATTCAATATATGATTTAATTTCACAGATGGAAAATATAGAAAAGTAATACAATAAAAAAGTAATATAAAAAAACAAAAAACACAAGAAAAATATAATAAAGATGAAAGGAAAAGTAAATGAGATAGGGAATAGGAAAACGAGTGAAATGCAGGCCTCAATAGAACCATATTAATAGTGCATTAAACATAAATAGGTATATCACCACAACCAAAAAGCACAGAAGACCAGACAGAATATGAAAGCAAGAAACAACTGAATTCTTGTCTATTAGGTACAACATTTAGATATGATGACACAGATAGATGAAATTGACCAAATGGGAAATGAAATACCATGCACATTATAAGCAAAAAATTCTATGTAAATATCAAACATCAAGACAAAAGGGACAAAGAAGGACAGTTAATAATGTTAATAGTGTCAATATATCAATAATACATAAAAATTATCACCATACATGTGCCTAGAAACAGGAGTAAGATATAAAATATTTAACAACTAAAAGGAGAAAAGAAACTCCAAAATCATAGTTGGAGATTTTAACACTAATCTTGCAGCAATTAATAGAAGAGGTGACACACACACAAAAAACCATTTCAAAATAAATGATCTGATGAATGCCATCAACTACTTTAATCAAAGTAAATTGTATTTATAAAAATCCTAAAAGTTGAGAATAAATATCCTTTCAGGTCCAAATGCAATATATTTACCAAGATTTTGCACATACTGGGTCATAAAACAAGGCTCAATAAGCTTTAAAATTTAAAATTTTACAGAATATGTTCTCTGACCAAAATTATACTAAATTACAAATTAACAGAAATAAAACATCTAGATATTCCCCAATATCTGGAAGCTAAACAACTCACTTTTAAACAACAGATTGCTCAAAGAACACATCACAACTAAAAACAGAAAATATTTTGAAATGGATGAAAATTAAAACACAACGTATCGATATTTCTGAGAGGTATGGAAAACAGTGCAGATGTATAGATTTATGTATATGTTAGGAAATAAAGCAAAAGCTCTATATCAATGCTACATTTAAATCTTAGGAAGCTAAGCAAAGCAAAACGAGCAAATTTAGATGACAATAAGTAGGTAGAAAAAACATAGGTGACAGAAGGAATTGACGAAAATGAAAGCTAATGAGCAATAGAAACAATGAAAACAAAAGGGTTTTTTGGTAACGATCCATAAAATTGGTAACACTTTAGTAAGTTACTAATATCTAGAATGAAAGGGAAGCTACTATTACAATTCCAACAAAGGAGTGGACAATTCCCAACATATTTTAAGTGACCAGCATAACCCCAGAAAAAAACAATATCCCTACGAACATAGATGCTAAATTTCTTAACAAAATATTGGCAAATCAAATGCAGCAATTTTTTGTTTTTTTTTGAGACGGAGTCTCGCTCTGACGCCCAGGCTGGAGTGCAGTGGCATGATCTCAGCTCACTGCAAGCTCGGTTTCCCTGGTTCATGCCATTCTCTTGCCTCAGCCTCTCCAGTAGCTGGGAGTACAGGAGCCCACCAGCACACCCAGCTAATTTTTTTTTATTTTTAGTAGAGACGGGGTTTCACCATGTTAGCCACGATGGTCTCCATCTCCTGACCTTGTGATCAGCCCGCCTTGGTCTCCCAAAGTGCTGGGATTACAGGCGTGAGCCACTGCACCCAGGCTGCAGCAATATTTTTTAAAGGTAATCCTAGTGACCAGGGTATCTGCTAATATTAGAACATTGATTGAGAAGAAATTGAACCCTGAAGATTGAAATGGGGAAACACAGGCAAGCCCCCAGTGAAAAAGTGGCCCTCAAACTAAATTTACCAAGTTCTCCCCTCCCCACCCCCTAGTCAAAGCAGCCCTTCAGCACTCAGCTGAGGAGGGTACCTCCCTTTGCCTGAAGAACATGTAATGCCCCCCTGTGAGGTAGTTAACTTGAAAGACACTGCTGAGTCTCACAAGAACCTATTTTAATAACATTATCCCAATTTATGTAGACATTAAGTGGGATCAAGGCAGAAGCAATATAACGTTAGATCAGGCTGTGATATAAGTTACATATAAAGTTAGATCGCTGCTGTGAGAACAGTACCAAACCACCTATGACCCAACACCTCACCTTGAAGATCAAATTTCAACATGTATTTTGGTGGCGGCAAACAAACCATATCCAAACCACAGCAGCCAGTCTACTAAATTCTCATTAGCCTGTGCAGTCAGAAAGATCTAGGTCCAGTGAACAGAAGTCTGACTTAAATCATCAAAAGAGAGTTACGGCTCCACAATCAATTCACAAACTAGAACCAGTTTATAGAATTCTTTCCTTTAAATTAAGAGGAAAGGTTCCCTTGAGGAAGGAACACAATACAATGTCAGAAACTTGTAATGCTGATTTTCCTCCCAGCCATCCCCAAAGGCACCCACAGCCCTTTGTCACAATGAGTGCCTTGAGGAAAGGGAAGTAATAAGACTTTTAAGGGATTGCTGGCTCTAAACTGACACTAATTCCTGAAGATGAATACTACCTGTGGCCTATCAGTCAGAATAGGTCTTTATGCAGGTCAGGTCATTGATGGACTTTTGGCCCAGACCTCTCTCATAGTTGACCGACTGTCTCCCTGAACCCAAACTGCACTCATTTCCTTAGTTCTGGAATTCATAATTGGAAGAGACAGTCTCAGCAACTGGCAGAATCCCCAAATCCACAGGTTTCCAACCCGTGGAGTAAGGGCTATTATGGTAGGCAAGGTCAAGGAGAAGCCCCTAGAAGTGCTGCTCTTTCTACAAAAATAATTAGCCACAAGCAATACTGCATTCTGGAAGGACTGCAGAAATCAGTGCTACGATCAGGATACAGGGGTGATGATTGCACCACATTCCTGTTCAATGCACCAATTTGGTCCATGGAGAAGACAGACCGATATTGGAGAATGATAGTGGATTATCATAAATTATTCAGATGGTGACTCCAGTTGCAGCTGCTCTTTTCCAGATGTGGTTTTGTTGCTTTAGCCAATCAACCATCCCCTGGTACTTGATTTGCAGCTACTGATCTGAAGAATGCCTTTTTTATTTTCTTTATACCTATTAGTGAAGACCACTAGAGGCACTTTGATTTCAGCTGGCTAAGCTAGAAATACATTTTTGCTATCCAACCACAGGTGTTTATCAACACTCCAGCCTATACTTGATCACCTTTCCTTTCCACAGCACCTCACACTGGTCTATTACTTTTATGATATTATATTGCTTGAACTTGGTGAGCAGAAAGTAGCAATTACTCTGCAATGTAAGTGTCTCAGGAAATAGATCTCATAAATATTCATGAATCTTCTGTCTCACTGAAGTTTCTAGGGGTCCCATGGTAGGAGAATCCCTCCTAAAGTTAAGGAAAACTTGTTACATCTGGCCCTCCTATGACCACAAAAGAGGTATAATCCCTACTCGGTCTCTTTGTAGGCAACATGTATCTCATTTGGGTGTGCTATGCCAACTCATTAACCATGACCTGAAAAGCTGATAGTTTTGAGTATAGCCCACAACAAGGGACAAGAGAAGGCTCTGTAACAGGTCCAGGCTGCTACATTTGTATTACCATCAGCAATGAGATTTTTCCAATAAAGTAATTTTTGCCAATTTACATGGATGTAATAAAATATCTTGCTGTATTCCTGCTTTTCATTTAATTGGTTATTAAATGGCATGTTGGCCATTTGTGCTTACTCTTCTGTGAATTGTATGTTTGAGTCTGTTGCCCCCCCATTTTTTGTATTGAGTTGTCTTTTTCTCATTATTTTATAGAACATTTTTATATTCTTTAGATATTCATTCTTTCTCATATGTTACCAGAAAATAAACCAAAAACAAAAGAAAGCAAAAAAAAATACAGATAATTGCTTGTGTTTTAAATTTCTTTATTTTCTTTTCGTTTGTTTTTTTTTTTTTTTTTTTTTTTTTTTTTTTTTGAGACAGAGTTTCACTCTTGTTGCCCAGGCAGAAGTGCAATGGCACAATCTCGGCTCACCACAACCTCTGCCTCCCAGGTTCAAGCAATTCTCCTGCCTCAGCCCTCCCGAGTAGCTGGGATTATAGGCATGCGCCACCACACCTGGCTAATTTTGTATTTTTAGTAAAGACGGGTTTCTACATGTTGGTCAGGCTGGTCTCAAACTCCCGACCTCAGGTGATCCACCCACCTCGGCCTCCCAAAGTGCTGGGATTACAGGCATGAGCCACTGCGCCCGGCCTATTTTCTTTTTTATAACTGAAGTTCTTATTATTATTTTAGCAGTTGTCAACCTAAATAATACACTGAAGGATTCTCTAAAATAAAAGATATTTGAGAACAAAGGATTGTGATGAGAATATGTGTGCCATGGTAAACTATGAGCACATTCAGGGAGGAAATGGAAGACAATGGTTTTTAAAGGTAATAATGAAGAGGATTACATTATCGTTCTCAATAAAGGTGATTCCAGTCCAAGGTTGGACAGGCAGTTGCTAGGCAGATGTCACAGAAGCATTTTTTGTATAAGGTTACAATGACCTTTGTGCAAAGTTGTGTTTTTTGCAGTCTTTTATGATACTTTTTGTTATCAGGCATAAAAGAATTAGAATTCTCTTTTCTTGGCCTTCCCTGGCTCTATTTGTCAAGCTTTCTTTTTTTTTTTTTTTAAGTTAATGACTCCCTTTTGATTTTGAAAACGTTCATAGAGTATTTATCATTATTTCTACTTTTTGATTCGTGTTTTATAACAATTTTAAGAAATTTTTATCACAAAGTCTTCTTTACTTTTTATAACAAATTTAGAGTATGTCTTTGCTATTATGACCTTAACCCTTCTGAAGTATTTTGTAGATAATAAATAATATGAAGTAAGAGACTATTTTTTTCTTTTTTTCTGAAACAGAGTCTCACTGTTGCCCAGGCTGAGTGCAGTGGTGCGATCTTGTATCACCACAGCATCAACCTCCTGAGTTCAAGCAATCCTCCCACCTCAGCCTCCTAAGTAGATGGGACTACAGGCATGTGCCACCATGCCTGGCTAATTTTTCATTTTTCGTAGAGATGGAGTCTCACTGTTTCCCAGACTGCTCTAGAACTCTTGGACTCAAGCAATCCTCCTGCCTCAGCCTCTCGAAGTGTTGGGATTATAGGCATGAGCCACCACGTCTAGCCATAGAAACTAGTTTTTTTTTCTCTCATGTGGATAACCACCTGTCCCAGCACCTCTGCTGTCCTTCCTCCTTAGCCTTCTGCTGTGATAACTTCATCATATGTAAAATCGTCCTCAATGTTTAGCTCTGTTATGTGGCTCTTCGTTCCACTCCAATGCTTCATTTATTTATCCTTGAATCAACACTAGCATGTCTTAATCACACTTTTATAGTAGATTATAGTGAATTACTGAAAATATTTCAAACTGGCTTGTAAAAAAAAAGAGAGAAGATATGACTTTTGATAAATGGAATTTTTCCGATTTGTATGGATCTGGGTTTCCAGTTAGATGGTCAGATCTTCCTATGAGATGGTAAACCGTCCTTCCCATCTGCTGGGATAGGCCCTCGAGCTTCCCCTTCAGATGCTTTTGCCTCTGCTTGTCCTTTACTCACATCTTACATTGTTAGGGTCAGCATGCGAAGGAGTTCCCCATGAGAATTTTGATGGGATTTCACTGAATCTATAAATCCTCTTGAGAATTATTCACAATGAAGTATAATTATGTAATTTCACAGAGATGGACATTGTATGAGTCTGCTAGGACTGTCATAAGGTAATACCACAGACTGGGTGGCTTAAACAGCATAAATGTATTTCTCACAGTTCATGAGGCTGGATGTCCAAGATCAAAGAGTGAGCAGGTTCGGTTTCTCCTGAGGCCTCCCCGCTTTGTTTGTGGACGCCACCTCACTATGTCCTCACGTGGCCTTGTCTCTGGGCACTGCATCCCTGGTGCCTCTCTCTCTTCTCATAAGGACACCTGTCCTATTGGATGAGGGCCCCACCCACATGAGCTCATTTACCTTTAGGAGCCCCCTAAAGTCCCTGTTTCCAACTACAGTCACATTGGGGGTTAGGACTTTAACATATGAATTTTAGGGGGACACATTCAGCCTGTAGCAGATATTTCAATTGTTTCTCGTGTCTTAATCTAATTCAAACTTAGCAGTGAGAGCTTCAGTAATCTCAGCCTCTGCCATCTCTCATAGCTGGGTAACTAGCCTTTCACAGGGTCTCACCTTGCTTGCTGAGGGTAAGTGTTAAATCACCCTTGTGACTGGCAGCTTTAAGCAAGTGCCTCATGAGGTAATAACCTACATTGGTCACATTGATTTTTTTATTTCCTTTTTTTTTTTAAATTGAGGCAGAGTCTCACTCTGACACCCAGGCTGGAGTGCAGTGGTGCGATCTCGGCTCACTGCAACCTCCACTTCCCAAGTTCAAGGGACTCTCCCACCTCTGCCTCCTGAGTAGCTGAGATTACAGGTGCCTGCCACCATGCCCAGCTAATTTTTTTTTTTTTGTATTATTAGTAGAGACAGGGTTTCCTCATGTTGGCCAGGCTGGTCTCGAACTCCTGACCTCAAGTGATCCACCCGCCTTGGCCTCCCAAACTTCTGGGATTACAGGCATGAGCCACTATGCTGACCTTATTTCTTTATTGAAAAATAAATAGATAACAATAAAAATTTTAAGTTGTAAAATGATATTAAATGAAAAGCATCTTGTCTTCCCTTCCTATCCCACTATCTATCACATATCTCTTAATTTTCATAATTTCCATTATTTTCATAAATAAGGGCTGTTTCTTTTATGAATTACTGAAAGCAATTCAAACTGGCTTGTAAAAAAGTGAAGATGAATGACCCCTGAAAAATGAACATTTTCAGATTTGTCTGGATTGGGTTTCAATTTTTTTTCTTTTCTCTTTTCTTTTTTTTTTTTTTTTTTTTTGAGACAAGGTCTTGCTCTGTCACCCAGGCTGGAGTACAGTGACACAATCTTGGCTCACTGCAGCCTCAATCTCCTGGGCTCAAGCAATCCCCCCACCTTAGCCTCCCAAATAGCTGGAACTACAGGCATGCACCACGCCTGGCTAATTTTCATTATTTTTGTAGAGATGAGATTTTCCATGTTGCCCAGGCTCGTCTCAAACTGAGCTCAAGCGATCCACCCACCTCAGCCTCCCAAAGTGCTGGGGTTACAGGCGTAAGCCAATGTGCCCAGCACTTTACTGTCTTTTACCATTTATCTCTTATATGGGATGAAGCACAGTGATTTACCAGGCCTGAGTTATGTGACTAATTTTATGGTGTGGATTGGGATGGATAATGTGTTTTCTGAAAAAAAAAAAAAAGAAAAGAAAAGAAAGAAAGAAAGAAAAAAAGAGAAAGAAAGAAGGAAAGAAAGAAAAAATGCAAGATACTGTTAACAGAAAAGGAAACAGGTGATAGGTAAGTCAATATTACAGATATTCACATTTAATGTCAATTTAAAATATAATGCATGTATTGCTTTTTTTTCTTTTTTTTTTAACTGGCGCCTGGCTCATTTTTGTGTTTTTAGTAGAGATGGGGTTTCACCATATTGCCCAGGCTGGTCTCAAACTCCTGGCCCCAAGTGGTCCGCCCATCTTGGCTTCCCAAAGTGCTGGGATTACAGGCATGAGCCACTGTGCCCAGCCTATACTTGTTTTTTTATTGTGGTAAAATGTTTGTAACATAAAACTTACCATTTAACCACTTTTAAGTGTACAGTTCAGTGCCACTAAAGTGCATTCACAATGCTGTACAACCATCACCATTATCCATTTCCAGAACTTTTCCATCATCCCAGACAAACTCTGTACCCATTAAACAGTGACTCCCCAGCCTCTAGTAACCATTATTCTGCTTTTTGTCTCTGTGAATTTGCTTATTCTAGGTACCTCGTGAAAGCGGTATCATACGGTTTTGTCTTTCTGTGTCTGCCTTATTCCACTTAGCATAATGTTTTCAAGGTTCATCCATGTTGTCGGCTGTATCAGAATTTTATTCCTCTTAAGGCAGAATCATGTCCCGTTGTGTGTATTGTACAGATGCTCTCAATTTATGATGGAGTTACATCTCAATAAACCCACCGTAGATGGAAAATATCGTGTTGCAAATGCATTTAATACACCCAACCTACTGAACATCGTAGCTTAGCCTAACCTACCTTAAACATGCTCAGAACACTTAGATCAGCCTACAGCTGGGCAAAATCATCCAACACAAACCTTCTTTTATAATCAAGTGTTGAATATTTCCCGTAACTTATAGAATACTGAAAGTAGAAATCAGTATGGTTGTACGGGTACTTGAAGTACAGTTCCTATTGAATGGTTATCACTTTTGCACCATTGTGAAGTCAAAAAATATTAAGTCAAACCATCGTAAGCTGGGGACTATCTGTGTTTGTTTTTGAATAGATAGTACATGCACAGAGTACAACATTCAAAGATGCAAAGGACCTAGAGTGAAGAGTAAATCTCTCTCTTATCCCTTCCTCCTCCCAGCCCCAGCTCCCCTCCCAAGAGACAACCAGTGTGACTGCATTCCTGTGTATCTTTTCTGAGAGTGTCTGCACACTCAGCATCTAGGTTTAAATAGTATTTAAAAATATATTTTCACACAAGTATTAGTACACCAGGCATATTGTTCCTGCATCTTGCTGGTATCTTCTTTCTTCACCTCCCCCTTCTTTTTTTTTTTTTTTTTTTTTTTTTTGTGACAGAGGCTTAGCTCAGTGTGCTAATCCAGGGGTTTTTTGAGACGGTTTAGGGGAAGGGAAAAGGTTGATATAATAATGCAGGGTTGCTCCTCGGGGTATCGATCTAGAAACAATTTTACAGAACTTCAGTTGTAAACTCAATAACATTACTTGTATAATGGTGATGGCCATGTTGTTGTTTTAATCAGTTGCCTCGTTTTAAAGTAAATTTTTATGGAAAACACATTCAACTATCATTAAAAAAATGAAGTTAAGCTGTTGGGACCATTTCTTTAAGATTTAACAAAAGTTCAGCCTTTTAGGTAGTTGAAGGGAAGTACACCCCGTATTCAGCACATGTTGAGTTTTCTACACCAGGAATTTTCAATGTGTATATTGATGAAAACAAGCTCAATTCAAACTGGACAGTTTTAAGATAATGTTAAAATCAGCACTTTTAGAGACAACGAAGGCCAAGAATCAGTACAGTAGTATTCCAAAATGATTTTCTCTAGAAATTTGAAAGTGGATCGAATAGAATGTTTTCAACCGCCTACCAGTACAATCTTTTGTGGAAGATAGTTTGAAATCACTTTCTACTTTGTTAGTAAAGTTCTCTCTCTTTCCAGAGCTGCAAGTTTTAAAGTGTTACTTATACAGACCAACAAAGAATAGTGCTGAATTAAGTGGCATTTAGTATCTAGAAGCCATTTTGATCCAAGAAGCTACTTAAGTGTCAAAGTCAGCATGAAGCACATGTAGCTTTTCTGTAAACAAGGGTGTGATACGAAAACTGCTTTTTTAAGAAGAGTAAAAGCACATTCCATGTACGTAAGTGAATTTTAAAAATAAATTGAGGCAAACAGTTAAGAAGTTTTATTTTTAGAGCAACAAGTTAACTGTAAATATTTTAATGTTAGTTTGATCATCTATGATCTGAGATCATGCCGAAGTGAGAAAAATGTCCCCAAAATACAATTTAATGCATTGGGGAAAAAAATTTTAACAGTAATTTCAACTACAATCTTTAGATCACCCTTGTAATGTGTTACGGGTCCATTTTTCCTGGAATAGTTTAATCTGAAGCAGTTTCCCCTGTTTTGGAGATTTTGTAGTTAATTTTAATTTTGGCTATTGTTTGGAAAAGATGAGCTGTCTGTGTAGATATGAAGTATAGTTTTTCCATAAAACAGATGTTTATTTTGTATTAAAAATACCACTGTACTTGTTTTACACCATTTGTATACATGTGGTGATATTAATGCTAAACTGTAAAATTCAGGAATTAAAATGTGACCCTGTAATTCCATAATTGATATTTGTGTTTGGTTTGTTGTAAATATAAATTAACTCCATTTTGAGATATGTCAATTTTACAGTATCTTTTAAAAGCCAATAAAATTATCCATAAATATTTATTATAAACTGCTAGGCCATGCCCCAATTTTAATGAAATAATTCTAAACAAATGTGGGTCAACAGCACTTTATCACTGACTGCTTATAGAAGGTAAGCCTTGGGGAAATCATAGCATCACAATATGGAGCTTTTCTCACCTCTTCAATTAAAGGTGTACATATAATAAGAAAGAAAGACCTTCCACCTCATAAGGCAGGTGACTCAGGATATTTTAAACCAAGATCAGTAAAGTTCCCATCCACTTTCTTTGAATCAGCAAGTTTTATTGAGACCCATCTCTCAGCTTTTAGTAAATTTCTTCTTATAATAAGCCCACATGTAAAACACTTTCCTAGTTACTTTTTGTTTGTTTGTTTGAATCTCGCACTGTTGCCCAGGCTGGAGTGCAGTTTCATGATTTCGGCTTATTGCAACCTCCACCACCTAGGTTCAAGCAATTCTCTGCCTCAGCCTCCTGAGTAGCTGGGATTACAGGTGCCTGTCACCATGCCAGGCTAATTTTTGTATTTTCAGTAGAGACGGGGTTTCACCATCTTGGCCAGGCTGGTCTTGAACTCCTGACCTCACGATCCACCCGCCTCAGCCTCCCTATCTTTGTATCTTATGAAGACCCTTTTTCTTTCTGAAAAGCTGCCATAAGTCTTAAACATTTAAATCATCAGAACCTTTTCTTGTAGCAGAAATGTGAATGTTTTCTTGAAGTACAGGTTACAGTTTTCATGGTACAAGTGCTTACCTACGACGATAAGAGAACAAGGCTTAAAATATCCCTTAAAAGAACAATTGTGAGAATTCCACGTTAGTGGCTGTCTTTAAATGACTACCCTCAGACAGATATGGGTTTTTATATCTTTATCTTCATTCAGTGAAGCAAGCCAAGAGCCCATATTTGTATGCTTTAGGTCCTCTTAAAATGGTATCTGTAAACATGTGTCCAATATAAAAACTATTTTTAATAAAAGGTACATGAAACAGAAAATAAATAAATAAATAAAAATAAATAAAAATAAGCTTGCATTTGAGTTTGTCTGACTTTATGTCAGAAACTCATAGAGGAAGTAATAGTATAGTAACTCTATTCAGCCAAATAAATAAATGGAGCTTTATCATCCATGCAAAGTTATGCGCATTGTCCCAGAGCTGATAGTTTCAGCCATGCACAGGAGAATTATCAGCAAGACAAAGAATTTGTTCTAGGAGCAGTAAATTGTAGGGTGAGTTTTTCACTTCTGCTGATTGGTCTGGGCCTTCCAAATGGACAAGACACCATCATCGGGTGACCAGCCTGGATACACTATCACTGGGAGGTGTTAGCAGCCCAGCTGATGTGAGCAGAAAAGGATAGAGTGTGACCTGCCAAGAGATACTGGACAGTGGCCTCCACTTTGTGTACCCGGGTTGGCCATTCTCCTTATCGGCACAGTCAGGATAAGAAAACTCTAAGTTTATTCGGATCCCTTGGAGGACACTTCTACATGGGAACAATTGCAGCTGTCATCTTGGACTTTACTTCCCAGCCAACTCAGTGGGGAAAGAGGGGAGCATTCTGGGGACCTCTGTAGAGGGGCTTCAACCTGGATAGATTCCCAATCAGAGTGAAGTTCAACTTCCTCCAGGATATTTCCTCCCCCTGGCTGCTGCGTTTTGCAATGTCCTCCCTTCATATTCTCTAGAAATCCAGACTCTCTACTTTTTTTTTTTTTTGAGACAAAGTCTCACTCTGTTGCCCAGGCTGGAATGCAGTGGCACAATCTCAGCTCACTGCAACCTCTGCCTCCCGGGTTCAAGAAATTCTCCCTGTCTCAGCCTCCCGAGTAGCTGGGATTACAGGCACCCGCCACCACTCCCGGCTAAATTTTTTTTTAGTAGAGACGGGGTTTCACCATGTTGGCCAGGCTGGTCTTGAACTCCTGACCTCAGGTGCTCTGCCCACCTCAGCCTCCCAAAGTGCTGGGATTACTATTTTACAACTTTATAAATTACAGATAAATTATAACAATGGAAAATAGGCTGGGCATGGTAGCTCACACCTGTAATCCCGGCATTTTGGGAGGCCAAGGTTGGTGGATCACTTGAGGTCAGGAGTTCAAGAACAACCAGGCCAACATGGTGAAACCCCGTCTCAACTAAAAATACAAAAATCAGCTGGGCGTGGTGGCAGGTGCCTGTAATCCCAGCTACTTGGGAGGCTGAGGCACGAGACTTGCTTGAACCCAGGAGGTGGAGGTTGCAGTGAGCTGACATCGCACAATTGCACTCCATCTTGGGTGACAGAGCAAGAGTCCATATCAAAAAAAAAAAAGGAAAATAATTATTGTTTATACATATGCAAACGAACTCCATACAGTGGAGTGACAATTCTTCCCCTTCATCACCACCACCTCCAAGGAAAAACCTGTTTCAGGCTGGGCACGGTGGCTCATGCCTGTAATCCTATCGCTGTGGGAGGTGGAGACAGGCGGATCACCGGATGTCAGGAGTTCAAGACCAGCCTGGCAAGCATGGTGAAACCCCGTCTCTACTAAAAATACAAAAATTAGCCAGGTGTGGTGGATTACAACCATGTGCCTGTAATCTCAGCTACTAGAGAGGCTGAGGCAGGAGAATTGCTTCAACCTGGGAGGTGGAGGTTGCAGAGAGCCGAGATCATGCCATTGCACTCCAACCTATGTGACATAGCAAGACTCCATCTATGAAAAAAACAAAAAAAAAGCTAGAAAGATGTTTCACCTTCCCTTAAACATTTATGTTAATATTCCTGATCTGTTCTTTGGATAGTCCTTTTGTTTTGAGAGTCTCCCTCTGTCACCCAGGCTGGAGTGCAGTGGCGCAATCTCAGCTCACTGCAACCTCCTCCTGGATTCAAGCAATTCTCATGCCTCAGCCTCCCGAGTAGGTGGGACTACATGCCACCACGCCCAGCTTATTTTTATATTTTTAGTAGAGACAGGGTTTCACCATGTTGGCCAGGCTGGTCTTTAACTCCTGACCTTAGGTGATCTGCCTGCCTTGGCCTCCCAAAGTGCTGGGAACCACCGAACCAGGCCTGGATTATCCTTTTTTTTTTTTTGTTCATTGTTTTTTGAGACACAGCCTCACTCTGTTGCCCACGCTGGAGTGCAGTGCCATGATCTTGGCTCACTGCAAATTCTGCCTCCCGGCTTCAGGTGATTCTCCTGCCTCAGCCTCCAGAGTAACTGGGATTACAAACGCATGCCACCATGCCTGGCTAATTTTGTACTTTTAGTAGAGACAGTGTTTCACCATGTTGGCCAGGCTGGTCTCGAACCCCTGACCTCAAGTGATCCACCTGCCTTGGCCTCCCAAAGTGCTGGGATTACAGGTATGAGCCACCGTACCTCTCCTGGATTGTCCTTTGAACTGATTTTAACACCTTGCCAGTTTTCTTTTTAATGAGTTAAATATAATCTTTATTTATTTTTTTTGAGACAGGGTCTCACTCTGGTGCCCAGGCTGGAGTGCAGTGGTGTGATCACGGCTCATTGCAGCCTCAATTTTCAGGCTCAAGCGATTCTCCCACCTCAGCCTCCAGAGTAGCTGGGACGATAGGTGTGGGCCACCAAACCTGGCTTTTTTTTTAATTTTATTTTTTGTAATGATGGGATCTTACTACGTTGCCTAGGCTAGTCTCTGAGTCCTGGGCTTAAGCAATTCTCCCACCTCAGTCTCCCAATGTGCTGGGGTTACAGGCATTAACCATTATGCCCGGCAAAATCTTATCATGTATTAACTTTAAAAAAAAATCTACTCCTGGCCAGGTGCGGTGGCTCATGTCTGTAATCCCAGCACTTTGGGAGGCTGAGGTGGGTGGATCACCTGAGGTCAGGAGTTCAAGACCAGCATGGCCAACACGGTGAAACTCCGTCTCTACTAAAAGTACAAAATTAGCCAGGCGTGGTGGTACATGCCTGTAATCCTAGCTACTCGGGAGGCTGAGGCAGGAGAATCACTTGAACCCAGGAGGTGGAGGTTGTGGTGAGCCGAGATCACACCATTGCATCCAGCCTGGGCAACAAGACGAAACTCTGTCTAAAAAAAAAGGAAGGGGGAAGGGAGGTGGTGAAGAAAGAGGATACCAGCAAGATGCAGGAACAATATGCCTGGTGTACTAATACTTGTGTGAAAATATATTTTTAAATACTATTTAAACCTAGATGCTGAGTGTGCAGAGACACTCTCAGAAAAGATACACAAGAATGCAGTCACACTGGTTGTCTCTTGGGAGGGGAGCTGGGGCTGGGAGGAGGAAGGGATAAGAGAGAGATTTACTCTTCACTCTAGGTCCTTTGCATCTTTGAATGTTGTACTCTGTGCATGTACTATCTATTCAAAAACAAACACAGATAGTCCCCAGCTTACGATGGTTTGACTTAATATTTTTTGACTTCACAATGGTGCAAAAGTGATAACCATTCAATAGGAACTGTACTTCAAGTACCCGTACAACCATACTGATTTCTACTTTCAGTATTCTATAAGTTACGGGAAATATTCAACACTTGATTATAAAAGAAGGTTTGTGTTGGATGATTTTGCCCAGCTGTAGGCTGATCTAAGTGTTCTGAGCATGTTTAAGGTAGGTTAGGCTAAGCTACGATGTTCAGTAGGTTGGGTGTATTAAATGCATTTGCAACACGATATTTTCCATCTACGGTGGGTTTATTGAGATGTAGCTCCATCATAAATTGAGAGCATCTGTACAATACACACAACGGGACATGATTCTGCCTTAAGAGGAATAAAATTCTGATACAGCCGACAACATGGATGAACCTTGAAAACATTATGCTAAGTGGAATAAGGCAGACACAGAAAGACAAAACCGTATGATACCGCTTTCACGAGGTACCTAGAATAAGCAAATTCACAGAGACAAAAAGCAGAATAATGGTTACTAGAGGCTGGGGAGTCACTGTTTAATGGGTACAGAGTTTGTCTGGGATGATGGAAAAGTTCTGGAAATGGATAATGGTGATGGTTGTACAGCATTGTGAATGCACTTTAGTGGCACTGAACTGTACACTTAAAAGTGGTTAAATGGTAAGTTTTATGTTACAAACATTTTACCACAATAAAAAAACAAGTATAGGCTGGGCACAGTGGCTCATGCCTGTAATCCCAGCACTTTGGGAAGCCAAGATGGGCGGACCACTTGGGGCCAGGAGTTTGAGACCAGCCTGGGCAATATGGTGAAACCCCATCTCTACTAAAAACACAAAAATGAGCCAGGCGCCAGTTAAAAAAAAAAGAAAAAAAAGCAATACATGCATTATATTTTAAATTGTCATTAAATGTGAATATCTGTAATATTGACTTACCTATCACCTGTTTCCTTTTCTGTTAACAGTATCTTGCATTTTTTCTTTCTTTCTTTCCTTCTTTCTTTCTCTTTTTTTCTTTCTTTCTTTTCTTTTCTTTTTTTTTTTTTTCAGAAAACACATTATCCATCCCAATCCACACCATAAAATTAGTCACATAACTCAGGCCTGGTAAATCACTGTGCTTCATCCCATATAAGAGATAAATGGTAAAAGACAGTAAAGTGCTGGGCACACTGGCTTACGCCTGTAACCCCAGCACTTTGGGAGGCTGAGGTGGGTGGATCGCTTGAGCTCAGTTTGAGACGAGCCTGGGCAACATGGAAAATCTCATCTCTACAAAAACAATGAAAATTAGCCAGGCGTGGTGGTGCATGCCTGTAGTTCCAGCTATTTGGGAGGCTAAGGTGGGGGGATTGCTTGAGCCCAGGAGATTGAGGCTGCAGTGAGCCGAGATTGTGTCACTGTACTCCGCTTGGGTGACAGAGCAAGACCCTGTCTCAAAAAAAAAAAAAAGGAAAAGAAAAAATTGAAACCCAATCCAGACAAATCTGAAAATGTTCATTTTTCAGAGGTCATTCATTTTCACTTTTTTACAAGCCAGTTTGAATTGTTTTCAGTAATTCATAAAAGAAACAGCCCTTATTTATGAAAATAATGGAAATTATGAAAATTAAGAGATATACGATAGTGGGATAGGAACAGAAGATGAGATGGTTTTCATTTCATATCATTTTACATCTTAAATTTTTTTTTCTATTTATTTTTCAATAAAGAAATAAGGTCGGCATGGTGGCTCATACCTGTAATCCCAGAAGTTTGGGAGACCGAGGCGGGTGGATCACCTGAGTGCAGGAGTTCGAGACCAGCCTGGTCAACATGGTGACACCCTCGTCTCTACTAATAATGCAAAAAAAAAAAAATTAGCTGGGCATGGTGGCAGGCACCTGTAATCCCAGCTACTCAGGAGGCAGAGGTGGGAGAATCCCTTGAACTTGGAAAGTGGAGGTTGCAGTGAGCCGAGATCGCACCACTGCACTCCAGCCTGGGCGGCAGAGTGAGACTCTGCCTCAATTTAAAAAAAAAAAGGAAATAAAAAAATCAATGTGACCAATGTAGGTTATTACCTCATGAGGCACTTGCTTAAAGCTGCCAGTCACAAGGGTGATTTAACACTTACCCTCAGCAAGCAAGGTGAGACCCTGTGAAAGGCTAGTTACCCAGCTATGAGAGATGGCAGAGGCTGAGATTACTGAAGCTCTCACTGCTAAGTTTGAATTAGATTAAGACACGAGAAACAATTGAAATGTCTGTTACAGGCTGAATGTGTCCCCCTAAAATTCATATGTTAAAGTCCTAACTCCCAATGTGACTGTAGTTGAAAACGGGGACTTTAGGGGGCTCCTAAAGGTAAATGAGCTCATGTGGGTGGGGCCCTCATCCAATAGGACAGGTGTCTTTATGAGAAGACAGAGGCACCAGGGATGCAGTAACCAGAGACAAGGCCACGTGAGGACGGAGTGAGACAGGCGGATCATGAGGTCAGGAGATTGAGACCATCCTGGCTAACACGGTGAAACCCCGTCTCTACTAAAAAAAAAAAAAATACAAAAAAATTAGCTGGGCGTAGTGGCCGGCCCTGTAGTCCCAACAACTCAGGAGGCTGAGGCAGGAAATGGCATGAACCCAGGAGGCGGAGCTTGCAGTGAGTAGAGATCTCACCACTGCACTCCAGCCTGGGGGACAGAGCGAGACTCTGTTGCAAAAAAAAAAAAAAAAAAAAAAAGTAATAAACCAGTGTGAGGTGCTGTGGAAAGGAAAGGTGATCAAGTATAGGCTGGAGTGTTGATAAACACCTGTGGTTGGATAGCAAAAATGTATTTCTAGCTTAGCCAGCTGAAATCAAAGTGCCTCTAGTGGTCTTCACTAATAGGTATAAAGAAAATAAAAAAGGCATTCTTCAGATCAGTAGCTGCAAATCAAGTACCAGAGGATGGTTGATTGGCTAAAGCAACAAAACCACATCTGGAAAAGAGCAGCTGCAACTGGAGTCACCATCTGAATAATTTATGATAATCCACTATCATTCTCCAATATCGGTCTGTCTTCTCCATGGACCAAATTGGTGCATTGAACAGGAATGTGGTGCAATCATCACCCCTGTATCCTGATCGTAGCACTGATTTCTGCAGTCCTTCCAGAATGCAGTATTGCTTGTGGCTAATTATTTTTGTAGAAAGAGCAGCACTTCTAGGGGCTTCTCCTTGACCTTGCCTACCATAATAGCCCTTACTCCACGGGTTGGAAACCTGTGGATTTGGGGATTCTGCCAGTTGCTGAGACTGTCTCTTCCAATTATGAATTCCAGAATTAAGGAAATGAGTGCAGGTTGGGTTCAGGGAGACAGTCGGTCAACTATGAGACAGATCTGAGCTAAAAGTCCATCAATGACCTGACCTGCATAAAGACCTATTCTGACTGATGGGCCACAGGTAGTATTCATCTTCAGGAATTAGTGTCAGTTTAGAGCCAGCAATCCCTTAAAAGTCTTATTACTTCCCTTTCTTCAAGGCACTCATTGTGACAAAGGGCTGTGGGTGCCTTTGGGGATGGCTGGGAGGAAAATCAGCATTACAAGTTTCTGACATTGTATTGTGTTCCTTCCTCAAGGGAACCTTTCCTCTTAATTCAAAGGAAAGAATTCTATAAACTGGTTCTAGTTTGTGAATTGATTGTGGAGCCGTAACTCTCTTTTGATGATTTAAGTCAGACTTCTGTTCACTGGACCTAGATCTTTCTGACTGCACAGGCTAATGAGAATTTAGTAGACTGGCTGCTGTGGTTTGGATATGGTTTGTTTGCCGCCACCAAAATACATGTTGAAATTTGATCTTCAAGGTGAGGTGTTGGGAGGTGGGGCCTAGTGGCAGGTGTTGGGTCATAGATGGTTTGATGCTGTTCTCACAGCAGTGAGTGAGTCCTTGCTCTGGTGAGGTGGGATTCATTCTTTCAGGAATGCATTAGTTTCTTCAAGAGTGGGTTGTTATGAAAACAGGATGCCCCTTGGTTTTTCTCTCTTCCCTTTTGACCTTCTCTTCCATGTTCTGACATAGCATGTGACCCCCACCAGAAGATGAGCAGATGCCAGTGCCATGTCCCACTTCCCAACCTGCAGAACAACTAGCTAAATAAACTTCTTTTCTTTACAAATGATCCAGTCTCAGGTATTCTATCATAACTACACAAAAAAGGTGCTAAAACTCCGGCCATCTATTTCTTTCCTAGAACCATCCTGATAACCAGTCAACTCCAGAGATCTCTCTGAGTCAGTCTACTCTGATCACTTCTTTCGTTCCACTGTCCATTGTGGTGACCACACCCACCTTGTCTTTGACAATCAAGTGTTGCCACTTGGCACCTCATTGCATTTAGGGATCTTAAGTTTGGTGGTTGCAGTTCCCACTGTCATTTCTGACCTACAGAGAAGAATGACCACAGAGATCTTAAGGATGCTAGGGTTCCCCTCACAAATTCATTTCTAACAGCTGTGGTGAAACGTGTGTCCTCTGAATTCCCTGATCATGGGTGAGCCGGCCTTACATGATAAATCCACTCTGTCTTCCCATACCTCTAAGTCTTTAACAATCTTTCTCCCATAGTACACCAAGACAGTCTGGCATTTCAACTTCACTTAGTATAGGCTACCTTTGGGCTCACATTTTAGCCAACCAACCAAACAAAGCCCTTCCTAACTCCTGGAGCTAGGAATGCTGCATCCAGGATCTCTGCTTAGTTGACCCATGTCAATACATTTAGCCTAATCCAACTTTATATTGCTTCTGCCTTGATCCCACTTAATGTCTACATAAATTGGGATAATGGGTGTTTTTTGTTGTTTTTTTTTTTTTGTGTTCTTTTTGAGATGGAGTCTCGCTTTGTCGCCCAGGCTGGAGTGCAGTGGCGCGATCTCGGCTCACTGCAAGCTCTGACTCGCAGGTTCATGCCACTCTCCTGCCTCAGCCTCCCAAGTAGCTGGAACTACAGGTGCCCGCCACCACGCTCGGCTAATTTTTTGTATTTTTTAGTAGAGACGGGGGTTTCACCATGTTAGCCAGGATGGTCTCGATCTCCTGACCTCGTGATCCACCCGCCTCGGCCTCCCAAAGTGCTGGGATTACAGGCGTGAGCCACCGCGCCTGGCCGGGATAATGTTATTAAAATAGGTTCTGGTGAGACTCAGCAGTGTCTTTCAAGTTAACTACCTCACAGGGGGGCATTGCATGTTCTTCAGGCAAAGGGAGGTACCCTCCTCAGCTGGGTGCTGAAGGGCTGCTTTGACCAGGGGGTGGAGAGGAGAGAACTCGGTAAATTTAGTTTGAGGTCCACTCTTTCACTGGGGGCTTGCCTGTGTTTCCCCATTTCAATCTTCAGGGTTCAATTTCTTCTCAATCAATGTTCTAATATTAGCAGATACCCTGGTCACTACGATTACCTTTAAAAAATATTGCTGCAGGCTGGGCGCCGTGGCTCACGCCTGTAACCCCAGCACTTTGGGAGGCCGAGGCGGGCGGATCACGAAGTCAGGAGATCAAGACCATCCTGGCAAACACGGTGAAACCCCGTCTCTACTAAAAATACAAAAAATTAGCTGGGCGTGGTGGCGGGTTCCTGTAGTCCCTGCCATACCTGCGCTAGGGTCTGTGTTCTCCAAAACTTTGAATAACAACCCTACGCCATGAATCAGTCAGAGGCCGAATACCATGAATTAGATCCCTGTAATTGTTCTTCATCCTCACTGCCACTAACTTAGTAGCACATTAATTCCCTTTTGGCCGGGGCTATCAAAGTAACTTCCTAAGCCGTTACTGTGCCTTGAATCTGTTCCCTGAGATCCCCCTTCGCATGGCTGTCAGATTTCGTTTACAAACCAGACATCAGATCAGGGCCCTACCACCCTCCTTTCCCCACTTCCTCCTGCCCCCGCGATTTCCTACAGATTTAGATCGTGGCTGTGCCTGCCTTGTTTATTTCCCAGTTTTTCTCATGCCTTCGGTAGCCCAGTCAACCCGAAATGCCATTATTGTGCCTTCATGCGTGCCTTTTTCTTGTAATGCTTTTCTTATCTCCATCTATAGAAAATATGTTGCTTTCTATATGTGAAGGTTTCTCTGATTGCATGCGCACTCTTCACCTCAGGATTAATTGATCCCTCTTTATAGCAATGACCATGGATAAGCCCCATAGGCTGCTAGCTCTATCCACTGTTGATGCCCAGTGAACACGACCGTTTTATATCAAGTTTCCTAATTCATATGGTCATTAACCAACCCTGTAAAGCTGAGATGTGCCAGATATAGGCCCCCAGAAAGTAGTATCTTATGCCATATGTTTTTCCTTCCTTGCCAGAAAAGGACAGCATACATGTATGCTTCAATGTAATTGTCTCCCTACTTCCAGTTATTTATTTATTCTTTTGAAAGTTTGAATACATTCTTGTTTCTTTCATAACCTAAAATATTTCCTTTCTTTCTCCTAGAATATATCAGAGTCTTGATTACATAGAGGATAATGCCACAGGTTTTCATGCCTACTATCTCCCTGCAGTAGCTAATGCCGAAATAAAAAACTCGGTGGCTTTGGGTCGTTTCATTCTTCCTCCTGCGTGCCTGCAAAAAGGTTAGCAAAGATCATTCAGCCAATCCCTGTCAGACAGCCAAATCCAGCTAATCTCTGTTAAACAGCCAAATTCAACTGTACTTATTTTACTCTCAGTCACATATTTTTGAATTTTGTATCTATTTAACATAAGTGGAAAAAGCATGGACTTTGGATCAGATTGCCTTGGGTGTATATCCTGACTTTGTTTATGTATTGTTTATTCATACATTCATTGAGCTCTTCCTGTGTGCCAGGTTTCAACCTGGGTAGGTGCTGGGGATTCAGTGGAGAATAAGACAGACGCAGATCTTAACTTCACAGGCTATGATCTGATGCTTACTACTTTTGTGATCTTGTAGCAAGTTACTTCTCTGAAGTTGTTTTGAGGATAAAATGAGATAATAGGCCGGGCGCGGTAGGGCGTGCCTGTAATCCCAGCACTTTGGGAAACTGAGGGGAGCGGATCTCTTGAGCCCAGGAATTCAAGACTAGCCTGGGCAACAGGGTAACATGGTGAGACCCTGTCTCTATTTATTTTAATAATTTCAAATTGTTTTTTAAAATAAGATAATGTATTAAGGTATCTGATGTGGTAAGCGTTTAATAAATGTATTCTTTGCTAGTTTTGAATCCCTTCATTATTTTTCTAATTTTTTCTTCTGATATTTAAAGATTGGTTATGATAATAAATCCATTGATTCGCATTTTTAAAATGCGAATTTTAAAATTCCTTGAGCCCAGGAATTTGAGGCTGCAGTGTACCATGATCTCGCCTGTGAATAGCCACTGCATTCCAGCCTGGGCAACAAGCTGAGACCCCCTTCTCTAAAAAAATTAATTGAATAATTAAGTGAGTAGAATTAATTTTAGGAATATATTTTATTTAACCTAATATATCTAAAATATTATCATGTCAATATATAATCTATAAAAACTGAGATACCCTACATTTTTTTGATACTAAGTCTTCAAAATCCTGTATTTATTTTATACTTACAGCACCTCTCAATTTGGATTAACCACACATTTCCAGTGCTCAGTACCTACATGTAGCTAGTGGCTGCCATACTGGACAGCAAAAGTCTAGGGTAATATTACCTTTTTTGTCCTTTTGGCTACTGTGAAAACTTTTGAGATCATTGAGTTTGGATGACGACATTGTTGTTTGACATACTGACCATTGTAGAATTCCTGTACTACCATGTTTACTAGACATATTGTTCATCCACCCCTTTTTTATATCTATATCTATATATCTGTATCTGTATCAATATCTGTAGCTATATAGACATTAGATATACATCTAATATATATCTAATGCATTATATAGATACATATGCATTATTATATATAGAGATATATATATGTAGATGTATATCTACATGTGTATACATATACATCTAATGTATATCTAATGATACAGATATAGATATTGATGTATATCTAATGTATATGTAGATACAAATATAGATATAAGAGTGGATGAACATATCTCAATTATATATATACATCTAATGTATATAGAGATACAGATATAGATATAGATATATTCTAGCAGGAAACGTCTACAACAATGATTAGCAAAGTGTATTAGAATCATCTGGAGAGTTTGTTAGAAATGCAAATTCCAGAGCTCCTCCTCAATGATCTGATTCAATAGGAATCTGCATTTTAACAAGTGTGTTATGTGATTTTGTTGCAAATAGAATAACACTGGCCTAGAAATTTCAGACTTTAAGCAAAATTCAGAAGATTCCAAAAAAAAAATATTGGATTTGTTTTTCTCACCACAGAAATAAGAAGAAAAATTGGTAGTTTTATTTGAGAACAAGACCAACATTTTCTGATAGAAAAGGTAAGAGTAAATTAAGGTACTTGATTAGAATCTACAGTTTCAACATTTTCTGAAAGCAAAGTTATCTTTAAAATGTTTACTTGTGACATGTTAGCACCAATGAGTCAGTTTAAGAGATTGATTTATTTATTTTGAGACGGAGTCTCACTCTGTCTCCTGGGCTGGAGTGTAGCAACGCGATCTCGGCTCACTGCAAACTTTGCCTTCTGGGTTCAAGCGATTCTCCTGCCTCAGCCTCCCAAGTAGCTGGGATTATGGGCATGTGCCACCACACCCGGCTAATTTTTTTATTTTTAGTAGAGATGGGGTTTCACCATGTTGGCCAGGCTGGTCTCGAACTCCGGGCCTTAAGTGATCCCCCCACCTTGACCAAAGTGCTGTAATCCCAAAGTGCTGGGATTACAGGCGTGAGCCACTGTGCCCGGCACAGATTAAGAAATTTAAAGGGCATGCTGTTATTGAATATTATTTTGTTTGACTTTGTTTTATAGTAGTACATTAGTAAAATTGAGGTTATTTTGTATAAATAAAATTATTCCTATAAGAAACTTGAAAATTTGCTTCTGTTAGTAATAGGAAGAGAATAACAGGTGCATAGTATTTACCAGTTCTTTACTGCCAGTGTAGATTCTGATTGGTTAATTTCTGTGACATGCTGTTTGTTCAATGTTTTGAATAACACCCCTCAATAAATGTGTACAAGAGTCTGTCTGAACCTATTCTGGTTCAGGGGCTGCCTGATTAACGAAAAAAAAGAAAAAAATAGTGTACAATACTGGAAAAATAGCTGTTTTGTAGCTTTTGCCATCCTGCCTCAGATTTACTTATGCTTTTAACTTACTTCAGAATCTTTAAGTAATAGCCAAATTTGGGAACAATTGAGCATTGAAACTAATAATGACAATAATGGATTATAATATGTTAGGTAAAAAGAATCCATGTGCTTGCTTCGGCAGCACACATACTAAAATTGGAACAATACAGAGATTAGCATGGCCCCTGTGCAAAGACGACAAGCAAATTCGTGAAGCATTCCATACGTGTATATGATACTCCAAAAGCAGACATAAAGAAAAAAGGAAGGACAGAAGGAAGAAAGGAAAGAAGGAAGAAAATAAGGAAGATAAGGGTGGGAGAAGGGAAATTTTCCTTTACAAAAATAGCAGCTAGTAAATATAGAAAGAAAGATAAAATAGAAAAATCACCATTTTAAAAACCCTCAATATAATAATTGATTTAGATAAGGTCATTAATGGATTCTAAACCTATGATCTCAAATTATCACCCACAGATTGATTATTAGTTACAAAGTTAAACAGCATATCTTTACAATGGAGCGATCTGGCAGGCACCATTTAACTAACTTAGCAAACAGCATCATCAATATTGGAGCAACCTTTCATTATGTTCAGTCAGATATGATATAATAAATACACAATATTATCTGTGTAGTATTCTTGTTCAAAACATTTAACCCGAATTTAATTATGAGTTAACATTCAGACAAATCCAGAATATGGACCATACCACAAGACAATTAACTGACTTGGACTCTAACATCAGTTAATGTCATAAAATACAAAAAAAGCAATAGGAGCATAGTAGATTAAGAGACATAAAAAAGAGGTATAAAAGACATTTGGAGAGCAATTGGGAAAATTTAACAATGAACTGTATAATGGGTGATACTGTATTACATTTTATTTTCTTAAGTGTGATAGTGGTGTTGTAAAGATAAAACAATGTATATTTTTAGAAAACACATGCCAGGTATTAGAGAGTGGAAATGTCATATCTGCAAATGTTTTCAAGTGGTTCCACAAAAATAAAAAGAGAGAGGAGGCACTCAAGGTGTCGGAAATGTTAACACTTTGTGAATCTAGGTGAAAGGTATATGGTATTTATTATACTATTCTTTTTTTTTTTTTTTTTTTTGAGACAGAGTCTTGTTCTGTCACCAGGATGGAGTGAAGTGGCAGGATCTCAGCTTACTGCGACCTCCACCTCCTGGGTTGAAGCGATTCTCCTGCCTCAGCCTCCCAAGTAGCTGGGATTACAGGCACCCGCCACCACACCCAGCTACTTTTTGTATTTTTAGTAGAGACGGGGTTTCACCATGTTGGCCAGGATGGTCTCAATCTCCTGACCTCGTGATCTGCCCACCTTGGCCTCCCAAAGTGCTGGGATTACAGGCGTGAGCCACTGTGCCTGGCCTATTGTACTATTCTTTAACTTTGTGGTAAGTTTGAAATTTTTCACAATAAAGAGTTAGGGAGAAAATCTTTCATTTTTATTTTTTCAAACTTGAAACCCACAGCCATATCATATAGAAAACCTTTACATTATGTCCAAAATCAGGCTATCAACTTATATATTTTATATTTCTGTCATTAATTTGTTTTTTCTTCCCAAGCCATCATCATCTGAAAATAATAGTTCTTTCAGTCTTTTTGCCTAGGAGGTAATAGTATGTTGTACTAAAGACTGAAATATCTAATCCTTGACTTTTCACAGTGTTTGCAGGAACGTGAGCAGTAATGCAATGGTTATTATTTGGTGGTAATTATTGACTCTAGCAGAACTTTAGAGTTTAAAGATCATTAATTTCATCATTTAGCTTTATACATGAGAAAACTAAGGTAAAGAAAATATAATGACCCATTTTAGTACACATTGGCAAAGTGGAGCCAAATTTTCTCAGCTCTAACCCAATCCAATGTTTTTTCTACTAAAAAATTACTAAAACGTGCTTGTATGGACGTTGACTCTAGAAGTTATATTATTACATGATAAAAGAGTTTGTCAATTCTTTCAAAATATTGGTTGATATGAGTATTAGCCAATTATAATAATGTAACCATAGAATATATACGTGGAAGGTATTCATTGAATGGCAATAACTAGGGTAAATCTGGGGAGCATTACAATTGTTTGGAGTGGATTTAAGTTTGTATTTAAATATAGAAACTTCTTAATGGTGGCTGGGCGCGGTGACTCTCGCCTATAATCCTGGCACTTTGGGAGGCTGAGGTGGGCCGATTGCCTGAGCTTGGGAGTTCAAAACCAGCCTGGGCAACATGGCAAAACCCCGTCTCTACTAAAAATACAAAAAATTAGCCAGATGTGGTGGCTGGCGCCTGTAGTCTCAACTAGTCGAGAGGCTGAGGCAGGAGAATTGCTTGAACTTGGGAGGCGGAGGTTGCAGTGAGCCGAGATTGTGCCACTGTACTCCAGCCTGGGTGACAGAGCAAGACTCTCTCTCAAAAAAATAAATAAATAAATAAAAATTTAAAAAAAGAAACTTCTTACTGGTATATAAAATAAATAGATTATGTGATAGGTACCAGTATCTAAGTTGCTTTCACAGAATATTTAGAAAAAGCTTAACATACATTTAGTCATTTTTTATCTTTACAGCTAAATACGTCAATGTCCTTTTGAAGGAGAAACATAATTTGTTCAGCTTACTTTATATTTTTGATTTGTAGCTCGCAGGAATCCTTAAGTCAAGGATTTTAAGAAAGTTTAAATTAGTAGCAAGTTTTTTTGTTTCCTTATTTTTGTGACTAAAAGGTAATATAACCACATTAGAGGAAATTTCAATAATTGAAAGGAGAATAAAATCAGTCAAAGTTTTACTTATCTGACATAACCACAGCTGGTATATTTAAAATTCTGGTCTTCTTTATGTGTCTCCAAAAATATATAGTATAATTACATGTTTGTGTGGACAAAATTTTGTAAATTTTCTCCACAAAGCTAGACTGAGTGGACTTAAATGTGTAAATATTTTTATGGCTTTTGATATATATATTTCCAGTTTATTTTTCCTTTTTAAAAACATTACTGATTGGATCACTGGTATGACGATTTTTTTAAATGTGATTTATTTTTCTATCCACAGCATGATGAAGTAACACCAAATGAAATAAAGACCCTTAGGGAAAACAGTGAACTAGCAACATAGCACAAAAAAGAATTATCCGAAAGGTATTGAATTCATAAACTTCATTGATATTCAATTCAATGTAGAAATCTGTGACCACTGATTTTGTGCTTATCTCATTTAATTTTCAGTTTTCCTATGAGATAGATAGCGTTATAAGTCATTCCCATTATACAAAAAAAGAGATCTATGATTAGAAAGATAAGCAATTTCCCCAAAGTCATATAAACTTTGTTAAGTAGGGGAGAAGCAGGATTTCAATGAGTCAGAGCCCATTATTTAAATGGTAGTCATTAAATACTATACCAGGTATTTACTATGTAGAATACTATACTATCTCATAGTATAGCACACTATACTGTCTCTGCAGAAAGGAGACAAGGATTTTATGTATGTTATGATAACAGTTAATACATTATTTAAAAATTATATGTATCTGTGTGTGAAAACCCAATCATCATGCTTATGAACTACAAAATAATCTTAAAATATATTTTTTACTTGGAAGGAAATACACTACATATTAGCAGTAATTTTATTAGGATGAAAAGTGATGAGTGATTTCCCCTCTTCTTTCCAAATTGCTTGTAATATATTACATTGGTTTAAGAAATTAAATTTAGCCTGGGCATTGTAGCACATGCTTGTAATCTCAGCACTTAGGGAGGCTGAAGCTGGATGACCGCTTGAGCCCAGGAATTTGAGACCAGTCTGGGCAGCATAGGGATACCCCATCTCTATAAAAAATTTAAAATACTAGCTGGGCATAGTGGCACATACCTGTAGTCCCAGCTATTTGGAGGCTGAGGTGGGAGGATCACTTGAGCCCAGGAGGTTGAGACCGCAGTGAGCCGTGATCACGCCACTGCACTCTAGCCTGGGTGACAGAACAATACTCTGTCTCAAAGAAAAACAAGAAATTAACTTAAAAAGACAAACAAACATGGCCTTGCCGTTATATTAGGACCAGTTTATGAGAGGCCTTTTCATTGCAGGTCCTAGTTATACATGATCTAGCCCTAGTTCCATATTTTCCAATTCAGTTGGTTTTCAAATATTCATAGGGAACATTGGTTCTTCAGAAGTCTGTTTTATCCCTCCAAACCTGTGGCCGGAGTCAACCTAAAAGTGGAGGCAGGGGAATCCCCACCACGGAGTGCCCCAAACTGTCCCAAGTTGGGGCCAGTTGGGATTCTAAAGAAAGAACCACTAGCTAGAGTAATCAGTCTAAAGCATCTATTGAGGGAACTTGCAGAGTATCACACCAATCCTTGCAATGGACAAGATATAAGGGGTGTTCTACCTAGGTATATCCACAGTGAGGGGGTCTGGGTATGGAGTTTATATGAGGGTTTAAGGAATCTGGCTCAGGGCTGAGGCCAATTTCATTCAGTGTTTTGAGCAGCAACCTAGATACCTTTATCAGTGCCTGGAAATGTTTAAGGTCCTGGTTTGAGTTCAAGCCTGATGGGAAAACCCTGCACTGGGCTGTCTCACAGAGCAGTCAAAGCCCTCTGTGATTTTTGGTCAGGACACAGAAAGCAAGCCAGGAGTGGAATCAGGGGAGGGGAGGATGGGACTGGGGTACCCTACAGTCTGGTATTTAGCTGCTGTAATATAAATGATCAAATAGTAGTTATCTTTCTTCAAAATAAAAAGTAATGATGTAATTTATATAATTTTTTCAAGTTTTTCTCCCATAAGGGCTAATTTCCTTAATATACAAAGAGGTATTAGAAATCTGGGAAAAATATGTCCAATCCAAAAACAACAGAAATGGACAAAGGATATGAATAAACCCTAGGTAGGTGTCTACTTAGAGCCTTTTCTCTGTGGAAACACCAGAGGGTGCAGTGTGAACACAGATAAAATATACCCTCAATTTACCTGCTGAAGCATTTGTTAGCATAGTACTAGGGACGTTGATTTTTTTTACATCATACAAACTTGATGTATGAAAAATCAGGCAGTACAGAATTAGTATAAAATCCTAATTTCTCCCAAATCCTCTCCCAGTGATAACCTTCGTTTTTTGTTTTTAATTGAGACAGAATCTTAGTCTGTTGCCCAGGCTGGAGTGCAGTGGCGTGATCTCGGCTCACTGCAACCTCTGCCTCCCGGGTTCAACCAATTCTCATGCCTCGGCCTCTCGAGCAGCTGGGACTATGCCACCCCACCACACCAGCTAATTGTTTGTATTTTTAGTAGAGATGGGGTTTGGCCGTGTTTTCCAGGCTGGTCTCAAATTCCTGGCCTCAAGTGATCTACCTGCTTCAGCCTCCCAAAGTGGCGGGATTACAGGCATAAACCACCTGTGGCTGGCCGAAAAATCTTATTTGATATTATGATGTGTACTGGCAGCATATGGCATTTCATTTTGTTTGTTTAACCTTTTTTTTTTTTTTTTTTGAGACAAAAGCTCACTCTGACCCCCAGGGCTGGGTGCAGTGACGTTATTTCAGTTCACTGCAGCCTCAACCTCCCAGGTTGAAGCGAGAGATCCTCCCTCCTCAGCCTCCCAAAATGCCACTAGGATTACAGGCATGAGCCACCACACCTGGCCTAGAATTTATTACTTTTATGACACCTCCATGAACATCTTTTTAAAAGTAAATCTTGCTCTACTTTTTTGATAGTTTTCTTCATGTAAATTCTCAGATGTGGAAATTATGGTATAAAGAGGCGTTTTTCTTCTTTCTTAAACACCTTATGTTTATTTATTTATTTACTTAATTTGTGTGTGTGTGTGTGTGTGTGTGTGTGTGTGAGAGAGAGAGAGAGAGAGAGACAGGATCTTGCTGTGTCACCCAAGCTGCAGTGAGGTAGCATGATCATATGCTCACTGCAACCTGGAACTCCCGGGCTCAAGCAATCCTCCCACCTCAGCCTGCTGAGTAGCTAGGACCGCAGATGTGGGCCACCACGCCTGGCTAATTAACAAAAAAAAAAAAAATTTTTTTTTTGATACAGGGTCTCGCTCTGTCACCCAGGCTGGAGTACAGTGGCACAATCTTGGCTCACCGTAACCTCTCAACTTCTACCTCCTGGGTTCAAACAATTTTTGTGCCTCAGCCTCCTGAGTAGCTGGGACTACAGGTGTGTACCACCACGCCTGGACAACTTTTTTTGGTATTTTTAATGGAAACATGTTTTTGCCATGTTGGCCAGGCTGGTCTCAAACTCCTGGCCTCAAGCAATCCACCCTCCTAGGCCTCCCAAAGTGCTAGGATTACAGGTGTGCCCCAATTCACCCAGCCTAATTAAATTATTTTTTGTCAAGATGGCATCTCACTATGTTGCTGAGGCTGGTCTTGAACTTCTGGGCCCAAGGTATTTATTAATTAGTATGGTAGCAGGCCAGGCATGGTGGCTCACACCTGTCATCCCAGCACTTTGGAAGGCTGAGGCATGAGGATAGCTTGGGGCCAGGAGTTCGAGACCAGTCGGAGCAATATAGAGAGACCCAGTCTATACAAAAGATTAAAAAAAAAATTAACTGGATGTAATGGTGTACTCCTGTAGTCCTAGCTACTTGGGAGGCTGGGGCAGGAGGATTGCTTAAGCCCAGGAGTTGAGGTTTGCAGTGAGCTATCTATGGTCATTCCACTGTGCTTCAACCAAGGTGAAAGAGTGAGGCCATGTATCAAAAAAAAAAAAAATTAGTAGCATATATCTGTTTCTTAGAATATGGAGCTGGAGGGTATTCTTTCATACTGGAAATAAACTACATAATATCATACAGTATGTTCAAATGCATATACTAAAGAACTCTACAAAATTTTAATCAAAATCTACGTTTAGTTTGTTAAGAATTTCTTGAGAGAACCACTGAGAGACAGTGTCCTTTTGATCAAATGATGAATCTCTTCAGAGTTAAGTCTTATAAAGGAAATTTTGACTATGTTGATCCAAGTAATGCAGTAGTGGCACATTTGTTAAAAGGCAAAATTTTACTTTTAATTTTCCTAAATGCTGTCTCACTTGAGTCAGGAGGGATTGGGAATACTCAAAATGATCTTCCAGAGAATTTCTGCCATAAGAGTGTGTGCCCTCATTAGGAATGGCTCTCTCATTATCTGTCCGTGATTGGAGGACTGCTTTCTCTGATAAAACCTTTATATCTCCTGGTAAAGGGGAAGATGTAGTATAAAAAAGAACTTTGCCATTTGGTCAGGGAAGGGGATGTCTTGTGTATGTTGCAGTAAAATTCATCATGTGCAGTTTTGTGCTGTCTTTCCAAGGGTCTTCAATGCATCTTACTGAGGTGCAGGCTTTCTTGATTGCAGTTGGGGTTTCCAGTTTTCTTAATAGTTCAGCTAGCACTTGAGTCACCAGATATAAATTAGACATTTATCTCTTCAGTTGCCAGTATACATTCTGTGTATTATCACTTGAAGTTCTTACTCTTCAGAGATCTCTGCTCTTCAAGATTGTCTTCCTCATACAGATAGGTTTGTTTGGTTTTTGAGTAGTTCTATTTTGAGATCGTTATATTCTTTCCTCATCAGCTCTTGTTCCAAACCTTGGATCTTCAGGTTACAGCTTAACATTTCCACCTCCCAGTTTGATGAAGGTGGATTGAAATTCCTCATCACCAGCTGAGTTTCCACCTCTGTCCTTAGCTAGAGTTCTACTTCTTTAGATTGCATCTGTTTATTCAATACTTTTAAAGATTCAGAGTTGTGTTTACTCATTTTATCCAATTTGCTCTTTAAATCATGTCTATCAATGCAAATCTTTCTTTCTTTTTTTTTTTTTTTTTTGAGACAGAGTCTCACCCTGTCACCCAGGCTGGAGTGCAGTGGGCAATCTCGGCTCACTACAAGCTCCGCCTTCCGGGTTCACGCCATCCTCCTGCCTCAGCCTCCCGAGTAGCTGGGACTACAGGCGCCTGCCACCATGCCGGCTAATTTTTTATGTTTTTAGTAGAGATGGGGTATCACTGTGTTAGCCAGGATGGTCTCGATCTCCTGATCTTGTGATCCGCCCGCCTCAGCCTCCTAAAGTGCTGGGATTACAGGTGTGAGCCACCGCGCCGGGCCACAAATCTTTCAATATGCATAATAGGCCTTATTTACTTGTTGCTATTCCACAAAACTTGTTTCTTCATCTAATTGAGCTCCTATAAGCTTTTCTTCCAAAAATCTAATTCTTTTCTTTATCATAAGATTTCTCTTTCTCTGAATCCTTAAGTCCTTTTTTGATGTCTTCATATGGGCAAATTGGGAAGCAACAGAAGCATCTCCTCAATATGTTGAAATTGGAGTTGCTGTGGTTTTCTCATAATTTAGCATACAGGTATCACCTTCTATCAGTGCATCCATGAGAGCCTGAAACCAGGCTACTTAGGGCCGCCATGGAGTTTCCATTCCTTAATGTTTAGAAACAGCCAAAAACAGATCGGGTTGCCAGGGATCACCACGGGTTCCGATTTCCTTGAAGATACCTCCACTTTGCGAGCGAAAGCAGCCACTCTGAGTTATTGAATTGAGAGTATTGGTCTTATATCTACCCATTTGGAATTCCTTAACATTCTAAGAATATTTTAATCGATCATCTTGGCTCTTCAGGGTGCCTAGTCATATCATTTGTTAATAAATGAAAGTATTCCGGCTGGGCGCGGTGGCTCACGCCTGTAATCCCAGCACTTTGGGAGGCCGAGGCGGGCAGATCACGAGGTCAGGAGATCGAGACTATCCTGGCTAACACGGTGAAACCCCGCCTCTACTAAAAATACAAAAAATTATCCGGGCGTGGTTGCGGACGCCTGTAGTCCCAGCTACTCGGGAGGCTGAGGCAGGAGAAGGCGTGACCCCAGGAGGCGGAGGTTGCAGTGAGCCAAGATCGCGCCACTGCACTCCAACCTGGGCGACAGAGCGAAACTTCGTCTCAAAAAAAAAAAAAGAAGAGCAATGATAAATATTAAAATCAGCCATAGATAAGGACATATGCCTACATTTGGACATGTAACAGTGCTGTTTTATGTATTATTGCTGGATAAAGAAACAGTCTGATTTTTCACAAAGACATAACAGTGTAACACAAAAACAAATTTTAAAAAACTTAAAAAATTAGTCAGAATTTTAAAAGTATAATTTCAACCTGTGGCAATACTCTGTTGTGAATTTTATTGGTAGAACTAAAGTAAAAATTTTTAATCTTTTTATTTTCTCAATTGAATAAATTTCCTTTTTCATATTTCTGCATTAAATAATAGCAATTTCTTGGAAGAAATCTTCATTTTTAGAGATAATGTATTTGTTTTTAATTTTGATGTGAAATAACAAGTACTTCTCTTTTTTATCATGCCCATCTGCTTGCACAGGAAGGAATAACTTCTTGTTGGAAAAAATCAGCTTGTGTTAATTAAACATTTAGTGACTAAGAGTTCTAATTTAGGCTGTGGTATCAATTTTTGTGACTAAAACTTGACTATCTCTTCCTCAGGATGGGTTAGGTTCAACTCATTGACTATTAAATTTCTGAAAATAGAATTAATTGTGGTCTTTAGTTATAGAAAGTACACGTTGGGGCAATAGCCTAGAACAGGGTTTCTTAGTTTTGGCACTACTGGCATTTTAGGCCAGATAATTCTTCGTTAGGGCGAGGGTAGGTGAGTGTCAGTCCTGTGCATTATAGAATATTTACCCTGGCCTGGCCGGGCGCAGTGGCTCACGCCTGTAATCCCAGCACTTTGGGAGGCCGAGGCGGGCAGATCACGAGGTCAGGAGATGGAGACCATCCTGGCTAACACAGTGAAACCCCGTCTCTACTAAAAATACAAAAAAAAATTAGCCGGGCGTGGTGGCAGGTGCCTGTAGTCCCAGCTACTTGGGAGGCTGAGGCAGGAGAATGGTGTGAACCCAGAAGGCGGAGCTTGCAGTGAGCGGAGATCGCGCCACTGCACTCCAGCCTGGGCAACAGAGCCAGACTCCATCTCAAAAAAAAAAAAAAAAAGAATATTTACCCTGGCCTCTGCCCACTAGATACCAATAGCATTACCCATCTCTCCCCCAGTTGTGACAACCAAAAATGTTCCTAGACATTGCCAGATATCCCCTAAAACATCAAAAGATTTTTTGTTTTGTTTTCAGCTTATGACTGGAATTAAATTCCCTCAGACTAATATCACTTATTATCACCCATGATAAGAAGTTCTGATTGACATTTACATATGTGATTAATAAGAGTAAGAAAGCAATTACTAATAATTATAAATACTTTGCTGGCAACAATTTTCAAATCAAAAGGTTCTGATAATTAAAAGTTTGGAAATCTATAATAGATGCTGTACTAGTTATTGATGTAAATCAAAGTGCTCTGAAACTTAGCAGCTTAAAACAATGAACATTTGTTTATTTATTTATTATAGAGATGAGGTCTCACTGTGTTGCCCAAGCTGGGCTCAAACTCCTGGGCTCAAGCAATCCTCCTGCCTTGGCCTCCCAAGGTGCTGGGATTCCAGGTACGAGCCACTGCACCTGACCCAGTGAACATTTATTATTTCAGTTTCTAAGGTCAGAAATCCAGGAGTATCCTAGCTGGGTACTTCTGTCTCATAGCCTTTTGTAAGGTTGCAGTCAAGTTGTCAGCTGGAGTGCAGTCATTCCAAGGCACAACTGGGACTGGAAAATCCACTTCAAACCTCATTCAAGTGGTTATTGGCAGATGTTGGGTCTTTGCTGGATTTTGGCCAAAGGCTTCAACTCTTCACCAAATGGGCCTCTCCATAAGGACCATCCACAGCATGGTAGGTAGTTTGCTTCCCTCAGAGTGAAAAATCCAAGAATAAGAAAGAGCATGCCCAAGAAGAAAAGCCATAGTCTTTTTTACATCCGACTCTCAGAAGTGACATTGCATCACTTCTGTCATATTGGTTATACAGATCAAACCAAGTACAAAATCGTAGTGGACTGTGAATATCAGGAGGTGGGGATCAGTTGGGGCCACTGGGTGGCTGGCTATCACAGATGCATGTGGGATTGTCCACCAGGAGTGCCTTTCTTAGGAATTCCCTTCTCCCTCCCAATTTATCTGGATAACACAGGAACAGACATTTTTTTAAACATGAGCTTGCTCCCCATGCTCAACATTTGCTTTGAGAGTGAATGCCTGATTTGAACTGGGCTAATTGCAGATCTTCTTCTGGATTTTTAGATGTGGAACATAGCAAATCAAGTCATTCTCATTTAGGTGATCAAAACTCTAAGATGTAAAACTTAGGAGCTGTCATTGGCCGTATTTTCTACCATGAAAAGAAAGCCAACTTGCCTCCAAAAAGGAAAATGAGGCTAATACATAGAGAAAAACTTGAGACCAAGGCTGCAGTGAGGTGTGATAGTGCCACTGCACTCCAGCATGGGCAACAAAATAAGACCCTGTCAAAACACACACACACACACACGAAAAAAAACCCTAAAAACTTCAGACTGGTGAGAGCGATCATAGCTGGTTCTAATTAACTCTGAGTCCCAGCAATATGCCTGCCTTCCTCACAGCTCGGATGATACGGCAATGTCCTTCCAGTAAACTCCCCTTTTGTTTAAGTTAGTTTAAATTAGGTTTCTGTCCATTTCATCCTAAAGTCCTTAACTATTCAAAAATGCTACAATAATTTATTTCTGATGCCATAAATGTCCTATCCTTCTTATACTTACAGGAATATTTTTTACTAATGTAGTAATTTTTAAATTCCTATCCTCACACATCTTCAGAGGTTTCACACAGTGTATATGTGCAATTAACTAAACACTAATAGTGATAGTTTTCTGCACTAGCTTATTTTACACAGATACATAGCCATTAGGCAAAGATTATGAACTCATAGAGTATAGTGCTTCAGGAGCTCCTAAAGTAAATGACCATGATTAAAATATCTTTAAAGATACTAGTCAATTTTATATGGTTGGATTCATAGTTAATTTATTAACTGTGAATTTATTTTTTATTAAAAATGATTAAACAATATGCATGGATATCCTGTTGATCTTGATGGTATGGTGTTCTAAATTCAGTCATCCTTGAGCTTTATCAGAATTTTTTCCACACAATATTTACTTTTAAATTAGATTTCAATTTTAGTAAAAGCCACAAACACTTGTGTTACACATAAAATGTAATCATTTAAATAGTAAGCAACTGATATCAAGTTAATATTGCTTAGTCATAGAGTCCTTAAGCTGTCTCCATTCTAGGCAGCATTTTTTATATGACTCATATCTGTTTTGGATAACTAATTGACATCAAAATTACTCTCACCCATTATCTTTGTTGAATGAGCAGTAACATCAATTTTTCATTAATTTTTTTGTTAAAAGAATCCTATTCCAGTGTTAGCAGTGCAGGAAAGTGTTGCCTGCTGAAACAGGGAAGATGAACTGTTTATACTGTTAGTAGCTAGTTGGATGGATAGTTCTAAGTGATTACCCTCTAAGCTAGATACACTTCCCAGTTATTTTGGTCTCTTTTACGTTCTAGCCCCAACCTAGACTTCACAATCTCAATAGTTAAAGCGACTTTAATCCGCATTTTAATCTTTTAAAAGGTGGCAGAAAGTTGTGGGAGGGGAAGAGGAGGTGTTCCCTGATAATTATAAGGTTTCATGGAGAATCTTCTTACTAGTATTATTTCTTCTTTTTACTTATTTTCTAAAAACATTCTTTAGAAGTCTTAACTCTAATAAATCAAAGACACTGAAAAGCAAATAGTATGAGAGGGTTTCAAGTATATATCTGTATATATTTATTTTATTTTATTTTGTAGATTATATATCAATTGATGCCATGAAGAAATTCCTTGGGGAGTTACATGACTTCATTGCTGGAAACTCGGGATATTTGGCATATCATGTTCAAAATGAAATTAATATGTCTGCTATAAAAAACAAATTGAAGAGGAAATATTAAATTAAATTGTAAATACCTTGCATTTATTTTCTATAAAATATTATCAAGATGTGCATAATGTAAAATGCTCCCTTTTGGTACTGGGGGATAGAGAAATGGGAAATAATTTTTCTGTTTCTCAAAATATGTCTTTAGGAAATTCAGAATCATTTTGGTTCTGTGTTTTGACATTTGGGCTGGATTTTTTCCCCTAGCTTATAACAATATGTTCAAATATTCTCAATGCACAGTTGTTAAGGAGTAATTGTCATTAAAATACATTTCATGAGAAGTCTCAATCACAAACTCTCCATCTCTCAATCCTCCTCCTCCTCCTCTCTCTCTCTCTTTCTCTTTCTCACTTTCTCTTTTCTCTCTCTCTTTCTCTACTCCCCTTCTCTCTCCCCTGTCTCTTTCTGTCTGTTGAATGCTCTTTTGGCTTTAACATTCTATTAATTATATTTTTTCTAGATTGAATACTGTGAATGCTAAGTTTTATTATTCTGGTCATCTTATTTTGATTTTAAAAATTAGGATGCGGCCAGGCGCAGTGGCTTACGCCTGTAATCCCAGCACTTTGGGAGGCCGAGGCGGGCGGATCACGAGGTCAGGAGATCAAGACTATCCTGGGTAACACGGTGAAACCCCGTCTCTACTAAACAAAAATACATGGTGGCGGGCGCCTGTAGTCCCAGCTACTCAGGAGGCCGAGGCAGGAGAATGGCATGAACCTGGGAGGCAGAGCTTGCAGTGAGCCAAGATCGCACCACTGTACTCCAGCCTGGGCGACAGAGTGAGACTCCATTTCAAAAAAAAAAAAAAAAAATAGGATGCTAGTGGAGTTCTGAATTACTGTCTCTGACTTGAAACATAATGGAGAAAAACATTTTAATAATTCATATATCATGTTGGATGGTTTCTGATAATATTTCTTTTTTTTTCTTTTTTATTTTTATTATACTTTAAGTTTTAGGGTACCTGTGCACAACGTGCAGGTTTCAAAAGTGACTTAACATAAACAGACTATGAGTGTTATGTCTTGTTAGATGAACCTGCAAGTCACCTTAGAATCACAGTTTTAGAAAGGAACTTAAAGAACGAGTCCCGTTCACTTATTGTTTTTAATGAGGAAATAAGGACCTTGAGAAGATGTCTTACTTAGGGGGACTAACTGGGGGCCAAAACAGAATTGGAACACAACCATCTTGATTTTCTAGGCAAGTACCTCCCCACTCTCCCAAATAGCAAATTCTGTAGCTTATGTGCCAGGCACAATACAACTGCAGATCCGCAAAGCAGACCCAGAAACAAGCCAACATGCTTGCCTTTTAAATAAGCTGAAATAGTGAGGGAGAAGAAAAGGAAAAATCAGTTAGGCAGACCACTAAGGCTAGTCCTCTGAGAAAGAGCCTGAAAAAATCACAGCTACAGGCATAAATAGAGTAGCCTGGGGAAAAACCAAATGGCAGCTGCACTGATAAGAAAGCAAGGCCCAGCATAGAGCCTTTGTTCTTTGTGTGATTAGCAGGCTCTCAGGAAAAAATTTCCTCCCCTTTTCAGGCATTTATGTGGTGAGCTCCGTGGGAACTTGCACACGGAGGTGGGGAGCTTACCTAAAACAGACCCACAGTTACACAAACAAGAGAAGCTGCACTTTGTGTTTACCCAAGACATACACAGATAAGGAGAGTTACATACACAGCTTCATAGATAAGGGAAGTTACACAAACAGCTACAGAGTTGAGGGGAGTTTCACATAAAAGCTTTTGGATTCAACTGTAAAAACAGCAGCCCACTCGGGTCCCTTCTCCACTGTGGAGAGCTTTCTTTCTTTTGCTTATAAAAGTTTTGCTCCAACCTCACCCTTGTGTCCAGGCTCCTTAATTTTCTTGGTTGTGAGACAATGAGCTCAGATAACACCTCAGACTACAAGACCATTGACCCTAGACAGTTTCATTAGTATTGAGTTGTAGTGATTTCAAGAAGGCAGTTTGTTATCTTTATTCATATGGCCATGCTATATAGAGTCTGACTGGTTTATTACATTTTTGTGACTTATAAATGACAGTGTTATTTGTGAAGCTATCATCTTAGAACTGTACTTCTTCCAAGCAAGTGAATACCAGCTATAGAATTATCTAAAGAAAATGCACACTTTTTTAGTGCTTGGACCATTTAGGTATATGTGGGCCCTGGCCCTGGCCCTTCTCCCATGACATAAATTTCATAAGACAAAATTTTAACACTACTTTTGGCATCAGCATTTGAGAATTTATATTTTTTCCATATGATAACTTTTCCTTATTTATATTCACATCTGTGGTTAAGCCCTTCAGATCTTGTAAATTACACAAAAAAACAGAAAAGACAAAAACCTTAAATCTTAATTATCTTTCCCTGAAACGCATTTCTCCTGAATACTTTATTGTAGTTACATACCATTGACTGTTTCTTGTATAGAAACCAAGCCTGTCTGTAGATCTTAAATTAATGACTAAGAGGATTAAGTAAATGTACACCAAGTTGTGTATGTTGGAATTTCTTGAAAGAGAGTATCCAGTATTTTTCTGATATATTATGCATGTGTAAATTTAAAATTATAATGAAACACTTTTTTTGGTTTGTTTCCCAAAGTGATTGTATCTTTCAATGTATATAGTAAAGCAAAATGTAACCTATATCTTTGAAATATTGTCAGACACAATAAAATCAGTGATAACATAAGCCTTCCAGGAATTAGAAGCATATGAAAAAATAAAATAAGCAAAGTTGAACTATTTTAAGTTTATTGTTTTAATGGGAAGTGAAAAGCAATATGATCTTAATTATTGCTCATGTAACCGTTTTTTAAAACTTGCTTTAATGTAGCTGATGGATAATGCCTCTGACTATCCTTATTAAAAGTGTTCTCTGGCCAGGCATAGTGGCTCATACCTGTAATCCCAGCACTTTGGGAGGCTAAGGTGAGTGGATCACGAAGTCAGGAGATTGAGACCATCCTGGCCAACAAGGTGAAACCCAGTCTCTACTAAAAATACAAAAATTAGCTGGTCGTGGCGGCAAATGCCTATAATCCCAGCTACTCGGGAGGCTGAGGCCAGAGAATCCTTTGAACCTGGGAGGCAGAGGTTGCAGTGAGCCGAGATCGTGCCACTGAACTCCAGCCTGGAGACAGAGGGAAACTCCGTCTCAAAAAAAGAAAAAAAAAAGAAAAAAATGTTCTCCTCACTTTAGAACTTTTATTTCTCCATCCTTTTGAAAGCATGTCTTCTCTGATGCTTTCAAGTATTAAGCATAGTCATTTCCTAAACTGTTTAATTTAGTGTGTAGTTCATCTTAGTTATTTCATCCTTTGTGACTAGATTTTTTTTCTAGCTTTTGGTAGTGTTTTCTGTAATTAGATACATTATGAGTCATTGGCCAAGTCTGCCAGTTAATTTCTGAATGTCTGTTTCTCTTTTTTCCATAATGATATAGAACCCCTAATTTCCTTCCTTCCTTCCTTCCTTCCTTCCTTCCTTCCTTCCTTCCTTCCTTCCTTCCTTCCTCTCTCTTCTTTTCCTTTTCTTTTCTTTCTTGTTTCACCAGGCTGGAGTGCAGTGGTGCAATCACCTTGAACTCCTGGATTCAAGCAGTCCTCCCACCTCAGCCTCTCAAGTAGCTAGGACTATAGGCATATACCACTACACCTGGCTAATTTTTAAATATTTTTCTAGAAACAGGGTCTCACTATATTGCCTATAGGCTGGTCTCAAACACCTGGGCTCAGGCAATCCTCCTGTCTCAGCCTCCTAAAGTGCTGGGATTATGGGCATGAGCTACCACACCTGGCCCCAGAACCCCTAATTTCTATCTAAGCACATGCTACCAAGAATAAAGAATATATTCTCAGTTCCACTTGAAATTAAGTATGGCTGTCACAGTGGTTTAGCCAATGGATATACAGAAGAAATGGAATCCGGGAACTTTTCTTAAAGGCCTTGGCACATACTCTTTGTCTCCCTTTCCTTCCACTCCCATTCTTTCTGTGTTCTTTCAGCCTGTTACTTAGAGGATGTGGTAGTTACCATTTCAGTCCATAAGAGCAAGAACCATACCCTAGGGTTGGCAAAGCAGTGGACTGAAAAGAGCCTGAGATCCTGAGGATATTGTGTAGAAATCTGCCATCCCAGCCTTGGGCTGCCTACCTCTAGACTTATGTGACAGACAAACAAACTTCTGTTTTGTTTAAGTCACTATATTTTTGTCTATTATTGCCAAACCAATTATAATTGAGGTTTAAGGGCAAGCTGTTGACCTTGGTCTATGGGTGAGAATTGTGTGGAAGATACCATTTATTTACATCTGTAAAGTATTGACAGATTTGTAACCTTAAAGTGAGGTAGGTGACTTTAGTGACATCACATATTTATTAGATTTATAGCAGCTTTAGTAAAAAGTTCTTTGTAATGGCGTGCTTGGTTACACTATTATTTAGCAGAGTGAAAAACTGAAATTAACCTCAATGTTTAATAATGAATAGATAGAATGGCATCTTAAATCATATTGCTATTCCAGTTTAATGGAATAGCCATTTTTCCTTTAACTGCTTTATTAAGATATAATTCATAGACCTTACAATTCACTCATATAAAGTGTACAATTCAATGGTTTTTAGAGCATTTACAGAGTTGTACAATCATCGCCACAGTCTGATTTTAGAACATTCTCATCATTCCCAAAAGAACATTTTAGAACATTTCCATCATCCCCTTGACCATTAGCAGTTACTCCCCATGCCCCCAACACACACCCCAGCCCTAGGCAACCATGAATCTACTTTCTATTTATATATATTTTCCTATTCTGGACATTTTATATGAATGGAATCATACAATATATGCTGTTTTGTGACTAGCTTCTTTCACTTAGCATAATGTATTCCAGGTTCATTTATGTTAAAGCATGTATCAGTACTTCATTACTTTTTATTGCTAAGTATAATAATATTCCATTGTATGGATATACTACATTGTATTTACCTATTCATCAACTGATGGACATTTAAGTCTTTCCACTTTTTATCTACTATGAATAATGCTGCTATGAACATTTCATTTTTATGTGGATATATGTTTTTTTTTCTATTGCGTATATATCTAAGAGTGGAATTGCTGGGTCATCTAATAACTATGTTTAACGTTTTGAGGAAGTGCCAACTGTTTTTCAAAGTAGCTACACCATTTTCATACCCACCAGCAATGAATAAGGGTTCTAATTTCTTCACATCCTCAACAACATTTATCTGTCTTTTTAAATATAGCCATCCTAGTGGGTGTTAAGTGGTCTCTTGTGATTTGCATTTCTCTAATGGCTAATAATATGGAACATCTTTTCATGTGCTTATTGGCTATCTCTCCCTCTTTTTTTTTTTTTTTTTTTTTTTGAGATGGGTTCTCACTCTATCACCTAGGCTGGAATGCAGTGACATGATCTTGGCTCATGGAAACCTCCACCTCCTGGGCTCAACCAATCCTCCTGGCTCAGCCTCCTGAGTAGCTGGGACTACAGGCAAGGCCACCATGCTTGGCTAATTTTTTTTTTTGTAGAGACAGGGTTTTGCCATGTCACCCAGGCTGGTCTTGAACTCCTGGACTCAAGTGATCCACCCATCTCAGCTGCCCAAAGTGTTGGGATTGCAGGCGTTAGCCACAGTGCCCAGCCTGGCTATTTTTTGTATCTTCTTTGGAGATAAAAAAGAAGCCAATAAAAGAAGATATTGAATATACTTCAATATCTTCTGAAGAATATTGAATAGAAAGAATAGAATATCTTTCTATTCACCTCCTTTGCCATTTTTAATCTGGGTTAATTGTCTTTTTGTTAATGAATTATAAGAGTTCTTTATATATTCTGGATACAAGTACTTTATCATATATATGATTTGCAAATATTTTCTCCTATTCATGGATTTTTTTTTTTTTGCTTTCTTGATGACATTGTTTGCAACACACAGTTTTTAATTTTGATGAAGTCCAATTTATCTATACTTTCTTTTGTTGATTGTGCCTTTGGTTTGTACCTAAGAAACCATTGCCCAACCTAAGATCATGAAGATTTACTCCTACATTCTAAGAGTTTTACAGTTTTAATTTTTACATTTAGGTCTATGATTTGAGTTAGTATAGTTTGAGGTAGGAGTCCAGATTCATTCTTTGGCATGTGGATATTCAGTTGTTCCAGCACCATTTGTTGAAATGACTATTTTTTCCTTCATTGACTTGTCTTAGCAGAAATAACCATCTTTAAGTTTATTTTTCTGACTATGTGTGATGTGTTCTTATAAAAAATTAAACACCATATAAATAAAAAAAAGAAAAAGGCCCTTAAAATACCACCTCCAGGCCAGGTGTGGTGGCTCATGCCTGTAATCCTAGCACTTTGAGAAGCCATGGCAGAATAGCTTGAGTCCAGGAGTTTGAGACCAGCCCGGGCAACATGGCAAAACCTTGTCTGTACGAAAAATACAAAACATTAGCTGAATGTGCCTGTTGTAGTCTCAGCTACCCAGGAGGCTGAAGTAGGGGGATCACCTGAGCCCAGGAGTTCAAGGCTGCAGTGAGCTGTGATCACACCACTGTACGCCTGGATGACAGAGTAAGACACTGTCTCAAAAAACAAACAAACAAACAAAACCACCTTCAAAGATAATTGTTAATATTATAAATGAGTGGTCTGGAATAATAGATCTCTAAGGGACCTTCCAGATCTGTGAGTCTATAAAATTTTACTAGGCACAAATAATTCCCAGAAATAACTATTTAGCAGAAAATTCTATTTGCATGAGTGATTCCCTGAAGTACTTAAATGAAAGGCCTAGTAGCCCAGCGATACAGCTATCATCCTGTTACTACTGGATAGGAGAACCCACCTAAAGCTATTAATAATTTTATTAAAATCTACAGACCTTCCCTAGAGTACCTTTTTTTTTCTGTTTACTTTGCATTCTACATTATGCCACAGCAAACATACTCGTAAATGATACTTGAACTCATACCCTTTGTATTGGAGAGGGCACTGCATCTCAGTAGCAGTATAAGGGAATGGCTAAGAGCACAGAGTCAGACTATCTTGGTTTAAATTCCAACTGTAACTCTTATCTAGTTTGTGATCTTGGACCAGTTACTTAAGCTGTCTGTGCCTCAGTTTCCTGGTAAATGGGGATCTTAATGCCAAAATTATAGGGAAATTGTGAGGATTAAGCAAGGTAATACATGTAAAGTGCCTAGGACCGTACCTGATACTTAGTAAGTGCTCAATAAAAAAGCTATGTAGCTTCATTATTATTAGCATATTCGGGTTCCTGTCACAAAGTAAGTGATAAATGATCATCAAACTAGTACTTTGAAAACTCAAATTGGGGCCAGGCATGGTGGTCTCAGCACTTTAGAGGCCAAGGCAGGAGGATCTCTGGAGGCTAGGAGTTCAAGATCAGCCTGGGCAACATAGCAAGAACCCAGTCTTTACTTAAAAAATTAAGTTCAATAAAACACTCAAAGCTGGGCACAGTGGCTCACACCTGAAATCCCAGCACTTTGGGAGGCCAAGGTGGGTGGATTACTTGAGGTCAGGAGTTTGACAGCAGCCTGGCCAACATGGTGAAACCCCGTCTCTGCAAAAAATACAAAAATTAGCTGGGCATGGTGGCGTGTGCCTGTAGTCCCAGCTACTTGGGAGGCTGAGGCAGGAGAATCGCTTGAACCCAGGAGGCAGAGGTTGCAGTGAGCCAAGATCGCACCACTGCACTCCGGCCTGGGCAATAGAGGGAGACTCTATCTAGTGTGGGCAAACTAGATAGAGTTGGGGAGCTTTTTACCTCCTAAGACACAAAGAGTTCATGACAGCTCCATTTTTACCCTAACAGGTTGGAAAAGATAGAAATCTATGAATAGCTGAAGGCAGAATGTGTTTATCCAATACAATAACATAGTTGAAACCTTGAACAAAAGCTTTTTAAAAGTTTGCTTAACGGAAACAATGTTACTTGGAGTAGTTTTTCAGTTTTTTAATTTTTTCAGTAGATGGCATCAATATAATATCCTTCATTTCTTCCCAAGGAAAATTTTTCTCTCTTTACGGGAGATACATGGTAGAAATGTTTATTATTTACCCTAGTATATCAACAATTATCTTAAAGGTAAGTGGACTAAATGCTTCAATTAAATCACCACTTTGGGCAGCTAGAGTTTTAAAATAATTATATGCCATTTATAAAAGACATTTAAAATTTAAGGATGTTAAAATGTTGAAAGTAAAACAATGGAAGATAGGGGCTGGACGTGGTGGTTCACGCCTGTAATCTTGGCATTTTGGGAAGCCGAGGCGGGAGGATTGCTTGATCCCAGGAGTTTGAGACAGGCCTGGGCAACATAGGGAGACCCCATTTCTACAAAATTTTTTTTAAAGTAGCTATGTGTGGTGGCGTGTACCTGTAGTCCCAGCTACCCAGGAAGTTGAAGTGGGAGGAATGCTTTGAGCTGGGATGTTGAGGCTGCAGGGAGCCATGTTTGTGCCACTGCACTCCAGCCTGGGCAACAGAGCAAGACCATCTAAAAAAAAAGAAAAAAGGAAGAAAGAAATTGAAAAAGAAAAAAATCACCAAAAAACCCCAAAGAAAATAGAAGTTAGGAAATAATATGGAATTGTAGTAGAGATAGAAGAAATTAATAAAATAGGAAACAAACTTACAGTAGAAATGATCAACAAATCAAGAAGTTGAGTTTTGAAGACTAAAAGAAATTTATAAATTTCTGATAGGACTGGCAAAGAAAAAGAAAGAAGGCACAGATAATATCAAAAATGAAAAGAGGAATACATCTCAGATTCTAGAGACATTTAAAAAAATTAGAGGAAATTATGACCAAATTAATGTCAATAAATTTGAACATTTACATGAACTATTTAAATTTCTAGGAAATATATCTTACTAAAACTGCCATGAAAAAGAGAAAATCTGAGCAGTCCTTTAACTGGGAAAAATAGTGATTTTATAATATTAAAAATCTTCCTACAGCCCCACTAATTACTAGATTTTGTCATCTTAGTGAGCTATGTAACTTGTTTCCGCATCTGAGAAATGAAGATAGTAACAATGCCATAGTAATATTGAAGGATTAAATGAGAAAATGCCTGTAAAAGTGCATTGCACAGGGCCTAGCATTTGCCACATGATCAATGCATGCTTGCCTTTATTAGTTTCCTTTACAGCTATGGTGTATCACTGAGTGCAGAATGTGTGTGTTCTTCAGGCTCCCTTGTGTGCAGGCTCTGAAAGGTAAAGGGGCCTGCTCTTTGTTCTGAAGTAAAACTGCTCAGGGCATTAGGTGGATCTGAAATTTAAAAATAAAATTGAAAGTAAATCAATCTTTTCCTTAAATCAGATTGTCTCTGCTTTTGTTTTACACACCTGCCTCAATATCAGTCTTGGAATTTTTTTCCCACTGTTGTGGGTGCAATTTTTGTGATATGTACAGAACCACCTACCCTACTCCAGGCCTTGGATCCTGACCTTAGTGGCTTGGAAAAGGCTGTCACTTAGAATTTACACTCCAGTTCTCACTATCACTGTCTCCATTCTTCTTCCATCTCCCCACCCTGGGGTGATTTCCCAGCCTGCTATTTGTTTTCCCGTTCGTATGGTTCCCCTAATCTCCAGAGCATGTAGTACTCACTAGCCAGACTATTGCCCATGTCTTCTGTGTTACATAAAGTTATTTCCAGCGTATCTGATCTCTTCTCATCCTTTCTCTGTCACTCGGGGGCTTTGCTCAACCTGATTGTGTCACAGTCTTTAGGAGATTCCCTCTTTCTTGATCAGAGAGCCCTTCATTCCTCCATTCCTTGCCTCTGCAATCATGAGGGTGTGACACAGATGAAGGTGTGGCACAGATCTCATCTCTTCCTGGAATTCCCAATCTCAAGAGCTTTCCTTCATGGTGTTGCTGACTTAAACGAGGGTGCCTGCCAACTGTGGGGCCCTCACCCCTCTTAAAGAGGTTTGTTTCCTTGTCACAGTGTTGTGATTTATTTCACTTTGCTCTTATCTTTAAAATCGGGTTCATTTCCTTGTCTTAGTTAGGCTCCTCACCATACCTACTCTGTATTGTGTTTCTTCCTCATTTGTCAGATTTTTTTTTTTTTTTTTTTTTTTTTGAGATGGAGTCTTGCTCTGTCACCAGGCTGAAGTGCAATGGTGCGATCTTGGCTCACCACAACCTCCACCTCCTGGGTTCAAGCAATTCTCCTGCCTCAGGCTCCTGAGTAGGTGGGACTATAGGTGTGCGCCATCATGCCTGGATAATTTTTGTATTTTTAGTAGAGACGGGTTTCACCATGTTGGCCAGGATCGTCTCGGTCTCTTGACTTTGTGATCCACCCGCCTCAGCCTCCCAAAGTGCTGGGATTACAGGTGCGAGCCACCACACGCAGCCCATTTGTTAGGTTTTTAAAAGCTGTTTCTTTCCCTCTCCCCATTCCCATCTGTCCAAATCCTGTCCTTCTTTCAGGCATCATCTCAAAGGATATCTCTGAATGAAACTTCTTTGGCAACCTCCTCTTCTTGCCCCCTCTCCCCACAGGACTCTAGTCCACTTAGAGCACTTAGGTTACTCAACCTAAAGTTATAATTACTTGTGTATACCTGCCAAAGGCCCCTACTACATTGTTAGGTACTTGAAGGCAAGGATTATTTCTTACTAATCTTTGCAGCTCCCACAGCACCCAGCACAGTGCCTGGAATATGGGAGTTACTCAGGTACTATTTGATGAATTGAATTCATACATGTAAGGATCCAGAAGATAAAGGAAAATATTTCCTTCAGTTTCCAGACTGGGACCCAACAGTGCCCTGTTTCACTGTTTATTAGGAAGCAGGTTGTATGGACCTGGAGGTGCCAGATAAAACGAAGGCTTCCATAATACACATTCATCAACCCTGCTAGGGTTGTCTCATTCATTCATTTACGCATTCATTCAACAAACATTTGTTGATGACAGAGTGCTAAACTCACAGCTTTTTTTTCTTTTCCTGTAAAGTGAGATAACAGGGAGTGGGACCCTTCCATTATAAATATAATCTGGTTGGAGAGTTGGAAATATAAACAACTGACTGTAAGGCAAAGTGAAGTAGGTGCTAGAATAACATATAGGTCAAATTCTCTAAGAGCACTAGTCCTTGGTTTCTGCAGGGCAGAAAAGAGGGATATTGGAAAAAATCAGGATGATTCAGAAGAAGGGTAACTTTGTTTTCCCTGGTGGACTCATAGCATCACTATGATAACAACTAGGCCCCGAAAGGGGGAAATCCTGTCATTTCCAGCAACAACATGGATGAGTCTGGAGGTCATTATGCTAAGTGAAATAAGCCAGGCACAGAAATATAAATACCACATGATCTCACTTATATGTGGATTCTAATAAAGTTGAACTCATAGAAGTAGAAAGTAGAGCAATGGTTAACAGAAGCTTGGGGGAAGGTGGGGAGGGACAGAATGGGGAATTATTGATTAAAGGGTACAAAATTTCAGATAGACAGGAGGAACAGGTTTTGACATCTACTGCACATCAGGGTGACTATAGTCAATGGTAATATATATTTCAAAATAGCTACGAGTAAATTTCAAATGTCTCACTATAAAAAATAATAGGTAAGTGAAGTGATGGATGTGTTAATCCGCTTGATTTAATCATGCCAATTGTATACATACATCAAAACATCACATTTTACCCCATAAATATATACAACAAAGATTTGTTAAAAAAAAAAAAAAGTGAGCGGTCATTGTGGCTCACACCTTTACAGGTTCCCAGCACTTTGGGTGGCCCAGGCAGGAGGATTGCTTGAGGCCGGCCTGGGCAACATATTTTATTGCCTTATATAAAAAAAAAAAAGTCCCCCTGAGCTTTTCTGGCCCACCTCTCATGAAATCCCTGGCACTGTCTCTGCATTTGATGAGAGTGCGAGGTAGAGTGGGTAGGAGCAGGCAAGTCAAGTTGCTGTAGACCTGTGCTGTCTAATATAGCAAGATGTAGCTAGTGGGCACTTGAAATGTGGCTAGTCTGAACTGAGATGTATTAAGTGTGAAATACACCTTGGATTGTGAAGACTTAGCGCAAAAACAGAATAATTTTTATTTTTATTTTTTGAGACAGAGTCTCCCTCTGTCACCCAGGCTGGAGTGCAGTGGCACCATCTCTGCTCACTGCAACCTTATGCCTCTCAGGTTCAAGTGATTCTCGTGCCTCAGCCTCCCGAGCAGCTGAGATTATAGGTGTCTGCCACCATGCCTGACTAATTTTTGAATTGTATGTGTGTTTATTTAATTTATTTTTATATTTTGTTTTAATTTTTGTATTTTTAGTAGAGGTGGTATTTCACCATGTTGGCCAGGCTGGCCTCAAACTCCTGACCCCAAGTGATCTGCCCACCTCGGCCTCCCAAAGTGCTGGGATTACAGGCGTGAGCCACCGTGCCCAGGCAAAAACAGAATAACTTTCATGTTGATTACATGTTAAAATCATGTTTAGGATATATTGGTTTAAATAAAATATATTGTTGAAATTAATTTCAACTGTTTCTTTTTTTTTTTCCTTTTTTAATGTGGCTACTTGACCATTTAAAGTTAGATACACCATGGGCAATATAGGGTGTAGACCCTCATCTCTACAGAAAAAATAAATAGTTGAGCATGGTGATGCATCCTTGTTGTCTCAGCTGCATGGGAAGCTGAGAGAAGAGGATCACTTGAGCCCATGGGTTCAAAGTTGCAATGAGCTATGATTGTGCCACTGCATTCCAGCTTGGGTGACAGAGCGAGACTCTGTCTCTAAAAAAATAAATAAATAAAACTGTACATGGCCCACATTATACAGTTGGCCCTTCATATCTGTGGGTTCTGCATCTGTGGATTCAACCAACTGTGGATCAAAAATATCTGGGAAAAAATAACGATACAACAATAAAAATAACAAATTTTAAAAATATGACAACTATTTACATAGCATTTACATTGTCTTAGGTATTATAAGTAACCTAGAGATGATTTAAAGTATACAGTAAGATGTGTGTAGGTTATAAGCACAAACTACACCATTTCATATAAGGGACTTGAGCATCGCGGATTTTGGTAGCTGTGTTGGAGGTGTCCTGAAACCAATCCTCTGTATATCCCAAGAGACCACTGTACTTCTCTTGGACAGTGCTGTCCTAAAGGCTGTTCCCCAGACTCAGGTACCCTAGGAAATTTGGAAAACCCTTGGGGGAAACAGATAGATCTTGATACTGAGCCGGGACCCAGTCCCACTGGTAACCAGTCCTGGCCTGGATCCAAACTCCCAGGGACTTTGGAAGTGCTATAGGCATCACTTGGGTCTAGGCTATGGTGGAGTCAGGTCACAGATAGGAAACTTGGTTCTCTCCGTTCTGTGTTTCCCTGTGACTCAGGCCACAAGGACAAATGTTGGTTTCTTTTTTGTGTTTCTTTCAAGCAGCTTCCTTGAAGACACAAATAGCTTCTGAATGGCAACGATAAGGAGCCAGTCTGGTAGAGTCTTCCATAATAGCAACTAAGCTTTTGATCATTAATCATTTAGCATACTGCTTGCCTAGGTGACTTCTTATATACAGAAAAAGGCGGCAAGGTGATGACTGAAACAAGATGCTATGCTGCCAGCTTTCAAGATGGAGGAAGGTGCCCAAGAATGCAGCTCTAGATGCTGGAAAAGAGAAATAAACAGAATCTCCCCTAGAGCCTCTGGAGGGAGCTCGACTTTGCAGACACTTGGATTTTGGCTCAGTGACACTGATTTCAGACTTCTGACCTCCAGAACTGTGAGAGAATAATGTGTATTGTTTTTAGCCACCAAGTTTGTGGTAATTTGTAACAGCAGCCATAGGAAATGAATACAGCCAGGCACTATTCTAAAGAACTCCCTTGTATTGGTTCATCCAACTCTCACCTCTTCCCATCTCCTCATTGATAGTGGGGAGGTGTATCCAGGGATCATACTTACTAATCTACCATCCTCACTAGGCTTCACCACACACCACACCCTGTACTCACATGTGCAGAACCTTCCTGACCCACTTTATTCTAGGCCAGGGAGAGACCTGAAGAGCCTCAAGCCACAGCTTTCTCCCAAACCACTCCTCACCAATCCCATAACCCCATAACCCAGGGTCCAGAGTGAAAGAAGTTGCAACAAGGAAAAAATAATTATCTTTTCACTGACTTGTTTTGTAAATCTGGATTTTTATATTAGGTTAGGATGAAGGTGGCACCTTCCTCCATCTCAAGGGCCAGCAGCATAGTATCTGGTTTCCATCATCACATTGCTGCCTTCCTCAGTAAAACCCTTCCTAGATTTTACTCCCTCTATCTCCCTCTTACAAGGACACTTTGTGATTACATTTAGGGTCCACCCAGGTAACCCAAGATAATTTCCCCATCTCAAGATACTTAATAACATCTGCAAAGACCCCTTTTCCATTAAGGTAACATTCACAGATTCCAGGGATTAGCACCTAGATATCTTTCATGGCCATTATTTAGCTGCCACGCTGGTATAAAGTAAATGCTTAAGAAACTAGCTATTATTATTACTGTGCTAAGCACTTTTTATGTGCTAATTAATCCTCACTACAACACTATGAAGCAGAGACTATGGGTATCCCATCTTACAGAGAAGAAAGAGGCTTAGAGAGCTTAAGCAGTTGCCTAAAATCAGATGGCAAGTGTCAGAGCCCGTGCTCTTAGCCTCCATACAGGCTGATTTGGGGAGCACACCTATGACTGCACTTGTGGTAAGAATGACGCTCACCCTACTTTTCCATTTGAATCATTTGAGTGGTTGTATGTGTTCTTGGAGTAGGGGTGGTCTTTCCCCATAGAGTGTCATCTCTTTCAGGACAAGGAGTCTGTCTGTCATGCACTTTCTCTTGTGGTTTGGTGCTCTGCACATACTGAAAACAAAATTAATATTGTTGATTTAACTGCCAAAGCTGGAGCACATAAGGATCATTAAGTGCAAAGAATACTGATCAAACAGAACAAGCTCTACCTCCTTATTTGCCAACCCCTAGAAGTTGACATGGTGACAGGGGTGAGTTGAAAAGGAAGAAGTTTAGTTTTACCTTCTAAAGGTCAGCCTGTCTGTTGTCTGGTACAGGTAGAGATTACAACAATAACCCTTCAGGAAAACATTACATTTTGTCCCATGAAAAATAAACAGCATTTTGTCCATGCGTCACATACTAGTCTTTCTGGCATGATGGACTGTGGTTAAACTCAGCATAACCTGGGAATGGGTAGGAGATGGACATCATTGAGTAGGAGAAAGTGAAACTGGGAAATGAACTGTGGAGAAAGAGATCTCCACAGGGTCAGTGACAAGTATTCAGAATGATCATGGGAAAAAGCGTAGTGTGGAGGAAAAGGGGGGCCGTGGAAGTGACTGAAGTTCAGACTGCATTCTGGGAGATGAAAGAAGCAAACAAGGGCACAGCACTAAGGAAGGAGAGGAGAAGGAGTTTGAGTTATACAAGATGTTCTCTGAAAAATGAAAGATACCAGAAGTGGCCATATTAAAAACCATCTCATAATGGACCTGCTTTACTTCAGAAGGGATAAGTGCTAGTATTTGCTAAGTCTGAGAAATCATCATTGCAGTCTTGTCATGATGAATCATGTAGTGGCCACCCCAGAAACCTGAATCACCAAAGCTTCCTTTCCTCACCTCATTGCCATATAAACTGACTAGACTGGGATGGGAGAAAAAGATGGAGGCTTGCAAATATCCTCTCCAGCATCACCCAGGCACTAAGGGCAGTGAGGTGGCCAAGGTCCGAGTCCTAGGGCTTTTAGATTTCCACTGATACTGCTCTAGAGGATTTGATGGATGTGCTTGTTGGCTCATCATGTCATCCCCTTTCCGTAGGCACATCTGTAAAAATGTCAGCAGAAGGTGGCCCAGTGAGCAGGAAACCCCACGGGTGGGGTACGGGAGGCTCCATGGTTCTAATGGCTGATGCCACCCTGCTTCAGTGGCCTGATGCCTCCATGTCTGTTATTAGGGTGTTCCTACTGTGGGGATTGGCACATTGTTTTCGTCCTATGTTATTATGCAACCGATTAGGTTGAGACTTAACCTAATCCGGTGCAGTCCAGTTCCTATTTTCCAAAGATGACAGTATACCCAGGCCACTTAAATTTGATCTGGGTGTTGGTGAGACTATTACACACCCACAAATAATCCAATAATCTCTTTGGCTGTGTCATTTCTACTGGTGTCTAACCTCATCCTTTTTATTTGGCTCTCATTGATTTTATATTATTTGGGGTGTCATCCCAACATATTGCCTGTATAAATTGTGTCTCCTTAATTCCACAAATGAACATTACTGAGAGTTAGTGTTATTCTTATTTTACGGCTGAAAAAAACTGACACTAACAGGTTTGGTAACTTGTCCAAAATCACATAGCTGGTAAATTCTAAGAATAGTGGTTCTGGCTGGGCGTGGTGATCTCACACCTGTAATCCCAGCACTTTGGGAGGCTGAGGCGGGCAGAACCTAAGGTCAGGAGATCGAGACCATCCTGGCTAACATGGTGAAACCCTGTCTCTACTAAAAATACAAAAAATTAGCCAGGCATGGTGGCAGGCACCTGTAGTCCCAGGTACTCGGGAGGCTGAAGCAGGAGAATGGCATGAACCTGGGAGGCAGAGCTTGCAGTGAGCCGAGATTGCGTCACTGCACTCCAACCTAGGCGACAGAGGGAGACTCCGTCTCAAAAAAGAAAAAATAAATAAAGAATTATGATTCCATCCCTGATCAGTCTGATTTTAAGGTTCAGTCTTTTCCAACATAATGCTGAAGTGACCGGGAAAAGTCAAGCTTCTAAATTGGCAATTCAATTGGGAATTTACTATTATGGTCTGTGATGATGACATCTTATATTATGTACAACAGTGGATCAAACCTGACTGCATATCAGATCATGTTGTTGAGCTTTTAAAAACTATACATGCTTGGCTGGGTGTAGTGGCTCACACCTGTAATCCCAGCACTTTGGGAGGCCAGGGCAGATCACCTGAGGTCGGGAGTTCAAGACCAGCCTGACCAACATGGAGAAACCCCGTCTCTACTAAAAAATACAAAATATTAGCTGGGTATGGTGGCACATACCTGCAATCCCAGCTACTCGGGAGGCTGAGGCAGGAGAATTGCTGGAACCTGGGAGGCAGAGGTTGTGGTGAGCCAAGATCATGCCATTACACTCCAGCCTGGGCAACAAGAGTGAAACTCCATCTCAAAAAAAAAAAAAAAAAAAAGCTATACATGCTTTGAATGTATTAATACAATTAGATTTGCTAATATTTTGTTCAGAATTTTTGCATCTATGTTGATGAGAGAGATCATCATGTAATTTTCCTTTCTTATAATGTCCTTGTCTGTTTTGGATATCAAGGTTATGCTGGCCTCATAAAACAAGTTATAAAGTGTTCTCTTCTCTTTGGTGTGTGTTTTTTTTTTTTTTTTTTTTTTTTTTTTGGTAGTGACAAAGTTTCACCTTGTTGCCCAGACTGGTCTCGAACTCCTGGGCTCAAGGGATCCACCAGCTTTGGCCTCCCAAAGTGCTGGGATTATAGGCATGAGCTACTGCACCTGGCTCTTCTCTTCTTTTTTATTGCCTTGTATTTAGACAATGTTATCTGTACTTTTTCTATAGTTTATACCTCACAAATTTTTCATTTTGGCCTAATATATGGTCAATTTTTGTGAATTATCCACAGATACTTTAAAAAAAAGGTGTATTCTCTTTCTTGAGTACCAAGTTTTATCTGTTATTAATTATGGTATTTAGCCCTTCTCTGTTGTTTTGGCTTCTACTACAGTGTTTCCATTTTTTCTTGTACATCCTGTGATTTTATGTTTTAATTAATATTCATGTCGGTGCTAAGTTATTTGGTGCCTAGGTATTCATAACATTGTAACTTGTGAACTGCAATTTTTTATCATTATAGATTATTTATTTGTACCCCTTAATACTTGTTTGTCCTGATGTTAGCCTTGCCTGATGTTAAAATTATAACCATTGCAGTCACTTCCAAGATGGCTGAATTGGAACAGCTCTGGCCTGCAGCTCCCAGCAAGACTGACACAGAAGATGGGTGATCTCTGCATTTCCAACTGAAGTACTTGGTTCATCTCATTGAGACTGATTGGACAGTGGGTGCAGCCCACAGAGGGCTAGCTGAAGCAGGGCGGGACATTGCCTCACACAGTAAGCACAAGGGGTTGGGGCATTTCCCTTTGCTAGCTAAGGGAAGCCATGACAGACTCTACCTGGAGGAAAGGGTACACTCCCACCCAAATACTGCACTTTTCCCACAGCCTTAGCAACCAACTGACCAGCAAATTCTCTTCCGTGCCTGGCTCGGCAGGTCCCACACCGATGGAGCCTTGCTCACTGCTAGCACAGCAGTCTGAGATTGACCTGCAAGGCTGCAGCCTGGTGGGGAGAGGGACATCCGCCATTGCTGAGGCTTGAGTAGGTAAACAAAGCAGCCAGGAAGCTCGAACTGGGTGGAGCCCACCACAGCTCAGCAAGGTCTACTGCCTCTCTAGACTCTACCTCTGTGGGCAGGGCATAGCTGAACAAAAGGCAGCAGACAACTTCTGCAGACTTAAATGTCCCTGTCTGACAGCTCTGAAGAGAGCAGTGGTTCTCCCAGCACAGTGTTCGAGCTCTGAGAATAGACAGACTGCCTCCTCAAGTGGGTCCCTGATCCCTGTGTAGCCGGACTGGGAGGCACCTCCAGTAGGGGCCAACTAACACCTCATACAGGTGGGTACCCCTCTGGGACAAAGCTTCCAGAGGAAGGATCAGGCAGCAATAGCTGTTCTGCAATATTCACTGTTCTGCAGCCTCCGCTGGTGATACCCAGGCAAACAGTGTCTGGAGTGGACCTCCAGCAAACTCCAACAGACCTGCAGCTGAGAGGCCTGTGAGAAGCAAAACTAACAAACAGAAAGGAATAGCACCAACATCAACAAAAAGGACATCCACACCAAATCCCCATCTGTAGGTCACCAACGTCAAAGACCAAAGTTAGATAAAACCACAAAGATGGGGAGAAACCAGAGCAGAAAAGTGGAATATTCCAAAAACCAGAGTGCCTCTTCTCCTCCAAAGTACTGCAGCTCCTCGCCAGCAATGGAACAAAACTGGACAGAGAATAAGTTTGACGAGTTGACAGAAGTAGGCTTCAGAAGGTCAGTAATAACAAACTTCTCCAGCTAAAGGAGTATGTTCTAACCCATCGCAAGGAAGCTAAAAACCTTGAAAAAAGGTTAGACAAATGGCTAACTAGAATAAACAGTGTAGAGAAGACCTGAAATGACCTGATGGAGCTGAAAACCATAGCACGAGAACTTTGTGATGCATGCACAAGATTCAATAGCTGATTCGATCAAGTGGAAGAAAGGATATCAGTGATTGAAGATCAAATTAATGAAATAAAGCGAGAAGACAAAATTAGAGAAAAAACAGTGAAAAGAAATGAACAAAGCCTCCAAGAAATATGGGACTATGTGAAAAGACCAAATCTACATTTGATTGGTGTACCTGAAAGTGACAGAGAGAATGGAACCAAGTTAGGGAACACTTTTCAGGATATTATCTGGGAGAACTTCCCCAACCTAGCAAGGCAGGCCAACATTCAAATTCAGGAAATACATAGAACACCACAAAGATACTCCTTGAGAAGAGCAATCCCAAGACACACAATTGTCAGACGCTCCAAGGTTGAAATGAAGGAAAAAATGTTAAGGGCAGTCAGAGAGAAAGGTTGGGTAACCCACAAAGGGAAGCCCATCAGACTAACAGCAGATCTCTTGGCAGAAACTCTACAAGCCAGAAGAGAGTGGGGGACAATATTCAACATTCTTTAAGGAAAGAATTTTCAACCCAGAATTTCATATCCAGCCAAACTAAGCTTCCTAAGTGAAGGAGAAATAAAATCCTTTACAGACAAGCAAATGCTTTTGTCACCCCCAGGCCTGCCTTACAAGAGCTCCTGAAGGAAACACTAAACATGGAAAGCAACAACCAGTACCAGCCACTGCAAAATATGCCAAATTTTAAAGACCATTGATGCTAGGAAGAAACTGCATCAATTAATGGGCAAAATAACCAGCTAACATCATAATGACAGGATCAAATTCACACATAACAATTTAACCTTAAATGTAAATGGGATAAATACCCCAATTAAAAGACAGATACTGACAAATAGGATAATGAGTCAAGACCCATCAGTGTACTGTATTCAGGAGACCCATCTCACGTGCAGAGACACACATTGGCTCAAAATAAAGGGATGGAGGAAGATCTACCAAGCAAATGGAAAGCAAAAAGAAAAGCAGGGGTTGTATTCCTAGTCTCTGATAAAACAGACTTTGAACCAACAAAGATCAAAAGAGACAAAGAAGGCCATTACATAATGGTAAAGGGATCAATTCAACAAGAAGAGCTAACTATCCTAAATATATATGCACCCAATACAGGGGCACCCAGATTCATAAAGCAAATCCTTAGAGACCTACAAAGAGACTTAGACTCTCACACAATAATGGGAGATTATAACACCCCACTGTCAATATTAGACAGATCAATGAGACAGAAGGCTAACAAGGATATCCAGGACTTGAACTCACCTCTGCACCTAGTGGACCTAATAGACATCTACAGAACTCTCCACCCCAAATCAACATTATACACATTCTTCTCAGCACCACATCGCACTTCTTCCAAAATTGACCACATAGTTGGAAGTAAAACACTCCTCAGCAAATGTAAAAGAACAGAAATCACAACAAACTGTCTCTCAGACCACAGTGCAAACAAACTAGAAATCAGGATTAAGAAACTCACTCAAAACCACACAAATACATGGAAACTGAACAACCTGTTCCTGAATGAATACTGGGTAAATAACGAAATGAAGGCAGAAATAAAGATGTTCTTTGAAACCAATGAGAACAAAGACACAACGTACCAGAATCTCCGGGACACATTTAAAGCAGTGTGTAGAAGGAAATTTATAGCACTAAATGCCCACAAGAGAAAGCAGGAAAGATCTAAAATCAACACCCTATCATGACAATTGAAAGAACTAGAGAAGCAACAGAAAACATATTCAAAAGCTAGCATACGGCAAGAAATAACTAAGATCAAAGCAGAACTGAAGGAGATAGAGATACAACAAACCCTTCAAAAAAACAGTGAATCCAGGAGCTGGTTTTTTGAAAAGATCAATAAAATTGATAGATTGCTAGCAAGACTAATAAAAGAAAGAGAGAAGAATCAAATAAATGCAATAAAAAACGATAAAGGGGATATCACCACAGATCCCACAGAAATACAAACTACCACCAGAGAATACTATAAACACTTCTATGGAAATAAACTAGAAAATCTAGAAGAAATGGATAATTCCCTGGACACACACACCCTCCCAAGACTAAACCAGGAAGAAGATGAATCTCTGAATAGAACAATAATATGTTCTGAAATTGAGGCAATAATTAATAGCCTATCAACCAAAAAAAAGTCCAGGACCAGACAAATTCACAGCCAAATTGTACCAGAGGTATAAAAAGGAGCTGGTACCATTCCTTCTGAAACTATTTCAAACAATAGAAAAAGAGGGAATCCTCCCTAATTTTATGAGGCCAGCATCATCCTGATACCAAAGCCTGGCAGAGACACAACAAAAAAAGAGAAATTTAGACCAATATCCCTGATGAAGATCGATGCAAAATTAGTATAGTCAAACCGAATCCAGCAGCACCTCAAAAAGCTTATACACCACAATCAACTCGGCTTCATCCCTGCAATGAAAGGCTGGTTCAACATATGCAAATCAACAAACATAATCCATCACATAAACAGAACTGATGACAAAAACCACATGATTATCTCAATCGATGCAGAAAAGGCTTTTGACAAAATTCAACAGCGCTTCATGCTGAAAACTCTCAATAAACTAGGTATTGATGGAATGTATCTCAAAATAATAACAACTAGTTATGACAAAACCATAGCCAATATCATACTGAATGGGCAAACACTGGAAGCATTCCCTTTGAAAACCGGCACAAGACAAGTATGCCCTCTTTCACCACTCCTATTCAACATAGTGTTGGAAGATGGGCCAGGGCAATCGGGCAAGAGAAAGAAATAAAGGGTATTCAATTAGGAAAAGAGGAAGTTAAATTGTCCCTGTTTGCAGATGACATGATTGTGTATTTAGAAAATCCCATCATCTCAGCCCAAAATCTCCTTAGGCTGATAAGCAACTTCAGCAAAGTCTCAGGATACAAAATCAATGTGCAAAAATCACAAGCATTCCTATACGGCAATAACAGACAAACAGAGAGCCAAATCATGAGTGAACTCCCATTCACAATTGCCACAAAGAGAATAAAATACCTAGGAATCCAACTTCACAGGGGATGTGAAGGACCTCTTCAAGGAGAACTACAAACCACTGCTCAATGAAATAAAAGAGGACACAAACAAATGGAAGAACATTCCATGCTCATGGATAGGAAGAATCAACATCGTGAAAATGGCCATACTGCCCAGGGTAATTTATAGATTCAATGCCATCCCCATCAAGTTACCAATGACTTTCTTCACAGAATTGGAGAAAACTACTTTAAAGTTCATATGGAACCTAAAAAGAGCCCGCATAGCCAAGATAATCCTAAGCCAAAAGAACAAAGCTGGAGGCATCACACTACCTGACTTCAAACTATACTACAAGGCTACAGTAACCAAAACAGCATGGTACTGGTACCAAAACAGATATATAGATAAATGGAACAGAACAGTGGCCTCAGAAATAACACCACACATCTACAACCATCTGATCTTTGACAAACCTGACAAAAACAAACAATGTGGAAAGGATTCCCTATTTAATAAACGTGCTGGGAAAACTGGCTAGCCATATGTAGAACGCTGAAACAGGATCCCTTCCTTACACCTTATAAAAAAATTAACTGAAAGTGGATTAAATACTTAAATGTAAGACCTAAAACCATAAAAACCATAGAAGAAAACCTAGGCAATACCATTCAGGACATAGCCATGGGCAAAGACTTCATGACTAAAACAACAAAAGCAATGTCAACAAAAGCCAAAATAGACAGATGGGATCTAATTAAACTAAAGAGCTTCTTCTGCATGGCAAAAGAAACTATCATCAGAGTGAACAGGCAACCTACAGAATGGGAGAAAATTTTTGCAATCTACCCATCTGACAAAGGGCTAATATCCAGAATCTACAAAGAACTTAAACAAATGTACAATACAAAAACAACCCCATCAAAAAGTGGCCAAAGGATATGAACAAACACTTCAGAAGACATTTATGCAGCCAACAGACACACGAAAAAATGCTCATCATCACTGGTCATGAGAGAAATGCAAATCAAAACCACAGTGAGATACCATCTCTGACCAGTTAGAATGGCGATCATTAAAAAAGTCAGGAAACAACAGATGCTGGAGAGGATGTGGAAAAATAGGAACACTTTTACGCTGTTGGTGGGAGTGTAAATTAGTTCAACCATTGTGGAAGAGAGTGTGGCGATTCCTCAAGGATCTAGAACTAGAAATACCATTTGACCCAGTGATCCCATTACTGGGTATATACCCAAAGGATTATAAATCATGCTACTATAAAGACACATGTGCACTTATGTTTACTGTGGCACTATTCACAATAGCAAAGACTTGGAACCAACCCAAATGTCCATCAATGATAGACTGGATTAAGAAAATGTGGCACATATACACTATGGGATACTATGCAGCCATAAAAAAGGATGAGTTTGTGTCCTTTGCAGGGACATGGATGAAGCTGGAAACCATCATTCTCAGCAAACTATCACAAGGACAGAAAACCAAACACCGCATGTTCTCACTCATAGGTGGGAGTTGAACAATGAGAACACATGGACACAGGGCGGGGAACATCACACACCAGGGCCTGTCAGGGGGTGGGGGCCTGGGGGAGGGATAGCATTAGGAAAAATACCTAATGTAAATGACGAGTTGATGGGTGCAGCAAACAAACATGGCACATGTATACCTATGTAACAAACCTGCATGTTGTGCACATGTACTCTAGAATTTAAACTGTAATAGAAAATAAAAAGGAAGAAAGAGAAAAAAAACAAAAACAAAAAACAAAAAAATTATAACCATTGCTTTCTTCTAATTTACATTTGTAAAGATTTTGTATTTACTTTTTTTTGGATCCCTTGTATACAGCATAGAGTTGGATTTTCCTTTATGATTTAATCCAAATTTATTTTATTTTATTTGACTTTCAATTTTTATTATTTTTTAAATAAAAAATAGTGATGGGATCTCACTATGTTGCCCAGGCTGTTCATGAACTCCTGGGCTCAAGCGATCCTCCTGCCTAAGCCTCCCAAAGTGCTAGGATTACAGGTGTGAGTCACCACACGTGACTGAAATTTCTTTTATTTTAATACATTAGCTTAGCACATTTATATTTATTAAATTGACATACTTGGTCTTAATTATTTATATAATTTTATATGATGCCTTCTATATTTCATAGATCCTTTAAAAACTCTGATGTTGTGGTATTTGGTTTTATTTTTTCTGAAAATCTGGAAAGGTTATATTTTTGTTTTAGTGATTGTCTTTATAATTTATATACTTAATCTTCCTCTTTTAGGCATTATCTATCAATCCCCTAATATGACTAAATAATGAAATTAGAATATTTTCTCATCTTCTCCCTATCCTGCTCTTGATGACCTCTCTTTTTGCCATAGTTTTCCCATTTATTTATTGGTTGGTGTAAGTTCATCTTCTAGTACTTTCTTCAAGGAATGCTCATGGAAACAATATTTCTTGAGATCCTCCCATGTTCAGAAATGTCTCACTGTGCCTTTTTATATAAACAGACAGAGATAAACACAACAGAATATCTCGAGAATTGACTCAGAAGTATGCCATGTGATGCTACCTCAAAGTCAGAATAACCTGCATTATAGCTGAAATAAACTTTAAATTGCTATTCCTTTTTACCTTCCTCCCTTCCTCTCGCTCTCTCTCTCTCTCTCTCCTCTCTCTCTCTCTCTCTCTCTCTCTTTCTCCACTTACTGCAGCCTCTGCCCCCCTGGATTCAAGCAATTCTCCTGCATCAGCCACCCAAGTAGCTGGGATTACAGGCGTGTGCCACCACACCTGACTAATTTTTGTATTTTTTTTTTTTTAATTTTTTGTGGAGACAGGGTTTCACCATGTTGCCCAGGCTGGTCTCGAACTCCTGAGCTCAAGCGATCTGCCTGTCTTGGCCTCCCAAAGTGCTGGGATTCTAGGTGTGAGCCACCGTGCCCGGCCCCTTTTTAGTTTCTTATCCAGCTGCTCCCATATCAGACCTCATCTTTTTAAATTTTATTTTTGTTTACCTCCCTCCATTCATTCACATGCTCATTTGAGAAGACTTAAGTTCTCCAAGCTTTGGACAATAACTGCTTTTAAAAACTGTAAGATTTCAAGAGTACATTTGCCCAAGACTCAGAATTGTTTTACAAATGCAGCATGTGTATTATGTGGCCAGTGTCTTCACTCTAACTTGGTTATAAGACTGAAACCATTCTTCACTGCTCTAACATGCTGAATAAATCAACTGAGGGGGAGGGGGTGTTTATCTCTGTCTGTTTATATATGTTATATGCGTTGTCATGAGGCTGTGTGACTTATCTAAGTGGAATATTGAATATCCATTGAAATGGATTTGTTAAGTCATTTATATTATTAATGAGCATTTAAATGCAACGGATATCATTTCAGGTGACTTCACATGAATGAATAAAAGTCAGTGCTATTGGATTATTTTTGGCTTGAAAAAAAATAGACTTTGTACATCAGAGTGAAATCCTAACCCTAGAGAAGTATAATTTTCCAGCTTTTGCCCTAAGGTCTTCAGCCATAGGCCTTCTCACTACCTTTCTTCTTGCACCCTGGCATTTCCTACAGTGTAAAACACTGGAGGATCTATGTGAACCCCTGGGTTGGGTCACTTGCTAGGCTCTAGTTGCTGTTGTTGTTTTTGTTGTTTTGTGCCACTCTCTCCTTGTTCACTGTGATTCTGCCACACTGCTGACTTTTCATGATGGTCTCGCCCTCTTGGACTCCACGTTTGTGGTTCCTTCTGCCTGGAACACACAATCTCCCTCCCTAGCCTCACTGCTGTCACAACTCAAGTCTCTCAAGTACAGCTTTATCTATCACTCCCTCAGGGCAAACTTCCCTTGCTTTCAAGCTAGACTAGGTTCCTCTGCTACACACTTTCATGGTTTTCTTTTCTTTTCCTTCATAGCCCTTACCATAATTGTGTTTGAGTCATTACTTCTATGATTATCTGCTTAATGGCTTCTCCTCCCCTAAGTGGGGATTGTGTCTGTCAGATTCATTGTATCCCCAGCACCGTGTACCAGCATGTCACAGACACTTATTACATAGTTGCTGAATAAATGGATGAATGATCCCGTCCCAATATGGCTCCCACTCCCATCTTTTCACCAAAACTCCGTTTGCATGATGACCAATTACCTCCTTGTTGCTGAATCCACTAGATATTCTTTGGTTTCCCTCTTGACTTCTTATCAGTCTTAAACACTTGAGCACTTTTTTCTTAAAACACTACTTTTTGGCTGGGCACGGTAGCTCACACCTGTAATCCCAACACTTTGGGAGGCTGAGGCGGGTGGATTACGAGGTCAGGAGATCGAGACCATCCTGGCCAACATGGTGAAACCCCGTCTCTACTAAAAAAAATACAAAAAATTAGCCGGGTTTGGTGGTGGGTGCCTATAGTCCCAGGTACTTGGGAGGCTGAGGCAGGAGGATGGCGTGAACCTGGGAGATGGAGCTTGCAGTGAGCCGAGATCACACCACTGCACTCCAGCCTGGGCAACAGAGTGAGACTCTGTGTCAAAAAAAAAAAAAATACTTAAAAATGTGGAAATGGCTTTGGACTAGTTAATGGGCAGAGGTTGGAAGAGTTTGGAGGGCTGAGAAGAAGACAAAAAGACTAGAAAAATTTAGGAACTTCTTACATATTGGTTAAATGGTTGTGACCAAAATGCTTATAGACATATAGACAGTAAAGGCCATGCTGACAAAGTCTCAGATGGAAATGAGGAACTTATTGGGAACTGGAGCAAATGTCACCCATATTATGCCGTAGCAAAGAACTTGGCTGCATTGTGTTCATGGCCTAGGGCTTTGTGGAAGGCCAAACTTAAGAGTGATGACCTGGGGTATCTGGTGGAAGAAATTTCTAAACAGCAACGCATTCAAGAAGTGGCATGGCTACTTTTAACAGCTTATGATCAGATACAGCAGCAAAATAATGATCTAAAGGTGGAATTTCTAAATAAAATAGAAAGAGCAAAACAATTTGGAATATTTATAACTTGGTCATGTGGTAGAGAAGGAAAGAATGTTTTCAGGTGAGGAATCCAAGGGCGATATGGAGCAACCACTTGCTAGAGAGATTACCATGGATAAAAGGGAACCAGGTGCTAATAGAACAATGGGGAAAAGACCTCAAAGACATTTCAGAAATCTTTGAGGTCATCCCTCCCATCACAGGCTCAGAGGCCTATGAGGACAGAATGGTTTCAGGGGACAGGCCTGGGGTGCTTTTGTTCTGTGCCACCACAGGATGTGGGGAGCATCCCAATTGCTCTAGCTCTAACCTGAGCACAAACAGCCCCAGGTACCACTCAGGCTGCTGTTCCAGAGAGCGTAAGCCTTAAGTTGTGGCAGCTTCCACATGGTGTTGTCTGCAGGCTCCCAGAATGTAAGAGTGGTAGAGGCTGGGCAGCTTCCACCTAGATTTCAGAGGATGTATTGGAAAGCCTGAGTGCCCAGGCAGAAGCCTGCCACAGGGGCAAGCCACTGCAGAGAAACTGTACTAGGGCAGTGCCTAGTAGCTGTGGAAGAAGGGCTGCTGCCCTCCACCCTAGCATTATGGAGTCACCAGCAGCATGCACCTCAGTCTGTGAAAGCCTCAGGCACTCCACTCCAAACCATAAGAGCAGCCATGTAGGCAGCGCTCAGCAAAGCCATAGGGATAGGGCTGTCTGAGGCACTGGGAGCCCATCCCTCAAACCAGTGTCCCCAGAATGCAGGACATGGAGTCAAAGTTTATTTTGGAGCTTTAAGATTTAATGTCTGCCTGTCTGCCCTACTGGGTTTCAGACTTGCATGGGCCTGTTACCTTTCTTTTGGCCAGTTTCTCCTTTGGGGAATGAAAATCTTTACCTAATGCCTGTACAACCATTGCATCTGGGAACTAAATAACTTGTTTTTGATTTTACAGGCTCATAGCTGGAAGGAATTTGCCCTGAGTCTCAGATGAGACTCTGGACTTCATATTTTTAAGTTGATGTTGGAACAAGTTAATGCTTTTGGGACTACTGGGGTAGACTGTATTTTGCATGTGAGAAGGACATGAGTTTGGGGGGAAGGGGCAGAATGTTATAGTTTGGATGTTTGTCTCCCCAAGCCTCATGTTGAAATTTGATCCCAATGTTGGAAGTGGGGCCTAATGGGAAATGTTTGGGTCAGAGAGGATGACCTCTCATGAATAGATTAATGCCCTCCCTTTGTGGGTTGGTGGGCGCAGGTAAAGTGAGTGAGTTCTCACTCTGTTATGCTGGTTGTTAGTTCCCATGAAAGCTGGTTGGTAAAAAGAGCCTAGCACCTCCCTGCTCTCTCTTGCTTCCTCTCTCACCATGTGATCTCAGCGCGTGCTCGCTCTCCTTCCCTCTTCCCTTCTGCCAATAGTGGAGGCAACCTGCAGCCCCTCACCAGAAGCTGAGCAGATGCTGCCACCATGCTTATTGTGCAGCCTGCAGAACCATGAGCCCTATAAGCCTTTCCTTTATAAGTCACCCAGCCTCAGATATTCCTTTATAGCAACACAAAGTAGACAAAGACACCATCTCAAACTTGGCCTACCCAAAATTACACGTTTGATATTTTCCCCAAATCGGGTCCTCCCCAAATCTCAGCTGAGAGTATCTTCATCCATCCAGTTAGTCATGCCAGAAATCTGGGAGTCAGCCTTTCTGCTATCTTCTCCTCAACTCCCACAAGCTAACACCTTACCAAGTTCCATGGATCCTACATCCAAAATAAATCTTGTATCTGTCTACTTCACTCCACCTCCACTTCCACCATTTATCCAAGTCCAAATCACCATTCTTGGCTGGCATATAGCAGGAACCTCAACTGGTCTCCTTGCTTCCATTCTTCCTGTGCCACCAGCACTGCCACCACTACCAAAGTGCCTCTCTCCTTGGGTAGTTCTAGACTAAAATTCCTGCTCTCTGACTCTCTTTTCCTAACTCTTCTTAGTGCTTTCTTCAGGTTTGTTAATGGAAAGTATGTTAATGGTTCCTCAGGGTGGCCTCTATTAATCTCTTTTATTGCATATGGATTTTACTAGTTTAATGTTCGTTGTCAACCTTATTTCCAAGTTCTTCAAGAAACTTTATGGTTTTTGGTTTTTTGTTGCTTCTTTCTTTTGTTGTGAATAGCTAGGTGTGAGTAACTGAATAGCTGATGAAGCAATGGAGAAAGCCATAGTCAGGATTTTATAACTGTTCTGACTTTTGGAACACCAAGGACCTATGGCACACTGATTTTTCTTGTTAGTACACTATGTAATCCAGACCTGCAATAACCCAGTATCTGTGATAATTTAAGGGGAGACTAACCCATCACAGACACTGGGTTATTGCAGGTTATCCAGATCCAGTATCTGATGGGTTAAAGTCTCCCTTAGATACGTGACCCCACAGGATTAATTTTTAATTAATTATATTTTAAACTCCAAATGAGTTTTTTTTTCCTTTTTTTTTTCCCCAGGGGAAAGCACGAATGCAGTTCCTCACTACCACAAATTATGCTGTTGAGTTTCCCGCATTTGGGGAAATCACAGTGGTAAGCACACCTATGGAGTGCAATGGATGAGCCTCAGCCTGGGAAAACCACCTTCATGATCATGGCATCTCCCCTGCCAGGTAAGAATCCAAATAAGTTTTGATAGTAGAGATTTATCAAGAACTTGTTAGTTGTATTCAGTGGGGAGAGTGTTTCGAAGTGCTGTGCTGTCTGGGAACGTTAAGCAGAGACCTAGAGAAGCTATGCCAAGCAGGCCACCAGCAAAGTCAAAGGCAGCATTTTACAGCTTATTCAGTAAAATGCCTGGAAAAGTCTGTTCCTCAGCACTATGAATGCTGGTCTTCATTAGGAAATTATGCAGAATGTCACAATACTATAATAACAACTTTTTTTTTGTTTTTAAAATGTCAGCTTCTTAAGACTCCTTATCAAGTTCTTCTGCTCTGAAAAAACAGAATCCTTATCAATTCTTCCTTTTACTTTCTCTATAAAGAGCCCTAGTCATAGAATATATTTCTAAATTTGCCTTCCCCTCCTCCAAATCTCTGCTACCAGGCAACAACCTTCAAGACAGCTTTAAAGTGTTATTGCTCAGGAGAAAACAAATACAACTCCAGTGTGGCCATTATGTCATTATTCCAGTGGCTTTTGCTTTGGTTCTCTGTGTTTTGTTTTCATAATTTAAAGTCCAAGGAGTGTCTCCTTAAAGTGGCCCTCAGCTCTTAAGCCATTCCTGGGGTCTTCTCCTTCAGCTTCACCCATTGGAAGGACATGCTTAGAAGACTGTGAGGAAACCCCATAAAGCAAGGAGGGTTAAACTGGGTTTTAAATTCAGTGGGTAAGTGAAGGCAAGTACCTCATCTCTCCAAGCAAGACCTTCTTAGCTGCTAAGAGCAGGAGCTACTGAAAGAACCAGTCATGCACAGCTAAGAGCTGTGGGAGGTATCTAAAAGCAAAGGACCTGACTGATTCCATAAGTCATTCCACTGCAAAAATCCATTCCACTGCCTTGTACATCTTGTAATGCTCCCCCACCCCGCACCTACACATGCACGCGTGCGCACACATACACACTTCCTTTTTTGTCATTACTGGGGCTCCAGAGATTGATCCGTCTTCATCACCAAATTTTTTGGGGGCTTTTATACTGTATAGAACACTTTACCACATCCTGGTTAAGAAATGAGGCCTTGTCATCAGTGGGATTCCAGTGCATTTGGGGAAGGGGTGATTACTGGTGAAAGTACAGGCTGTGCCCTGTGTGTTGGGCAGGCCAGGGGAGACAACTTCAAGGGCTGGGGCAAAGTCTAATGGATTAGGTAAGGGGATTAGCAGTGTGTCTGTGAAACCACCACTGCAAAATCATAACTGAGACAGTGAAAGAAATCTGACCTAAAATCTTGCTTCTAACCTCCAAGCTGTCCTTCTTCATTCCTGGGCATGGTCTGAACCAACTTCAGGGAGATCTTAGTTTTTAATTTATAGATTAAAACAGAGATAACAGCCCTTCTCCAAAACAAACCTCCTTCTTGCCTGGGGACTAGACTGCCTTTGTAGGAGTAATGAATTAGCCACAAGAGTAGAAATTATGGTTTAGGAGTCACGCAGCTGGAGACTACAGGATTCTGACCCTCCCCAAATTGCTCCTGGGGATAACATCACTATTATAAAATGAAATGTTAGTGCTTTAGATATTTTGCAGACCCTGCACTTGATGGATCAGCTGGCACCACCCAGATTGATAAACTGGCTCATCTGATTTTGGGGCCCCTACCCAGGAACTGACTCAGCCCAAGAAGACAGCTTTGACCCCTTATGATCTCACCTCCGACCCAACTAGTCAGCACTCCTGACTCACTGGTTTTCCCCCACCCTCCAAATTATCATTAAAAACGCCGATCTCTGTATGCTTGAATGCTTGGGGAGACTGATTTGAGTAATAATAAAACTCCAGTCTCCCGCAAAGCTGGCTCTGCATGAGTTACTTTCTTTACTGCAGTTCCCCTGTCTGGATAAATTAACTTTGTCTAGGCAGCAGACAAGGTGAACCCATGGGCAGTTACAAATTTGGGGCTTGCTGGGGCTTGCCCTTGTGGCTGCCTGCCCGTGGTTTGGTAGACTCCCTCCAGCAACAGATCCAGAGGCCAGCCCAAGTGGCCACCTAGTTCTCTTGGACTCTAGGCTCTACTGGTGGGGTGCTGCTGATCCAATGGGCATGGATTTAATTGCAATACAGAAATAGTCCTGGGAGATATCCCATAACTGTAGCTCCATGCTGGAATGTTTGTCTGTAGCCCCATGGTGGGGTGTCTGTCTCCAGCTCCACCACTGGATGTCTGAGACTCTAGCCCTATCACTGGGTGTCTGTCTGTAGCCCATCACGTAGTGTCTGTAGCTGTAGCCCCATTATGGGGTATCTGATTTGGTGAGTATTCTAGGTGCTGCCAACAGCCCCTTCCTTCTCCTATTTGTCAGCCTCTCTGGACGTGCTGCTGTCTCTTGGTTGCCTTGCAGGATGTCTGTCTGTAGCCCCATCATGGTGTGTCTGTTTTTAGCCCCATCACGAGATGTCTACTGGTGGGGTATCTAATTGGATGGAGAATAGGGGGACTTGTTTGGAGGAATACTCTTGGTTTGTGACTGGGTCTGGAATCTGTGTCTCAAAGGCCTTCTGTCTGTCTTGTCTTTGTTGTGTGTGTGTTTGTATATGTTGAGGGGATCTCTGAGGGAATTGCTGATGGAAGTCCAGCAGGCCTAACTCAGAGAACCCTCCGTAAGTCAGGTTACATCTGGTGAGCCCTGAAGAAAGCTCAACAGGCCTGACATGGGGTGACTGTCCACTCTTCATCTTGCCCAGAGACCACCCATTTAATTACCGGTTGGAAGTCATCCCTCTCCACTTGGAGTGGATCAAAGACTATAGGAACCAACATGAGAAAATTTGAGCCTTGCCAGGTCAATATTGGGTGCTGAACGAGGTGACTAGTGTCTGTTTAGTTATGTGTATTTTGCTTCGGCTGGGATGGAAAATATTAATTCAGTTCCCCATGCAACCCGTCAGGCAGCATCTTGCAAAAGTGAGAAGCTTTTGCCTACGGTTCCATAAAACAGAAATGGATGATTTTCTTTTGTAACAGGGCTTGGCCCCCACAGCTATGGCACAGTAAGCAGATTCATCAAAAGCTGCTCCATTCTTCTGGAAGCTTCAGAGAAAGGGAACACAGAAATCTGGTATGCTGGTAAAAAGGGTAAGAATTTCTCACCAGCCGAGTTTCTGGTCTCTGTCTCTCTCTCTCCTCTCTCTCTCTCTGTGTGTGTATGTGTGTGTGTGTATTTGTATAAATGATAAACATCACTGTTTGTCTCCTCTGCAAGGGTTTGATTAGTAGAAGAAAGCATTTGTGAGACTAGTCTTAGGTGGTAGCAAATCTGGTGTACTTTGTGCTAAGAATTTGTCTTTCTGTGTTCTTCTGTAATGGAGAGAAGGGAATCACAGAATAGAATGTGGGTTTAAGACTCCTGTAAGCCCACTTTTCAAGCCATCCTGGCAGGCTGCTCAGTTACAAACTTTGCTGTGTGTCCCTGAAACCAATACTAGATGAAATTTATCTGTTTGTTTTGTGTCCTTAAGAGCCCAATCTTGTGACCATGTGGGGATACTTTCTCTTGGTCTCTGCCACCCAGAGGACAGGAATTTGGGGATTCATGTCATAGTTAACCCTAAAAGTTATCTTGAGCAGTTAAAAGCCTTTGCAAGCTCAAAATTGGCTGCTCTAGGCTTCTTCTAGGAAGAGCAATAGAAATTGCTCAATGCTGTAACTCAGTAGCTAAGGCCTTGTCTTTTGACAATGGCATCCCAGGTTCAATTCTTGGCTTAGGGAATGAGTCTTTTCTGGTTTATTTGTGTAACTTTTTGACCCTTATTGATTCTTTTTCCCCCATGGACCACTTTTGATTTCTCCTCTTGAGTTTTCCTTTGAACTACCTTGGGAAGATTCTAAATCTTGTTAAAAAAAAAAAAAAAGAAAGAAACTGATTACTCTCTCTTTGAATCACCATGTGTATCCATTATAACCTTATTTAAAACATTAATTTCACATGGGAAGTTACCTGTGGTGAAGTTCAAAAGCAAGGAACATTGACTGTCTGTGCTGGCTAGAGTCTAGTAATTAGATATTTAAAAAATAATTTTTTAAAGAGCTGTATGGTTAAAATCAGCTTCATTAAAAGCAGATATCCAAACTGTACATATATTTAAAATACCTTTACTTTTTTTTCTCTTCTTGGATCTTATTTTTCTAAAGAAAAAAAAGGTTTTTTCTTCTCAGTTGACTGAATTGTTTTTCTCCACTTTTGTCTTCTCAACACTCTTGATGCCCACATGAAAGAACCTAAGATAAATTCTAACAGCCTGGGACTCTTAGGGAAAAACAGAGGAGGTGCCACAGACCCCATTCTGGGAAAAAGCTCTGTTTTTCTCATGGAACCCTAGGAATTGAAAGAGAATAGATCCCTCTCAAAATCTAAGGCTGTATTCTGTTTTATATTACATTACCTGACATTTTTTACTTTGGCAGGTATCAAAAATTACTTTGCATTATTTGAGAGCTTTTAGTCTTGGTGTGTAATAACCAGGTAGGAAATATACTTTAAGGGATAACTAATAGCAGTTAAGAGGGATACTTGGCTCTTGGATTTTTGGATTAGAGAAGCATGCTCTTGGCCACCTGGAAGGTATGGAAATATCCCCACCCCGAACTGAGAGGAGACTCCCATGGAGGATGGGCTGATTTCAAAATGGGCTAATTGGCTTTGGGTTGCTTTGCAATGACATGCATGGTAGAAGTATTGCACTATCTTCTCCCATAGTATTTCCCTCTTTTGGGGGGATCCAGGATGCAGTATACAAATGGCACCCTTAATTTTGGGGATATGTTTTTGCCTTCTAGCTATGCCTTCTTATTGGGCCCTAGAAATGCCATGCTTTCCTGGTGCTGTTCCTCCAAGGGTGTCACCTTGAAGCCAGTAATCCAATTAAGAAACTAGCAAATGAAAAATCTTACAAGTACCAGATCTTCTGTCTGTCTGTCTATGTATATGTGTTGTATGCATGATGTTTGTATAAAAGAGCTCTAATTGGCTTAGAAAAATAAGCACTTAAATCAAGTATTTTGTCAGAAAAATAGAAACTTTTTAATGCCTGTTTGTTCACATAATTTCAGTGATCTTTTGGAAATAAAAACAGTTTTAAAGATCACTGGTAAATAAAAAATGTCTTCACAATTTAGATGTTTGGTCTAAATAAGGTCAGATGTTAGGTTTGCTAAATGCTTTAAAGTCATAAACTGTTTCTTTGACTTTCGAAAATTGTTAGACTTACCTACTTTGGAGCCATTAGAAATTCTAGCTAAGGTCTGGGGACATGTGGAATTAGCCATGCCCCCTAGCTATGCTGGAGGCAGACCTTATCTGCATTTCTGTCTGATGTCCTAGGCTCCACACTTAGTACATAATTAAAACCACTTATTTATCAGGGTTTTCATCAAAAACAAAAGTTGCTAAGTGTTAACGTTGTAACGTGTAATTGAGACTGCTGGAGAAATTGTTTTACATGCAAGATGTGTAAGGAAAGTAGAATGTGCTTTAGCTAAAGGATTAAATAAGGTAAGGGAATATGGCTTTTGTCAAAGGGAATGTAATTTTGTCTAGTTCAGAGGGCTTTAAAGATCGTCTTAACCTAAAAGAGTAACAGGACAAAACTGAAGGTTTAAGCAAGTTGAAAAGTGTTTGTGAAGGGTTGGTCTTAAGTTTTGAAGGGGATTATTTAATTTTTTTCTGTATGTTGAACATAAAAGCACACTAATGCCGGGCCAGAATCTGGGCCCCTGTGTCTAAACAAAAGGGTTTTCTTAGAAAATTAATCTGCTGTTTAATGGAAAATTGTAAAGTGTTCTAAAAAAGTTTATAAAAACCTTACCTTATGGTCAAACTAATTAAAACTGGATAATTTATAACATTTTATTTAAAAACTAGCTTTAGCATTAAAGAGGCATTAATGCAAACATGAAATTTGGTTTTCTCTTTTGAAAAAGATTTTTGTGTTATTGATATATGTTCCAAAATTATGTGAAACTCCTGTAATTCTGATATGACTTTGTATATGTTATCATTAATAATTATAATTGCTATGTTAAATTATTGTGTTCCCCAGAAGTAACAAATTTCCTTGTCAATTGTGTCTTTAACTGTGGCTGGCCTAAAACTTTTTGTCATCCACAGACAATTATTGTCTTTTGATCCTCTTTAAATGGTTTTATAATCAGCTATAACACTCTGACAGGTGCTCTTAAATGCAGGTTTCTGAAAACTTTGGAGATTGTGACATTAGAATAGAGGAAAAACTTTCAGGACTCTCATTGAGAGCTGAAATGTTCATGAATACTAAGCAGAATGGAAGTTAACTGCATGGGCTGAACTAATAGAAGACTGAGGCAACTTTTTTTGACTTTTTGTTTAAAACATTGCTGATCATTTTTTGTTTTTCAGAGCCAAGAAAACCTTTCTTTTGAGCTATTTACAGCTTTTAATATTGAGTAAAGTACACATCTGTAAACAAAATTTGGAGCATATTTGATTCTCTCTTCCTGATTTTGCCAGGATTTGGTAACTATTTGTGAGTATTCTTATGGCAATATAGTTACTTCCATAAGTGCAATAAGAATGTTTTCATTTGCAACAGGACAAAATTGAAGAAACTGGTTATTTTACCAAGGCTTTGACTGGAATCGTATGCTTGCCTTTAAGGAATAAAAGCCTCTTGAGGCCAGGCATGGTGGCTCATGCCTGCAATCCCAGCACTTTAGGAGACCGGGGCAGGCAGATAGCTTGAGCTCAGGAGCTCAAGACCAACCTGGGCAACTTGGTGAAACCCCGTCTCTACTTAAAATACAAAAATTATCTGGGTGTGGTGGCACATGCCTGTAGTTCCAGCGACTTGGGAGGCTGAGGTGGGAGGATTGCTTGAGCCTGGGGGATGGAGTTGCAGTGAGCAGAGATTGCATCACTGCACTCCAGTCTGGGTGACAGAGCAAGATCCTGTCTCAAAAACAAAACAAAACAGAGAAAACAAAGCCCCTTGGGAAAACTGGCCTCATGCCTTGTCTACACAGTCCCTGTACAGGGTTCCTGATCTGTGGTGAGTAAAGAATGTCACTTTCTAACAGGCCCAGGAGCCCCAAGTTATCTTGGGACCTCAAGAGGAGAGGAATTGACCCAACTCATGGTTATTTGAGGGTACAAACCCATGGGCTTGGCCTGGCTTTAAAAAAGTCTTGTTTGAGATTCCTTATGGAACAGAGTTCCATCAAAGCCAATTTAAAAAGCCTATGTGAACAATAATTATTGTTGCTGCACTTATGCAAGTAATCAGGCAGAGCATAATAAGACTAAAACTTATTTTGCAAGTAAAGTTGACCTACTGTGATTTATTTTTAATTAAAAAATGGGGACTGGAGACAGAAAAATTATGCTCCAAAAATAAAAAACAATCATTGTTAGTTGTTCTTGAGTTTTTTCTGCAGTTTGGACTAAATCCTAAATTATTCATGGACTACAAGTCTCCAAATTAATGTTTTCAAATCTTTACTTTTAAAAGTTGGAATTGCATGCCTTATGCTAGAACTCATTATTTACTTTGTAGTGTGCTGTTCCCTTAAATGCAATACTAAAATTATAGATGACAATACTAACACATTTTTCAGCCATCCTGCGTGAGTATGTTCAGACAGTAGCAAAATGATTCCAGTCCTCTCACCTTGGGGTCAACACCTACCCCGACTATGCCCCTGGTCAGCAGGAAGAAGTTAGAGTGGTCTTTGCCCTTTCTCCATCTTCATTAGCCAACACCTTAAGATTAAGGTGTTATAAAACCCAAAGGAAGGGATTGAAAACGCCATTGCAAAAACATAACTGAGACAGTAAAAGAGATCCAACCTAACCAAGTCCGTCTTGCTTCTAACCTCCAAGCTGTCCTTGTTCATTCCTGGGCAAAGTCTGAAATAACTTTGTGGGGAACTTAGTTTTTTTGTTTTCTGTTTTTTTGAGACAGAGTCTCACTCTGTTACCCAGGCTGGAGTGCGGTGGCATGATATTGGCTTACTGCAACCTCTGCCTTCTGGGTTCAAGAGATTCTCATGCCTCAGCCTCCCAAGTAGCTGGGATTACAGGTGCCCACCACCATGCCCGGCTAATTTTTGTATTTTTAGTAGAGACAGGGCTTTGCCACGTTGGCAAGGCTGGTCTCAAAATCCTGACCTCAGGTGATATGCCTGCCTTGGCCTCCCAAAGTGCTGGTGAGAGGTGGAGCCAGCTGGACTTCCTGGGCCAAATGGGGACTTAAAGAACTTTTCTATCTTACAAGAGGATTGTAAAATGCACCAATCAGTGCTCTGTAAAAAAACACCAATCAGCATTCTGTAGCTAGCAAGGGGATTGTAAAATGCCCCATCAGTGCTTTGTAAAATGCACCAATCAGCAGGATCCTCAAAGTAGCCAATCACAGGGAGGATTGAAAAAAGGGTTTCTGATAGGATAGAAATGGAACATAGGAGGGGACAAATAAGGGAATAAAAGCTGGCCACACCCAGCCAGCAGCAGCAAGCTGCTCGGATCCCCTTCCATGCTGTGGAGGCTTTGTTCTTTTGCTCTTCAAAATAAGCCTTGCTAGTGCTCATTCTTTGGGTTGGTGTCACCTTTAAGAGCTGTAACACTCACCGCAAAGGTCTGCAGCTTCATTCTTGAAGTCAGCAAGGCCATGAACCCACAGTCAACCAACTCTGGACATATTTTGGGGGCTCATCCAGGATAGCATCATGCAGTGAGTACCATTTCACTTGCTATTCTGTCCTATTTTTCCTTAGAATTCGGGGGCTAAACACCAAGCACTTGTCAGCCAGTTAGAAGGAACTAGTGTGGCCCCCAGAATAAGACACGGGTGTCAGGCTTTCTAGGAAAGGGCTCTCTAAAAACCCCCCAACTCTTTGGAGTTAGGAGCATTGGTTTGCCTGGAAACAGCTTCTGCTTCTCCTGTACTTCCGGGCTGAGCTAAGGGTCAACAGAGAGGAAAGCCATTCACTCTGGGGTCCTAACAAAAGTTGGTTGACCTTGCAGCCATGAGCAGACTCTCAAAGTTACATCACCCAAGTGAGACTTGTCCATCTATCCTATCTATCCTGATCCTTGCCTCCTGGGTCCTAATGCCTGTCAGACAAACTTCCTCCTGCCTCTGTTCTCCAAGGGTAATCCTGCTTCTAAAAACCACTCCCTGTCCCTGGTGCTTTTCAAGTTTCTCCTATAAGAATTATTTTTGTATAAATTTCGGGACTCTGTTCCCTTTTTGAGGCACCCAGGCTCACCAATCAGAAAGACATAATTATTGCCCGAAGCCCTATCTCGGAGGGACTATCTGGAATTTTAGGATCCCTCTACAGACGAGTAGGCCTAACAAAGGCTATTCCCAAAGCTAAGATATGCAGAGCCTCAGAAATTATAGATTCCAAAATTGGGAGGGGGGATATCCTTCCTATTCATATGATGAGAAGTGAGGACAAAAGGCATCACTCTTACAACCCTGGCGATCCCTTCCCTCCTTCAAGTATGGCCCTCCACTCCATTTTGAGGCATATCTTCTCTATAGGACAAGGGTAAGGTCACAATACCAACAGAAGAAAATGCTTAGGACTCTTAACTAACAGGTTTTCGAGAATGTGTAAGGGCCACTGAATCCGATTTTTCTCGGTCCTCTTTGTGGTCTAAGAGGAAAGGCAAGGGTGCAGGTTTTCGAGAATGCATTGGTAAGGGCCACTAAATCTGACCTTCCTCAGTCCTCTTTGTCGTCTAGGAGGAAAACTAGTGTTTCTGCTGCTGCTTCAGTGAGCACAACTATTCTGAACAGCAGGGTCCAGGGACCGTTGCAAGTTTTTGGTCAGGGATAAAAAAATGAACCAAAATCATGGGCAGTTTTTTCTTTTAGATGGGAAACACTCAGGCATCAAACAGGCTCACACTTGAAATGCATCCTAAGCCATTGGGATGAATTTGACCTGCAAGCCCTGAAAAAGAAGAGGCTTATTTTTTTCTGCACTGTGGCCTGGTCCCAATATTCTCTCTCTGATAGGGAAAAATGGCCACCTGTGGAAAGTATAAATTACAGTATTATCCTGCAGCTTGACTTTTTCTGTAAGATGGAAGGCAAATGGAGTGAAATACCTTATGTCCAAGCTTTCTTTTCACTGAAGGACAATCCACAACTATGCAAAGCTTGCAACCTACATTCCACAGGAGGACCTCTCAGCTTACCCCCATATCCTAGCCTCCCTACAGCTCCTCTTCCTATTAATGATGAGCCTCCTCTAATCTCCCCCACCCAGAAGGAAACAAGCAAAGAAATCTCCAAGGGGCCACAAAAACCTCTGGGCTATTGGTTATGTTCTTTTCAAGCTGTAGGGGGAGGGGAATTTGGCCCAACCTGGGTACATGTCCCCTTCTCCCTCTCTGATTTAAAGCAGATCAAGGTAGATCTGGGGAAGTTTTCAGATGATCCTGATAGGTATATAGATGTCCTACAGGGTCTAGGGCAAAACTTCGACCTCACTTGGAGAGATGTCATGCTATTGTTAGATCAAACCCTGGCCTTTAATGAAAAGAATGCAGGTTTAGCTGCAGCCTGAGAGTTTGGAGATACTTGGTATCTTAGTCAAGTAAATGATAGAATGACAGCCAAAGAAAGGGACAAATTCCCTACCAGTCAGCAAGCCATCACCAGTATTGATCCCCACTGGGACCTTGACTCAGATCATGGGAACTGGAGTCGCAAACATCTGTTAACCTGTGTTCTAGAATGACGAAGAGAATTAGGAAAAAGCCCATGAATTATTCAATGATGTCCACCATAACTCAGGGAAAGGAAGAAAATCCATCCACCTTCCTCGAGTGGCTATGGGAGGCCTTAAGAAAATATACTCCCCTGTCCTCTGACTCCTTTGAGGGTCAATTAATCCAAAAGGATAAGTTTATTATGCAACCAGCTGCAGATATCACGAGAAAGCTCCAAAAGTGAGCCCTGGGCCCTGAACAAAATCTGGAGGCATTATTAAAGCTGGCAACCTTGGTGTTCTATCACAGGGACCAAGAGGAACAGGCTGAGAAGGAAAAGCGAGATCAGAGAAAGGCCACAGCCTAACTCATGGCCCTCACATGAACAAACCTTGGTGGTTCAGAGAGGAGAGAAAATGGAGAAGGCCAATAACCTGGTAGGGCTTGTTATCAGTGTGGTTTGCAAGAACACTTCAAAAAAGATTGTCCAATGAGAAACAAGCCACCCTCTCGCCCATGTCCACTATGCCAAGGCAATCACTGGAAGATGTCCTGGAGGACAAAGGTTCTCTAGGCCAGAACCCCCAACCAGATGATCCAACAACAGGACTGAGGATGCCCAAGGCAAGTGCCAGCTCATGTCATCACCTTCTCTGAGACTCGGGTAACTTTAACCATTGAGGGCCAGTGAATTGATTTCCTCCTGGACACTGACACTGCCTTCTCAGTGTTACTCTCCTGCCCCGGACCACTGTCCTCAAAGTCCATTACCATCCGAGGAATCCTGGGACAGCCTGTAACCAGGTATTTCTCCCACCTCCTCAGTTGTAATTCAGAGACTTTGCTCTTTTCACATGCCTTTCTTGTTATGCCTGAAAGTCCCACACTCTTATTAGGGAAGGACGTGTTAGCCAAAGCTGGAGCTATTACTGATATGATATGAATATGGGGGACAAGTTACCCATTTGTTGTCTCCTACTTGAGGAGGGAATCAACTCTGAAGTCTGGGCATTGGAAGGACAATTCAGAAGGGCAAAAAATGCCCAGCCAGTTCGAATCAGGCTAAAAGACCCCACCACTTTTCCTTATCAAAGGCAATATCCCTTAAGGCCCAAAGCTCATAAAGGTTTACAGTATATTGTTAGACATTTAAAAGCTCAAGGCTTAGTAAGAAAATGCAATAGGCCCTGCAACACTCCAATTCTAGGAGTACAAAAAGCAAATGTTCAGTGGAGACTAGTGCAAGATCTTAGTCTCATCAATGAGGCAGTAATTTCTCTATATCCAGTTGTAGCCAACTCCTATACCCTGCTCTCTCAAATACCAGAGGAAGCAGAATGGTTCACTATTCTGGACCTCAAGGATACCTTCTTCTGCATTCTCCTGCACTCTGACTCCCAGTTTCTCTTTGCCTTTGAGGATCCCACAGACCACACATCCCAATTTACGTGGACAGTCTTGCCTCAAGGGTTTAGGGATAGCCCTCATCTGTTTGGTCAGGCACTGGCCCAAGATGTAGGCCACTTCCCAAGTCCAGGAACTCTGGTCCTTCAGAATGTGGATGATTTATATTTTTTATTATTACTATACTTTAAGTTCTAGGGTACATGTGCACAACATGCAGGTTTGTTACATAGGTTACATGTGCCATGTTGGTTTGCTGCAACCATCAACTCGTCATTTACATTAGGTATTTCTCCTAATGCTATCCCTCCCCCTGCCCCCCACCCCATGACAGGCCCCCGTGTGTGATGTTCCCCACCGTGTGTCCAAGTGTTCTCATTGTTCAATTCCCAACCATGAGTAAGAACATGCAGTGTTTGGTTTTCTGTCCTTGTGATAGTTTGCTGAGAATGATGGTTTCCAGCTTCATCCATGTGCCTGCAAAGGACATGGACTCATCCTTTTTTATAGCTGCATAGTATTCCCTGGTGTATATGTGTCACATTTTCTTAATCCATGCTATCATTGGTGGACATTAGGGTTGGTTCCAAGTTTTTGCTATTGTGAATAGTGCCACAATAAACATACGTGTGCATGTGTCTTTATAGTAGCATGACTTTTAATCCTTTGGGTATATACCCAGTAATGGGATGGCTGGGTCAAATGGTATTTCTAGTTCTAGATCCTTGAAGAATCACCACCACACTGTCTTCCACAATGGATGAACTAGTTTACACTCCCACCAACAGTGTAAAAGCATTCCTATTTCTTCACATCCTCTCCAGCATCTGTTGTTTCCTGACTTTTTAATGATCACCATTCTAACTGGTGTGAAATGGTATCTCATTGTGGTTTTCATTTGCATTTCTCTGATGACCAGTGATGATGAGCATTTTTCCATGTGCCTGTTGGCTACATAAATGTCTTCTTTTGAAAAGTGACTGTTAATATCCTTTGCCCACTTTTTGATGGGTGGTTTGTTTTTGTCTTGTACATTTGTTTAAGTTCTTTGTAGATTCTGGATATTAGCCCTTTGTCAGATGGGTAGATTGCAAAAATTTTCTCCCATTCTGTAGGTTGCCTGTTCACTCTGATGATAATTTCTTTTGCTGTGCAGAAGCTCTTTAGTTTAATTAGATCCCATTTGTTTTGGCTTTTCTTAACATTGCTTTTGGTGTTTTAGTCATGAAGTCCTTGCCCATGCCTATATCATGAATGGTATTGCCTAGGTTTTCTTCTAGGGTTTTTATGGTTTTAGATCTAACATTTAAGTCTTTAGTCCATCTTGAATTAATTTTTGTATAAGGTGTAAGGAAGGGATCCCATTTCAGCTTCCTACATATGGCTAGCCAGTTTCCCCAGCACGTTTATTAAATAGAGAATCCTTTCCCCATTGCTTGTTTTTGTCAGGTTTGTCAAAGATCAGGTGGTTGTAGATGTGTGGTGTTATTTCTGAGGCCACTGTTCTGTTCTATTGGTCTATATATCTGTTTTGGTACCAGTACCATGCTGTTTTTGTTGCTGTAGCCTTGTAGTATAGTTTGAAGTCAGGTAGCATGATGCCTCCAACTTCATTCTTTTTGGTTAGGATTTTCTTGGCAATACAGGCTACAGGCTCTTTTTTTGTTTCCATATGAACTTTAAAGTAGTTTTTTCCAATTCTGTGAAGAAAGTCATTGGTAGCTTGATGGGGATGGCATTGAATCTATAAACTACCTTGGGCAGTATGGCCATTTTCATGATATTGATTCTTCCTATCCATGAGCATGGAATGTTCTTCCATTTGTTTGTGTCCGCTTTTATTTCGTTGAGCATTGGTTTGTGGTCCTCCTTGAAGAGGTCCTTCACATCCCTTGTAAGTTGGATTCCTAGGTATTTTTTTCTCTTTGTAGAAATTGTTAATGAGAATTCACACATGATTTGGCTCTGTTTGTCTGTCATTGCCGTATAGGAATGCTTGTGATTTTTGCACATGGATTTTGTATCCTGAGACTTTGCTGAAGTTGCTTATCAGCTTAAGGAGATTTTGGGCTGAGACGATGGGGTTTTCTAAATATACAGCCATGTCATCTGCAAACAGGGACAATTTGACTTCCTCTTTTCCTAATTGAATGGCATGAACCCAGGAGGCGGAGCTTTCTCTTGCCTGATTGCCCTGGCCCATCTTCCAACACTATGTTGAATAGGAGTCGTGAAAGAGGGCATCCTTCTCTTGTACCACTTTTCAAAGGGAATGCTTCCAGTTTTTGCCCATTAAGTATGATATTGGCTGTGGGTTAGTCATAAATAGCTCTTATCATTTTGAGATATGTTCCATCAATACCTAGTTTATTAGAGATTTAGCATGAAGGGCTGTTGAATTTTGTAAAGGCCTTTTCTACGTCTATTGAGATAGTCATGTGGTTTTTGTCGTCGGTTCTGTTTATGTGATGGATTATGTTTATTGATTTGCATATGTTGAACCAGCCTTGCATCCCAGGGATGAAGCCAACTTGATCATGGTGGATAAGCTTTTTGATGTGCTGCTGGATTTGGTTTGCCTGTATTTTATTGAGGATTTTTGCATCGATGTTCATCAGGGATATTGGTCTGAAATTCTCTTTTTTTGTTGTGTCTCTGCCAGGCTTTGGTATCAGGATAATGCTGGCCTCATAAAATGAGTTAGGGAGGATTCCCTCTTTTTCTATTGTTTGGAATAGTTTCAGAAGGAATGGTATCAGCTACTCTTTGTACCTGTGGTAGAATTTGGCTGTGAATCCGTCTGGTCCTGGACTCTTTTTGATTCATAGGTTATTAATTATTGTCTTAATTTCAGAACCTGTCATTGTTCTATTCAGAGATTCAACTTCTTACTGGTTTAGTCTTGGGACAGTGTGTGTGTCCAGGAATTTATCCATTTATTCTAGATTTTCTAGTTTATTTGCATAGAGCTTTTTATAGTATTCTCTGATGGTAGTTTGTATCTGTGGGATCAGTGGTGATATCCCCTTTATCATTTTTTATTGTGTCTATTTCATTTTTTCTCATTTCTTCTTTATTAGTCTTGCTAGCAGCCTATCAATTTTGATGATCTTTTCAAAAAACCAGCACCTGGATTCATTAATTTTTTAAGGGTTTTTTGTGTCTCTATCTCCTTCACTTCTGCTCTGATCTTAGTTATTTCTTGCCTTCTGCTAGCTTTTGAATGTGTTTGCTCTTGCTTCTCTAGTTCTTTCAATTGTGATGATAGGGTGTTGATTTTAGATCTTTCCTGCTTTCTCTTGTGGGCATTTAGTGCTATAAATTTCCCTCTACACACTGCTTTAAGTGTGTCCCAGAGATTCTGGTACGTTGTGTCTTTGTTCTCATTGGTTTCAAGGAACATCTTTATTTCTGCCTTAATTTCTTTGTTTACCCAGTAGTCATTCAGGAACAGATTGTTCAGTTTTCATGTAGTTTTGCAGTTTTGAGTGAGTTCCTTCATCCTGAGTTCTACTTTGTTTGCACTGTGGTCTGAGAGACAGTTTGTTGTGATTTCTGTTCTTTTACATTGGCTGAGGAGTGCTTTGCTTCCAACTATGTGGTCAATTTTTGAAGAAGTGCGATGTGGTGCTGAGAAGAATGTGTATTCTGTTGATTTGGGGTGGAGAGTTCTGTAGATGTCTCTTAGGTCTTCTAGGTGCAGAGCTGAGTTCAAGTCCTGGATATCCTTGTTAACCTTCTGTCTTGTTGATCTGTCTAATATTGACAGTGGGGTGTTAAAATCTCCCATTATTATTGTGTGGGAGTCTAAGTCTCTTCGTAGGTCTCTAAGGACTTGCTTTATGAATCTGGGTGCTCCTGTATTGGGTGCATATATATTTAGGGTAGTTAGCTCTTCTTGTTGAATTGATCCCTTTACCATTATGTAATGGCCTTCTTTGTCTCTTTTGTTCTTTGTTGGTTCAAAGTCTGTTTTATCAGAGACTAGGATTGCAACCCCTGCTTTTTCTTTGCTTTCCATTTGCTTGGTAGATCTTCCTCCATCCCTTTATTTTGAGCCAATGTGTGTCTGCATGTGAGATGGGTCTCCTGAATACAGCACACTGATGGGTCTTGACTCTTTATCCTATTTGTCAGTCTGTGTCTTTTAATTGGGGAATTTATCCCACTTACATTTAAGGTTAATATTGCTATGTGTGAATTTGATCCTGTCATTATGATGTTAGCTGGTTATTTTGCCCATTAATTGATACAGTTTCTTCCTAGCATCGATGATCTTTAAAATTTGGCATGTTTTTTTGTTTGTTTGTTTTTTGTTTTTTGTTGTTTTTTTTTGAGACAGAGTCTCACTCTTTTGCCCAGGCTGGAGTGGAGTGGCATGATCTTGGCTCACTGCAAGCTCTGCCTCCTGGGTTCATGCCATTCTCCTGCCTCAGCCTCCTGAGTAGCTGGGACTACAGGTGCCCACCACCATGCCTGGCTAATTTTTTGTATTTTTAGTAGAGACAGGGTTTCACCATCTTAGCAAGGATGGTCTCGATTTCCTCACCTTGTGATTCACCCACCTTGGCCTCCCAAAATGCTGGGATTACAGGTGTGAGCCACTGTGCCCAGCCAAAACTTGGCATGTTTTTGCAGTGGCTGGTACCGGTTGCTCCATTCTATGTTTAGTGCTTCCTTCAGGAGATCTTGTAAGGCAGGCCTGGTGGTGACAAAATCTCTGAGCACTTGCTTGTCTGTAAAGGGTTTTATTTCTCCTTCACTTATGAAAATTAGTTTGGCTGGATATGAAATTCTGGATTGAAAATTCAGAATTTTTTTCTTGAAGAATTCTTTTCTTGAAGAATGTTGAATATTGGCCCCTACTCTCTTCTGGCTTGTAGAGTTTCTGCCGAGAGATCTGCTGTTAGTCTGATGGGCTTCCCTTTGTGGGTAACCAGACCTTTATCTCTGGCTGCCCTTAACTTTTTTCCTTCATTTCAACCTTGGAGCATCTGACAAGTATGTGTATTGGGGTTGCTGTTCTCGAGGATTATCTTTGTGTTGTTCTCTGTATTTCTCGAATTTAAATGTTGGCCTGCCTTGCTAGGTTGGGGAAGTTCTCCTGGATAATATCCTGAAGAGTGTTTTCCTACTTGGTTCCATTCTCCCTGTCACTTTCAGGTATACCAATCAAACATAGATTTTGGTCTTTTCACGTAGTCCCTGTTTTTTGGAGGCTTCGTTCATTTCCTTTCACTCTTTTTTCTCTAAACTTCTCCTCTCACTTTATTTCATTAATGTGATCTTCAATCACTGATATCCTTTCTTCCACTTGATCAAATCAGCTATTGAAGCTTGTGCATGCATCATGTAGTTCTCGTGCCATGGTTTTCAGCTCCATCAGGTTGTTTATCATCTTCTTTACACTGTTTGTTCTAGTTTTCCTTTCATGTAATCTTTTTTCAAGGTTTTTAGCTTCTTTATGAAGGGTTCGAACATCCTCCTTTAGCTCAGAGAAGTTTATTACCAACCTTCTGAAGCCTACTTCTGTCAGCTCATCAAAATCATTCTCCGTCCAGCTTTGTTCCATTGCTGGTGAGAAGCTGCTATCCTCTGGAAGAGAAGAGGTGCACTGGTTTCCAGTAAATTCCACTATTCTGCTCTGGTTTCTCCCCATCTTCGTGGTTTTATCTACCTTTGGTCTTTGAGGCTGGTGACCTACAGATGGGGTTTTGGTGTGGATGTCCTTTTTGTTGATGTTGATGTTATTCCTTTCTGTTTGTTAGTTTTCCTTCTAAGAGTCAGGTCCCTCAGCTGAAGGTCTGTTGGAGTTTGCTGGAGGTCATCTCCAGACCCTGTTTACCTGGGTATCACCAGCAGAGGCTGCAGAACAGCAAATATTGCAGAAGAGCAAATGTTGCTGCCTGATCCTTCCTCTGGAAGCTTCATCCCAGAGGGGCACTCACCTGTATGAGGTGTCTGTCAGCCCCTACTGGGAGGTGTCTCCCAGTTAGGCTACACGGGGAACAGGGACCCACTTGAGGAGGCAGTCTGTCCATTCTCAGAGCTCAGAAACCATGCCAGGAGAGCCATTGCTCTCTTCAGAGCTGTCAGACAGGGACATTTATGTCTGCAGAAGTTTCTGCTGTCTTTTGTTCAGCTATGCCTGCCCCCAGAGGTGGGGTCTACAGAGGCAGCAGGCCTTGCAGAGCTGCAGTGGGCTCTGCCCAGTTCAAACTTCCCCAGCCACATTGTTTACCTACTCAAGCCTCAGCAATGGTGGACGCCCCTCCCCTACCAGGCTGCTGCCTCAGACTGCTGTGCTAGCAGTGAGAAAAGCTGTGTGGGCTTGGGATCCACCAAGCCAGGTGCGGGATATGATCTCCTGGTGTGCCGTTTGCTAAGATTGTTGGAAAAGCACAGTATTTGGGTGACAGTGTCCTGATTTTCCAGGTACAGTCTGTCACAGCTTTCTTTGGCTAGGAAAGGGAAATTCCCTGACCTCTTGTGCTTCCTGGGTGAGGCGATGCTCTGCCCCACTTCGGCTTGCCCTCCATGGGCTGCACCCACTGTCCAACCATTCCCAATGAGATGAACTAGGTCCAACAGTTGGAAATGCAGAAATCACCGTCTTCTGCATCAATCACCCTGGGAGCTGCAGATCGGAGCTATTCCTATTCAGCCATCTTGGAATGGAATTTGGATGATTTACTTTTGGCTACCAGTTTGGAAGCCTCATGCCAGCAGGCTACTCTAGATCTCTTGAACTTTCTAGCTAATCAAAGGTGCAAGGCATCTAAACTGAAAGCCCAGCTCTGCCTACAACAAGTCAAATATCTAGGCCTAATCTTAGCCAGAGGAACCAGGGCCCTCAGCAAGGAACAAACACAGCCTATACTGCCTTATCCTTGCCCTAAGACATTAAAACAGTTGCGGGGGTTCCTTGGAATCACTGGCTGTTGCTGACTATGGATCCCCGGATACAGTGAGATGGCCAGGCCACTCTATATGCTAATCAAGGAGACTCAGAGGGCAAATACTCATCTAGTAGAATGGGAACAAGAGGCAGAAACAGCCTTCAAAATCTTAAAGCAGGCCCTAGTACAAGCTCCAGCCTTAAGCCTTCCCACAGGACAAAACTTCTCTTTATACATCACAGAGAGAGTGGGAATAGCTCTTGGAGTCCTTATTCAGACTCGTGGGACAACCCCACAACCAGTGGCATACCTAAGTAAGGAAATTGAGGTAGTAGCAAAAGGCTGGCCTCACTGTTTACAGGTAGTTGTGATGGTTGCTATCTTGGTATCAGAGGCTATCAAAATAATTCAAGGAAAGGATCTCACTGTCCGGACTACTCATGATGTAAACAGCATACTAGGTGCCAAAGGAAATTTGTGGCTATCAGACAACCGCCTGCTTAGATACCAGGTGCTACTCCTTGAGGGACCAGTGCTTCAAATATGCAGGTGTGCGTCCCTCAACCCTGCCACTTTTCTCCCATGGGATGGGGAACCAATCAAGCATGACTGCCAATAAATTGTAGCCCAGACTTATGCCACCCAAGAGGATCTTTTAGAAGTCCCCTTAGCTAATCCTGACTTTAATCTATATACCAATGGAAGTTCATTTGTGGAGAATGGGATACAAAGGACAGGTTATGCCATAGTTAGTGATGTAACAGTACTTGAAAGTAAGCGTCTTCCCCCAGGGACCAGCACCCAGTTAGCAGAACTGGTGGCACTTATCCGAGCCTTAGAACTGGGAAAGAGAAAAAGAATAAATGTGTATACAGATAGAAAGTATGCTTATCTATTCTACATGCCCATGCTGCAATATGGAAAGAAAGGGAGTTCCTAACCTCTGGGGGAACCCCTATTAAATACCCCAAGGAAATCATGAAGTTATTGCACCCAGTGCAAAAACCCAAGGAGGTGGCAGTCTTCCACTGCCAAAGCTGTCAAAAAGGTGAAGGAGAAAAGGCAGAAGGAAACCATCAGGCAGACACTGAGGCCAAAATTGCTGCCAGGTGGAAACTCCCATTAGAAATACCTATGGAAGGACCCTTGGTATGGAACAACCGTCTCCAAGAGATTAAGCCCCAGTGTTCCCCAACCAAAACAGAATGGGGACTTTCATGGTGGTATAGTTTTCTCCCCTAGGGTGGTTAATGACAGAAGAGGGAAAAGTACTCATGCCCAAAGCCAGCCAGTGGAAAATACTTAAGAACCTTCACCAAACTTTTCATATGGGTATTGAGAACACTCATCAAATGGCCAAATCCCTATTTATGGGGCCAAATCTCCTCCAGACCATCCAACAAGTAGTCAAAGCCTGTGAGGTGTGCCAAAGGAATAATCCCTTGGTCCATCATAAGGCCCCTCTGGGGGAACAAAGAATAGGGCATGATCCTGGAGAGGACTGGCAGTTAGACTTCACCCATATGCCTAAGTCAAGGGGATTTCAATACTTGGTCTGTGTTGATATCTTTACAAATTGGACAGAAGCCTTCCCCTCCAAGACAGAGAAGCCTTGGGAAGTGGTTAAAGTCCTAATTCATGAAATAATTCCTAGATTTGGGTTTCCCCAAAGCTTACCAAGAATACCCTAACAGGACGTGCAATCCAGCTTTTACATTTCCAACCTCACCTATTACATGAGCAATGAAAAGTCCATACACGGCCCTGTAACCATGAATACTGTCTTAACTTTCAAAGCCCCTTTATGCCTCCAGCACAACCTGTTATCAGGCCTGCCCCTGGGGCACCTACTATCCCATCAGTGTAATTACACCCTACAACTTCAAGCCCCAACTGATCATAGTAACTTCTGAGTCACCCAAACAGCTCCATTCAGATGGCTTGTCCGCTTCTCAGGGCCTCCAAAAATCATTACCTCCTCCCTGCTTAACAAACAGTCCGGGTTTTGTAATGGCAAACATACTCCCTGCATGACCATTCACCCCTGGTCCCCCTGCAGCAATGCCCCCACCATTAATTATTGCCTTCTCATCCCCTCTTTCAATCACTCCCTTGAATGGTTCGTAGTTGATACAAAATGATTTTTTCTCCAATGGGAAAATGGAACACAGGGAGCCACTCAATTTGCTCCTAACACCCCTTTCCAGCCACTCACAAGAGCTACCTTGGCAAGTACTCTAGGAGTATGGGAAAATGAAAACAACAAACTCACACAGCTTTTTAACATACACAACCAGTTCTGTCTACAGCCAAGGCATATTCTTCTTATGCAGAACTTCAACCTATATCTGCCTCTCCACCAACTGGACAGGCACCTGCACCTTAGTCTTCCTAAGTCCCAACATTGACATTGCCCCAGGAAATCAAACCCAATCAATGCCCCTCAAAGCTCAAGTCCATCAGTGCAGGGCCATACAACTAATACCCTTCCTTATAGGGTTAGGAATGGTCACTGCTACAGGAACTGGAATAGCAGGTTTGTCCACTTCACTATCCTACTACCACACACTCTCAAAGGATTTCTCAGACAGTTTGTGAGAAATAACAAAATCTATCCTTACTCTACAATCCCAAATAGATTCTTTGGCAGCAGTGATTCTCCAAAACCGCTGAGGCCTAGACCTCCTTGCTGCTGAGAAAGGAGGACTTTGCACCTTCTTAGGGGAAGAGTGTTGCTTTTACACTAACCAGTCAGGGATAGTATGAGCATTTACAGGAAAAGGCTTCTGAAATCACACAGTGCCTCTCAAACTCTTAGACCAACCTCTGGAGTTGGGCGACATGGCTTCTCCCCTTTCTAGGTCCTGTGACAGCCATCTTGCTATTACTCACCTTCGGGCCCTGTATTTTATTTTATTTATTAATTTTTTTGAGATGGAATCTCACTCTGTCACCCAGGCTGGAGTGCAGTGGTGTGATCTTGGCTCACTGCAAGCTCCACCTCCCAGGTTCATGCCATTCTCCTGCCTCAGCCTCCCAAGTAGCTGGTACTACAGGCACCTGCCACCATGCCCGGCTAATTTTTTGTATTTTTAGTAGAGACGGGGTTTCACCGTGTTAGCCAGGATGGTCTTGATCTCCTGACCTCATGATCCGCCCGCCTTGGCCTCCCAAAGTGCCGGGATTCAGGCATGAGACACTGCGCCCAGCCCAGTCCCTGCATTTTTAACCTCCTTGTCAAATTTGTTTCCTCCAGGATCGAGGCCATCAAGCTACAGATGGTCTTACAAATGGAACCCCAAATGAGCTCAATTCACAACTTCTACGAAGGACCCCTGGATCAACCTACTGGCCCTTTGACTGGCCTAAAAAGTTCCCCTCTGGAGGACACTACAACTGCAGGGCCCCTTCTTTGCCCCTATCCAGCAGGAAGTAGCTAGATCAGTCATCGCCCAATTCCCAACAGCAGTTGGTATGTCCTGTTTAGAGGGAGGATTGAGAAGTGAAGCCAGCTGAACTTCCTGGGTTGAGTGGAGACTTGGAGAACTCTTCTGTCTTGCAAGAGGATTGTAAAAAGCCTTGTCCCGCCCCTGCATGCGCTGCCTCTCCCAGGCCCCGCCTTCCACCCAGTGTCTTGGACCCTCAGCTGGGCAGCACCACCAGAGCAACCATACATCCTGCATGTTCCAGGCCTCACTCGAGAGGCAAAAAAGCTCCATGGCGGCGGCGGCCAAGCCCAAGAACCTCTCCCTGGTGGTGCATGGACCAGGTGACTTGCGCCTGATAAGCCTGGAAGGAGGGTGGGAAGCCTACCAACCCTGACTCACTCTCCTCTGAGCCCAGCCACAGTCCTGGCTTCCCACTTACAGCCCAGCACCGGCCCCGCAACTTAAGCGCCCTGGCTGCCCAGATCCCAGTTCCCCTCAGGATGTGGGGGTGGCGGGTAGTGGCTGTTGCGAAGAGCAGGGATCTAGTTGTGTACCTCCGAGAACCTAGCCCCATGGCTGGCACGTGGCCGGTGCCCAGGATGGTTGCAAACTGTTTGAATGAAGCTTTCTCTCTCCTTTGCCAGCTGCAGATTCATAGTCCAGCCTCTCGTCATTGACCTTTTCAAAGAAAATGCTAAGGCTGTCTGAATTATCCGGGCAGACAGTGCAAAGCAGAAAGGGGGGCCAGAGGACACTTAAAAACAGCAGAACTTATATTTAACTCCCCTTGCTTGGAACTGATAAACCTCCCTTGCAGGATTATTATGATCACAAGAGTACTCAGCACTTAGTACGTGCTCAGGAAGTGCCAGCTCCTTCTCCTTTCCTTCCAGTATAGACCACCATCTCCAGAACTCCTGGTGTTCCCCTTGCCTGTGCCAGACTTCTGAACCTTGGTAGTCCCCTTGTCTGTAAGGCTCCTTCTCTCCCTAAGTCCCTATCTGGTTTACTTTCCAGCAGTTTTTCTTTCTAATCCCGTGCCTCTGTCCCTTTAGGAGCATTCTGTATGTGTGTCCTCTGCTTTAGACCCTGCCTTTTGCTTCCTGTTTTGTGGCACCAAAGTTTAGGAAGTGGCGGAGTCAGCACCCTGGTCATGCCAAGGCTCCCTTGACAAAGTGCTTCTCAGATGGGCCTGGGATGGCAGTGGGTATGTGGGATGAGTGCCAGCCATCTCTGCTGCTCCCCTGTACCTCCTCTCCCTCAAAGTACATGCATCAGTATGTAAATTGCAGTAATTCAGAAGCTTATCCAGATTGGCAGTTCTTGACTATTTAAGAATCAGTAGTGTCCCTTCGACAGAATGCAAAGAGACTGAGTTTGGCAACAATTTCAGATTGTTCAAGGACTCCCTTTAAGCCACTCTAAGCCCCTCTATAGAACCCTTGTCCCAGCTGACTCTCCATCTCCTCAGTTGAAGAAAGTGCCATACCCAAGGTGATAGGTTTTGTTAGTTAACAGAGCCACGACAAGGACTCAGATGTTCAGACTCCCCATTCTAGTGCTCATTCCACTCTTTGGAGCCTCCACCCAAGGTCCTGAATTAAAGTGAGGCTGTTAGTGTTTACTGTTGCAAATGCCAGATGGTATTATGAGTAAGGGAAAGTGGTCCAGCTCTACCCAGCTTGCAGAGTGATTTCCAACTCAGTACTTCATTCCACAAACATTCACTCATGAAAGGGTGCCTGCCATGTGCCAGGCACTGGGCTGAGGGCCCAGAGAGGAGGACACAGCCCCTGCTCCCAAGTTTACTGAGGGAGGCAGACAGATAAAGTCAACAATTATGACAGAGCCCGAGGGCTTTGATGGAGGCCTCAGAGAGAAAAGACCCCACAGAGAAAAGACCCCAAGAGAAAAGAACCTTGGCCCTCTATCTGCTCAGAGCCTGCTTAAAAGTCATGCGCCTAAGATGCAGAAACACAGTTACGTTCTCCTTCATCTTACCTCAAACTCATGGTCTTCCACTGCTCAGGCAGACTACCTCTACTATGGTTCCGTAGACAAAGCTTTGAAGATTAGAGCAGCAGCGAACTAACCTTGATCTCATCAGCTTTGCATTAGAACCCACTCTCTGACTGGATTAGGGGCTAGGTTGGGGTGGCTGTAACCTAAAAGATCTAGAAAATATGATGGGCTATTTCACCTGTGGTTGTGTGCTGGTACACTAACTGGGTAAAAGAGTTCAGAGGAGGATTTAGGAAATGACACCTAGGCTCAGTTTGAGAATGGGAAGTGGTAGGGTCATTTACTGGTCAGAGTAGATTAAAATGAGATCAGGTTTGAAAAGTTGAGTTTAAGATGTCTCTGGAGGCCAGCTGTGGTAGTTCATGCCTGTAATCCCAGCACTTTTAGAGGCCAAGGTACGCAGATCACTTGAGGTTAGGAGTTTGAGACCAACCTGGCCAACTCGGTGAAACTCTGTCTCTACTATAAATACAAAAATTAGCTGGGTGTGGTGCCACATGCCTGTAATCCCAGCTACTTGGGAGGCTGAGAATCGCTTGAGTCTGGGAGTCAGAGATTGCAATGAACTGAGATCGTACCACTGCACTCCAGCCTGGATGACAGCAAAACTCTGTCTAAAAAAAAAAAAAAAAAAAAAAAAAAGATGTCTCTGGGACAGGACACAAGGTGCCTTTGAGAAATTTCCTTGGGTGCAAGGATCTGGAGTGCAGGGATACTAACTATCTTGGTTGGAAATGTAAACTCAGGAGTCCTTTGCTCCTCTACTGAGCAGTACTACACTGCCCCCCTGACCCAGAGGGCATTTGGAAATGTGTCAGGGAGGTTTGGTTGTCACGATGACTGAGGAGCACTACTGCGGACTTTATTCAGTTCATAGCACTGTCCTGCACAACAAAGAGTTGTCCTGTCCCAAATAGTGCCCTATGGGGAATTATGGATGGCTGAGCTTGCCTGGGCTGAGTGAACCATGTAGAGTGAGAAGGAAAGAAGAGGAGGACATTACCCTGGAGAGAGCCCCAACACTGGAGGGGAAAGGGCAGAAAGAGTTGTCAGCAGAGGAGACCCACTGTGCTGCCTCAGGTGCACCTGCAGCTCAACACAGACCTTCTGGGCCCTCGCCACTCCTTCTCAGGCATGGTCTTCCACCAGCACCTCCACAGTGCCCAACCCGGACCCCCAATGTGGTATCACTGCTCCTCCACCTTTTCCATAAGACAAATAGGCTCACTGGCTTGGGTTTGGGGTCAGTAGTGAACCAGAGATAGCAACTAGGAGGAACAATCCTGGGGAAGCTTTGAGGGGAACCACCCATTTTCCTCTCTGCAAGAGGACCAAAATGAAACCCAGGATTTCCTGGACTTAATAAATTGTCAGCGGTTGCATTTTGGGGGAGGAAAAAACCCTTGGTTGGATATGAACTGGAGAATTTGACTGTTTTCTTCTTTTGATGTAAGACCACCAGCCACAGATTAAAAACCCTTCCATTTCTGGCTGGCCGGGGAACTGCAGCCCAGCAAAATGTGGCCGATTTAGGTATACAGGGGGGCAGGGTCTACTGATAAAATGGTTCAGTGCCTCAGGAACTCCTATGAAGGGAGTCATTTGAGGAAACTCTCATTCCTAAAATCTTTCATTATTATTATTATTATTATTATTATTATTATTATTATACTTTAAGTTTTAGGGTACATGTGCACAATGTGCGGGTTAGTTACATATGTATACATGTGCCATGCTGGTGTGCTGCACCCATTAACTCATCATTTAGCATTAGGTATATCTCCTAATGCTATGCCTCCCCCCTCCCCCCAACCCCACAACAGTCCCCAGAGTGTGATGTTCCCCTTCCTGTGTCCATGTGTTCTCATTGTTCAATTCCCATCTATGAGTGAGAACATGCGGTGTTTGGTTTTTTGTCCTTGCGATAGTTTACTGAGAATGATGATTTCCAATTTCATCCATGTCCCTACAAAGGACATGAACTCATCATTTTTTATGGCTGCATAGTATTCCATGGTGTATATCTGCCACATTTTCTTAATCCAGTCTATCATTGTTGGACATTTGGGTTGGTTCCAAGTCTTTGCTATTGTGAATAGTGCCACAATAAACATACATGTGCATGTGTCTTTATAGCAGCATGATTTATAGTCCTTTGGGTATATACCCAGTAATGGGATTGCTGGATCAAATGGTATTTCTAGTTCTAGATCCCTGGGGAATCGCCACACTGACTTCCACAATGGTTGAACTAGTTTACAGTCCCACCAACAGTGTAAAAGTGTTCCTATTTCTCCACATCCTCTCCAGCACCTGTTGTTTCCTGACTTTTTAATGATTGCCATTCTAACTGGTGTGAGATGGTATCTCATTGTGGTTTTGATTTGCATTTCTCTGATGGCCAGTGATGGTGAGCATTTTTTCATGTGTCTTTTGGCTGCATAAATGTCTTCTTTTGAGAAGTGTCTGTTCATATCCTTTGCCCACTTTTTGATGGGGTTGTTTGTTTTTTTCTTGTAAATTTGCTTGAGTTCATTGTAGATTCTGGATATTAGCCCTTTGTCAGATATTTTGGTGACAGGGTTTCACCATGTTGCCCAGGCTGGTCTGGAACTTCTGAGTTTAAGCAATCCACCTGCCTCGGCCTCCCAAAGTGCTGGGATCACCGGTGTGAGCCATCCCGCCTGGCCTTGGCTTCCCTTTCTTATCAAGTTTTGGGGTTGCCTGGCCACAGCAGGTGTTGTCATCTCAGTCCTACATACATATGCTTATCACTTTGAGCAGTCAGCAGTTTCACTGTGAGCTGAGTCACTTATCATTGTGACTCCATTTTGTTGGTGGAAACAACCCAGATGTTATTCAAGTAATGAACATTTTTTAAATGTGGCATATAGATATATAGTGGAATATTATTCAGCCCTGAAAAAAGTTTTGTCACATGCTGTGTTAAAAATAAACCTTGAGAATATTATGTTAATAAAAACAAGCCAGTGACAAAGTGACAGATAGTGTATGATTCCACTTATATGAAATAAGTAGCCAAACTCACAAAAAGTAGAATGGTGTTTGTTAAGGGCTGCTGAGGGGGTAAAATGGGCAGTTGTTACTTAACAGGTATTCAGTTTCAGGTTTACAAGATGTGAAATTCTAGAGATCTGTTGTATAACAATGTGAATATAGACAACAATATTGAATTATACACTTAAAAAGATTTAAGATGGTAGATTTTATGTTATGTATTTTACCACAATATATTTTTATAAAACAATAACTAGAAGAAAAAGAAGACTCCATTTTGAGACATTTAGAATCACAAAACATTATTATATATCAATAGCCCTACCTGGATGTCCCAAGACACCTCAGTCCCAGCATGTCCAAACCTAAGTGTCTCGTAATTCTTGTAGGAATTCAGAAGTCATCCCAGATGCCTCAATTCCCACCTCCTGCGGGATCTGAAAGAAGGAGAGGGATTAGGCAATGGGAAATGGGTGTAGTTGGAGGTGAAATGGGGGTGTGGTGGCCACCAGGTGAGGGGTTTAGGAGTCTCCAGGGTCACTGGTGACTTGATACAGATTTGCATTTCAGCAAGATTGTTATCAGCAGAACAAAGTTGAATGGAGCCAGGAGAGCTTGGGCTGGAGACCAGCTCATTGGACCTTGGGAGGAAATTCTACCTCCTACTTTGACCTCAAGTTTGCCAGGACCAACACGGCTAGAACAAAGCCTCTCATGACAAAATAGCCAATTGGGAAACCTTTGAATTTTCCTCCCACCCTTAAAACACGCTTCAGGCACTCAAGGGAAAGGGAAAATGGAAGAGGAAAGGAAGAAAAACAGGGTCTCTTGCGCCCTGCAGGTGTGCAGGGCAGCCCTCCACAGGCCCACAGGAGGCTTGGCAGCAGGGAGCAGGTGACTGCTGTGCATCTGGGATGAGACTAGCACTTTCCCCACACACTGCTAGCTGTCCCCCACCCGAAGACAGTGGGAGCACATTGCACTCTTTCCACAACTGGCAGAGTCAAGCCTAAAAACTGCTAGAATCCCTTCACTTTCTTCCAAATGCCAGCCTTGTAGAGTGGTCAGATTTTCTTAATGTTGATATGAAAACCATGAGAATACAGTTGTCCTCGGTATCCTGGAGTAGGGGAAGGATTGGCTCCAGGAACCCTTTGTGGATGCCAGAATCCAAGGATTCTCAAGTCCCTTGTATGTAATAAAATGGTCTAGTATTTGCATATAACCTACATGCATCCTCGCATCTACTTTAAATCCCCCTAGATTACCTCTAATACCTAACACAATGTAAATGCTCTGTAAATAATTGTTATACAATATTATTCATTTGCATTATGTTTTATTGTTGTATTGCTGTTTTTTATTTTTTGAATATTTTTGACCTCAGGTTTGGTTGAATCCAGGATGCAGAACACAACTTTTCCACAAAATAATTTAAAATACTTGTCAAAAGATAAAATGACTGCAATTTAATTTAAAAGATTTTCTTTGGCTTTATTTGCAATTCTAGAATTGGGCAACACTTCATTCCATAAAATAGCCTGTGTTCCAGTGAGGTAAACAGAGGAGGTTGGTTTTACAAACAGAAAAGAGCTAAAGAAAGCAGAAACACAAGAAAAAGCAGATTGGTCATTTCGGTTATTTTCCTTGTAAGGTGGGAACAGGGAAATAGAACAACAGAAAAATAACTGATTGGTTAAGATCAGGTTTCTTCAGGTCATTATTTTTTATTTTTTGGTAAGGATTAAAGTAGAGGGAACTTTATTATCATGCTGACTGAAACTGGCCTGTTTGGGATATTTGGCTATTATCTCTCCTGATTTCTCTGAAGGTCATATAAGAACTTAGTTTTGCTTTGATGATGTGGAACTTTAGTATGAGTGGCTCCATTTTGGGTTTTTAATTCTGTTCTCTTGGGGCGCTGTGCAGAAGCAAAACAGTGGCCTCCTGTAATTTCTATTTAACATGCTTTACTCTTATCAAAAGGACAAGATTGTCCAGGGTTGGTTCAACCATAGTGTGAACTAATTATGGAAAAAGAACTTTGATTTTACTTCTTTTGTAATAAGAGTGAACGTATTTACTGAGTCGGCATTCCCTTTCATGATTATCATTATATGAAGGAGGAAATTGGGGCACACAGGGGTTACATAACTACCCTGAGGTCACGCAGCTGGTGGGGGAAGCCTGGGTTGCATGTTGACAGGCAGTTCCAGAGTCTGAGTTCACTGTGCCACTCAGGTTGGCTGGAGGAGGGAAAAGGCATCTTCCTTCCATTTCTGCTTGTGTTGAGGCTGTTGCTACAACCCAAGCAAGACGTGTTGAGGGAATCAACTCAGTTATGCAGGTGGAAGTAGAGGAAAAGGGACCAATGATGACATAGCTAGAAAATATATATTTAGGCTAATGTAAAAAATGTATTTAGGAAAAGCAAGGTAACATTTAGTATGTGAGAGGTACCTGAGATGATTCCATGTCCCCGCAGAGAGTACTTCCTGAAGTATTTCCATGAGTTACTTCAGGAGTGGGCTGGTAGGGCAGCGGGAGGAGCTGAAGGGGATAGAAGGGAGAGTATATATGTGATTCAGATATGTATTTCTGACTTGAAGTGAAATATGCTGGAAAACTCACACAACTATGGTAAAGAAAAATTACTCAATTCCTTTTTACCCTCTTGTACAGTCACTCATTAAAAGATAAGAATTTCGGCCGGGCATGGTGGCTCACACCTGTAATCCCAGCACTTTGGGAGGCAGAGGCAGGCAGATCACTTGAGGCCAGGAGTTCGAGACCAGCCTGGCCAACATGATGAAACCACATCTCTACCAAAAATAGAAAAAAATTAGCCACGCGGCGTGGCACGCACCTGTAATCCCAGCTACTCGGGAGCCTGAGGTGGGAGGATGGGAGGATCACTTGAGTTCAGGAGGTCGAGGCTGCAGTGAGCCGAGATCATGCCACTGCACTCTAGCCTGAGTGCAGCGACATCTGACATCAGGGACTGCTGATGAGTTACAAAAAATAAATAAATAAATAAATAAAATAAAGAAAGAAAGAAATTCCTTTAGGAAACCTTGAATATGATTGAGATGACAAAACCCTTGGGAATGAGAAAAAAAGGAGCTGTGGAGATAAAAGTGAAAGTTCGGGATCTCAGAGGAGCTAAGAAACTTTGGTACATGAGAAATTGGATAAATGGAAGAGTATCTGAGACAGAAAAGGATTAAGCAAACAGAGGATTGTGGCCAACATCATGGCAAGGAAACATGAAAAGCAAGGTTTTGAGCAACCATGCTGCAGTAACTTCCTAAAACATTGTAGTCTCCACAGTGTGCTTAGGGCAATATTTACAAACCTACAGGCTGATGTTAAAATGGTTTTGTGCTCAGGTAGCATGTCTCCTACAGAGACAGGAGGCAGGAGACAAGCCTGAGTTGCAAGGGTAATTAGAATCAGCCAGAAAAAGAATGGAAAAAGAAAGTTGGTGTGCAGGGAGAAGAATTTATTTGAACTTCTCCATCAAGCGTGTTCCGTTATAGGCACAGCACAGGCTGTGGGCACAGCACCCTCTAGTGTCTGGGAGAGTCACTGCAGCTTTGCTGTGTGGTAGGAGCACAGTTGTTCAGCTCCGTTAACTTGAACAAATATTTACAGTAGTGTTCTCTCTAGTGACCCAGGGCCTACTTGGTGTGCATGACTGTTGTTCTAAGCTTTAGTCTTACCACCTCTCCACCTTGAAATGGGGCGTTCAGGTCTGGCCTGGCTGGAGGCAAGGCTATGAATTGTATGCTGTGGAACTGTCTTTCAGTGTCTGTGAATTTGCCTACTAGTGCCTTTAGCAGGGAAGGTGGGGTGCTCTCCCATGTTTGAAATAAAGGCCTTAGTCTTTAGTTTCAATTTAACCTGCAGTTCAACATTTCACGCAGTATAATGCAGCCATAAAAAAGAATGAGATCATGTCTTTTTCAGGGACATGGATGAAGCTGGAAGCCATCCTTCTCAGCAAACTAACACAGAAACAGAAAACCAAATACCACATGTTCTCACTCATAAGTGGGAGTTGAACAATGAGAACACACGGGCACAGGGAGGGTAACATCACACACTGAGGCCTGTCGGGGGGTGCGGGGCAAGGGGAGGGAGGGCATTAGGACAAATACCTAATGCATGTGGGGCTTCAAACCTAGGTGATGGGTTAATAGGTGCAGCAAACCAGCATGGCACATGTATACTTATGTAACAAACCTCAGGTTCTGCACATGTATCCCAGAACTTAAAGTAAAAAAAACAAAAAAAAATCCACTTGGTATAACAGAAGGATCGCTTTACACAGCGGTCACTGATGTCTGATGTGGGACCAGCAACAACTTTAAGGAAGGTTTTGGTGACAATCAGCTATCATAAGGTGGCTATTTCTAGACTGATTACCTCCCTCCCTCCCATCCTCCCTTCCTTCCTTCCCTCCTTCCTTCCTTCCTTCCGATGTAGCCAGTCTAAATTATCAAGAGATAAAAAAAAACTCCCTTAAGCCCTTTTGCCCCCATCAGGCTGCTTTGGATGCAGCTCCACCGTTTACTGCCTTAGTGTTACCATGGGTGGGTTCCTCAGTCTCATCATATGAAAAAGGGACAATAGTAGGATGTACCATGTAGGGTTTCTGTGAGTATTAAATGAGGTAATGCCTGTAAAGCACACCGTACCTGACATAAAGAAGCCATTGAGCAATATCAGCTAGGCAGCAATAACATTAAAGCTTTGAGCTTTGTTTCATGGGAGAAGAGGTTCAAATTAGCACTGAGCCTCTTCAACAGAAAGGGCTGGTAACTTGACATAAGTGAAAACCTCTGACCTTCCTTGGAAACACTAGTTTGGATAGTGGTTATTTAACAAGTACAAACACTTGAGTTTGGGGCCAAGCAGTGTACCTGGTGCTAAAGAGATGGAAGGCGTGGTCTTTGGCTTCAAGGTGTTTATTATCTTGTTAGGAAAAAATAAAAAGCCACTGATCACTAAGCACGGTGATAGTACCGAGCAGCATTTGTCCTTTGGTGTTGTTTAGTGCGGTGGGGCTGCCTATGAAAGTAGCTAGTTAGGCCCTTTTGGAAGGAGGTAAGCTTTGAACAGTGCCTCCTCCCAGAGTTTTCTTCATGGGGCTCAGCTCTGACATTCTCATCACTTGTTTGGCAGCTCTTTGCACCACCCCTGAAGGAGAAAAGTCATATTCCACCTTGGGGCTACAGTAGGGTACAGTGGAAGCAGGCTTCATCCACTCTCTGGTAGCATGACCTTGACCAAGTTATTTAACTTCCCAGCTTCGAGTTTCTCATTTCCAAACTAAGTGGTATGGTGAGGATAGAGTCTAGCCCACTGTCTGGCACATGACAGGTGCTGTGAACATTTCCATCTCTCTCTGTCTCTCTTTTTTTTTTTTTTTTTTTTTTTTTTTTTGAGACAGAGTCTCACCCTGTCACCCAGGCTGAAGTGCAGTGGCACAATCTGGGCTCACTGCTACCTCCATCTCCCGGGTTCAAGCAATTCTCCTGCCTCAGCCTGCTGAGTAGCTGAGACTACAAGCACGTGCCACCACGCCCGGCTAATTTTTGTATTTTTGGTAGAGATGGGTGTCACCATGTTGGCCAGGCTGGTCTCAAACTCCTGACCTCAAGTGATCTGCCCGCATCAGCCTCCCAAAGTGCTGGGATTACAGGCATGAGCCACTGCGCCTGGGTACATCTCTTTTCTTGATTACCTTCAAAGAATAAAATGAACACTTGGATTGATTTGGCCACTCAGTGGCCTTCCTTGTCACTAGGACTTTCCTAGCCTGTTGACAATGAGGAAAGAAGGCTTAGTAAACCAACACTACTACAACTACTGCTGCTACTGCTACTACTACTAGCTGTGAACACCAGAATAGCTCAGATTACTTTTGAACCTGTGAGAGGGGCCAAAATGCAGGTCTTATGTGTTCCCAAGGGGCCCCTCAAATGCCACATGGGAAGTTTAGGAAAAGAGGACCAGGTATCAGTCTTTGTGCCGATGTAAAGGAAAGAGGTTGGCAGCACAGACACTTTCTCCTACCTGTCTAGCGGGAAACATCCTCAGTGCAACTGTCAGAAACGCCTGCATCCTTTCCCTGGAGGAGTTTGTCAGACCAAACAAATCTGTATCTAAGAACATGTTTTTCCAGGAAGGCAGGATCTGATACGGATGGCAGATCTAGAAACCCAAAGATCCCTTCTGCCTAGAGTTACATGGACTGTGCTTTTTCCTTAGTCCTGGCGAAGTTGCACCAGTGGGTGGGATGAGGTCAGCAATTAGAGTCAGCTCTTCCTCAGTTAGGATTGGCCTTTGGCTTGTAGGCTGTTTCCTAGGGAGGGAACCCAGCGTCAGAACTTCATCTCACCCTGTGACATGTCACTACTGACAACAAGTGTGGTCCTCTGTATGCTCTGTGAGTATGCTGGGCATGCTGCTGTTGGGTCCGTCACTGTGTTATGCAGAAAAGTGACGAAGGGCTAGGCAGGTGTGTGCAGCGTGCCATTTAGCGTATCCCCTCAGGCATGCACCCAGGAGCAGTGTGGTCTGAGCTTGTGTTAATTCTAAGAAGAAATAAACTAATGATGAAACTCTAATTGTTTTTAATGGAAAATGTTCATAAGGTGAAGTTCTTATGCATGCTAAATGATTTTTTCAATTTTGTTTCTTTTAGGAGAACTATCCTATCCCTGAACCAGGCCCAAATGGTAAGTTCTTGGGAAACATGACTTATATTCTGTTATTTCCTGTTGTTTCCTTTGGAGTCACATGTATATTGCTCCCTTACCTCTCTTTTCCAACTGTTTATTACTTTTGCGTCCATTAAAAACCTATGCTTTTCTTATGCTGAGAACAGTGTGTACTGCCCACAGCATGACCTCGTGGGAAGTTTATCTTGGCTGCTACATGAAATAAAAAGAATAGTGATAGAATCAGAAAAATTACCGTACCAGACTGCTGACTTGTCCCAAAGAGTTTTTGATGTGAAGTATATGGACCAATGACAGAATTCTTCCTCTTTTGACCTAATGACAGTGTACCCTATCTACCAGAAGCTGCTGTTGGAGTGGCCAAGTGTCCTAACCCTAACGCAAACTTTGAAAAGGAGTGAGTCTACAGAACTTAATCTTTAGCAAAGGGAGCATCATGCCAGTTTCCCCACTCCCCAGGAAGGCCAGTCACCGAAGTGTGGGGCAGCCCAGGACCTACTGTCCAGTGGGGGTGGGAGGTGCTGCATGAGGCCCTGTCCCCTGCCCTAATCAACCAAGCACAGAAAGTGAGTGAGCACACTGGGGCAGGGTTTCCAACACCTTTACTCCACTCCTTCCACGTCTCTCACTTGCTAAGCCTGTGGGGCTTAGCTGACATGCTGACGCCCAAGGTGGCATCTGCAACTTCCCAGCTTTGGGTTTCTCATGTACAAACTGAGTGCTATGGTGAGGATAAAGTCCAGCCCACCGTCTGCACATGGCAGGTGCTGTGAACATTTCCATCTCTTTTTGTCTGTTGGCTCGGGCAGATCCCTGCTGACAGCTTTCTAATCCCTCCCATCCCTGGAATTCCACTTTGTCATAATCGTGCAGGACCCTGAAGTGAGGCTGGGGGCAATGGTCAGAGTGTCTGTAGATACTCACCCTCCCCCTCTCACACCTAGACAGTCAGGTCCCCTTTCTGCCCTTGAGGAGTTGGGGGTGTCCTTTCCCACTTTGTCCTACCTCACACCAGAACCGCAGCTTCTGGGTGAACATCAGATCAAAGGCAGCTTTCCTGGTAGATCCACAGCTTTGCTACTGAAAGGTCAGTTGTGTTATCGACTTGTAAGTGGTAAGAATACAGACTAGATAGAATATAACCATTCTGTGGGTGCTGAGTAAGTATTGTATAGCTAGGGTTCAAGGATTTTCACCAAGATACCATGTTCAGAGAAGTGAAAGAGTTACCTCACTGTGTCCTGAAAAGTTGACTGTTGATTCCATAAGTGGCCAAATGAGGGCTGTCTTGGACCCAGAGTACAAGCTTGGCTCCTGGTACAGCTTTTCTCCCTGAAGCAGCATTCTGCTTGCACTCTCGTCTCTTGCTACACTTGCATTGGAAGCGAAAAGAGTGCATTTCAGCGAGTGTTCTAGCAAGTCAAATCTAATCTCTCACTACCAATTGCTACTTCAAGAGACGAAATTCTGAGATGATTTTCCTAACTCAAATGACTTTTCCCTGCATTTGACCTGAGAATTCACCCTGCCATTTCTTACTCTTCACTAAAACTAAGGAGGAAGAAAGTTCTGAAGAGCCACCCCTGGCAGTCTGTGGCAAGTGCAGTGCATAGCAGAGATTTGGGTCTCTTTGTCTTTCTAAGGCAGAGTGTTTTTTTCAGGGAGGTATTCATAACCATCATCTCAGTCAGAGATGATGGTACTTATTGGTACTTATTCCACCAAAGGGGCTCAGTACCATCATTATTTTAAACTTAGAAAACTGGCCAGGCGTGGTGGCTCAGGCCTGTAATCCCAGCACTTTGGGAGGCTGAGGCAGGTGGATCACCTGACGTCATGAGTTCAAGACCAGCCTGGCAAACATGGCGAAACCACGTTTCTGCTAAAAATACAAAAATTAGCCTGGCATGGTGGTGCACACCTGTAATCCCAGCTACTTGGGAGGCTGAGGCAGGAGAATTGGTTGAACCCGGGAGGCGGAGATTGCGGTGAGCCGAGATCCTGCCATTGCACTCCAGTCTGGGCAACAGAGGGAGACTCTGTCTCAAAAAAAAAAAAAGAAACAAAGAAAGAAAGAAAACAATAGGCGTGAAGAACTCAACTTGATAGTTCACAAAATGTTGCCAAGCTGAGATTCTACCAGACCTGTTCTCATAAATAGATAGGAATCACGCATAGCATATTAATTGTCTGGAAAGTTATCTTTTGGAAAATAGTTTGTTCTCTTAAGTGGTTGGTACATTTCATCCTACTAATGATATATTGTTTACCCAGTGTATTGGTTAGTGTTGTCCAGAGAAACAAAACCACTAAGATATATGTGTATGTATGTATGTGTGTATGTGTACAAAGGGCAGGCTGGAAATTCAGGTAAGAGTTGATGTTGCAGTCTTGAGGAGAATTCCTTCTCCTTCAGAAAACCTCAGTCTTTGCCTTTAAGACCTTCAAACTGATTGGATGAGGCTCACCCACATTATGGAGGGTAATCTACTTTACTCAAAATCTATTGGTTTAAAAGTTAACCATGCCCAACACGTATCTTCAAACAACCAGGCACTATAGCCTAGCCAAGTGGACACATAAAATTAGCCACCACATGTGGAAGCTTGTTTGCCTTGCGAGACTTAATCAGGGTTGCTATGGAGCTTGATTTCCTCTGTGGCCTAAATTGTGTACCTGGCCTGGTAACCCAGCCCTCTCCCCTGGGCAAAGGGAAATCACTAGGTCACCTCAGAGTGATAGGGGTTGTTCCCTCTCTCACTGTTTTTTTCTTCCTTTCTTTTATCAGAGGTCTTGCTGAGGATGCATTCTGTTGGAATCTGTGGCTCAGATGTCCACTACTGGGAGTATGGTCGAATTGGGAATTTTATTGTGAAAAAGCCCATGGTGCTGGGACATGAAGCTTCGGGAACAGTCGAAAAAGTGGGATCATCGGTAAAGCACCTAAAACCAGGTCAGCAAGGTCCTTCGACTTATGTGTTCATTCAACATAAATATGTGTGCATGCTTTCTTTGGGCCAGGCCCTCTGTTAAGCTCTGGGTACAGCAGGGAACAAGACAATCTTGTTCCATACTCACATGGATCTTACCTTACACAAGAAAAGAGGGACCTGGAGCAGACAGATAGTTACTTAGTCACCATGTGTTAAGGGCAGTAGAGGAGAATGCAGGGTGTGATTAGTGTATTTTACCCAGACCCTTGGTTCATTTGAGGAAGGGACAATTAATCCAACATCTGGAGCCAGGTAAGAAATAAGCCAGGTAAAGGGCTGGAGAAAACATTTGAGGCACAGGAAACCAAACTACCTTTACATGCTGTGAACCACGGCCTTGGATATAATGTTTGATTTTTATTAGATGGCTGGGAAACCACCATTATTTTTCCTAGATTTACTAAATTCATTTTTCCAGAGGGAGGAATTCTCAGCTGTGGCAGGCTGTGTTGTTCCCTGATACCGTGAATTAAATCCAAGTTGTCTTGGCATAGTTAGCTATTGGCTTTAACCTTCCTTTACCGGTGAGGCTGCTGTGCAGCCCGGAAATAAGGTCACGTTATTTGGGGGAAGGTGGAGGTTGACAGGAGGCCCCATCCTGTGTTACTTATAAAGTTCTCTGAGCCCAACCACATGGAGAGGGATTGACCAGCTGTGAAGCAGTCAGGCATGTGTCTTGTTTAGGGATGTTAAGTCATTCATCATTAGTGGAAGTCAAGAAGGCTCCTGTGGTGTTATGAGGTTATTTCCTAATGGAATGTTTATAGCTTCCAACAGCCACTGATGATTGGTTCTCACCTGTGGGACAAAGTCTCTGACTATAAATTATAACAAAGAGTGGGGTTCTGTAAATGTAAATTATAACAAGGGTTTAGTCAGTTGTCCACAATGAGCTCAGTCTTATGCCACGAGCCTTGAGGGATATAGAAAAATGAGCAGATATGATCCCTGGATGCTTAGTTCTATATGGAAACACTAGATGTCAGGCCCTTCATAAATACCAGCAGTTAGACAGCAAGCCCATAGGGTACAATTAGGTGTGGGAAAGAATAGGCTTTAGGAGTTCAAAGGGCATTTGTTGTGGGCAGAGGTGGTTAAAGAGTTCATGGAGGAGATAGGTCTTTGAGCTAGACATCTAACAGTAGTAACATTAATAAGAAGGTGGCTAATATTTATTGATTTGCTACATTAGTCTCCATGTTAAACACTTAGATGTACAATTCTTTCTTTCTTTCTTTTTCTTTTTTTTTTTTTTGACGGAGTCTCGCTCTGTCACCCAGGCTGGAGTGCAGTGGTGCAATCTTGCCTTGCTGCAACCTCCACCTCCTGGTTCAAGTGATTCCCGTGCCTCAGCCTCCCAAGTAGCTGGGATTACAGACATGCAGCACCATGCCTGGCTAATTTTCGTATTTTTGGTAGAGGCTGGGCTTCACCATATTGGCCAGGCTGGTCTTGAACTCCTGACCTCAAGTTAATTGCCTACCTTGGCCTTCCAAAGTTCTGTAATTACGGGCCTAAGCCACTGCACCTGGGCTATTTATTTCATTCTTGAAACAACTCTATGAGATAGGCATTATTATCTTCATTAATTGAAGAAGAAATTGAAGCCTGGTTATTGCCCAGGGTCACTCACTAGTTGGTCTCAGAACTGGGATACCCACCCTGGTCTTTTGGACTCTAGAGCAAGTGCTCAGAACCACTGGGCTACCCAGCATCTTCATACTTGAGAACGGTTTTATATTTGAGTTATTGAAGAGGTCAGAGCTAATATTCTAGTTAAGAGGAAGCGAACAGGCTGGGTGCGGTGGCTCATGCCTGTAATCTCAGTACTTTGGGAAGCTGCGGTGGGCAGGTCACTTGAGGTCAGGGGTTTGAGACCAGCCTGGCCAATATGGTGAAACTCTGTCTAAAAATAGAAAAATTAGCCAGACATGGTGGCACGCGCCTATAGTCCTAGCTACTTGGGAGGCTAAGGCAGGAGAATTGCCTGAACTCAGGAGGCAGAGGTTGCAGTGAGCTGGGATCATGCCACTGCATGCCAGCTTTCCAGCCTTGGTGAGAGACAGAGCGAGACTCCATCTCAAAAAAAAAAAATAAAAGAGGAAGGGAACAACAAAATTACAGATGTGAGAGTAACACATCTGGGTGCAGATAAGTCTGTGCTGCTCAGAGCAGAGGTTTTGTGTTGGGGAGTTATTGGAGATGATAAACATGCATAATCTTTATAAAAGTCCCCCTTTAAAAAGCACTTGGCTGGGCATGGTGGCTTACACCTGTAATCTCAGCACTTTGGGAGGCCGAGGCAGAAGAATTGCTTGAGCTCAGGAGTTTGAGACCAGCATGAGCAACAGAGGGAGACCCTGTCTCTACAAAAAATAAAATTAGCTGGGTGTGGTAGTGTGCACCTGCATTTCCAGCTACTCAGGAGGCTGAGACAGAAGGATCACTTAAGCCCGGGAGGTTGAGGTTGCAGTGAGCCATGATTGCACCACTGCACTCCAGCTTGGGTGACAAAGCAAGACTCTATCTCAAAACAATAAAATAAAATAAAATTTAAAAAGCACTGTAAAACTGTGAAATGTCATGTTATCATAATATAATCATAATTAGAAGGTAAAACTGAATAATATGAAAACTCCACCTGATTATGGAGGATCTTGAAGGCTAGGTGGAAGAATTCATCCTTAATGACATAGGCATAATTTGCAGAAAGTTCACTGGACAGGAGAGAAAGCAGAGGGAGTCAGAGGAGATAGAAGGAAGAGACAAATATAGACATTTTATTTTTTGGAGATGAAGTCTCACTCTGTTGTCCAGGCTGGAGTGTAGTGGTGCCATCTCAGCTCACTGCAACCTCAGCCTCCCAGGTTCAAGTGATTCTTGTGCCTCAGCCTCCTGAGTAGCTGGGATTACAGGCATGCACCACCACACCTGGCTAATTTTTGTATTTTTTAATAGAGACTGGGTTTCACTATGTTTGCCAAGCTGGTCTCAAACTCCTGACCTCAGGTGATCAGCTCTCCTCGGCCTCCCAGAGTGCTGGGATTACATAGGCATAAACCACCATGCCCAGCTAAATACAGACATATTTTGGTGGTCATAAGGATTTCTGTGGGTCCTTTTCTTTCCTTAGGATACAAAATTTGGATTTAAAGTCTTTCATTTGTTAACTTTGACTTAAAATTCTAATCAACTAATCTAGAAAGAAGACCACAACTCATCAAATATTTCCTAATGTTCATTTACAGAATTTAAACATATAAGTCAGTCAGGCACAGTAGCTCACGCCTGTAATCCTAGCACTTTGGGATGCCTATGTGGGCAGATCACTTGAGGTCAGAAGTTCGAGATCAGCCTGGCCAACATGGTGAAACCCCATCTCTACTAAAAATACAAAAATTAGCCAGACGTGGTGGCGTGCATCTGTAATCCCAGCTATTCAGGAGGCTGAGGCAGGAGAATTTCTTGAACCTGGGAGGTGGAGGTTGCAGTGAGCTGAGATCATGCCACTGCACTCCAACATGGGTGACAGAGCAAGACTCTGTCTCAAATAAATAAATAAACAAACAAACAAATGAACAAACATACGTATAAGTCAATAACTCTAAGGCATGGAAGCATTCCTGTTTTTTTTTAAGACTAGTCAAGTGCAGTAGTGAGAAGTGGGGAAAGAGTAGAACAAGGAGTATTATCTGTAACTGAGTATGAACAATCAATTAAGATGATGCACTACCTTCAGACCAGCCTTCACCACTTATTTTAATGAGCACTAACTATGTACCAGGACTCTACACTATTCTGTGAGTACTTTCAACACAAAAAGACTTAGGAAAAATTGCTTATCATGTCCCTGCTGAATAAAGGCCAGACCTTCCATGGCCTCAGCAGGCCTCACCAGGTTCCTAACATCCTCTTCAGGCTCCAGAGGGCCTGAACACTAGTACAGAGGTGAGCAGACAGTCAAATCTCCACAGCTTATCACTGTGTGACCACCTGAGCTTCTGTTTCCTCATCGCTAAAGCAGAGATAACACCATCTTGTTGGTTTATGGTGAGGGAAGGGAGATTTTGTGATGTGCCTTTCCTGGTACCTGGCACACAATGGGCATTTGGTAAATGGCAGGACTTGATCCCACCATTATTGGTAAACTCTATTCTGTGTAGTAGGTTTAAGCACCTCTTCCCAGTGGAGTCTATCCGTCAGACTTTTCCTGAATAACCAGGTACTGAGGCAGGATAAGGCCTGTGGGTCCTTTCCTGGGCTCCTGCCACATGGCTTCCTGCCTCACTGGCGTTTGGCCATGTTGGTCTCCAGCTTGTTCCTGGCTGCTAGAAGGGGAGATTTCTGCTGTTCTCTGTGGAGTTAACGCCTGGGTTCAGGCAGGAGGGTCTGCCAGGGTTTCTAGTTTGGTCTCTGATTCGCTGGTATGGGTCACTCCCCAAATTCAGACGGAGTTTAAATCCAATCGTAACTTTGATGTGTAGCAATACCTGTGATATTAAAATCCCCTGTAAGTCTGCTTTCTGTTTTCTGGAAACATGGAGGCCATTGCTGTATTGACAGTGTATTTGGAGTTCCCCTACACAGGGCTGGGTACCTACATGAAGATGAACCATCTAAACCATCCCAAAACCTCAGGATAACTATTTGTCCTCAATTATTCCTACCTGTCTCCCTTTCCTTTACAACAGAAAAGTGCTACTGTCTTTAACCAACAGGTTTTACTTGTCACATTCCAGGGGAAATTTTTGCCAATAAGTAATGCCCTTCTAGATACTAATGACATTTGTGTCCCATGGTTTGTTTTCCCCCAATCCACAAATTCTATGTTTAGCAATAAAAATTTGACTAGCACAACAGTAGACACTATGAAAAAATAAATATGGAGCAGAAGACTGACTAATCCTGAAGCATTCCCATCCTTGATGAGGAGGCAAGATAGTCATGAAAAACAACCAGGGATGGACATGGTAGCTTACACCTGTAATCCCAGCACTTTGGGAGGCCAAGGCAGGAGGATTGCTTGAGCTCAGGAGTTTGAGACCAATCTGGGCAACATGGAAAAACCCTGTCTCTGCAAAAACAAAAACAAAAATCACCCAGGCATGGTGGCATGCACCTATAGTTGCAGCTACTTGTAAAGCAGTCTAGGGTCAATATAGCAATCTCACTGTCTGAGGTGTTATCCAGAGTTCTTTGTCTCATGACCAGGAAAATTAAGGAGTGTGGACACCAAGGGTGAGGTTGGAGTGAAAGTTTAATAAGTGAAAGAGGAAAGCTCTCAGCAGCAGAGCGGGGGACCTGAAAGAGGGTTGTTGTTTTACAGTTAAATACGAAGGTTTTTATAAGAAACTTCCCTTATCTGTGTAGGTGCTGTGTAACTTACCTTATCTGTGTAGCTACCTGTGTAGCTTCCCTTATTTGTGCAGCTGCGAGCATGTCTTAGGCAAGCATAGGGTGCAGCTTCTCTTGCCTGAGCAACTACGGGCATGTTTTAAGCAAGCCCCCACCCCACCCCATGCAAGTTCTCATGGAGCCCACTGTGTACATGCCCAAAAAGGGGAGGAAACTTTTTCCTGGGAGTGCACTGATTACACAGAGAACCAAGGCATTTCTATGTTGGGCCTCACTCCCTTATCTGTGCCTGTAGCTTGATTTTTCCAAGCTGCTCTTTATGTGCCTGCAGCTTGATTTTTTCCAGACTGCTGTTTTGTTTGAAAGAATTCCACCAAGGACCTGCCCTAACTGTCTGCCTGCTTTTTTTCTTTCTCCTTCCTCACTTGGGAGGCTGAGGCAGGAGGATCACCTGGGCTTGGGGAGGTCGAGGCTACAGTGAGCTGTGATTGCACCACTGGACTCCAGCCTGGGTGACAGAGTGAGATCCTGTCTCAAAAAACAAACAAACAAAAAAAAAACAACAAAGAAACATACACAAAAAAAACCCAAAAAACCAGCAATGAGAAAACTGGAAACAACCAGGTTTTTTCCATCAGTAAGAGAATGGTGATACTGACTGTGGTATACTCTTACATTAGGCAAGCACGGGGTGCATCTTCTCTTGCCTGAGCAACTATGGGAACACTATTCAGCCATGAAAAGGAACAAACTGTCATTTGTTTTTGAGACAGTCTTGCTCTGTCACCCAGGTGGGAATATAGTGGTGTGATCATGTCTCTCTGCAGCCTCAACCTCCTGGGCTCAAGTGATTCTCCCACCTCAGCCTCCCAAGTAGCTGAGACCACAGGTACACACCACCATGCTCAGCTAATTAAAAAAAAATTTTTTTTGTAAAGATGAGGTCTTTCTATGTTGCCCAGGTTCGTCTCGAACTCCTGGGCTCAATTGATTCTCCCACCTCAGCCTCCCAAGTAGCTGAGACCACAGGTACACACCACCATGCTCAGCTAATTAAAAAAAAATTTTTTTGTAAAGATGAGGTCTTTCTATGTTGCCCAGGTTCGTCTCGAACTCCTGGGCTCAAGCAATCCTCCTGCCTTGACCTCCCAAAATGCTGGGATTATGAGATTATAGGCATGAGCCACCACACCTGGCCAGACAGTTAATACCACAACAACAGAGATCAATCTGAAAAGCATTATGCTAACTGAAAGAAGAAAGATACAAAAGAGTATCTACTGTATGATCCCATTTTTGTGACGTGCTAGAACAGGCAATACTAATCTGTGGTACAAAAAATAAAAATAAAAACATTGGTGTCCTCTGGGGATGGGGCTGGGGATTGACTGGGAACAGATACAGAGGAATAAGATTTCTGAGGTAGTGGTAGTGTTCTGTATCATAAAAGGGGTTTGCATTCCTAGGTGATACCTTTAAAAAAGAACCATAAACAAATACTGAACTCTAGTTAATGATATGCAGGCTGAAGCATTTAAGGGTGAAGTATACTGATGTCTGCAGCCTGCTTTGAAGTGCATCGGAAAAGAAGATCGACTGATGGAAGGAGACAGAGATGAGATGGAGGGGTAGATGGATAGATATGTGATAAAGTGAACATAGCTAGATGTTCCTTGAAGAATGTAGGAGGAGGGTATCCAGGTGTTGACTATACAATTCTTTGAATTTTGCTGTGTGTTTGAAATTCTTCATAATAAAAAGACAGAAAAAGAAAACAATTAGAGAGCAGTTCTCAGGCTGGGTTTCCAAGCAGTCGTTGTGAGGCATAGAGTAGAAATATAATAGAGCTGGCTGTTCAGAAGCCTCAAGTATTACTCTCCACTGTATGAGGCCTCTGCAGGTCATTGGCCTTTGCAGTTCTACTACCAGGAATCAGTTGACTCCTAATTATTGTCTAAAAACGACCAAACTGGACATAAAACATGCTGTAATTATAGCTGTTGTCTTTGTAAAGGCTTTGCTTTCTATCTTCCAAACAGATGAAGAAAAAATGCCTGCAAACTCCATGTATTAGCTACCCCTTTTCCAGCAGTGTGAGATGGGAACTATACTTGGCTTGCCTTAGCTGGGAAGTGGCTGTGGAGATAGAGGGTGGCTTGGCTTGTTGCAGGAGCTGGAAAAAGGGCAGGCCACACTGGGCTGTGGAGGAGGGGGCTGGTCCTTTTCCCCCAGAGTGACTCTGTGCTTCATCCCGAGTTTCCTCACTTGCCTAAGACACCCTGGGTCCCCAGGGAGGAGGGTGGCTCGTTAAGCTAGATTCTCTCATCTGGCATCTGCCCATGAGCATGCAAGCCTTCATAACATCTCTGCTTCTGCTGTTTTCAAAGGTTGGAAAACAAAGAACCGGACCAAAGAGGAGGCAGACTCTGCTCCCACCCTCGGACATGGTGCCATCTTTGTTTTCCTCTCCAGGTGATCGTGTTGCCATCGAATCTGGTGCTCCCCGAGAAAATGATGAATTCTGCAAGATGGGCCGATACAATCTGTCACCTTCCATCTTCTTCTGTGCCACACCCCCTGATGATGGGAACCTCTGCCAGTTCTATAAGCACAATGCAGCCTTTTGTTACAAGTTAGTGTCCACAGTCCCACTGGGTCACCTGGGACCTCTTTCCCTTCATTAACTTGGTGCTGTTTCCTGTGGTTATTTCTTTATTCTTTCAGCTCCTAATTCCAAACATGAGGCATCGCCTGGGCAGGCTACTCTTCTTGGTGGCATTGAGAGAGGGTAGCCTCCCTAGGAATAAGACTGACTCACAGTGGTTGGTTTTAGTCTTTCAGTTCCAGTTTCCCTTACTTAGAGCAACAATAGAAAATTATTGCTGAAATCACTCACCCTCTGCAGACATCCTGGAGGGAATTCCTGTGGTTCATCCTCTGTTATTAGTTTCCACTGCAACCACCAGAAAGGAAACCTGTAACAACAATGACCTCGACAATAGCAACAACACACCATGACAGCAACGGCTGACATTTCCTGAGGTGTGGTGTGCTGCCAGGGCTTGAGTTCTGGGATCCTGGATCTACTCCCTCCTGGCAAGTGAATTTGGAGAAATGATTTAACTTTTCTCTGCTTCAGTTTCATTTAATCGCCAAAATATTAAATAAGGTGATGCATGGAGAGTCATAATTATTATTACTATGTGCCTGCCCTTGTGCTAATAAGTGGTTTGCATGCTTCAATTTATTTAATCTCCACAAGAATAATGCTGAGGTGGGCACCATTTTTGGGTTAACCAAGGCAGAAGGAAGCTCATTGACTTGGGCACAGAGCACAACCAAGAGTCAAACTGGGGTCTCTGTGAGTCTCAAGCTCCTGCCCTGTGCCCACTCCCCTACCCTACTCCAATTCTCACCCCTGAAATTGTGAAGTTGAGTCTGGAGGAAGCAAAGTGCCTCCCTTTCTGCGTGGCCCCCCATGGCCCCAGCCGTGGAGCTCTAGGGTGCCGAAGTGCCGCTTTCCCCCTGACCCAACCCAGATGCATTCTTCCCCCACCGCAGCCTGGCCTCAGTGGTGGTTTTCAGCCAGGATGGGGCTTGTCCGATGGAGGCCAGGTGCCAGTCACAGGAGCAGTCTGACAGATCTGAGTTTTTCTAGGGCCCACTGGGAGCCTTGAGAGGAGTCACAGGCCAGAGACCTTGTGATGGGTTTAAGTCAACACCTGAACCTGCTCTAGAAGTAAGCAGGTTACATGTGCAGAGTACACCTTTCAGCAAGTGGTTCCTGAATGGGCCCATCTTTCTGGGGCCCTTTCCAAGTCAAGACACCAAACGAAAGTTTCATGGAAGGCAGAAGAGCATAGTGGTGAAGCCCACTGGTCTCTGCCAATTACAACTGTGTGACCTTGGGCAAGTCACTTAAATTTTGTAACCTCAATATCCTCGCCTGTAAAATAGAAATAGTAATGGTACCTCCCTCACAGAATTACTGATGAGATCCAATGAGAAAAGCATATCAAGTCTCCAGCATGAGGTCTGGCACATAGTAGGTGCTCAGTAAATGGTACCAAGCTATGCCATAGTCATGGCCTAGTGGTCTGGGCATGGAGGTGCAGGAGTAGGCCTGAAAGAGAGCCTTGTGCTGGTGGTTTATAGGGAATGATGGGGCTCTGGCTGGCAGTGGCAGTGGCAGTGGGGGTGCTGAGGAAGGTCTCTGGGGAGTCCTACAGCCCTGCCTTTCTTCTCCTCCCAGGGGGCTTTCTGCCTGTGTCCCCAGTTCTTCCCTAGACCCAAGCCCTCCTCTCTGATGTCTTTTTAGGATTCCCATACTACCACAGCCTCTTTATTTTTGTATCTATTTTCTTTCTATTTTCCTGCTTCCTCCTTGGCTTCTTGATCATCCGTTACCCAATTTGGACTGTTCCCTGAACCCCATTGTAAAAACTACCAAGTTGCCTCATCACTCTCTGGTGTTTATAAAGCATGAAAGGTTGGGGCTGGGAAGAAACTTGGAGTCTTCTCATCCTCGTTCTCCATCAACCCCCACTGGACAAGATTGGGGAGGGTGGAGTCAGTGGTTTTCCCAAGGTCAGTGGCAGCGGGGCTGGCCTCCAGGACTCCTTGTGCATGCTTCTGCCTCCACACCAGGTGGCTTTCCAACACAGTTGGCTGTGTTGGGTGCAGGCGGATGAGGCAGCATCTGCTTAATCAGTAGAGTATTCTTCCTGATAACAATCTTCCCTCATCACCTTCCCCAATCCCATCTCTCCTTGATGTAGTTTCCACGCAAGCCACCCTCTGCATAGAGCCCTTATGAGTTCCTCAGGAGGCCCAGATGTGGAAGGGCAGGCATGTCTAGGAACCTGTGGAGTCCCTAAGAGAGTTTAGGCATCTTCACAATTTCATTTTCACCTTTTTCCTATTATATAGAAGGGATACTTCTAGGGGGAGTAGAAGGAGTGTGACCGCAGTCAGAGCAGGAGAGTGGATTGGAGTAGGGGAAGTGATGGGAAAGAAGCCGAGGGGAAGGGATAAGGGGGTGGTGGGTGGCAGCTGGGCCTCCATTGGCCTGGTGAGTAGTTCTGTCAAGGATCAGGGACAGTGACAGGAGGACTCCGAGTTATTCTGTTGAAGATTGGAGACAGTGTTGAAAGGATCATGGGGATGAGCACATGGTTTGGCTGTCACATTTATTTCTTTTTGGAACTTGAGGGTTTTCCTGTTCCTGTGTGTGGAGATTTGGGGTGCTGGGTAAATCCTGGGCAGTGAGGAACTAGCAGAAATTAGATATTAATATTAGCTACACAGCTGCTCATACCAGGATGGAGCTGATATGGGACAGGCAGAGGATGTGGAATCAGGACACCTTTGTTAAGTCTGGCCTTCATTCCCTAGCTTCATAACCTTGGCAATTCTCTTAATGTCATGTCAGTGAGTTTCCGTTTACTCTTCTGTAAAATAAATGTTTTTTAAAAAAAGCCTGCCCTACCTGCCTAACATGGTTTTCATGAGGATTAAATGAGATAACGGATGAGCATGCTTCCTAATCTGTAAAGCTTTATGCAGATATTTGCTGTCGTCATCAGCTGTATTATTGATAGGGTTAAGATGCCAGTGGAAGTGAAAACCTAGAACCCAGAGTGAAGGTGACACAGCATTTAATCTGCTATGTGGAACAGGTCCTTTCATCTTAACTGGTCCTGGGTCAGCGGGGCAGCTGCTGTCCTCAGATGTGGTTCTTCTGGAATGTATAATATGGGAGGCGACTATCAGAGTGATGCCCATTGCTAAATCACTGTTCTGCAAAACTGGTGATAGTCAGGATTGTTTGCTAAAGTGAAACTAAAAAGGCTGTAAGTTTGGGAAGCAGATGAGATGCTGGAAGGTGGCCATATTAACTCCTTGTTAAATAAACTTTTCGGCCGGGCATGGTGGCTCACACCTATAATCCCAGCACTTTGGGAGGCTGAGGCGGGCGGATCACAAGGTCAGGAGGTCGAGACCATCCTGGATAACACGGTGAAACCCCGTCTCTACTAGAAAATATAAAAAATTAGCCCGGCATGGTGGCGGGCGCCTGTAGTCCCAGCTGCTCAGGAGGCTGAGGTGAGAGAATGGCGTGAACCTGGGAGACAGAGCTTGCAGTGAGCCGAGATTGCGCCACTACACTCCAGCCTGGGAGATAGAGTGAGACTCCATCTCAAAAATAAATAAATAAATAAATAAGTAAATAAATAAACAAACTTTTCATTTATTAATGATAACCACCATACCGTACCTTGGATAGCACATTAAAGAAAACATAATGTGTTCATTTCACTGAATTGATTTACCCAAAGAAAACCATGTTGCCTTCTTCAGATGGGGACATTGTGGCATGGGTTCTGTGATGAGAACATATCTGGCTTCTAATTTGAACGCTTTTGGCTCCTCACTAGCTTTGGACCGCTGGGGCAAGTCATTTAACCCACCACGCCTGTTTCCTCATCTGTAAAATGGGAATGATAGTACCTACCACAGAACTATTCCAGGGATTTACGTGAGTTAATGTATATAAATTGCTTAGCACATTGCTCTGCACATAAATAAATGCTCAATAAATGTTAGCTATTGTTGTTATTACAGTGACGTTGGGCATATATAATACTATTGTTAGCATTGTAGTTAACTCAGAGGATCTCTGTGTGTCAATTGACTCCTCAGGCTTCCTGACAATGTCACCTTTGAGGAAGGCGCCCTGATTGATCCACTTTCTGTGGGGATCCATGCCTGCAGGAGAGGCGGAGTTACCCTGGGACACAAGGTCCTTGTGTGTGGAGCTGGTAAGAAACAGAAGCCACCCTGTTGCGGGTTCATTGACTGGGAATTCAGGGAACCCTCTGCCCATCTCATTCCCCCTCCAAGGCTTGAGATTTGTTCTAGAATCCTTCTGGGTAAAGGAGGATTGCAGTGTCCCATTCCCTCAGTGACTAGCACTTTGCTAAACAAATGAGTATCTGTGGACATGATATTAACTAGGGTTATATGTCCTAGGCAACATAGCCCTTTCATTCATTTAAAGAATGAATTGGCTGGGCACGGTGGCTCCTGCCTATAATCCCAGCACTTTGGGAGACCAAAGCCGGTGGATCACTTGAACCCAGGAGTTCGAGACCAGTCTGGGTAACATGGTGAAACCCCATCTCTACAAAAAAATACAAAAATTAGCCGGTGTGGTAGTGTGTGCCTATAGTCCCAGCTACTCAGAAGGCTGAGGTGGGAGGGTCACTTGAGCCTGGGAGGTCAAGAGTGCAGTGAGCCATGATTGTGCCACTGAACTCCAGTCTGGGTGGCAGAACAAGACCCTGTCTCAAAAAAAACAAGACCCCATCTCAAAACAAACAAACAAAAAGAATGAATCTGTGCCAGGCACAGTGTCTCATGCCTATAATCCCAGCACTCGGGAAGGCTGAGGCGGGTGGATCACTTGAGGCCGAAAGTTCAAGACCAGCCTGGCCAACATGATGAAACCTCATCTTTACTAAAAATACAAAAATTAGCTGGGTGTGGTGGTGCGCCCCCTGTAGTCCCACTTACATGGAAGGACGAGACAGGAGAATCACTTGAACCTGGGAAGCAGAGGTTGCAGTGAGCAAAGATCATGCCACTGCGCTCCAGCCTGGGCGACAGAGCGAGATTCTGTCTCAAAAAAAAAAAAAAAAAAAAAAAAAAAGGGAATTAATCTGGCGATTATTTTTGAACCCTTGATGGGAAACTAGGAAAATTTTTTTATTTGCGTGATCTTGGCTCACTGCAACCTCCACCTTAGAGAAATATTTTTGATAGTAAAGGGAAGGGCAACTCTTGGAACTTTCAAATTATACCAGCAAAGTGATGGCCTAGTCCCATCTATGAATAAGGTAGACCCTGCTCCCAGCCAGTGGGAGGAGTGAGCAGTGGTCTGCTCCCACACCACTGTGAGCCAGCAGTCTGCCTGCAGTAGGGTTGTAGCTAGCTGCCTTCTCTCATCCCCTGTTTCCAGCCATCTTTCCAGCCATCTGGAACAAGCCCTAGCAGCCTCAGAACGAATCATTCTGGTGACCCAGACAGTACGCTCACACTCCTTGTGGGTGTGATCTGGTGTTCCTCATACTTGTTTGTGATTTTCTTTGGCTGGCCAAATAAGTGATCACACGGCTTCCTAAGAGGGGTGATGGATGTAGAATAGACTTGCCACAATGGGCTAGCAGACTGCGGGACTCAGGTGACAGATTCTTATAAAAATCTGCATGGATCCAGTACCTTTTTACCATAGAAAAGGAAAATAAGTCACACATACCACACACATGCATGCCTTGCCCCCAACACACACACACACAGAAATTCACCTGTAATCCCATTACCGATTAGCCCAAGAGAACCACTATTAATATTTGGGTATAGAATCTTTTAGTTAGTTGGTTTTTTCTGAGACCATGCTAAATACGCTTCCTTTACCTACTCTTTTTTAAAAATCAGGCTGGGCACAGTGGCTCATGCCTGTAATCCTAGCACTTTGGGAGGCTGAGGCAGGCAGATCACCTGAGGTCAGGAATTTGAGATCAGCCTGGCCAACATGGTGAAACCCTGTCTCTACTAAAAAAACAAAAAGTAGCCAGGCTTGGTGGCGGGCGCCTGTAATCTCCACTACTTAGGAGGCTGAGGTGAGAGAATTGCTTGAACCCGGGAGGCGAAGGTTGCAGTGAGCTGAGATTGCAACACTACACTCCAGCCTGGGTGACAGAGCAAGACTCTGTCTCCAAAAAAAAAAAAAAATCAATATACTGTGAACATTTTTCCATGTCAATAGATAAAGAGTTATGGCGTAATTTTTAGTAGCCATGTAGTTTTTTAATCATGCTTTGTTGGACATTTCAGGTATTATTTTTCAGTGTTTTGTTTTCTGAGGGAGCTCACAAAATTGTTCTTAGGGGATGTGTACAAAAAGTAAACCCCCAAAGATATTCTGCATTGCTTTCATTCTGTGGGTCTGATTTTTATATTAAAACCATAGTGTCACATAGCATGCAGATACTATGGGGAAGCAGGTGTCTCAGGCAAATCCTTGGATACCTGAGTATCCTGGGGCTATCTGGGCACCTGGGCCAACCCAGGGAGCCAGCTCACTTAAGAACCCTCTCCAGGTGGTCCTCAGAGGGCACCTAAAAGGAATATGTCTCTCTCTGGGGGAGGTGTGATGGGTTCTCACGAAGGTAGGGGCAAAGAAAGAACAGGAAAACAAGTCCAGACCTTCTGAGATTTCTTATTTTCTGAGTAAGTTTGTGTTTCCTTGAATCCCGTGGTTCTTTGAGATTATCTCCACTAGTGCCCAGGAGTAAGTGGGAAAATTTTAGCTCTGAGGTTTGAGAGGATTAAATAGAACCCAGCACTAGGAGCGTATTTTATGTAGAGAATAATTCTTCATGGATTCATTCTCTTCTGCATTCAACAAACAGCCGCTAAGGTCTTATCATGCCAGGCACTGGGATAGATGCTAGAGACACACAAAAGATATGGTTCCTGTCCGTGGCCTGGACAAGTGGGAGAGCAGATGTTTAATATTTCACAATCTTATATCTTTTGCTTTGTTTAGGGGCAATCGGGGTAGTCACTTTGCTCGTGGCCAAGGCAATGGGAGCAGCTCAAGTAGTGGTGACTGGTAAGACTTTGTTCTTTATCAATCTCCTTGACTGGGAAACAGCTGGTCCTACTGTATGTGCATGTGTGAGGAGAGGTTATCCGTGACAGTGTGGAGGGGGTGAGTGTGTAGTGTCATATGGATTGTGGAGATATAGAGGAGTGTGAGTGTGTGTTTTGTGTTAGGAGAAGCTATGAGAGAGAGAGAGTTTGTGTGAGAGTGTGTGTGTGTGTGTGTGTGTGTAGCTGTATGGTGGATATGGGGGTATATGAGGGTGTAGAGCAGGGGTGTCCAATCTTTTGGCTTCCTTGGGCCACATTGGAAGAATGGTCTTGGGCCCCACATAAAATACCCTAACACTAATGATAGCTGATGAACTTTACAAAACTGTTTTTTAATTTCATAATATTTTTAGAGAGTTTACAGATTTGTGTTGGGCCATATTCAAAGCCATCCTGGGCTGCATGTGGGCTGCAGGTTGGACAAGCTTGGTGTGAAGAGTATGTGTGTTGGGCTCAACACCACCACCCATTGCACGAGAGCTTTGTTGCCATCAGATCTTACACCTCCATTTTCTTTTCTTCCTAATGAGTCATCAGATTTCTCTTGTTTGAAAGAATTTTTTTTTTTTTTTTTACCTTCAGATCTGTCTGCTACCCGATTGTCCAAAGCCAAGGAGATTGGGGCTGATTTAGTCCTCCAGATCTCCAAGGAGAGCCCTCAGGAAATCGCCAGGAAAGTAGAAGGTCTGCTGGGGTGCAAGCCGGAAGTCACCATCGAGTGCACGGGGCAGAGGCCTCCATCCAGGCAGGCATCTACGTGAGTGGGCTGAGGGCAGCTTTGGGGAATCAGCGTAGGGGAGTGAAGGAGGCAGAAGTAGGGAGTCAAACTTCTTTACCAGCTTGCTGCGTGAGCCCCAAGCCAAACTTATTCATCTTTTGCCATCTCTGTTTTCTTATCTCTAGTGTGGAGCCTGTACTTGAACTTGCCTTACATCCTCATTGGGCCATCTGAGGTTCACACAAGATAACAGCTATACATGGGCCTTGAAAAATGTTAAGGACACACACTTTGGGGACGCAGTTGGCTTCATGATCATATCTGTGATGTTAAAAGTGCAGTAGTTTTGGTAAAAAGATCAAGAAGAAAAACAGGGAACCATGCCTTAATTGTATGTGGGAAATCTCTGTCTTATTTTATTGAGGAAAACTGCAGTCTTTTAGTCATAGATATAAAGTGACAGTCATTCAGTTAGTCATGAAGGTGAGGTGATTTTCCAGGGTCACAGCTGACTACTGCTTGTTTTGTCTCCCAGACCTAGGAACAGATAAGCTGCCAATGCCTGATTCGCCCCTCAGCGACCCACCAGCCACTTATGGGAAGTTGGCAGGAAGTTGGAGGTGGTGGGAGGGAGTGGCACTGACAGATCAAAGTATGAGGAAACGAAGGGAAAATAACAACTTCCAGGTTCCAAGCCCTACTGTATGCCAGGTTCTCTGCTGTACTTTATAAACATGAGGCCTAATCTGCACAACAGCCCTGAAAACCAGTTACCGTTTTATGCTGAGGGATTTGTGGTTTGTTTGAGGCAAGCCAAGTCAGGCCCAGGCCCAGCCCTGCCAGGCCCCAGTGCCTGAGTTGCCCCGCTGCTTAGGAGAGGAAGGGAAGGAGGGCACGAACAACCATGCTAGGGTGGGGGGACAGGGCCAGGGCTGGAGAGGGTAGCAGGCAGCCGCCACCACAGGGGTCTCCTGTCCCTGCCTCCCAGACAGCCTCCCCAGGTAGCGTGGGCTTCCTCCTTCCTTCTGAGGCTCACAGCAGGAGGGCACTTTGCATCACATGAGACATTCTAGGGAAGGCTGACCCACCAAGCTGAGTAGCAGAGCTGCCTAGACCTCCTCCTACTAAGTTGCCCAGCGGCCTTGGGAGCTGAGGAACCAGTGGGGGAGAGGGAGGAGCGGGTGCCACCTTGGCAGTGTCGTGAGTTTCAGCTGGAGTCCGCCAGCCCTCTGCTTCACTGTCATAGGCAGTGGTCGCCATGTGGGAAGGGGCAAAAAGAAGCCGAAGCTCAGAGAGGAACAATGGATCTGTGTGTGATTGATCTACCCATGGTATGTCTTGGGCACCTACCATGTGCCAGGCTTTGTGCTGGGCACTTTGAGGGCTAAGACATGAGTAGGTTGCATCTGCTGTCTTCAAGTTGTCAGCAGGTAAGTGACCTCCACCCCGCAGAGAGGCAGTATAAGCTGGGGGACTTAAAGGACATGGCTCTCCTTCCTCTTGTGCCCTGCCCTTAGAGCATTTGGAACAGTTGGCATTTCCACTGTTGATGGTGGGGGCCTGGTTGCCAGGCTACCTGAGGCAGGCATGGAGGTGAATGTGACCCATGGGCCTCACCAGGCCTGAAGCAGTGTCTCTCCTGACGTCACGCATGACGGGTGCTGTAGAATGCTATAGGCCACCCCGCCAATGAGCAGGCTAGGTGGCTGGACCAAATATGGACAAATCTGAGCATCGCCGTCCTGCCAGGTTATGACTGGATAGTGTTTGTGATGAGACATGGCAGATGCCTTGGGGTAGAATTGATGTCATATCCTTGATGCAGATGCCATACCTACAGGATAGTGTCCAGGTGGTTCCAGCATTCCTTGACCTTGGGTCAGCAAACTGCTGGCATCTTGGCAGCTTGGAATGGCCAGTTGGTGTTCCTCCTCACCACCAGGTAGAGAGGAAGTGCTGATAAGGAAGTAGTTTCCCTAGAAAATGGGCTGAGAGGGCACGTCCAGGGTGCCACAGCTCTGAAGCAGCAGCGCTGGGAGTCACTCCCACACCACTCAAACCCTGAGTTCACCTCTTGCTCACGGCACCACAGGCCTCTCTCCATGGTGTATCCTTCATCTCAGAAGTGGAGGCTGTGATCGTGGTGTATCCTTCATCTCAGAAATGGAGGCTGTGACATGTGCCTTTCTCTAGTTCCACTGTTTAGCACCTAGAATGGTCCCAATAAATGCTTGCTGCTGACTATAATGAACAACCAGCATGATTGAATTATCCATTGTTCTGTCTCTCACCGCACTGAGCACAGTGATCCCCAGAAAGCTCTGGAACAAGCACAGCACTCACAGGGAGTTCTGGGGAAATTTTCAGGAGAAATTTCACTGCTGCCTGTGACCCACTCCAAGTGGGGAACTGATAAGGCAGATAAACATTCAAGGAAGACAAAACCCATTATGGCTCATACTGTTGAGGTAAACATCTCTGGAACAAAAAGATTTCTAACTGCCAGCCTGCACGCATGTATGAAGCCTTTTTTAAGCCACAGAATACAAGTGGCCCATCTGTCTCATGTTTATAGTTTTCTCACCACCGGTGAGCTTAGAGGGCCAGTGGTTCCTTCCAGCTCTGATGAAAGTGCTGCCTGTGGAGGGGCGCTCTGGGGGAGGAACAGGTGCTTAGACTGTGGAGGTGGCTGAAGCCAATATTGGGTCCCGAATCTGTAAAGCTTTGGAAGATGTTCCCACTGTGCCTGGTTCTCCATGGGTTAAGTGTATGTTTTCACAATACACTTTAAAGAAAACCGTGTTTACTCTCCCGCTCAGTTAAGTTTGGTTGGCAGGTTGAGCAGTTCAGCAGTGTACACAAATCACATTCTCAGGAATTTTTGGATGCTCAGCTGATGCAACCAGAAGATACTTGTGTGATGACAATATGTTATTGTAAGTGGGAAGTCAGTATTTCTTATCTTCTGAGCTTTCTTGTTTTTACCTCCTTTACAGGCCACTCGCTCTGGTGGGACCCTCGTGCTTGTGGGGCTGGGCTCTGAGATGACCACCGTACCCCTACTGCATGCAGCCATCCGGGAGGTGGATATCAAGGGCGTGTTTCGATACTGCAACACGTGAGTATGCTGTGGGTGAGCCGGGATGCCCAGCCTCCAGCAAGACCATGGCAGGCCCCACTCAGCCTCTGGCCCATGAGTCTCTGCCTGTTTGTTCATGGGGGGCACTCCCTGGCCACACTGATAGCTGTGTGATATAACAGGGATCCAAAGAGAGAACACTCACTCCCAATTAAAGAATGGGAAGGCCGGGCGTGGCGGCTCATGCCTGTAATCCCAGCACTTTGGGAAGCCGAGGCAGGCGGATCACGAGGTCAGGAGATCGAGAGCATCCTGGCTAACACGGTGACCCCTGTCTCTACTAAAAATACAAAAAATTAGCCAGGCATGGTGGTGGGTGTCTGTAGTCCCAGCTACTTGGGAGGCTGAGGCAGGAGAGTGGTGTGAACCCAGGAGGCAGAGATTGCAGTGAGCGGAGATCGCACCACTGCACTCCAGCCTGGGCAACAGAGCCAGACTCTGTCTCAAAAAAAAAAAAAAAGAATGGGAGGAACAGAAGGATGGATGGAGGGAGGGAAGGAGGGGATTTTGAAGCATAGTCTTACTGAGTGTCTGCTGCTTATCCGCCCTAGGCCCCTTTATCCCCCAATTTTCTTAAGTTACCAGGTCTCCATTTTCTCCATTTAAAGGGAAGAAGGAGAGAAAGGAGGACAAAAGGAAGAAATCAAGTCCTGTGGCTTCCGTTCCTTAGCCCTAGGGCCCACCCTGGGGAGCGAAAGGGTCTTAGTTTGCCCCACCCATGTTCTGCAGCTCCACCCTCTCCCCTGCTGGGGCCCTCTGGCTGGGACCCCTCTCCCCAGCAGTGTCCCTTACTCCTGGCTTTAGAGGCTGTAACTCCCTGCCCTCATCAGGGCGCCAGTTTTCCAGTAAGCTGAGCTGTTAGTGGGTGTGACTGGATTGTCCCGGGCTGCCTCCCCACGGCTTCTCTGCCTTTTCCCAGTGGCCTCCACCATGTGCCTCGTACCTTCATGCCACAGGAATTCTAGGCTCCATGGCAGACGTGGCAGAGTGAGCGGGTGGGTGAGGGGTGGGGGCAATTGCAAATAGGCTCTGTACCCCTGAATCATAAGCCATAAGGTCCTTTCCTGGGTTGTTGGCCTGTAAAATTGGCTTTGCAGAACCACAGTGCTATCAATAAATACGGCCAAGCTGATCTAGTGCTTGGTAGTTTGGGGCACCTGGCTCTTTCCTCTTGAAGGTTGAATATAATGCTCGTGCTCTTTTACAGGTGGCCAGTGGCGATTTCGATGCTTGCGTCCAAGTCTGTGAATGTAAAACCCCTCGTCACCCATAGGTTTCCTCTGGAGAAAGCTCTGGAGGCCTTTGAAACATTTAAAAAGGGATTGGGGTTGAAAATCATGCTCAAGTGTGACCCCAGTGACCAGAATCCCTGATGTTAATGGGCTCTGCCCTCATCCCCAGTCTCGGGATCTCAGGGCACAATGGCTGGACATGGGTGGGCTCTGATGCAGAACTTTCTCTTTTGAATGTTAAGAATAACTAATACAATTCATTGTGAACAGAAGTCCTTACGCAGAGGAATTGGTGTGCCTTAAAGATACAATCTGGGATAGTTTGGGGGAACTTGTAGCCAGAATGCCCTGTTCATGCTGAGCAAAGTTCAGCAAGTAGAGCAGAGTTTGGCAGGCAGGTGCCAGGAACTCCCCTTCTTCCTGGAGTGCCTTCATTGAGGAAGGAAATCTGGCCCTTGGGTTTCCTGGTTCCACTGCTACTGACCCAGAGGGGAATGAGGGCTGAGTTATGAAAAGATAACTTCATGAAGACTTAACTGGCCCAGAAGCTGATTTTCATGAAAATCTGCCACTCAGGGTCTGGGATGAAGGCTTGTCAGCACTTCCAGTTTAGAACGCAATGTTTCTAGAGACATATTGGCTGTTTGTTTTGATGATAAAAGGAGAATAAGAAAAGGCATCACTTTCCTGGATCCAGGATAATTTTTAAACCAATCAAATGAAAAAAACAAACAAACAAAAAAGGAAATGTCATGTGAGGTTAAACCAGTTTGCATTCCCCTAATGTGGAAAAAGTAAGAGGACTACTCAGCACTGTTTGAAGATTGCCTCTTCTACAGCTTCTGAGAATTGTGTTATTTCACTTGCCAAGTGAAGGACCCCCTCCCCAACATGCCCCACCCCACCCCTAAGTACGGTCCCTTGTCACCAGGCAACCAGGAAACTGCTACTTGTGGACCTCACCAGAGACCAGGAGGGTTTGGTTAGCTCACAGGACTTCCCCCACCCCAGAAGATTAGCATGCCATACTAGACTCATACTCAACTCAACTAGGCTCATACTCAATTGATGGTTATTAGACAATTCCATTTCTTTCTGGTTATTATAAACAGAAAATCTTTCCTCTTCTCATTACCAGTAAAGGCTCTTGGTATCTTTCTGTTGGAATGATTTCTATGAACTTGTCTTATTTTAATGGTGGGTTTTTTTTCTGGTAAGATTTGGACCTAAATCGCATCATGCCAACTTGTGACTTTGAGACTATTCATCAAGAATGAGGATATAGTAGCCATGACATAGCTTGAGCTATAGCCTTTAATTCCTTACTTTGGCTATGGGTGGAGGGTGAGTTTGAAGAGGTTCTGATTTTCTTGTAACCTGGGAAAGCCATGACCTTGTGCCCGATTCTTTCAGATTGCTTTGGGTAATAAATATTGGTGGTGGTATCTGACTCATGCTGCTGTTTATGGTCCTGTTTAGTGGGGAATGGACTCAGGTTACCCATTTCCCAGAGGGAAGGATCCCAGGATTTTTGAAGGTTACATATTTTCTGTACCAAATATAATTTCATTGACATGAATTATCTCTAATCCTCATGACAAGCCACATACACAATCATTTTGTAGATAAAGAAGATATAAATGCCAGAGGAGACCTTAAGATTGTCTTACAACACAACCCTTCAGTTAACGAGAGAGGAAATTGAGGCTCAGATTGGGGAAGTGACTTGGCAAATCACACAGTGGGTTAGTCAATGGCCCAGGATTAGACAGAACCCAGGAATCCTGACATCAAATCCTTTACAACATGCTGCCTCTCATAGGCCTGAGGTGTCCAGTCCTAGAGGACAAATGATGCTCCCCATGCCACCACCCCCACCAAGCAGCTCCTACTGATGAGAAGATGCACTAAGCAGTCTTGGTGGAAACATCATCCTCACGCCCTGTGCCCCCTTTCAGGTGCCCAGAGAAGGAGCTCAGTGTCTGCTTCAGCCAGGGCTTTAAGAGAGAAGGAAGCTGGGAGTGAGGGGCAGAGGCTCTACCAGAGAATGTCTGCTGGTGTCTTGGAGGCACTTCCTGCAGCCTATGCATGCCTCGTGAAGCCATTTCACTGCTGCCCCTTCATCCTCCTCCTCCCTGAGCCCTAGGTAGAAGTCAGTGTGTGGAGGAGGCCACCCAGAGATGACCCTGACCAGGCCCCACCGCCTGTAGCCAGACCCAGCCTCTGTCCCAGCTGGCTGCTAATTTCTGAGCATTGCTTCCCTGTTATTTGGCCTCTGTACCTTGAACCTAGGTTGACATCATGAGCAGAGGACAGTTCTTAGGAAAGGCAAATATCCCATAAATCCTATTTGCCTCTCTTTCTCCTAACCTCTGGCTCCACCAACTCCCCAACAGGCCTCCTGCACACACAATAGGAGTCAGGAGGGAGGAGGCAGGACTGTGCTACACAAGGGAGACTGGGTGGGGAAGATGTCAGAGAACCAGTGACTGAGTGCAGAGGTGACTTCACACCAGCATCTGCTGTAGCCAGAGGTGGGCTGCAAGAGGGAATTAGAGGAGCCAACATGTCCTCTTTCTCCTTTAGGGTCCATGGAGCAGTCCGCTGCTTCCAGGTTGCCTGTGGGGTCCTTCCCAGCTCTCCGCCCTGACACGTCTTCACTCCCTAGCACTCGTGGAGCTGACTGGGTGGGGACCTCAGTGTTGACTGAAAGCGTGAATCAAGTGCCAGGCACTGGTGACAGAGCACACAGAGGCTGCTGGGCCTCCCAAGGTCGGGGAGCTTGTGGGGAATTCACATTCTTGGTTCCGGGACTGATTCACTGAGTCAATCAATATTGATTGAGCACTTAGTTGGTTGTGGTGGTGGTAGGAATGAATTCCTGGGCTTCCTGCAGCCCCTTTCCATGAATCTATACATATCAAACATGTGCATGCATTTGTAAACATTAATGGGAGTGTACTTTACTTTTTTCATTTTACTCATAAACAGACGAGGACTTTAAAAAAATCACAATTATTAAATAATTCCCATTACTATACCTGACAAAACTAATAATAATTTCATAATAGCTAATACCCCGTCAATCCATGCCATATTTTCCCTCATCTAAAAAACAGAAAAAATTACTTTTTTTTCCCCCAAAGACAGGGTCTTGATCAGAGCTCACTGCAATATCAAACTCCTGGGTTCAAGTGATCCTCCTGTCTCAGCCTCTGGAGTAGCTGGGATTATAGGCATGCACCACCATGCCTGGCTACTTTTTGTAGAGAAAAAAATTTAAAAAGGTCTCACTATGTGGCCCAGAGTGTTCTTGAATTCCTGGCCTCAAGCAATCTTCCTGCCTCAGTTTCCCAAAGCACTGAGATTACAGGCATGAGCCACCATGCCCAGCCAAAACTTTACTTTTTTACACTTGCTTTTCTGGAATCAGGATCTAAACATATTGCATGCGGTTGATATATTAAGCCTGTTTTATTTTTTATTTTTTCTTCTTTCTTAAGCCTCTTTATTATAGTTCCCCCTACATTTTGGTTCACATGCCACTGTTATGTTGAAGAAACTGGGTCCTTTGTCTTCTGGATACCATTTTACAAACATACTTGTTTTCATTTAATAAATGGCTAAATTTCTTTCTATGTCAATAATTATACACATCATTATTTTAAATCACCACATCCCATTGTGTGGATAGACTATCATTTATAAAGCAAATTGCAGTATTTTGAGTGTTTGGATAGTTTACAGAGTTTTGCTCTAATAATAAAGTTGCAATGACAACCCTTGTTGCATATTTTTGTTCTCCTGACTCATTATTTCCTGAAGTTATTAATATGTTATTTCTTGAAGTTATATTTTAGAATGAAAATAGCTGGGGTTAAGGGTACACACATTTTTAAGGTGACCTGGTTAGACAAGAAAACACAGTATTGACATTCAGACTGTCTAAGAAAATCTCTGGGGGTGCCCCAGGCCTTGTGTGATGTGGGAGGACTCTGGGGTCTTGGGTAGCTCACAGGGGCTGCTGAGGATGAGGCCATGAAGCCACTGGCTCTCTGGCTTCAGGCCACCCTTGGGAAAGCAGGGGCCTAGACCCATAAACTTGGACAGATTGCCATTTTCCAGGCCCCAGTTTCCTTATTAGTAAAATTGGTGGTCCCTTTTAGCTCTGGGACTACTGCCAGGACATGACAACAAACAGCTCCTGTAAAGGACTGGCACAGAATTCACAGGGAACTGTGGCCCAGCTACTGTGGAGCAGTGAGCCGCCATCAATGAACTTATACTGGAAGCCTTCCCTACCCCGTCCCTCCACCTCAATTCCAGGGGACACTGGGTACCGTTCACCAAACTTTTTTTTTCTCCTCCAGGTTTATCTTACAACCAAATCCAAGCAGAGGCTGCCCCACCCCAACACCCCATTTTACACAAGGAGGGAATGCCAACAGAATTCAGCAGCCTGACTCGCTCACCCCTCACCACTTCCATTGCTCAGGGCATTGTGGGGAGGGAAAATCCCACCTCAGCCCAATACACTTCCAGAGTTCCCTACTACAGGCATTCTGCAATAGTTAACCAGACCTGGGCTCACTGACATGGTTGGGATGGAAGAGGCTGGGCAAATGGCAGCTTCAGCTAACCTTGAGGCTGCCATGTTCACTCTTCCCCACTGGTCCTCAGGAAGATGAGAATCCCTGATCCCCTGTGGCACACAGCAGAGGGCCCAGGAGGAAGAAGCCAGAGGGAGGCAAAACAGAGAGCCCGGGAAACTTGCCCACCTACAGAGAGCAAAGTGCCCTCTCCTTAAGTAATCCATTCCCACTGCCACAGCAACAGATAGGCGACTCGGAAGTTGGGGAGCCTCCGTGATGGCTTCAGGGATCTTCCCAGAAAGTACAGAGCACATGTTGCTATCTTTCTCCTGGCTAGGCCCACCCAAGTTAGTCAATATCCAGGAGCCCCTTCCCCTTGTGCCTGACCTGGCAATTTCAGGAAACTAAAGTCTGGGACTCCTGATCTATCTTTTGGCCCAGTAACAATGTTATTCAGGACAAAAATATTTCTGCTTGTAATAACCTAGAATTAGTGTTTCTTACGATATATAAAGATGGGGCATATTGCTGTTGAACACTGTCAGCAATGAAACAGCAAAAGAAACAATGGGGGAGAGGGAGGAGCATAAGACCATTGAGATCTGTTTCACTGAGAAGTTTAGGGCAGGAGCCCCTGCAACTCTAAAGAAAGGCCATTCACCAAACCTTTTTTTTTTTTTTTTTTGGAGACAGGATCTCATTCTGTCGCCCAGGCTGGAGTGCAGTGGCGTGATCTCAGCTCACTGCAACCTCCACATCCCAGATCCAAGAGATTCTCCTGTCTCAGCCTCCTGAGTAGCCAGGATTACAGGCACACACCACCACGCCTGGCTAATTTTTTTGTATTTTAGTAGATACTGGGTTTCACTATGTTGCCCTGGCTGGTCTCTTGAGCTCAGGCAATCTACTCGCCTCGGCCTCCCAAAGTGCTAGAATTACAGGCAAGAGCCACCGCACCCGGCCCATTCACCAAACTTTAACAAATCACCAGGAAGAAGTAAGGGTGGTGTGTGTAGAATGTTCCTTATTGGTTCTGACCTCTCCAAGTAGGTGCAAATCCATGTGGCATAAAATGACTTGGACTGGGTACTGGCTTAGTCCATTTTGTGTTGCTATAACAGAATACTTGGGACTGAGTGATTTACAAATAAAGGGGTTTATTTAGCTCACAGTTTTGCAGGCCGGGAAGTTTAAGGGCATGGCACTGCCTTCTGGTAAGGGCTTTTGTGCTACACTATAACATTGCAGAGAAAGTCAAAGGGGAAGCAGACACATGTGAAGAGGCCAAACTCAAGGGACATCCTGGCTTTGTAACAACCCACTCTTGTGGATCTAATCCGTTCCTGAGAGAATCCAGTCTTGCTAGAGTGAGAACTCACTACCGCGAAAATGGCACCAAGCCATTTGGGAGGAATCTGTCCTTATGACCCAAACACCTCCCATTAGCCATCTGCTCCCAAAACTGCCACGTTGGGGATCAAATTTCAACATGAGTTTTGGTGGGGTCAAACTCAAACCATAGCAGGTGTTAATATGCAGATCTTAGATGCTCAGACCCCAAGAAACTTGGCAATTTGTAGAACCCTTAAGGAACTTTGCCTTCTGAGTGATTCGAAAGCATTTGTCACATTGCTGTTTCATTCTGTGGGCACATATGTGTATGTAACGCTGTGCTTATATAGCTTAACAATACTGTGTAGATTTTCGAGTGCTCTTGCATATTTGCGCTATCTGCTTTCAGGAATACCAAAGGGAATCATATCTTTTGCCACTCATCATGTGAGATGGGATAGGGCTGCCAGCGCTGACAGTATTAAGGTTTAACGATTCTCAGGAACTTCTGGGAAAACTGTTATCAGTAAGCAGAAGGAGTCCAACACATGATCTGTGAGAAGGTGAATGCGGAAAAAGCTGGGAGGCAAGGAACTAGTCATCCAGGGCAGACTGAAGAAAGTGACTCAGCTCTGGCCTTTGGGGACTGGGGCTGCTGGTTCTGGGGAGCAGCTGGGCTTTCAGCATAGCACAGGGACAGACAGGCTCTAGCCAGAGCTCTCCTGGGCCAACCCCAACTTGCCTTCCCCTGCACCACACACTAAATCCCCACACCTTGCTGAACACCCAACAAAACTAGGACCTGAGGAAGGCCCTTGCTCCTGCCATGCTGCCTTCCTCCGGAATGGGGTTCCAGAGGGAATGATGCTTCTGAAGGGAAAACAGACATTGCCAAGGTGGTTGGCTGGGAAAGTTTCTGTCATCCAGTCTGTGTCTGGCCATGGGCCTGTGGCTGACTGGAGGGACAGCTCTCCTGCATTTGGAAGAGGCACTTGTAAAGGAAGAGACCAGTGGGTTGTGTAGATGTCTTGGGCTCCCTATAGTAAGGAAGAGGTGAGTACACGTTAGGCTACTCTGCTTCCTGATGACCTCGAGCAACTCACTTGACTCCTTCAAGCTTCAGGTTCCTCATCCTTTAAGTGGGAAAAATAAAACAAGCCTCAGGCTTGTCATAGGGACAGAATAAAGAAGCCTGATGCTCTTCCCCTGGTGAATGGCACTCTGATTATGCTTATTAAGTGCTTGTGCCCCTGCCCTTGTCTCACCAAATTTTCTCTCTTGACCTGTTAAATGAGTAGGATGAATGACCCTCAAGACTTTTCCAGCTCTGAGCCCTGAGTCTGCAAAGGTGCTTGAAGGTACGTGAAGAGTTCCCAGGGTGGCAGAAAAGGCCTCAGCCTGGCCTTGACCCAGCATTCTCAGCAATTCCACAAACCTGCCAGGGAAAGAGAGATGGCAGCAGGCCCAGAGGCCAGGCAGGGAGGAGGAGAGGAACCAGGTGTCAGCACTTAGGAGCTGCCTCTTACCAGCCTGCTCTGCTCTGCTCCCCTGATGCCCCTCTGAAGAGCCGCTGGATCCAGGAGCTCTGGGCGGTTGGTTCACATGGACGGGGACCTCCAGAAGCCATGACCAAGTCTCACACCTACATTATGGAGGTGTCCCTAACTGGCTGGCACAGTGCCTGGCATGTAGAAGGAGCTCTGGAAATGTCTGTAGCCTCATAAGCAACCAGACCTCACTCCCAGCTCCCAGCTGTTTCCATCGTGCCCATTAGCCTGAGCTAAACCCAGAGCAGCCGGGAATCCTCAGGCCGGCAGTCTCAACATGTAGTGACTCACTGTGTGGAAGGGGAAGCCAAACCTCGAGGACCAGGAGGGGCACGTCCAGAGACTGCAGCAAGAGGAGGGCTCACCTGGCCTAGAGCCCCCTGCCCCAGAAACCCACCAGAGACAGCCTAGGGTGCAAATAAGACAACGGAGCTGGACGTCACTGAGGGACAAGGAGTAGGACCAGCTGCTCCATCCAGACAGTTTCAGCTTTTAAGGGGGAATTGTGGGGGACCCTGTGGTGTGGTGAAAACAATACCAGACCAGAGGCAGGGTTCTGAGTTCTGGGCCAGGGTCCCCAACCCATTAATTTCAGGAGAGCTAATAGTGAGTATGTTCTTTTTTTTTTTTTTTTTTGAGACAGAATAGAGTCTTGCTCTGTTGTCCAGGCTGGAGTGCAGTGGTGTGATCTCAGCTCACTGCAACCTCCTCCTCCCAGGTTCAAGCAATCCTCCTGCCTCAGTCTCCCAAGTAGCTGGGATTGTAGGCATGAGCCACCACACCCGGCCGTGTGTATGTTCTTAACTATCCAGGTAGGAGTCAGTGAAACCTCTCAGAATCGTTATCATCTCTACAATAGAATGCTAAGCTTCTGTGAACGAGAAATAAGGAATGAATCACAACAGCTGAAACTGGGTGCCCACTATAGGCCAGACACTATTCTGAGAATACCAAATATCTTAACTCATATAACCCTCACAATAACCCTATGAGAGTAATATCATTGCCCCCATTTTAAGGCTCAGAAAACTGACATACAGAGGGATTAAATGATTTGCCCCACATCCCGCCTACTTCCTACATACATATGTTTGAATATGTGTAGAAAATAATGTCCAGGCTGATGGACATCAAACTATTAATAGTAGTTAGCTCTGGAAGAAAGGACTTTGCGGTTTTGTGTTGTTTGCCCAGCGGGATGGTTGGGGACAAGAGGACTTTCATTTTTTACTGTATAAATTCCTCTATAATTTGAAAAATTTTAAAAAAGCATGTTCATGTGTCATTTTTGTAAGTTAAGAAAAACTAATAAGAATGTCACACCTTGCTGTGGCTTTCAGGCTCAGCTGCAACATTTTCATTCCAGAAAGCCCTTGACTGCAGCAATTTCCTAGGAGCAGTGGAAGGCAGGGAAGCACCCACTCACCACTACAAGCCTAGCAGACCCCTGGGCAGCCTGGGCAGGGCGATCTGTGATACCATAGCCCGTGTAGGTTTGTTATGAGGCCTCAAGGACCGTGGGAGGACAGTTAAACAGATCCCGAAAGCACTGGTTCCGAAAAGCCAGCTGCTTCCTTTCACTGGCACTCGGTCTTTTAACTAACCACCTACTTTATCTGATGGTCAGCGGAGTAACAGTAGGGCAGTCCTTGACACCTCCTTTTAGGTTGTGTGCCTGTATTTTTGGTTTTAGCCGTGTTTTGTGGACGCTGAGTCACTGAGTTTTGTTTTCGAATCAAGATTACGAGCCTTCCACTTTTCTGAGGAGTTCATCTGGTTTATGGCTGTGACTATGATGCCTGCACGTCCATCCTGCCTTGGATGTACCTTTATTACTTCCTTCATTTGCTTTCTTTCCCTCTGTATCACCCCCTGTGATTTCTGTAGAGGACTTTGTTTCCTGGGTCCTTTTAAATTAGGTCAGAAGGAAACATTATTTTATCTTTCTAGTTTTTAAACTGGATTTACCTTAAGAAGCTTTAACAGACTATTTTTTTGGCCGGGTGCAGTAGCTCACACCTGTAATCCTACACTTTGGGAGGCCGAGGTGGGAGGATCACTTGAGGTCAGGAGTTCAAGACCAGCCTGGCCAACACGGTGAAACCCTGTCTCTACTAAAAATACAAAAAATTAGCCGGACGTGGTGGCGGGCACCTGTAGTCCCAGCTACTTGAGAGGCTGAGGCAGGAGAATGGCGTGAACCCGGGAGGCGGAGCTTGCAGTGAGCCAAGATTGCACTCCAGCCTGGGGGACAGAGCGAGACTCTGTCTCAAAAAAAAAAAAAAAAAAGAAAGAAAATCAACTGACTGAGGGAATTTAGAGGACAGGTCAATAGGTGCAGCAAACCACATGGCACACGTATACCTATGTAACAAACCTGCACATTCTGCACACGTATCCCAGAACTTAAAGTAAAAAAATAAAAATAAAAATAAATCCTTTTCTGCTTAAAATATATATAGAAAAGAAAATCAATTGACTGTTAACCAAAGGGTTTATGTCTAGACTCTAAATCTTATCTGATTGAACTATGTGACATCTTCGTGGCAGTACCAGGCTATACTGATTACTATAGCTTTGTAGAAACTTTTGAAACTGGCTCCACCTAATTTGTTCTTTTTAACGGTTGTTTTGGCTACTCTAAGTCCCTTGACTTTTAGGATCAGTTACTCAATTTCTGCAAAGAAGTCATCTGGGACTTTAATGAAGATTACATTGAATCTTGTAGATCAATTTTGGGAATATTTATTATCATCTTAGACAAATAGTCTTCTAATCTGTGAACATGGCATGTCTTTCCATTTATTTATGACTTTTTCAGTTTCTTTCAACAGTACTTTTTAGCTTTCAGAGTATAAGATTTACACTTTTTGTTAAATGTATTAAGTATTTTTCTTTTTGATGCTATTGTAAATGAAATTGCTTCTTTATTTCATTTTTGATTGCTCATTGTAAGTGTATAGAGATAGAATTGATCATTGTGTATTGATTTTTTGGTTCTGCCTACTTAAATGTAGTAGTTTCTTAGTGAATTATTTAGGATTTTTTGTATATAAATCATGCCATCTGCAAGTAGAGACAATTTTAATTTTCCTGTCCCAATATGGATGTCTTTTAATTTTTCATCTAATTACACTGGCTCTGACTTTCAGTACAATGTTAGACAGATGTTGTAGCAGATTTTTTTAAATTTTTTTTTTTGAGACGGAGTCTTGCTCTGTCACCCAGGCTGGAGTGCAGTGGCGCCATCTCGCTTCACTGCAAGCTCCACATCCCAGGTTCACGCCATTCTCCTGCCTCAGCCTCCCGAGTAGCTGGGACTACAGGTGCCCGCCATCACGCCCAGCTAATTTTTTTGTATTTTTAGTAGAGACGGGGTTTCACCGTGTTAGCCAGGATGGTTTTGATCTCCTGACCTCGTGATCCGCCCGCCTCGGCCTCCCAAAGTGCTGGGATTACAGGCGTGAGCCACCGCGCCTGGCCAACTAGCAGTCCCAGTGTTGGCTGCCGCCCCTCCCGCAAGAAGCTCAGATGGCTTAGACAGCAGGCAGCCACAGCTGTGGTGATGGCTGCCCCTCTGCCCGGGAATGCAACAGGCTTAGATAGATTCTAGCTGTTGAGAATTTGTGCGGCTCCGTGGTTGGGATCCTAGGCCATGGTAGTATGGGGTCACAAGTGGGATATTCTGATCTGTGGGTTGCACAGTTCCATGGAAAAAGCATGGCTTCCCAGGTTGCGTAGCACGCTCACTCACGGCCTCTCTTGGCTGGGGGCTCACCTCCCCCATGTAGCTTTCAGGTGGGCCACCTCACCACACTGCTATTCCTTCCTCTCCGTGGGTCACACCAGCCACCTAGTCAATCCTGATGATAGAACTTGGATAACCTCAGTTGCCAGTGCAAGATTTGGATGCTGTTTTGGTTCTTTTAGATGGGAGCCTTTGATTGCCACTGCTTCTAGTCAGTCATCTTGGCCACACCCCCAGTATTTTATTTATACCTTATAACAACTCTATTGCATGGACATTATTAGCTGACTGGTAAGGATACCTGGGTAACAGAGCTCCTTTTGATTTGACAATCTTTACTTCAGAGAGTCACTGGACCAGGCTATATTAGCTTGGGAAGGCTGAGAATGATGAATAAGGCTATGTTTATGTCCAAGTATATTGTACTGAGCTGGACACCAACTTTAGTTTTATCATAAATCGTATAGTCCCAAAAGTAATGGTGTGCAACTGACCCAAATGAGGGCATCCCAATATTTATTCAGGCTACCTAACATGCAGGGCAAGTCCACCCTTATTAACAGAGGGGGATAGTTGGGTGTCTAGAAAGTCTAATGTGATCCTCTCTCAAAGTTATCATTTGCAACTGTGGGTCTATTGTTGGGAATTTTATAACTCCTTTGGAGAGCAGCATTGACCTCTCTGCTGTATATTTTTACCACTCTGACTTCCTTCTGTACTTTTTCAATTAGTAAACCTTGTTTGATTTGCCCAAACTAAGGTCCGTGTTTGTTCCTTGAATCAATCTGCATTCTCCAGAGAAACAGAACCAATAGAACGTATATGCATGTATATATCCCTATATGTCTCTATGTATCTATGTATCTATCTGTCTATCTATCTATCTATCTATCTAGATTTACTATAAAGAATTGGCTCAGCTGGGTGCAGTGGCTCACACCTATAATCCCAGCACTTTGGGAGGCCAAGGCGGGTGGATCACGAGATCAGGAGATTGAGACCATCCTGGCTGACACAGTGAAACCCCATCTCTATTAAAAATACAAAAAAAAATTAGCTGGGCGTGGTGGCGGGTGCCTGTAGTCCCAGCTACTCGGGAGGCTGAGACAGGAGAATGACATGAACCCGGGAGGTGGAGCTTTCAGTGAGCCGAGATCGCGCCACTGCACTCCAGCCTGGGAGACAAAGCGAGACTCTGTCTCAAAAAAAAAAAAAAAAAAAAGAATTGGTTCATAATATGATTATGGAGGCTGAGAAGTCCAGACGCAAGAGGCTGATGGTATAGTTAAATTTTGAGACGAAAGGCCTGAGAACCAGGAAAGCTGATGCTGTAAGTTCCATTTCAAGTCTAACTCTGAAAACCAGGAGAGTCAATGGTGTAAGTTCCAGTCTGAGTCCATGTCTAAAGGCAGGAGAAGACCAATGTCCCAGCTTGAAGACAGTCAGAGACACAAAAAAATTCTTTCTTACTCATCCTTTTATTTTATTTAAGTTTTCATCAGGTTGGATGAGAGCTCAGTCTCCTGATTCAAATGTTACTATCATCCAGAAATGACATATTCAGAAAAAACATTTAACCAAATACCTGGGCATCTTTGTTGCCCGGTCAACTTGACTTACAAAATTAACTATCATATAGTTACCCTACTATTGACATTTACCAATTCAGTGGTTACCTATAGCTAACTGCTTTAGACCAGTGCTGGACCACCTTGAAGCTGGAGCTGGCGTCAGTGCCTGCCTAAACCACATAGCAGTTCTACAGTGGACCAGGGCTGAAATTGATGCTGAGGGAGGAGATCACAATGTCTACTCATTTTCATTATCTTTTCAACTTCTAATGGATATTTCCTTTGCTGTGGCAGAGATCATTATTGTCTTCCTTTAGCAAATGAGAGAACTGAGATCACACTTTTACATTTGGAATTATTTATCAGTCTAAAAGAGATTATTTGTTCACATAAAGAGCATTTGGAGGTGTGAGAAATGTAACTGAAGCCAGCATGCCATAAGAAAGTGGTTTGATCTGTGCCTCATGGAGACTCAGGGCTTCCCCAAGGTATCTGAGAGCTGAGATGGACAAGGAGTGGGTGAGGTTATGGATTCCCACCCTGCTTCAATCACGGTGCTTCTTTCTGAGATGTTTCATATATATTGCAGTTATGCATGCAGAATTCCATTTAGATCTAAGCTGTCACCACACAGGTTGAAAACCACTACTCCATCCTAGCTCTACGATCTTAAAAACAAAAATCCCTTCCTTTTTTTAGTGCTCATTTCCCTTTACTTGTAAAATGAAGGTGTTGAACTACGAGTTCTTGAAGGTTCCTTCCATCTTTGACAGTTCATGATTTTGTGACTTTTACCATTGCCAAGGTGGAACTTATTAATTTCATGAAAACTGACTAAATGACTATCTCAGAAGTTATTAACTCAGCACAGCTTCCTCATCTTAGTGAGTTTTCAGCTGGCTAATGCCACCTGACAGTCAGAAAATGCCAACATTGCGGGTGTGGGGTGGAGTTAACAGTGTGAGATTTGCTAAGTGTTTCTACGCAATCATTGTGAAAGCAATCACATTTCCAGAGTGAGAAAGGTCAGTGCCATCTAGCTGCCAAACTTCACCACACTAAGGGGACATGAAGGGGACTGCCACCCGCAGAACACAAATCAGGCTAAAAAATGAATACCTTTTGCAGTTGCAGTCAAATAGCAACAAATGTCAAATGATATTACTTTGGGAGATTGTTAAGCCCCCTTCTCAGTGCACAGCAGTGTATAAATCCCCTCATCTCATTTGATTAATCTGAGAGACTATAGAATATGTTACTAGGACAGAAAACATGACTGCAATGTGATAGTCTAGTATTACTGAGCATGAAAATTCCTTTAAGTCCTGATCTTTTTTTCTAGTTCCACACTGTTTGAAAGTGGGGGAACATTGATCTTAGTGAATGAGTGTCCTATATAAATCAATGTTAGTGAGTATATATATAAGTGAAAAATATGATTTGTTTATACAGTGAACCAGAACCCCCCCTTCTACAGCATCAGAACTCTTTCTTTTACTCTCTCTTTTACAACCTGTAACTTGGCAGGAAGGAGATATAATACTAGCCATGTTTATCTCTAGCTGGTAAGATTACAAGTGATTTTTAACATTCTGTTATATCTTATACTTTTTTATAGTGGGCACATATTATAACAAGAATTACCTTTATTCATGTAAAAGTGATCCCTTTCCCCAGAAAGATCCCTGAGAATACTTTTTCTCCCATCCTAAAATGGAGGAATGTACCTGAAATGCCATGTGAAATAGATTAACTGAGCCCTGCCTAGGAAACATGCCGCTTCTTCTTTTTCAAGACCTGCAGTCATTGTGGCCTGACAAGCAGTAAGAAATGTGATAATAAAGAGGATGAGCCACTGCAGGGCTGGATTTCATTTCTAGCTTAATTAAATCCTAGAAACACACCTGAACTCTAGCTTTGATGAGCTGCTGCCAAAGCCAGGTGCCCTCATCAACTCGGGCTCACCCTGCAGTGATTGTGGGAAGCCAGCCTGAAAGGAGAGGGTAGAGGGAAGCAGAAGCCAATGGAGATGAAACAGTGGAGTCAGGAAGCAATATTTCAGAGAGAGCGATTTTATCTGGTAGACTATCTGTTTGCCCTTCTGCTTAAAAGGTAAACAGCAACGCTAACCTACAAATATACTGAATTGAAACTCCTCCAATGGCACCCCACTGCCCTGCCACCTGTCCCCTTCCACCACCTCCTCTCCAGCTCCCTGCCCCCACCAGTTGTGGTAAATTGGGTACAAAGTGCACTTGGTTGGCACAAGTCCTGACTGGCCCATCAGTAGGCGTGGGCTGATTGGCGCCTCCTGCATTTACAAACTCCTAGTTGCTCTAGTCCCTCAGCTGCTGCTGACACCTGATGGTGCTACCTGGGGTCTCTTTGTTTCATATCCCAGAGACCAGAAATTCTCTTGAAATGTAAAGAAGAAAAAAAATCCTTGCCATGATTTATTGAACCCAGAATTATACAAGGAACTTAAAACTACATCACCTTGTTTTCACAGCCACTTGTGATGTATTATCAGGGTTTTACAGGTGAGGAAATGCAGCTCCAGAAGAGCTTCTTAGGTAACTGGCTTATATCCAAGAGCTTGACACAAGGATCTGGGTTTATGGGATTTTTTGAGGGGGTGCTATCAAAAGAAACCTCCAGGGAGGCATGGGGTGGGAGAGAAAAGGGGAAGGGTGAGCAGGGGTTTGGTCTCTGATATGGTTTGACTGTGTCCCCATCCAAATCTCATCTTGAATTATAATTCCCATCATCCCCACGTGTCAGAGGCAGGACCAGGTGGAGGTCATTGGATCATGGGCGTGGTTTCTCCCATCCTGTTCTCGTGATAGTGAGTAAGTCTCATGAGATCTGTTGGTTTTATAAGCACTTGGCAGTTCTGCTGCTTGCACTTACTCTGTCCTGCCACCCTGTGAGGAAGGTGCCTGCTTCTTCTTCACCTTCTGCCATGACTGGAGGTTTTCTGAGGCTTCCCCAGCAATGTGGAACTGTGAGCCAATTAAGCCTCTTTTATTTATAAATTACCCAGTCTCAGGTATTTCTTCATAGCAGTGTGAGAACAAACTAATACAGTCTCAGTATGCGATGGAGTGCCCAGATTTGGGGGTCCAGGGAAGGTTTCCATCTGAGAAGGGGTCAACCAGTATTGAGAGTGTATCACTGAGCAGAAAGTACCATCCTTTCCCCCACTACCATCTGTCAACAACTTCCTTGTCTTTCAAGAACCATCTCTTTTTTTTTTTTTTTTTTTTTTTTTGAGATGGAGTCTCGCTGTGTCGCCCAGGCTGGAGTGCAGTGGCGCGATCTCTGCTCACTGCAACCTCTGCATCCCGGGTTCATGCCATTCTCCTGCCTTAGCTTCCTGAGTAGCGGGGACTACAGGCGCCCGCCACCACGCCCGGCTAATTTTTTATATTTTTAGTAGAGACGGGGTTTCACCGTGTTAGCCAGGATGGTCTCGATCTCCTGACCTCGTGATCCACCCGCCTCGGCCTCCCAAAGTGCTGGGATTACAGGTGTAAACCACGCGCCCGGCCTCATATTTTATCTCCTATGAAGTCTCTTGACCCCAACCTGTGATGATGTCCTTTCCCGTTTGGTTTTCGAGCACTTTATACCTTCAAAATGGTTGCCTAATTTTTAGAAAATAAGAGCATATCTATCTTCTTGACTCAAATGTGAGCTTCTTGAGGGAAGAAATCTTGCCTTCTTTCATGTATAACACCCCTGCATTGTACACAATGCTTTGTCCATAGTAGGCTACGAACTAACATCTGTTGAGTTCAGTACTCCTTGAATTTGGGGAGCCTTTCCTGGTGCTATTACTTTGGTCAATCAGTCATTCAGCATTAATACAATGTCTATTTGTGAATAGCTCACGGGGCCCTGTGTTGGTGGCTGCCAGTTTCACCTCCTGACCACCTGTCCAAGAGTCTCAGAGTCCACGAAACAGCAACAGGAACGTGAACCTCGAGGTAATTCCAGCAGAGGTTTAGTTACTGGACCAGGAAGAAAGGCAGCTACACGGCGGCGGGGGTGGGGGGGGGGGGGTGGAGGGGACGTAGAAGAAACAGGTTTATTAGAATCAGGCGGCTTGAAGCACCACTCATTAGTCAGTTTGTGCAGCTATAAAATGGCACAAAGGTGCTGCCTGGCTGAACTTACGGAGCTATTGTTGAGAGTCAAAGGAGACAAGATAGGTTAACTCTACAGATTGTGCAGAGAAAATTAATACATGTTTATAACCAATGTTGGCTAAGAGGCAAGGATGGCAGGAAAAACGGCTTGGAATCCCTCCCTGATACTCAGGTGGCGTAATTTACCTTCACCTGTGTGTGGACTCAGACTTCAGTGCCTCAGGGGAAAAAAAGAGAAAAAGGAAAATCAGTGTTCCTTTCTCTTTGCCTCCTGACTTTAGGTATCTATGTATGCTATAATTAGGGCCCCAGATTACATCTCCAATTTCAGAAAGTTTCCTGTTTAATTTTACAAGGACATACACACTTTACAATGCCTGACACCTGCTTAAGGAGGCAAATGATTGTTTTGACAGTGTGACAGTGGTAGAAAGTATATTAAAATATCGGAAACCTGCCAATGGGATAATTAGGATCTAATTCTCATTTGTCAGTGCAATGAGCTCTCCAGGCCGAATGACTCCCTGATGCTGTGCCAGACAGCTTTCCTGGTCCCCATGTGCTGGTGGAGATTTAGTTCCAAATAATTGTTGCATTCCTCATTGATGACTGATTTTCAACCTTTAATGATAATACCAATTATGTATTGGGTGTTTCACTTGTGGATTTCTTTGGGTGGGGATTTTACTACAACTCATTGCTTGAAAAATCACTTTAATTTAATAGTAGGGTTATTCAGAACTTCACTATCCAGAGTGACCCTGTGGCTGACCCAAGGCTGTGGGGCATAGGGCACAGAACTGGTACTCCTCTTCTGGGAAAAGGTGGCTAGGGAAGGAGGGATGGCCTAAGACACTGAATCCAATGAAGCAGATAAAGAGCAAATCCAGGACATGAGGCAAAGGATCAGTAAGAGAAGTGGCCAGAAGCACCATCTTGTTTCTTTGGGTCAGATTTAGCAGAGATCTTGGAAATTCTGGGGGCAGAGAAGATGGTGTTGTTTCTTTCTTGGACTGCCGGGGCTGCACTGCTGAACCATAAACTTGGGCGCTGTTAAGATGCTCAAGCCAGGCAGCCTTCCGCAGCCTTCCACATCCCTAGACTTGCTCAGGGTCTCCAAAGAACATCTGTTATGTTTCTATCATCTTGTGGATGAGGAAACTGAGAATCAGATTAGTGAAGTGGCCTGTTCCAGCTCACACAGCTCAAAAATATTCAGTCCAGGCAAAGTTTACTCTGCTGGATCTTCCAGGTGACACAGAAAAATGCTCCAGTGTCTAGTCAGCTGCCAAAAACCTTTTTTCACATCCTACTCAGACTTGTGATTAGATGAATATTGAAATGTCTTTAAGATCTATAATTTCTTTTTCAAGGGGTATGTCTTAAATCTTGTCTACCCACGTGGACTAAATTGATCATTGACACAGAAGGCTGGATTTTATTCTTGTTCATTTTACAGATGAGGAAACAGATCCCAAGAGGTGAAAGTGGCCTGCTTAACGTCACATGACTGGTAACTGATTCAGTGCAGTCGAGAACTATGAATTGGTCCATGCGTGTATGATTATACTGGACTTTCTAGGTACACAGAGGGAGTTAATGAAGGCATTTGTAAGCCACTTAGGGAGGCAAGGTTTTGTTAGCTACTCCTCTCCTATCAGGCAGAGGCTGGTACCTAGGAGAGGGGGTAATGGAGGGCTGAGCTATCTCTTTCCTGGGTCCTGGGATTGCACTATGTGGAACAGGTAGACACAAGGGGAAACTGCTCTGAAGGTGACAGAAACATCAGAGTTAAGACAGTAACAAATGAGAGGTTGTCCAAGGGGCAGAGGAAGAACAGAAGCCAGGTGAAATGTTTATACACACAGAAATTTAAATGCAAACAGTGCAGAAGCACATACAATGAAAATCAACTGTTCCTTGTCCCATCCCTTTTCTCCTCTGACCCACTTCCCACAGATGAGCCCTTTCTGCTTTTAATTCTTCCAGTGGTTACCTATATAATTCTAAATAGTATGTGAAATCTTTGTTTCTCCAATTATTAATTTTAAACATCAGTTATAGACTCCCTGTTATGAGTGATAAAGAACTGTCTTCTCCCATTTTCTCTTCCCTCATCCTATTTTTTATATTATTAGTTCGGGTTCTTCTATTGGTATGTTAATAGTTGTAAAAAGTATACATCAAATGCTACATCTTGATCCATTAACTTGAAACAAATTTGATTTGCTGCTATGAGAAATGTAAGATGAAATTAGAAGCCCTGAATTTTCACTTTTCCTCTTACCAATTCTCAAAGTCTTCCAACAACATCATTAAACATCATCAAGGTTTATTACTTTTTCATTCTATTTTATAAATATGCTTTGCCTGTAGCTTGAATTCAAAAATCAAGCACCAATGCAAGTCATTAGCAATATAATGATTATATATTATTCACCCCAAGACCAAATAGAGTGACTTGCCCTTCTGAGATGAGAAATAGCACAGAGCATGTGCAGCTTACAGCCAATGCTTTCTCAACACCCAAACTTATTTCAGTTTGCTTCAGCATCTCAAAAACATGACATATGAATTTGCTTCATATTTGTAGCTTTTTGTATAGATTTTGTTTTTGTCCAAAGTTTCTAATTTTCTTTCATTTTTCTTATGGAAAAGAAACAAATTCTTCACCATTTTACAAAGATGTTCCTGCTTCATCACATTACCTATCAAATTGGAATCTACTTTTTTTTTTTTTTTTTTTTTTTTTTTTTTTTTTGAGATGTAGTCTCGCTCTGTCACCCAGGCTGGAATACAATGGCATGATCTCAGCTCACTGCAACCTCCGCCTCCTGGGTTCAAATGATTCTCCTGCCTCAGCCTCCCCAGTAGCTGTGATTACAAGTGCCTGCCACCATGCCCAGCTAGTTTTTGTATTTTTAGTAGAGGCGGGGTTTCACCATGTTGGCCAGACAGATCTCGAACTCCTGACCTCATGATCTGCCCACCTCGGCCTCCCAAAGTGCTGGGATTACAGGCATGAACCACCGCGCCCGGCCCTGGAATCTACTTTTTAATGGAGACTTTTTTCTTGGAACTCGATCTAAATGTTGTTGGGGCTTTTTATTTGTCACAGCCAATTGCATAGTTCTGTCTCTGGTTTTTATTTTCAAAACTAGTCACTTTGGCCTACTGTTTTCATGGTTTCTGTTTTATTTGTTTTTGTTTTTCTTTTGGTCTCAAGTTTATCCTCAAGTATTTTTTTCCCCCTCAGGGTGTATAAGGAGACATCTCTGAGTCTCACATGATTTAATATTCAGCCTTCACATTTGAGTAACAAGTTTTTGTCTAAGACTAGAGATTTACGGTTACTTTTCCTCCAGAGCATTGAAGCCATTTGCTGCAGGTTGAGTTCTCCAGAAGTAGAGATGGAGTTTAGGGAACAAAATATTTATTAAGGATCAACACCTGTGAAAGGAAGGCGGCAACAGCAAGATTGGGCTGACTGAGCAGTTGAACTGAAACACAGGCTTGAAAATGCCTCAGCCGACATGGCAGGTGCTCTGGGTCATGGGTATGCATAATACCCATGGATATTATTTGCTGGGCAGAAATGGTTGAACCTTTATGCCCTCCTTCTCTCTGACACCAGATACAGGCTGCTCTGGGAAGGGAATGACCTTGGGAGAGGTGGCTGAAGCTGACCCTGAAGGAGCTGACAGCTGGAGGCTCTGCTCACTGTAGTCCATGCATCGGGTAGCAGGTGTTCCTTGAAAGGGGATCAAGGTAGTGCATCTCTATGTCTACCATAGCAATGATCCATGGTATTCTTATAAAAATCCGTTTTTTAAATTTTTCGCTTTCTCTATAAGATTTAGGACACTTTATTTTCCCTTGGCGGTAGGGTTGCTGTTATGACATATTTATGTGGAGTACAAAAAGTGTCCTTGCTCTAGGTGGGTGCAGCTCTGCACCAGAGAGCCTGGCTTGGTAAGTGTGGGTTGGATTTGATCTCCACTCAACCCTTTGGCTGGGAGCTTTTGCGCAGAGTAAAGCCTGTACATCCAGAGGCATAGCCCTGCTTGGTGTGCTCATGGTTTATGAGGATGTGTCCTTCTCATTTTGCTCAGCATTTGGTGGGCCTGGGCCTTTCATCCCAAGTGTTTGGGACCTTAGTTCTGGGAAATTTCCTTCTTTCCTTCTTGCTGTCTGTAAGTTCTGTGGGTCATAGCAGTTAACAGGTTTCACTTAAAGGCATGAGGCAGAGTATGTACACAAGTGAGGTTACTCTCTCAATACAGCTTCCTCATCCTGTTTTATCTGTCGATATGATTCCATATGTTTTCTCTCTCCCATTACTTTGCTAAACTTTCAGATCTGCTGGTGCTTCTTCTGTCCTCCCCATTGTCGGTGCTAATATGGATTTGTTCACTTTTTAACTTCTTTATTACAATCATTGGAATTTTAATGGGACTTTTAATGGAATGTTGTAGAGAGATAACTCCATGCATTCAATCTTCTATTCTGAACAGAATGCTCGTCTGGTATTACTGGTATTATGAATAACAGTTGATTGAAAACAGCAATGGCTTGAGGTCTTTTGTCAGTTTCGGCTTTAGAAGTGGTGTTCTAACTGGAAAGAGGTGAGAGGAAATGTATTTTGAAACTCTTCGCTTGTAGTAGGTTCACTGTTTTTATTTAGGGTATATGAGTACTTGACACGCATGACTTGAGGGTTATTGGAGGCTATGGAAGGTCAAAAGTCACTCATCCCAAGGTGCCACTATTGTTTAGAAGAGATTTTACTGAGTCAACAATTGTTAGATGGATGCTGGCCTCCTTAAAGATGGCTCATCTCTCTTGAGGAAGGGGTTAGGGAAGAATGGAAAGACAAGTAATTTTCTTCATTTTTATTTAACTGTTTTCACAGAGACAACACTGTACAGACAACGAAATGTGTTTTATGCCAGATTTCTCATGCAACATGCCCCGGTAAATACACATACAAGTTATTTCTAGCAACATCCTGAAATTAGACCCTTAAAATGGCTCTTTCTCCCTTCCTTTCATAAAGGCACTTGTTATGGACAGAATTGTGTTCCTATAAAATTTATATGTTGAAGCCCTGACTGACTTGGAGACAGAGCCTTTACAGTGATAATTAAGATTAAATGAGGTCATCAGGATGAGGCTCGAATCCATTAGGACTAGTGTCTTTATAAGAGGAGAAAGACATGAGAAACCACCAAAGGCTACTCAGCTGCATGCAGGCAGAACGTGAAAAGTATGATGGCGTTAACTTCCCTGAGAGCAAACCTCATCTCAACCACTCTGGCCTCCCATTCCCCCAGTGGAACAGTGCTGAGATGAGTTCCATGTGGTTTCATAGCAGGCCCCTGGTACATTGAGCCCTTGTTGCCTACAGTGGTAAACAACTCAGAAATGTACTCTTTGCTGGCTTTTCTTCCTTCTCTGTCTTATTTTCACTACTCCCTCAATTTCACATCCTCTCAAATAAACCACCTGCACTCAAGTCTTTGCCTCAGCTCTGCCTTTGGGGGAATCTGAACTCAGCACTCTTGCTGAAAGTAAGCTGTGCTTTAGTCCACAGTCTTCTCTCCACCTGTTCACCGTTCCACCCTCCACCCTGTAGGGAACACTCCTATCCATCTTTTCAGTCCCTTGGTGAACACTTCTGTTGTTTTCCTAAGTAACCAGTATAAATCCTTCTTTGTCATCCTCGTTGCACTTCCATGTATTGTTCCTCTTATCTCACTGTCCTGAGATTGTTTTCATCTCTGCCTTCCCCTGGGATTTCTGAATCAGCATCAAAGAATCCTGGAAGTACCTAACAGGACATGTAACTGCCCCTAAGTCATGAGCTCCTGTTGGTAGAAACTATAACTTGTTTGTTTTTGAATCTCAATACTATTTCACACCATATTGGCATAGAGGACCCAATAGATGATAGTTGGACAGAAGTAAAGTCACTCTGCAGGGCAGAGGCACAAGCTCAGAGAGAATTTATTTCCTCCCCATCTTTTCTCCTGGAAGTCCTCCTTCTCACAGTGTTCCTGCTCCCTGGCACTGAGCTGAGGTATGCAACGAAACCCATGGGACCTGTCTGTATAATGGAGATGCATACACCCTCCAGGCCTTTGCACATAGGCTAGGTCCCTGTAGCACATCTGGAGGACAGGGTCACTGAGGCCTGGCTTAATTTAGCTGAGCCACTCCAGGAGGAATAATGGTAGCACTGAAAGTCTACTTTTCTGCCCATTCTGTTAACATCCTGCTGGCCTGCTTTCTGGGGCTCTTGACTTTGTAGCAACCAAAAGACCTTTTCAGAGACTTGGGGCCTGATCAAGACCATTGAGCAAATCCTCCTTCCCTTTACCAGTGGAGCAATCAGAAGGGTGAAGGGCCTGGAAGAGCAATAGAGCATCAAGCCAATTGGAGTTCAATTACTGGCCCTGCCATGTAATGGCAGAATAAGCTTGGGGTCGTCATTTAACTTCTTTAACACTCAATTTTTTTTTCCACCAGTGAAAGGAGAACAAGAAAACTTATAGCATCATTGTGATGGTTAAAGTAACATATTTAAAATGTCTTTCATGGGGATTTCAATCTTTTATTGACCATATTTGTTGGCAGTCTAGTGAAGGCTATGGGCTCCTAGAACAAGTACTTGAAACTCATAAAACAAAATATGTGGAATTACAAAGGTAACACTATAATACATTTATCAAAATGTTTTTTTAAAATGTGTGTTAGAATGTAATATGTTTCTTTGTTCATGTATTAAAAATTAAGAGATTAAGCTGAGGGTCTGATAACTACGATAATTTTGAGGTAAAGAAGCACATAAATGATATTTTGATTTACCTGCCAAACTGTAACACTGTACATGAAAATATCTCATTTCTATTGTTGGCAAAATCACATTGTGGGTTTATAACCTACATTTGTAAATGAAGAAAATGCCAACTACTTGTTAAAGAGTGAAAATAAAGATGAATTTTATTCCTTCCAAGTTGATGGAACCCTGAACCTCTTGCTTAATGAAAAAACAAACACTTGATAGTAGTTAATTCCCTTTCTTCTAATTTTCTCTTTCTGATGCCTCCTCTTATATACTGTTTTCAAATTTTTTTACGTCTTCCTAACCAAACATGACCCGAGGAAAGGGTCTGACATCAGACATTTGGCCTATGGGGTGGATAAGTGTGTATTTCCTTGCTTTCCTTCTCAAGAGCTTTCCTCATTGTGAAAGAAGCGGAAGGAATTTCAGCATAGGAGCAAGGTGGACCTCCCCAGCCCCCAGGAAAAAAAGTCATATCACAAAGGGAGCAGATGAAATACTTTCCCAAACTTCGGGCTAGTGTCAAGGATCAGCTGTCGACTTGATTTCTAACCACTATCCTGGGTGGCTTGCCTTTCTCCTGAGTGATCAGGGTACAGAAGCCCGGAGAAACAGGACTCTGCTCCTTTTGGTCCTGCTTTGGTTCCTGCTCTGTTCCTGCTGTATTAGGGTGAAAGCCCATTGAGTGTGTCTCTTCCCAACTCTGTTCCATGATGTCTTATTTGTAACTTGAAACAAGCGTGGTGGGAGCATTTACACCATGGAAATTGGCACATGATACACATCAAGGCTTCTCACCTCTAATTAAAATCTTTCCTGCATCTCAGTGGAAAGCCAGTTGTGAGACATTTGTCAGTGCATCACTGCCTGTACCTTCTGCTTCCTGTTTGGTAATTCTGCTTTGACAAAATTGGTCATTCTTTCTGTTTACCACTCTCTGGTGCATGCACATTTTTGTATCCCCAGAAAGGGACTTTCTATACTTCTAGTGTTCCCTGATTTTGCACTGGAGTCAGCAGATGACAACAATTTTTCTCTTTGCCAAAACCTAAAAGAAGGACCCCACTTCCCTGCTTGGTGAGAGGGTTTTCCTTGTTCATGGTTTTCTGTCATTGAGGCTAAACAAGCAGGAGCCATTATAACTTGTGATAAGAAACCATAAAAAGTACAGGTGATTTAGGATAAATGCATCTGACAGGGGTGTCAAGCAGGAGTCAGCAACTTTCTCTAAAAGGGCCAGATAGTACATACTTTAGGCTTTGCAAAAGACACAAAATGATATTATGTAGGTGCTTATATAACTGTTTAAAACATAACCATGTAAAACTATTCTTAGCTTATCAACTATGAATAAACAGGCATTGGTCTATGAATAAACTGTTTGGCATTGGTCTGTGGGCTGCAGTTTTCTGATTGCAGTGGAAGTCTGACTGTTGTGGAAGACTGACCTGGGGGATGAGCAGTAAGGCAAGGTGGTCAGGTAGGAGGGTGGTAGATAAAAAAGACCAGGACAAAGTCTTGGATGGTCACAGTGGGGAAGAAGGAAGGAGGAGGAAGAAACTAGAGGGAACTTAAATATCTGATTGGATATGATGGATAAGTGAAAGATGAAGCAAATGTGATCTGGAGAGCTGGCTGCAATTTGTAACGTTGTCTTTGGGATTCACAAACATATTAGGATATTAAAAGCTTTGAAAATTCCTGCAGCAAGTAAATCTGTCTGCTCAGTCCAGCATTTCTCAAAGTTATTTATATATTGTACCCTTCATTCATGGACTACCTACTAATGCCCCCAGTGAAGTAACGTATCATGGAATGTACTTTAGGTTTCATGGGCTTGCTCTATAGTTGCGTAATCCATGTTGTAAGAGTGTGTGTTCCTTGAAAAGAGAGTTAACAAATTTACCATTTGTGTGCGTGTTTGTGGGGGAGGGTTATGAAATATGAAATACAACTCCTGTGGAAGGTGGTATATTACAAATTAATGTAATCTGAATGGCTGGAAGAATTACGCAGAGATTCAACAGGCCAGATTGGTTTAATAGTTTTTAAGTTATGGATATAATTAATGAAAATTGAGAGTGCTAATAGTTGTTTTTAAACTATTTTAAACTAAAAACAACTACAGTTTTGTCTTGTTTTTTAATTATACTTCAGGTTTTAGGGTACATGTGCACAACGTGCAGGTTTGTTACATATGTATACATGTGCCATGTTGGTGTGCTGCACCCATTAACTCGTCATTTAGCATTAGGTGTATCTCTTAATGCTATCTATCCCTCCCCACTCCCCCCATCCCACAACGGGCCCCGGTGTGTGATGTTCCCCTTCCTGTGTCCATGTGTTCTGATTGTTCAATTCCCACCTATGAGTGAAAACATGCGGTGTTTGGTTTTTTTGTCCTTGTGATAATTTGCGGAGAATGAAAAAACAGTAAATTCACGTGGCCCTTTAAAACCTTCATTTTCTTTTCTTTTTTTATTTTTCTTTTATTCTCTCTCTCTTTTTTAAAATTTTAAGTTCCAGGGTACATGTGCAGGATGTGCAGTTTTGTGACATAGGTAAACGTGGACCATGGTGGTCTGCTGCACCTATCAACCCATCACCTACGTATTAAACCCAACATATATTAGCTATTTTTCCTAATGCTCTCTCTCCCCCTTCCCTCTCCCCCACAGGCCCCAGTGTGTGTTGTTCCCTTCCCTGTGTCTATGTTAAAACCTTCATTTTCAATCTTTTCAGTATGGTTCTTTTATTTATCTGTCTTTGAATCCTCCTTAACAAAATTAATTGTTCCTTTTTTATTTATTTATTTTATTATTATTATTATTATTTTTTTAGATGGAATCTCGCTCTGTCGCCCAGGCTGCAGTGCAGTGGCACAATCTCGGCTCGCTGCAAGCTCCGCCTCCCGGGTTCACGCCATTCTCCCGCCTCAGCCTCCCGAGTAGCTGGGACTACAGGCGCCCGCCACCACGCCCAGCTAATTTTTTGTATTTTTTAGTAGAGGCGAGGTTTTACCATGTTAGTCAGGATGGTCTCGATCTCCTGACCTTGTGATCCACCTGCCTTGGCCTCCCAAAGTGCTGGGATTACAGGCGTAAGTCACCGCACCCAGCCCATTTTTTTGTTTCAAAAAAATTTTTTTTCTAAGATACTTTTGTTATAGCATACTCCTTTCTTTTTAAAAAATCCACAGCAATTTTTATATATCTCTTTTAGCACTTCAGATTGCATAGGGTTTATCTGGGTATTCTCATGGTTTGTTGGACTAAATTAGTAGAAGACACTTATATTTCTTTTCCCAGTCCTCAGCAGAATGCCAGACATATCATATGTTCTCTTGGATTAATAAATTAATAAAAGTTTTGGGAAAGTGACCATTCCAACCTATATCTGAAATACAAATAAAGTTAGATCCTGTATCCATCAAGGTCCAATCAGGAAAACAGAAACCATTCCAGTTATTTTAACAGGGATAATTTAATATAGGGAATCGAATTGCTAAACAGGTATTTAGAAAACTATAACTCCAGAAAGATATGCAAACTACAGGAAATATCTTCCACCGTTAGAACAGGGGAGCAAAGGGTAGAGTGGATTAGTTGAACCTAGAAGCTTGGATGAAGAGCCCCATAAAGTTGAGAACAAGACCACGGAGCAGGAGGTGCCACCTGGCTGGTGCTGGTGTCTCTGCAGGGACTCCAATGAGGCTGATTCTGGAAATTAGAAAAAAAAAAAAAAAGACCTAGACCCAAATGCTGCTGCTAGGGTGAAGAACTATTGCTGAGGGGATGTTGACAGACACAGAAAGCAAAGAGCAAGGGGCAAATCCCTTTGCCATCCTCTAGGTTTGCAGTCTTCCTCTAATACCCTTTATTGGCAGAGCCTAACAGGAAACCAGATGGCAAAGGATAAATTTTATTTGTGGAGTCCAGCCTCAAAATCATGTAACAGAGTAACAGGTGAGTGGGTGGTGCTAAGATACAGTAGCTTAATAACCAGCCTAGTTCCCAACCTACATGTATAGTCAATTTCCAAGTGGCCTGACTCTGGATGACTCAAGAGGGCTTTTCCTCCTCCCAAGAGCTATTATAGTCACAGGTATATTTTTGAATCTTTCCTTTTTTTCTTAGACAGCAGAAGCTGTTCATTTTAGTAGAGAATATCATGGTTGTAATTGCATTTCTCTTATAACTCAGAAAGGGTTAAATAAAGAGAAAAGATATTTTGGCAAAGAGCAAAACTATTTGGCAACTTGTTCTAAAGGGTTTTTCAGCGTCCCTAGATTCAGCTGTTTCTAATCCTGTGATTATATGCTTCAATTTCCCATTTTAAGTACCAGAGATTAAGTGGTAACTCCTTTATTGCTGATGGCGGTGCTTAGTGGACAGCTGGGGGATGACAGGGCTGTGTGCTGAATCCAGATGCACAAGAAACAACAGGAAAGGGGCACTCTGACCGTCCAATGGCCCTGTCTCCTGAGGGGGGGTAAGGTGAGGCTTCTGTTTAGATGTCTCAGTGGTCACTGCAGAATCAGCTTTTTCTTTTCTTTTTCTTTTCTTTTTTTTTTTTTTAACAGATTAAACAGTTCCAGTGTGGAAGTCTGACTTAGGGCAATGTGTGTAGTGTGAGGAAAAAGGATGACAGCTGGTTTTGAATCCAGCTCAGTCACTTGCCAACTGGGTGGCCCTGAGTAGTCACTTCACTCAACTCTTCACTTTATCATTGATAATAACTACCTGTCCTGTCCTCTTATTTGGCTCACTTTGAGGATCAAAAGAGATATGACTAAATATGAAAACATATTGCAAAGAGTAAAATGAAATAAAAACAAGGAATCGATCATGATGGTGTTGGGCTATTTCAGTTTGCTTGGTTTTTGACTCAGAAGCATGAGAGAAATACATTATCCCCAACAATTCCTTTCTGTTATAAAAAAGTTACAGTGTGTACCTTTCTGGGCTTGTGTTGTGTATTTACTTCCACATAAATGTTTATCTCTAAAGTTATCAATAAAGCTCCCAGTGTGGAAGTGAAAATAAACCCAGAAAAAATATCTTTGTATTCCCAGGCCAATTCAGTTTTCATTATTTATTATATTCAGTTTTTCTTGAGGCCAAAATGGAGTAGAAATCTCTAAAAAATTTAGTTTGAATCTAGAGTCAACTAATAATAATACTAGTTAAAGCAGTAATAGCATTTATTACATGCTTGTGTGCTGGAAACTTTTAAGCATCTATACTGTGTTGCCTCCTTAAAATAACCCTATGAGGTAGATTTTGTTTTTATTGTCATTTAATATAAGGAAATGAAGGCATAATAAAACTCGCCTAAGGTTACAGATAGAAAATAATGGAGTAGGGGTTTGAACCCACATAACGTGATTTCTAAGTCTGAACCTTTAGCTACTCTATTATATTCAAGAAACACTCCTTGTTTAATTATTTGTATAAATTAAAGTTGTCTCTCAATGGCTTTTATTTGTTACGTAGAAATATCATTTATTAAGCACATACAAGGTGCTGGATAGGATTCTAAGCATTCTCTATGCATTATCTTATTTAATTCTCACAAAATTTTATTATTCTTAGAAACTAAAGTTCAGATAATTTAAGCAATTTGCTCAGTCAGGTTCACACTTTTAACAAGTACTGAAGCTGATATTTTAGTTCAAGTCTACATGACTGTCAAATCTCTTCAAGCAATAAGTTACGTATCTCTTTGCTAACAATATATATTCTTCCTGTTTCTCATGGAGGCATCCCTCAAACTTCTCCAAACCTCAGTGTAAAGCTCAAAACAATGGAAAAGCTGAAATAAAGCTAAATGAAGATCAGAAATCATGCAGTGTCAGCAGTAGGAATATATACTAGGAGTCTGGAGTGAGGGGTAATGAAATGGAGCCTAATGCTCAAACTTTGAAATTCTTAAAAGACAAGACAGAAAAAGGGAAATCCAATGGTTTGTCTAGTTATTATTGTCAGACGAAAACACATAGACCAGTTGTGTAGAAGACATAAACTTCCCCTGACATTCAAAGCCAAGAGAAATTTATCATGAGAAGTCTTATATTTGGACAACAGTTATAGTATATAGGGAATTTCTGCCATAAACAGCATGGTGTAAATGAATACTTGGTGAAAGATATCAATTAGAATTTATACCATATGTGAGACAAGGCATTTCCAAAGTGCATTTGCAGGAGAATGTGTTGTATTCATCTCTGACATCCTTATCAGAACTCACATTCTAGTGAAACATATCAATTAATGTCCTCAGATCTGTTATAATAACAACATGGAAAATGGATTTACCAACCTCACAGAAACAACTGAAGGTATGTGCCAAGAATGAATCTCTTACTTCTTCAAATATCAGAGTAAAAATTTTACAACAAACTTAAAATTTGTTAAACTTCAACTTAATGGATGGTCTCTCTTTCCTTCTTGCAAGGTCTGACTGAGATCTAAGCCTTGCTCATTAATTTATTCATTTAGCATTTAATTTGGTCCCATATTAGTTAAGCCTCAGGCTTGACTAGCACCCAGGTAAATGAAAAAAGGAACAAAAACTTGATCCAGAACGCACTGGATATCAATGGCTTGTAGTCCTCTCATGGACTTCAAGTGTGACTAAGTCAGCTGAGCCCTTACTTGTTAGTGTTGTGCTGGAACAGACAGAGAGAAAGTAATTGTAAATCATCCAAGAAGTGAGAAAGAGATAGAGATACAATCAGGAGACAAGTCTGAATCTCTGAGATAGACTGGTAATGTCTCAAGGCCACTGAGATAATGATGCCTAGAACTGGGCTTATAAATGCCAATAGCATAACATTCTTGAGCTTGGGACAGTGGTGCTTTAGCAAACAATAACCTCTCCTACTTAGTCCAGATATTTAAATTCCTCATGTGGCATCACTTGATGGATAAAATTGCAAATAAGCAAGTTAAGGATAAATTGAGAGGCCCATTGGATCCTGGCCATGGGTACAGATGTATGATCATGGCCAGGATCTAGGGTTTTGCTCAAATCTGACATCTGTATATCTAAATCTGTTGGTCCATCTACACATCCATCCATCCACCCACCCACCCACCCACCCATCCATCCATCTAACAGAATTATATCTACTGATTTCCGAATTAAACCTAGTTAATAGAAATGAAAACTAAATTTAATTTCTTTTTTTTTTTTTTTTTTTTTTTTGGTGAGGAGTTTGGCTTTTGTCACCCAGGCTGGAGTGCAATAGCGTGATCTCGGCTCACTGCAACCTCCATCTCCCAGGTTCAAGCGATTCTTCTGCCTCAGCCTCCCGAGTAGCTGGGATTACAGGTATGTGCCACCACGCCCAGCTAATTTTGTATTTTTAGTAGAGACAGGGTTTTGACAGGGTTTGGCCAGGCTGGTCTCGAACTCCTGACCTCAGGTGATCTGCCTGCCTTGGCCTCCCAAAGTGCTGGGATTACAGGTGTGAGCCACCGGGCCTGGCCAATTTCTTTATAATAATAAAAGGAATGCTCTAGAAATGACATAAAACATAAATAAACTATGCATTCATTATAACTACAATGAACATTTTATTAAAGCATTCTATGTGCCAGTTGCTTTAGTAAGAGCTAGGGAAGGTATAAAGATGATTAAGACTTGGTCCTCACTTTTTAGAACTTGAGGTCTAGTAGCAAGTATTTATGTACACCTCTCTGACCTCGTGTCCTATACTCATCCCTTCACTCATTCCAGTCTAGAGACATTGTTTTCCTTCCTTTTCCTAGGACATACCAAGCATTTCTTGCCTCAGAGCCATTGTACATGCATTTTCTCTGCCCAGAACTTTATTTCCGCAGGTATGTGCAGTTAACTTCCACACTTCCTTCAGCTCTCTGCTCAAATGTCACAAGCTCAGTGAGGTCTTCTTTGAGTATTCTATGTGTGATAGCAAACTCCTCTCATCACTGGAACTCTGTATCTCCACAATTTTCAATTATTTTTCTCCCTAATCACCATTATATATCATATATTCAGTATGTGTATTTTTATGTATCTATACTGTAATATATGTCATATATATTTACTTCTTTTTTTGTTTATTATTTGTCTCACCCAAAACCCCAACTAGAATATATATTCCATGAAAGGAGGGGACTGTTTTACTCAGTACTCTATTCCTGTGTCCACAAAAAAGCTCGGTGAACAGTAGGTTCTCCAGAAATATTGTTAAATGGATAATACAAGAAAGAAAAATAATACTACTAATAACATAAATGACTGCAGTGGGGAAAGAATATTTAATTTGGTTAGGGGACATGGCTTAGGAATCCTTGAATAAAAAGTTATTCCTTTACTTTGAAAAATAAAGTCCACATGTATAGGACAGTTACATGGCTAACTTCCAAGGGAGATTTATCCAGCATTTCAGGAGTCAAGATGCCAGTTAGATGTGATGAATGACCATACGATGCCTGGAAGTTTTTCCATTACCCTTTGAAATTTTTCTGTCTTTTTTTTGGTTGTCTGGGACCATATGGAAACAAATGGGTTTGGCCTCATTTCCAGAACTACTTGGGAAGATCTGTTCCTGCTAACCATGAACTAAATCTTCACAGTGGCCTGTCTGTGCTTGATTCTGTGTTTCTTTTTTTTTGTTTGTTTCTTTTTTTTTGTGACAGAGTCTCACTCTGTTGCCCAGGCTGGAGTGCAGTGGTGTGATCTCGGCTCACTGCAAGCTCCGCCTCCTGGGTTCACGCCATTCTCCTGCCTCAGCCTTCCCAGTAGCTGGGACTACAGGTGCCTACCACGCCTGGCTAACTTTTTTGTATTGTTAGTAGAGACAGGGTTTCACCGTGTTAGCCAGGATGGTCTCGATCTCCTGACCTCGTGATTCGCCCACCTCGGCCTCCCAAAGTGCTAGCACAGTGCCTGGGACATGGTAGGTGTTTGAAACAAGGTTGTTGACAGAATGAATAAATGAATGAGTGACTGAGGATAGTTGAAGTAGTATCATTTCCTCTATGAAACTTAAAATCCTTCTTCCAACAGAGCCAGAATTCCCTCCTTTGTGCTCCCATTACACCAACCACATTTTATGGTCATTGGCAGATGACAAATAAACCCCTATTGCACTGAGTGAACTTTTAAAAATAGAAAGTGAGTTCTAGTAATCTTAGAATTCCCAGCTTCAACCGTGGTGCCTGGTTATGTAGGAGCTGCTTGATAATTGGCTATGGAATAAATATAACATAATAGTCTTTTGCCTTTTAATGACTCTGACACAAACACTTGATTTTTGATTACAAACTTGATAGATTTATTTATGTTTTCTAATTATGAAGCAATATTATACTAAGTATAGTCATAAGAAATAAGGAAAATTTAAAAAGATCATTCATAAATTTGTGTTTTAGTGTACTTGTCCTTTTAAAGGGATTAAATTTTAATACACATAAATATATTCATATATCTAAAATGAACATTTTCCCATATCAATACTCTTCAAACCTTGTTTTTCAATGCCTATGATATATATTTTTTTGTTGTTGTTGTTGTTGTTTTTTGAGACAGTCTCGCTCTGTCGCCCAGGCTAGAGCACGGTGGCACCATCTCAGCTCACTGCAAGCTCTGCCTCCCCAATTCACGCCATTCTCCTGCCTCAGCCTCCCAAGTAGCTGGGACTACAGGCGCCCGCCACCACGCCTGGCTAATTTTTTTGTATTTTTAGTAGAGATGGGGTTTCACCGTGTTAGCCAGGATGGTCTCGATCTCCTGACCTCATGATCCGCCTGCCTCGGCCTCCCAAAGTGCTGGGATTACAGGCATGAGCCACCGTGCCCAGCCAATGCCTATGAAATATTTTATGCCTACAAAATATTTCATCATATATATTAAAATCTTAGGCATATTGGCTATTTCCAAATATTACAAATATTTCCTTATGAGAATTTTCTTACACATGAAGCTTCGTACTTTCCTCTAGGTACATTTCCCAAAGTGAAATTATATGATTAAAAGGCATGGACACCAGGGCTCTTGATTATTATTGCCAGTACCTCTACAGAGAGTAGATCAATTCACTTGACACCAGTGGTGTTTGGTCATGCCCATTTCCCCACATTCTCACCATTAGATGGAACTATAATTTAGAAGATGTCAATTTGATCAGTGACTCCAGTTACTCAGAACAGGGCAAGAACCCTGGCTTGCCCTGGAAGCAGCATCACTTGCTGACAGCATGAGGGCTGTAGCAGGGGCAGAGATGGAAACAACACATTTCATGTTCTCAAGTAGCTTACAGTCCTGGGTTTAGCAACATTTTATAAACACTTCATTTTAAAGCAAAGAAGAATAAAAAAAATCCTCAATACTAGAGAGTCAGCAGGAAGATAGGCACAGTCTGCTTGTCTATAGGGGGCCTTGGACATGGGTCATTTCTCACGGTGCTGTTGAAAGTAGATAAGACAGGCCTTTATGGATACTTCAGCCTGGTGTGATGTTAGAGGTGGGAGGCAGTTGCCCTGTTCATTGATAACTGGGGCATCTTTGGAAGTTCATCAGATGTCAAGAGTGACAGATGAGGACTTGGATAAGTGGGAGGCTACTTGACTCTGCAGAGCCTTTGACTGTGGGGTTCCTGACAGTGCTTAGGGGTGATGGGCAGCTTAGGCATCCTGGCCAGATACAATGAAGCCCAGAGCCTGGGCCACCTCAGGGGTGACTCAAGGAGCTCCAGTGGGAAGTGAATAGGAAACATAAGGCTAAGACTTAAAGTGGAAGCAGGGCTGGGCAGGAATTTCTTAGGAGGGGGATGGTCATTTTTACAACATTAGGGGTAGAAGCCATCCCTGTGAGAAGAGACTAAAGATAAAGAGACTAATAGATTAACATTAGTCCTAGTGAGGAGTAGACTCCTAGACTTACATCTTCTCTCTCTCCCTATTTCAGATTCATCCCATCTTTACTCCAATCTCCAAAAACTTAATTTATTAGGTAGAACAATTGAGTTATCTTAATTTCCTTGTCTTCTTATGCACCAAACTTTTGGGGTTTTAATTTCTCCAGTCAACGCAGTCTAGCAAAGTATTTTCCTTAAGCAAAAATTATTTTTTCATAAGATATTTGGTTCCAGCCATTAAAATGAGTTTGTAAAATCATAAATAATAGAGATCATGGCCTATATCATATTCTCAATAGACAGTAGATTTCCTCAGGCCCCTTGGCCCCAGATTTGTGTTGACCCCTTTCTTTCCTCCTTGTTGAGGGCAGAACGTTCCTTTGAACTATGTGCTAGCTTAGGCCAGGTGGTTCTTAAAGATCCTTTATTTGGGCACCAACTCTTCCCAAGATATGAGAGGTCTGGTCCAGCTTTTGGGAGGGAGGTTGCTCCTGAGAGAAATGTCTAGGCCCAGCCACTCTCCCTGTACAGAGTGGGAGTTAAGAGCACCTCTCAGCCAGGTGCAGTGGCTCATGCCTGTAATCCCAGCAATTTGGGAGGCTGAGGTGGGCGGATCACCTGAGGTCGGGAGTTCGAAACCAGCCTAACCAACATGAAGAAACCCCATCTCTACTAAAAAAAATACAAAAATTAGCCAGATGTGGTGGCATATGTGTGTAATCTTAGCTATTCCAGAGGCTGAGGCAGGAGAATTGCTTGAACCCAGGAGGCAGAGGTTGTGGTGAGCAGAGATGGTGCCATTGCACTCCAGCCTGGGCAACAAGAGTGAAACTCCATCTCAAAAAAAAAAAAAAAAAAAACACCTCTTGGTACAAAAACTCAGCCACTAGAGTACATGACACCAGTGCCTCTCAGTGGGGCAAGAAACTGCTGAGTGCCTAGAATGGATGTGACCAACACTTCCCACCTTGTCCCCTTGTCCCTTGTTTAGTTACTTCCTGTCTTGCAAGTAAGACAGGGGTGAGGGAGACTCTCCTGGTCTAATAAGGAGCTGCTGGAGAAGAAACTGAGGGATTAGTGGGCCATAGCCCACTAGAGAGTATTAGTGATTCATATTCCCTTTTCTTCCTGGGTCCTGGGTGGATTTCCCTGCACGCGTGAGAGTCTCAGTCTATTGCTATACAACACGATTCTGAGCTGCAAGTGAGAGAAAGCTGAAAGATGTGTCTTGACTGCAATGTGTGAAAGGCTGGAATGATTCCCGCCACCCCACGTTCTAAACATATATAACATATATATGTGTGTGTGTGTCCTGGTCTTGAGTTCTACTCCTGAGGAAGCTGATCTAAATCATCCCATTCTCATTTGCATTTCATAAAAACCTTGTGAAGTAAAGTAATACATATAGTCTTTCCAGCAGAGTAGTAAGACTTCTTATTTGAGAGCTCAGAGATTATAAGAGTGCAAAATCAGAAATTGTTATGCAGCAATAGATAGCTGATATACATGCCCCAGTACTATTTTCTAGGGCTTCTTAAAACCTAGGCTTAGAAGAGACTCTGCCATTGCAGTTTTACTAACGCAAGTCATAAATTAGTTGAGATTCAAAGGGAGGGAACTCTGTAAGCTGTGAATAATAGAGGTGTGATTTTTCAAAATCCACTGATGTAATAACCACTACAGCAGGGTTTATAGACATGGGACACACAGAATAGCAGAGTCTACTGGGGATTGGGAAGTGCCTAGGGTTATCAAGATAAAATATGGGATACCAATGTAAATTTGAATTTCAGATGAATAATGAATAATTTTTAGTACAAATATGTCTCACGCAAGTCTGCATAGCGTGTAATATTTGGGACCTAGTTATACTTAAACATGGTTATTTATCTGAAATTCAAATTTAATTGGGAGTTCTATATTTTTCTTTACTATATCTGACAAACCTAGGTGAGAGACGTGAATGGCACCAGGGGCCAGGTCCTACAAGCTGTTTATTAATCTAGTTACAAGGTTGTTTAGGTCAGGTGAGAACCAGGGCATGAGAATGGAGAGGGAGAGGGCAGACGTTCAAAGCTAGTGAGAACAAGTGGGCTGAGCAGGAGGCCTGAGCATCCAGGCAGTGTTCCAAAGTGGCTGAGATTGTGACATGGGACTCAGACCAGAGAAGGATTCTCAACTCTGTACAACTGTCCTGTCAATCAGTTTTTTTTTCAGGCTTTCAAATAAGGTGGATAATAGTGGTACTTCATAGCATTGTGGCAAGAATTAAGTATGGGGTGGCTGGTATGTAGTAAGCACAGAGAACAGGTTAGGTGTAATCACATCAAAGTAACAATTATAGTAATGGTAATAGTGTTGTGAGGATTGTAGCTGGGGCAGGAGGAGTGGAGAAGAGACACATAGGAAACTAACATCCCCAGAACACATGCTCGGTCCTGGTCCTGGTGCTTTCTATTCTCCATTTTCCTTAATCATAACTGCCTTTGCAGGTATAATAAATTAACTTTAGAGATGAATGAATTGGCTTAGAGGAATTAATAAGTTTGTCTGAGTGGCAGTAGGGTCTGCCTGAGACCAGAATCTTTTCCTATAGAGAAAGACAAGTGAATATAGTTCCTGCAGGTGGACCTCAATTCATGAGCCTCCAGGTCATATCCTGCTGCCAGCCTTTTCCTACCTTGGCCTCTGTGCTGCCTTAACTCTGAGCCTTCCCTTCTCAATTATGAAACGGGAGAATAATGCCCACATTGCTTCTCCCAGAGACTTGTTGGAAGTATTCACTGTGGTAAAGGGCATGAAGGCATTTTCAAACTCTAACATGCACCGTGGGTGTTGAAACTCTTCTTGAAGCCTAGCACATAAAGTGTTAATCCTGTATTCTGCTAATTCCAGGCCATGCTAGGATAAGAAAGGCAGCCCTCCCGAAGGCACTGAAGAAGGGGCTTGGTGGGGTAGGAAGAGAGAGAGAGGTGAGTTTGTGTAGTCTGGTGTGGTGTGGTGTGCTATGCTGTCTTTTTCCCCTCTAGAATACTCCACGACAAGATTCCGGAGGTAAAGCTTCCCCCAAAAGACTTACAACAGAATTTAAGGACAAAACAGTGGAGTAGGACAAGGCTCATTGCTTTTTGGTAGCCTTGCAAATAGTCCCTTGCCTGGGGTGTAGGAAGGTCTAATCCAGTGATTGATAAAATGCTGATTCCACATCTCTTTTATTGTCTGCTAAAGATTTGGTACATATTTTTAAGTCCACTGTGAACTTTTAGACTTCCCCAGAGACCAGCAGCTTAGAAATATATAGGAAAATATTGTCATTATCTATTTTATGGGTGAACATGAAGTAAACAGTGACTGACAAAGCTTGAGTGAGCTGGGTCGTCCCTCTTGCTGGGGATTTTTCTTTCTCTAATTCACCCTGGGTCTGAATATCTATCCTCCTTGCACATTGGATGTACAGCTGCATTCATTATTCTCACCAGTTCTGGCCAAATTCACCACGTAAGGAAAAAAATGGTCTGCAACCACAGACTCATATCCTGTGCAGTAATTTATGATAATGTGACAAGAGAAGGTTCTAGCTCTGACACATGTTTTCCAAGTGTGCCAGAGGTAATAGCATGATTGCTGGTGGGGTGTGTGTGTGTGTGTGTGTGTGTGTCTGATTGTGATGGGGGTGGCGTGGTGGGTAGGCATGAGTGTAAACGAACGTGTGGCCTTCTGAAAGGCATCTCGTGCACACCACAGTTGACAAGAGAGGCGAGAGTGTTCGCTGCTTGATAATGACATTCAGTGTTATGGGGCTGTTGTTTTTAGTGTTTAAGTTATGAAAATCTCATTTTCTCCCTAGAGGCTTTCGTTCTGCCATTCTTTAGTACATCAGGTGAGAAATCAAGTGTCATCTGTTAAAAATGATAACAGATCCCAAGTTAGCTCATAAAAATTACTGTTCCCCCCAAGTCTCTTTGGTTTGGTAAGAGTGATCTTATAAATTGTGATTTTGATTTGAGATGAGCAAGGAAGGGACAACAAAAGAGAGAGGAGGTTTGAAAGTCTTGAGTTAGAGAAAGAATTGAAAAAAATTAATGGAACTTGATTCTATTCCTTATGGATAATTAAGCATAAATGTCCATGGTAAGTCTATATCTACCTCTATCTATCTTGCATTTAGTGTGTATGTGTTTGTGTGTGTATCAGATGTCTTTTTGATGTATTCTATGAAAACTTTTTTATGATCTTGGTCTAAATTCCCTTCTTTGGGCATCCTCATATGCTCACACATGTTTTGTGGTCATTGAATTACTTGAACAGAGCTAGTAAACTGCAAGTCTTAAAGGTCCAAAGGCTTTTCTACTTTGACTATGTAGGCTCCAGAGACAGATTTTTATTGTTCTATTTATTTTTGATTTGGTCTACTATTGCACAAATCTGGTAGATTATTGAAATCCAAGGGGCCTTAACAAGAAGATTTCTGTCTTTGTAAACTTCACTTCCATGGCTCAAGTACCAGCTATCTGGGTAATAACTTCCAAAAGTAACTTCAGCAGTTAACGTTTCCTGTAAGTGTCCAACTTTTAAGTCCAACTGCCTACTTGCCAGCTCCACTGAGGCGTGTAACATGCATCTCAAACTGAATACATCTCCAATCAAACTCTTAATTCGCTTCATACCTACCTCTGATTTACTTCTGTTGCAGTATTCTGCTTTTCAGTAAATTCTATCAGCTTTTTGGGTCAGCAGTCTTGGGGTCAGCCTTGATTCCTATTTCCCACTCACAGTCCATGTAGCCAATTTATCAACAAATAATGTCAGCTCTACCTACAAAATTTGTTCAGAATCTGACCATGTCTCATCATCTCTACTGCTCCCATCCTGATTCAAGCCACCCCCATCTTTGGTCTTGACTGTGGCAATAGCCTCCTACCTGGTTTTGCCCCTTCCACCACCTATCCTGCAACAGCAATCCACATGACCCTTTAGAAACGTGGACCAGAAGATGTTGCTGTTCTGTTCAAAACTCTCCAGTGGCTTCTTATATTGCACACAGTGAAAGTCTGATCCTTCCATTGGCCATAGGTGCTCTGTGGGCTGCTCCCACCACCCCTGCTCTCGCTGCCAGCACACGACTCTTCATCCACCCTCCCCTCTTCACTCTCCATGAACGTGCATGTTCCCATGCGCTTTTTCTCTGTCTGGAGTGCTTTTCTTCCACATTTGTTGCATACTTTCCCCTCATTTCTTTCTGTCTCTACTCAAGGTCACCTCCTCAGAAAGATTATCTTTCAGCATTTAAAACAGTATTCTCATTCCCTATATTCCTAATTCTGTCTTCCTTAATCTACTTTATTCTTCCTTAACCTACCTTATGGTCAGATGCCGATAACTATTTGTCTGTTTCTTCTCACTCCAATGTAAGCCTTCTAAAGCAGGATTTTTTTTTTCTTTTATTGCTGTGTTTCCTGTGGCTAGGACAATATCTGGCATGTAGAAGTTGCTCAATACTTATTTGTTAAAGAAATGAATGAATGTGTGCTCTACTGATACTTTTACAATGTTCTCATAAGTTCTTTCTAACATTAATGCAGTTTTTGTTTGGTTGGTTTTGTTTTGTTTTTTTGAGACAGAGTCTCGCTCTGTCACCCAGGCTGGAGTGCAGTGGCACCATCTCTGCTCAATGCAAGCTCTACCTCCTGGGTTCACGCCATTCTCCTGCCTCAGCCTCCCGAGTAGCTGGGACTACAGGTGCCCACCACCACACCTGGCTAATTTTTTTTGTATTTTTAGTAGAGGCGGAGTTTCACCATGTTAGCCAGGATGGCTACGATCTTCTGACCTCATGATCTGCCTGCCCTGGCCTCCCAAAGTGCTGGGATTACAGGCATGAGCCACTGCGCCCGGCCTAGTGCAATTATTTTATGTTAATGCTCTCGGATGCGATGCAAGAAAATTTTCCATAACAAGACACTCTGAAAGTGGAGTGTGATTCGTCACTCCTCTCTTCTCACTTACTGAAAGCTCCTTGTTCTGGGGAAGAATCTGGTCAGGGCAGCCTCATAGTAGGCCATCCAGATAGAAATTAAAAGCCAGCAGAAGAGCAAGGGATTACAAATCCAGGAGAATTGTGGAGTACTGACTTCCTTCTCTCTCTTGGTAAATACTCTGAGAGTGACCTCTTCCCAAAGTCATTCTCTAGGAAGGGTAAGGTGTGTTTCTTGAGGCAGGAGAGCCTTGACAGCTCCCTGGTAACATCTGGGCCCACTTTTGCTTTTTATAGCAACTTAGAGGAAAATCTCTTAGTTATAATGCTACTTTGGAAAAACTAGAAATAAGAATTCAAAACCAAACTATTTTACAACTTTAGTCTCCTGACTCGTCTATTTTGCTTGGTTCTTCACTCTTTCCCCAGTTCCCCTGTGAAAGCTTGGTTCAGTCAGATTATTTTGCTTCAATGTTGTGAAATAGTTCTCTGCTTTCTCATGAGCTTTAAATAAGCTTCTCTCAGGGGATGAATAGGTGAGCGGTGGGTTTCTTAAAAATGAAATAACAGAAAAAGGTCGTAAAAAATAAGATGTTTGTAAAACCTGTGTAGGATGCTGTGTTTTAAACAAAGTCAGGGATGACTTTCCCTTCATTTCATTTTGTCTCTGAGGGGATTGAAGGGAAGTAATCCTCAGTCATGGTCACCACAGTCTGGCAGATGAAACCCTGTTTCCTGATGTCCCTAGGGGCAAGGATATGGGGTATCTGTAGCTGTCTGTAGCTGTACATTCCAAGGGCTCTCTAGGCCATGAGTTATGACTGTATAGACTTTGTCCATGCCTGACAGGACCTTCTTGTGTCTGATGGCAATGTAAATGCTTTCAAAAAATTTATTTCTTTTTGGATTTTCTTTTTCATTGTTGTCTGCAAAACGAATTCAGTTAGTCATGACGCTCTCTTATTTTGGTGTGTTTCCCTTTCTGGTGCCTTCCAACTGCATGGTGTCTCTGGGTGGAGGAGGAGGAGAGTCTCAGGCCCATCAGGGAAGAAGAAAGCTTCCCTGGCCCCTTAGTATGTAAGTGGGCTTCTGATCCACCCTATTTGCTGGGCTCAGGTGGTGGTATAGGTAGACTCCTATTCAATGTGGGGGAGACCTTAGCCTACCTGGGCTGCCTTCTGTTGCTAGGCTCAGATCAGAAAATGCTTGACCTGGATCACCTCTTTTGTAGGTTGGAAGGACATAGGATGCCCTGACACTGTGTCGCTTCTCCAGTCCTGCCTGGGGTCTCAAACCGATGCACCCTCGTCTTCTACCTCTCAGAGTTCCCCTTTCATTGTCTCTTGAGTTATTTTTGCAATGTTTGTTGTGGGCGGCAAGCCACCCAGGAGCCAAGGCAAGAGACCGAGGGCACAAGCTGTTCCAGTATAATAAAGAAAATAAATAAAATAAGAATAGTTATACTAGATATAGATCATAGATATGATTATATATGAATATCATTAATCATTAGTTTGTAGCAATTACTCTTTATTCCAATATTATAATAATCTTCACTCTACAATCATAACCTAGGAAAAACCAGGCCATACAGAGATAGGAGCTGAAGGGACACTGTGAGAAGTGACCGGAAGACAAGTGTGAGCCTTCTGTTATGCCCGGACGGGGCCACTAGAGGGCTCTTTGGTCTAGCGGTAACGCCAGCGCCTGGGAAGACGCCGGTTGCCTAGCGGACCTTTGTCTAGCGGTAGCGTCAGTGCCTAGAAAAAGCACCCGTTACTTAGCAGACCGGGAAAGGGAGTCTCCCTTTCCCCGGGGGAGTTAGAGAAGACTCTGCTCCACCACCTCTTGTGGAGTCAGGCCCACCCGCAGTTATCCGGAGGCCTAACCGTCTCCCTGTGATGCTGTGTTTCAGCGGTCACTCTCCTGTTTCACTTTCATGTTCCACTCTGTACACCTGGCTCCGCCCTCTAGATCGCAGTGGCAAAATTAGTGAAAGTATTAGTCTTTGATCTTTCTGAAAAGAGCATAGAAGAAATAATGACGTAAGCTGTTCTCTCTCTCTCTGCCTGGGCTACCTAACAGGGAAGGGCCCCCTGTCCGGTGGACACATGACTCACGTGACCTTATCAATCATTGGAGATGACTCACACTCTTTACCCTGCCCCTTTTGCTTTATATCCAATAAATAACAGCTCAGCCAGGCATTCGGGGTCACTACCAGTCTCTGCGTCTTGGTGGTAGTGGTCCCCCGGGCCCAGCTGTCTTTTCTTCTCTTTGTCTTGTGTCTTTATTTCTATGATCTCTCCTCTCCGCACACAGGGAGAAAGACCCACAGACCGTGTACGGCTAGTCTCTACAGTTTGCTATTGTGCATTGTGGAGAGGACTAGAGAGGGCAAGAGTCTGCCATCTTATCCAGGTCAGAAATGGAGGAGTTAAGTTTTGGAAATAATTTTTAGTGTAATACTTTTATGATCTGAAGGAGAAAGCAAATATTTTGCTTGGTCTGTAAGGCTAATTACTTCTGGATAATGAAGTAATGGTAAGCCTGGTAAATTCCATTGGTATTAGTCATTACCTGCTTTCTTTTACTCTGAGGTGAGTTCCATTGCCAGGCGCAATGTTGTTTGAGATACCCTGATTGGACATCGTGGATTTGCAGGAACAAGCATGATGTCAGGAAAAGAAAACTTCAGCTAGAAACAATTTTTATTCCATTGAGGACTAGTTGCTCTCCTGCACATGATGACAGGAGTAAAATATAATTGACTTGTCAGAAGGTATTCAGTTGGTCCCAGAAGGTATAGTATCATCTCAGGAGCTCAAGGTGGGTGGTGTGTTTCTGTTTTTGACTTTCATATGTTGATTCTTTTCATCCCTCACTATAATTTAAGGTATCTTTCAATATTACATCATTTTTGTACATTATTTTTAATAGTTTTAAAATTATTTGTGAAGTGGCCTAAATGTAATTAGCTTAGTCATTCCTCTATTGTTGCTTCAATATTTTTTTTTTTTTTTTTTGCTAGGATAAACACTTCTGTGATGAAGGTCTTCATACATAAATCTTATGCTATGCTTTAACTCCCTTTGTTAGAGAGTCCGTAAGAACTTTGGAGACAGTCTGCCTACATTCAGATTCTGGTGTGTAGTGTTGTGCAGGCTGTATATCAGCCGAGGCAAATGGTACCTCCTGATACAGTGCAAAGCATAACCTGCACAGCCATACATGGCAGCCCTGAATCTTGGCTCTGCCATATACTTACTGTATGAACTTTTACAAGTCCTTTTACAGTTCTGCTGCCTCAGTTTCTGCATCAATAAAGTAGAGAAAATAATACCTTATAGGCCCAGCATATAGCAATTGGTATGTATGTTGTTGTTATTATTGTCAATGAGTATGACTTTCGTTGCAAACTATCAAGTAATCCTATAAACTCTGGCTGATGTCATGGTTTAGATTTAAGGCTCTTCAAGAACTACAGAACAAAGTAGATATACTCTTGGTGCCATGTTGAGGAGGGTTGAAATACTAAGCCACATTTTTCAGAAAGGAGATGAAGCACACATATGGAAAGTCAGATGGCCCTACAGGGGAATGGAAGCCCCAGAGGACAGGTGTGATTACGGGGTTATGATTTCAAAAGAGGAAAAAACAGTGAAGGAGGCAAGTGGAGAGGAGTTTGCTGGATGAGAAGGCTTCCCTGGGGAGAAGGGTATTGGGGGAGATGATTGCAAGCTCTCTTAGTAGCAGGTGGAGCAGTAGTCTGGTTCCTACCGGAGGCAGATGTTTAGGCACCATCTGTCACAGTTAATTCTGAGTCTGGGTGTTTCGCATACCTTTGGCTTCATGGGATGAGTCACATGCTTGCATCTGTTCTCCCTCTCTGAACATTTTCCTCCTGAATGATGATCACCCTATTAACCAACACCAAAAATTTTCAAAGGAATGCTTTCAGAAAGATGCAAAACGCAGAGAATGTGTGGCCAAACTCATCTGGTTTCAGAAGATCTCTTGTCCTCAGATATGTCTACTCTCATTAAAACAAAGTATGAAGATTTCCATGGCTGGGGACACAGGCAGTGTCTTTGATGAGGTCCTCTCAAGATAGCTTAAGCGTGGACTAAACTTCATAGGGTCCACATGAAAAATTGGCTTCATTGATCCACTAAATTCTCAAGGTACAGTCCATTTCTATTCTGCCCTCAGGTGGTGCTCCAGCTAGCCCTTCACGTTCATGTCTCCCCAGATTCTAGGGAAACCATGTCCATTTCTCCCAACAGCTCTCTCACATTCCAGCCTCATCACAAGATTCTCTGGCTGTGCAAACCTTCAGCCAGGGAGGAAGTTTCAACTTGTTCCTCCTATCTGACAATGCCAATCCCCAAAAATTAGTTTTTGGGAACTCCGTCTGTTGTTTTGGGGTAGGTGAGGGGCAAGAATCTTCTCTAATGATTCCCCCTTTAATTAACACAAATCTTCTTTCACGTAAGCTGGATGTTAAAGATGGGCTGAATGAGTTTGGTGGCTTAGTGAGCCAAGTCAGCATAGGCTAAATGCTATAACAAACACCTCAGTGGCTTTAAATGGTCATGTCATTGACGAAAGTGGTCAATATGTTGGTGGTTGTAGAGGAGCTCTGCTCTGTGTAGTTGCTCAGTATCTAGACTTCTTTCACTAGTGTATTTGCTGTATTCTATGTGAATGGTCTTATTTTGTGCCATGGCTTCCTTTGGTAGTCTGTTAAAACCAATAGAGTGTGGTTAAAAATGATATTGTGTTGGTTCTGAGCCTGGGACTCAGGAAACTTTGCACATTTCTGCTCTTTTTCTTCAAATCCTGCCACTTCCAAATGAACAAGCCTGGATTTGTCTGCTGGAAAATGAGAGACACGTGGCCAGCTGTGCAGTCACCCCAGCCTATAGCTAGCCAAACTCCAGAAGGAGAGAAGGTCGCTGACCTGCCTCTGACTGTGGACACAAAAGGGAGCCATGACAAGACTAGACGAATCACCCAACAAGCTTGGCCTAAGTTGCTGACCTGCTGAATTATGATATAAATAAATGGTTGTTATTTTAAGCCACTACGTTTGGGGTGGTTTGTTTCATAGAAATAATTCACTGATACAAGGAAGATAACTTTCCTTTTAATTGACATGGCTGGTTGGTGAGATAGTTCCTTTCACTTACGTTGCATTGCTGAAAGCTAGTTATCAGGCCTCCCTTACATGGAAGAGGAGACTATAAAATGTAGTCCAGCAGTGTAACCAGAAGAGGCAGAGGACATGGATATCGGTGGATCCCCGTCATAAGCACTTACTCATTTTTCTGGGGCAATGGACACACTTTCTGTTGACTTCTTACAAATCTTGGAGTCTCAGCTGAAGCTTCTGTACAAAGTCAGAATTATTATGTAAAATCTTGTTGTGCCTTGTGATAGAGAAGATCACTATCTTATGTTCTGATGACTCTCCAAAGAGGGTAGGATTCTGTTTAAGTAGTCTCAGGGCCTGGTTATCTTTATTTCAAGGAGAGAAAGGAGGAAGCTTAGTGTAGGCCGACAGGTCTGAGCCATAACCTTCAACTGCATTTTTCAAGCCCCTCTAGTTTCTTGTGTATATTTCCTGTGGTGAGGAACCCCACTGGGAAGAGAGGTCATGGCAGGATTTATGCATTCTTGTGTTGTTGTGTTGTGATTTCTGTCATCACAGCAGAATCAATATCTTTGTTTATTGTTCTTAGGAGTCAGTATCCAGTCTATTGTCTATAGTTCTAGTAGCATGATTTATGATTCATGAGTTTAAATGATGTCTCAACACTGTAACACCACACACAGACACTGTAGATTATGTTAGAGGGAACACAATGCGTCAGACAGACCCAGGTCTCAATCCCTTCTTTTCTACTTACTAACTTTGTGACCTTGGGTAAATTCTTTAAATTCAGGTGCCTGTTTCCCTTTAGCAAAATGTAGACAATCATAGCAAACATCCCTGTTTCTTGTAAGCATTACATGAAAGAAAGAATGTGAAAGTACTTGGCACTCGTAGATGCTCTGCAAATGCTAACTGAATCTAAATTAGAGGAGAAGCAAGCTAGTGTTTTAAAACATACTTTAATAAGTAGAAATAGATCACAATGTTGAGTTAATCATAGCACATTGTAATCATACATCCATGTAAGGCCCCTCTCTTGTGTGAATCCATTAATTTTTCCTTTATCCCTGTTTCACTGTCTCATTTATCTTCTTCCATAGGTATCTGTTACATACACTTTATATATAATCAAATTTATTTATCTTTGAAAAATAGTTTGTTGTATGTAAAGTTGGATTGTTTGTAACTCACAAGATAAATTCTTGAGGGAACAGGTACCCCATTCGTCATGATGTGCCTATTTCACATTGCATGCCTGTATCAAAACATCTCATGTACCCCCTAAATATATATAACTACTATGTACCCACAAAATTTTAAACAAGTTTATGCAAATGGCATTATACTATAAATTTCTGTCTTTTTAAAAACTTTTCACCCAGCATGTTTTAAATGATTGTCCATGGTGCTGAATGCTGTCTCATTCATGACTTTTGAGGCTAAATAATGTTGCGTTACATTTTCTACCTTTAACTTACCCATTCCCCAATTGTTGGATACCTACGTTCTCTCCAATACCAAAAATATGCATTAAAACATCTTCTAAAATGCATTTTTACCAACCTGCTGGAAAATTTCTCTAGGATATATGCCCAAGAGAGGGACTTATGGATCACAGATGTGTGCATACTTATTTTATTGAGGACACAACCAGACGGCTTTCTAGGAGGGCCGTACCAGTTTATACAACTGTCAGTAGTGCATGAGGAGCCGGTTTTCTGACATCTTCACCATCTTTCTAATTTTTGTATTATAATGGATATACAATGGTATCTCACTGTCATTTTAGTTTTTATTTATCTATATACTTGTGTGTGTAAGAGTCTCCTTATATGTATTTTGGCCATTCAGGAATCCCTTCTCTGCATCATCTCCTCATGTCCTAGGGAATCAGTTTTCTCAATGCTATATGCCAACCAAATCATCCCTTCCCTATTGCTTTAAAGAGTCACATCTACTGTGAATCAAAGTCACACGCAAACAAATCTATTTCTGAGGTCTCTATTCTGTTCCGATTTGTTCTATTTATCTCTATCCATGTTAGTCCATACTGTTTATATAACAATGGCCTTTCCTACATCTTAATATCATAAAGAATAATGTGCTCTCCCCACCTCATCTTTCCTCTTTTATTTCAAAACTGACTTAGCTCTTCATGAATTCTATTCTTCCTTTGTATCCTCAGTGCCAATTTATTAGCTTGTTGTCCCAACGCAGTTTATTGAAAGAGCTAGCTTTTAATAACTAATGTGGTGTTAATCACTCATCTACATTTCTAAGATATAGTATGTAGTGTTCTTAGTTTTGCTAATTTTTTTCTAGTCATCATTTTCTTTTCCTCTTTAACCAAAGAGTTATTTTAGAGAGTGACTTTTAACAACTCAAAGTGACTCTATTTTTAGGGTTAATATGTTCTTATTAGTCTCTAGTTTTACTGCACTTTGCTTAGAGATGTGGTCTGCATAATATATACTTTTTAGAATTATAGATTGTCTTTGTGGTCTAATATGATAGATTTATGTGAATGAGCCATGGGCACTGGAAATCTATTCTCCATAGAGTTAAAGTTTGGTAATTATTAGACCAACCTTTATTATTTAACTCAAAGCCTTTTATCTAGTATTAGTAAACCATAGGGGGCCACAAAGAAGTTCATGAATGGGCTTCAAGGTATCCATAAATTCCCTGACATGCAGGCAATATGCACATGCTTCTGAGTGAGGAGAGAAAATTCATGAGATTCCCATAGGGGTCCAAGAGTCTAAAAAGATGAACAACTACAGGATTAATTTTTGTTTTATGTTTGTTTATTTATATCTATTTGATCTGTCAATAGCATTATAACTGTGCTTTTAACAATTTTGTCTTGTTTTTATACTTCTTTTCATTCTATATATTGAAGCAATGTTGACTGATGCATATTTGTGGATATTTATAATGTAACTACATATTTTATTCTTTTCATTATAAAATGTTAATTATAAAGTCATTAAGAATCCTTTTTAATATATTTGCCCTGAATTCAGCAGTGTCTGATTTTATTACTCAATTGTAGCTTTCAGTTTATTTGTGTTTGTCTGATGTATTTTTTCAACTTTAGGCTTTTTGCTTAGTTGGATTCTTTTTGTATCAATTATATTTAATACGGAATTTTAATCTTTCTATGTTCATTGCAATAAATGATATATTTGCTCCTACTTCTGTCATTTTGTTTTTATTTGGTTGTTGATGTTCATGCTTTGCTTTTTTTGTCATTTCTGTCTTTTGCTGTATGTTAGATGCATTCATTGTTTTTCTTTTCTCCAGCAGTTTGGGTACTTTAATTTCAGTCTATTTTAACACCACATTTTTAATCCTTTAAATTTTTTTCAAACGTGATAACGTATATCTATTTGATATAACAATTGGTTTCCCTTAAGTCCCCTTTATAATTTAAAATAAGAATTTGAACATACTTTTATGTACTCTCTTTTTCTTTTCTATTTACTTATACAAACTTACATTTTAATTTAGCTTTATGCAATTTCATAGTTTTGTATTATGTATTTCATGAGCATATTATCATTTGTATTAAGTCATATTTATAATAATTTAGTCATTTTGTATTAGTCGTTATCACTAGTCTCTACCAATAATTTTATATTATGATTTCTCCTGTCTTGGTATCTGAATTTTGCTTTATCTTTTGTCAGTGTTTCATGTCCATCTTCAAGTAATTTTTAAAAGATAATGTATTTTCAAGTCTCTTTCATTCTTGAGATTATCTTTCTTTGCCTTCCCATATAAATGACAGCTAGGGTCAATGTGAATGTGTTGATTAGCAATTGATGCCTTAAAAGCCACATCAGAAGTTAACAGAGGCTGAGGGGTGGGGGTATTGGGGAGATGTTGGTCAAAGGACACAAAGTTTCAGTTAGAAAGAAGGAATAAGTTAAAGAGATTTATCTTACACCATGGTGATTGCAGTTAAGAACAATATATTCACTTTGGGAGGCCGAGGCGGGCAGATCACGAAGTCAGGAGATCGAGACCATCCTGGCTAACACGGTGAAACCCCGTCTCTACTAAAAATACAAAAAATTAGCCAGGCGTGGTGGTGGGTACCTGTAGTCCCAGCTACTCGGGAGGCTGAGGCAGGAGAATGGTGTGAACCCAGGAGGCGGAGCTTGCAGTGAGCTGAGACTGTGCCACTGCACTCCAGCCTGGGCGACAGAGCGAAACTCCATCTCAAAAAAAAAAACAATATATTATATATTTGAATATTGCTAAGAGAATAGACTATACGTGTTCTTACCACAAAAAAGGCGTATATATATCTATAAAGTTATATAAACATAAAGGTATGTATAAAAAGGTATATATATGTATATATAAAAGTACATATATATAATGTTCTACACCATAAATATAATTTTTCCTTGTCAATTAAAAATATTTTTTAAAAGTCAGCGACTCATGGCTGGGCGCAGTGGCTCATGCCTGTAATCCCAGCACTTTGGGAGGCCGAGGCGAGGGGATCACGAGGTCAGGAGATCGAGACCATCCTGGCTAACACGATGAAACCCCGTCTCTACTAAAAATCAAAAAAAATTAGCCAGGCGTAGTGGCGCGGGCCTGTAATCCCAGCTACCCTGGGGGCTGAGGCAGGAGAATCTCTTGAACCCGGGAGGCGGAGCTTGCAGTGAGCCGAGATTGCGCCATTGCGCTCCAGCCTGGGCGACAGAGCGAAACTCCTTCTCAAATAAAAAAAAAAAGTCAGCAACTTGGCCAGGCGCAGTGGCTCACGCCTGTAATCCCAGCACTTTGGGAGGTTGAGTCAGGGGGATTACCAGGTCAGGAGATCAAGACCATCCTAGCTAACACGGTGAAACCCCATCTCTACTAAAAATACAAAGAAATTAGCCGGGCATGGTGGCGGGCGCCTGTAGTCCCAGCTGCGGGGTAGGCTGAGGCAGGAGAATGGTGTGAACCTGGGAGGCAAAGCTTGCAGTGAGCCGAGATCGCGCCACTGCACTCCAACATGGGCGACAGAGCGAGACTCGGTCTCAAAAAAAAAAAAAAAAAAATCAGCGATTTAAGACAATAATCTTTTATTTAGCTCAGAATTCTGCAGGTTTCCAATTTGGGCTGAGCTCTGCTGAAAACTTCTGGTCTAGGATGGTCTCAATTATGTATTTGTAGTAGCTGCCGGGTTGCCTAGGGCCTGGCCTCATCTGGAATGGCTCTGTCCTCTGTGGACTCATCCTGCAGCTGGCGAGGCCAGGCTTGTTTCTATGGCAGCTTGGCAGGCTTCCAAGAGAAAGCACAGAACATGCAAATTACATGCATTTGCAAGGCCTAGGCTTGCCACTGGCACAGCATAACATCTAACATGTTCTATTGTCCAAAGCAAGGAACTGAGACCAGCAGCTCATGTTGCAGGAGTGGGAAAATAGACTCCACCTCCTAATGGGAGATGCTGCAAAGTCACATTGCAAAAGGGGACTCATAAAACAAGGGGATGCTCATTGCCATTTTAGCAAACCAGTCTACTATAGCATGCAGAATTTCTGACACGATCCCTTACAAACTGAAGATATTATTTATTTATCTCGTGGTATTTAGTGAGTTGTCCTATTTTACTTATATTCATATTTATTTGATATTTATTCTTTTTTGTTTGTTTGTTTTTTCTTTATATTTCAGAATTGCTCCTCAGCTTTTCAGGTATGTCCTTTGCAGGACAGATGAAATTTCTGTAACATTGGATTTCTTCTTTGCTGCTTTCAATATTTTTTATTAAATTATCTTGTAATGAACCCTTCTAACATGTTTTCTGTCCCTTTATCAGCAGTAAATTTTAATTGCCAACTTTTCTCATCTCATGATGAGGTCATGCTTCCTCTCTCTCCTTTTATGGTCACCTAATACTTTTAGGAAATTTGATTCTGGACTAACAGATTATCTCCAAAGACATTGTGCAAACTTTGAGTGTTCTCTCTTCTTTGTTTTGTAGATTTTTAAAATAATAGTCTCATAAGTGTTTTTCTCTTTATAATCAGAAAAGCCGAGGAAGGTGGGTCACAAGGTCAGGAGATCGAGAACATCCTGGCCAACATGGTGAAACCCCGTCTCTACTAAAAATACAAAAATTAGCCGGGTGTGGTGGTGCATGCCTGTAGTCCCAGCTACTCGAGAGGCTGAGGCAGGAGAATCCCTTGAACCCGGGAGGCGGAGCTTGCAGTAGCCGAGATCTCGCCACTGCACTCCAGTCTGGCGACGGGGCAATACTCCGTGTCAAACAAAAAACAAAAAAGAAAAAAAAAGTAAAGTTAATCTAGAGTCACTTTGTTTCTCTTTTTTCGTTCTTTTAAAAGTTAAATATTAAAAATTATATTGGTAAAATGATATATTCACAAACTAAAACATCAAGCAGTATGGAAAAATGTAAATAAGAAAGTAAATTTTGGCCAGGCATGGTGGCTCACGACTGTAATCCCAGCACTTTGGGAAGCTCAGGTGGGCAGAGGTCAGGAGTTTGAGACCATCCTGGCCAACATGGTGAAACCCTGTCTCTACTAAAAATACAAAAATTAGCCAGGCGTGGTGGCAGACACCTGTAATCCCAGCTACCCAGGAGGCTGAGACAGGAGAATCACTGGAACCCGGGAGGCGGAAGCTGCAGTGAGCAGAGACAGCGCCATTGTACTCCAGCCTGGGCAACAAAAACAAAACTCCATCTCAAAAAAAAAAAAAAAAAAAGACTGAAAGAACACAAACTGACATCTAATTCTAAGGTCACACCTCAAGGAACTAGAGAAACAAGAACAAACCAAACCCAAACCCAGCAGAAGAAAGGAAATAACCAAGATCAGAGCAGAACTAAATGAAATTGAAACAAACAAAAAAATGCAAATGATAAGTAAAACAAAAATCTGGTTCTTTCAAAAGACAAATAAAATTTCAGACCCTTAGCAAGATTAACCAATAAAAGAGGAATGAAAATCCAAATAACCTCATTAAGAAATGAAACAGGAGATATTACAACTGACACCACAGAAATACAAAAGATCACTCAAGGCTACTATGAACACCTTTATGCACATAAACTAGAAAACCTAAAAGAGATGGATAAATTCCTGGAAAAATACAACCCTCATTGCTTAAATCAGGAAGAATTAGATACCCTGCACAGACCAATAACAAGCAGCAAGACTGAAATGGTAATTAAAAAATTACCAACACAAAGAAAAGTCCAGGAGGCTGGATGCAGTGGCTCACGCCTGTAATCCCAGCACTTTGAGAGGCCAAGATGGACAGATAGATAACTTGAGGTCAGGAGTTTGAGACCAGACTGGCCAACATGGCGAAACCCTGTCTCTACTAAAAATACAAAAATTAGCTGGGCATGGTGATGCATGTCTGTAGTCCCAACTACTTGGGAGGCCGAAGCAGGAGAATCGCATGAATCTGGGAGGTGGAGGTTGCAGCGAGCCAAGACTGTGCCACTGCACTCCAGCCTGGGCAACAGAGCGAGACTCCGTCTCAAAAAAAAAAAAAAGTAACAAAAACAAAAACCCAAAAAACAAACAAAAAGCCCAAGACCAGATGGATTCATAGCAGAATTCTACCAGACATCACAGAAGAATTGGTACCAATCCTTTTGACACTATTCCACAAGATAGAGACAGAAGCAACCCTCCCTAATTCATTCTATGAAGCCAGCATCACCCTAAAATACCAAAACCAGGAAAGGACATAACCGAAAAAGAAAACTACAGACTGGTATCCTTGATGAACATAGATGCTAAAATCCTTAACAAAATACTAGCTAACCAAATCCAACAACATATCAAAAAGATAACCCCGCCATGATCAAGTGGATTTCATACCAGGGATACAGGGATGGTTTAACATATGCAAGTCAATAAATGTGATACACCCATAAACAGAATTAAAAACAAAAATAACATGATCATCTTAATAGATGCAGAAAAAGCATTTGATAAAATCCAGCATCCATTTATGATTAAAACTCTCAGCAAAAGTGGCATACAAGGGACATACCTCAATGTAATAAAAGCTATCTATGCCAAACCCACAGCCAACATAATACCGAGTAGGGAAAAGTTGAAAGCATTTCCTCTGAGAACTGGGACAAGACAAGGATGCCCACTCTCACCACTCCTCTTCAACATAGTACTGGAAGTCCTAGCCAGAGCAATCAGACGAGAGAAAGAAAGAAAGCGCATCCAAATCAGTAAAGAGGACGTCAAACTGTCACTGTTTGCTGGCGATTTGATCATTTACCTTGGAAACCCTACGGACTCCTCCAGAAAGCTCCTAGAACTGATAAAAGAATTCAGCAAAGTTTCTGGATACAAGATTAATGTACCCAAATCAGTAGCTCTTCTATACACCAACAGCGACCAAGAGGAGAATCAAATTAAGAACTCAACCTCTTTTACAATAGCTACAGAAAAAAAAAAAAAACTTAGAAATATACCTAACTAAGGAGGCGAAAGACCTCTACAAGGAAAACTATAAAACACTGCTGAAAAAAACATAGATGACACAAACGGAAAAACATCCCATGCTCATGGATGCGTAGAATCAATATTGTGAAAATGACCACACTGCCAAAAGCAATCTACAAATTCAGTACAATCCCCATCAAAATACCACTATTATTCTTCACAGAATTAGAAAAAACAATTCTAAAATTCATATGGAACCAAAAAAGAGCCCACATAGCCAAAGCAAGACTAAGCAAAAAGAACAAATCTGGAGGCATCACACTACCTGATTTCAAACTATACTATGAGGCCATAGTCACCAAAACAGCATGGTACTGGTATAAAAATAGGCACATAGGGCCGGGCATGGTGGCTCACGCCTGTAATCTTAGCACTTTGGGAGGCCAAGGCAGGTGGATCACAAGGTCGGGAGATCAAGACCATCCTGGCTAACACGGTGAAACCTCGTCTCTACTAAAAAAAAAAATAAAAAATTAGCTGGGCATGGTGGCGGGTGCCTGTAGTCCCAGCTACTCAGGAGGCTGAGGCAGGAGAATGGCATGAGCCTGGAAGGCAGAGCTTGCAGTGAGCCAATATCGTGCCACTGCACTCCAGCCTGGAAGACAAAGCGAGACTCTGTATTTCAAAAAAAAAAAAAAAAAAAACTCATAGGCCAATGGAACAGAATGGAGAAACCGGAAATAAACCCAAATACTTACAGCCAACTGATCTTCAACAAAACAAACAAAAACATAAAGTGGGGAAAGGACACCCTTTTCAACAAATGGTGCTGGGATAATTGGCTAGCCACATGTAGGAGAATGAATCTGGATCCTCATCTCTCACCTTATACAAAAATCAACCAAGATAGATTAAGGACTTAAATCTAAGACCTGAAACTATAAAAATTCTAGAAGATAACATTGGAAAAACCCTTCTAGACATTGGCTTAGGCAAGGATTTCATGACCAATAACCCAAAACCAAATGCAATCAAAGCAAAGATAAATAATTGGGACTTAATTAAACTAAAGAGCTTTTGCACAGCAAAAGGAACAGTCGACAGAGTAAACAGACAACCCATAGAGTGGGAGAAAATCTTCACAATCTATACATCTGACAAAGGACTAATATCCAGAATCTACAACAAACTGAAACAAATCAGTAAGAAAAAAACAAACAATCCCATCAAAAAGTGGGCTGAGGACATGAATAGACAATTCTCAAACGAAGATATACAAACTGCCAACAAACATATGAAAAAAATACTCAGCATCATTAATGGTCAGGGAAATGCAAATCAAAACCAGAATGCAATACCACTTTACTCCTGCAAGAATGGCCATAATCAAAACAATAAAAAAAACTGTAGATGTTGGCATGGATGCAATGAACAGGGAACACTTCTACACTGCCGGTGGGAAAGTAAACTAGTACAGCCACTATGGGAAACAGTATGGAGATTCCTTAAAGAACTAAAAGTAGAATATCGGGGGTGTAGGTTCTTTCTGTTTTCCCTAAGTGTCAGCCAGTCTGAGAAACAAAGAGAAAGAGTACAAAGACAGGAATTTTACAGCTAGGCCGCCAGGGGTGACATCACATATCAGTAGGTCTGTGATGCCCACCTGAGCCGCAAAACCAGCAAGTTTTTATTAGGGATTTCAAAAGGGGAGGGGGTGTATGAACAGGGAGTAGGTCACAAAGATCACATGCTTCAAGGGGCAAAAAGGAGAACAAAGATCACATGCTTCTGAGGAAACAGGACTAGGGCAAAATCAGAACTCCTGATAAGGGTCTATGTTCAGCAGTGCACGTATTGTCTGGATAAACATCTTAGCAGAAAACAGGGTTCAAGAGCAGAGAACCAGTCTGACCTCAAATTTACCAGGGCTGGGGTTTCCCAATCCTAGTAAGCCTGAGGGTACTGCAGGAGACCAGGGCGTATCTCAGTCCTTATCTCAACAGCATAGGACAGACACTCCCAGAGCGGCTGTTTATAGACCTCCCCCAGGAATGCAATTCTTTTCCTAGGGTCTTAATATTATATTCCTTGCAAGGAAAAGAATTTAGCGATATCTCTCCTACTTTCACGTCCATTTATAGGCTCTCTGCAAGAAGAAAAATATGGCTCTTTTTGCCTGACCCCACAGGCAGTCAGACCTTATGGTTGTCTTCCCTTGTTCCCTAAAATCGCTATTATTCTGTTCATTTTCAAGGTGCACTGATTTCATATTCTTCAAACACACGTTTTACAATCAATTTGTACAGTTAACACAATCATCACAGGGTCCTGAGGTGACGTACATCCTCAGCTTATGAATATAACAGGATTAAGAGATTAAGACAGGCACAAGAAATTATAAGAGTATTATTAGGGAAGTGATAAATGTCCATGAAATCTTCACAATTTATGTTTTCTCTGCCGTGGCTCCAGCCGGTCCCTCTGTTTGGGATCCCTGACTTCCCGCAACAGTAGAACTACCATTTGATCGAGCAATCCTACTACTGGGTATCTACCCAGAGGAAAAGAAGTCATTATATGCAAAAGATACTTTCACATGCATGTTTATAGCAGTACAATTCACAATTGCAAAATCATGGAACCAACCTAAATGCCCATCAATCAACAAGTGGATAAAGAAAACTGTGGTATATTTATATGCTGAAATACTACTCAGCCATAAAAAGGAATGAATTAACGGCATTTGCTGTGACCTCAATGAGATTGGAGACTATTATTCTAAGTGAAGTAACTCATGGAATGGAAAACCAAACATTGTATGTCCTCACTGATATATGGGAGCTAAGCTGTGAGGATGTGAAGGCATAAGAATGATACAATGGACTTTGGGGACTTGAAGAGTGGGAGGGGGGCAAGGGATAAAAGACTACAAATATGATGCAGTGTACACTGCTCAGGTGATGGGTGCACCAAAATCTCACAAATCACCACTAGAGAACTTACTCATGTAACCAAATACCACCTATACCCCAATAACTTGTGGAAAAAAATTTTTAAAGTAAAAATAAATAAAACATGTTGCTTTAGTTCAGTGGCTGTCTGCCCCAGCCACACATTAGAATCGCCTGAGAGCTTTTAGAAACTAGTGGCTTGTAGCTACTGTACACTGGGACTCTAGCAGGGTTTCACTTGATAGAGATCTTTCCTTAATTGGTCTTGGCTGGATTCCAGGCATCTAAATTTTTTTAAAGCTTCCTACATGAACCTAATGTGTATCCAGGGTTAAGAACCATTGCATCTTAAGAATAACATATTTCAAGCCTGGGTAACATAGTGAGACCTCGTCTCTACTAAAAATAAAAATTTAGTTGGGCGTAGTTGCCTGCGCCTATAATCCTAGCTACTCGAGAGTCTGAGGTGGGAGGATCCAAGAGTCCCAGGCTGCAAAGAGCCGTGTTTGTGCCACTGTACTCCAGCCTGGGTGACAGAGTAAGACTTTGTCTTAAAAAATAATATATTTCAGCTGTAACTTTTTATACCTTAGAAGTGAATTAATTTTTAGTCAGATTACTTTCTATTGGCATGCCTTTCTTTTTCTTTTTATGCTGCTTTTATACCCTTTAAGACATTAAGCAAGATTCCAGGCACAAAATATGTTCTTACTACGTTCTGATTGAAGTGAATTCAAAAAAAACAAGGCAGTTTCTTAAATGTAGTCTTAATCCTGTTATGGCTGTTTATCCAAATCAGTTGTAAATGTATGCATATTGTATATAACAAACTACATGAATATTGTCTGTAGTATTTGCATTATTTTTCCCATACATACATTTAAGCTTTTGCCCTGACCCCCCCCAAAAAAAAACTGTGCTAATTATAATTTTAGAGGGCCAATGCTGAAGGTCCTAAAAAGTCCCCCCAAAACTGTCAACTATAGAGAATAAAGCCCATTTAGATGAGGACTTCCAAAGAAAGGAAATAGGGACAGTCAATCAAGAGTACTGCTGAGATCAATGATGTTAAGAATTTTAGACTTGGAAAAAGCTCAAGGATGAGTATATTGGAGAGAACAAGATGCAAAATACTACTTAAATTATAGGCAGGAATGATGAAAAAGGACGTAGTCAAAAGTAGATGGAGGTTGGGTGTGGTGACTCACATCTGTAATCCTAGAACTTTAGGAGGTCAAGGTGGGAGGATGCTTGAGGTCAGGAATTCAAGACTAGCCTAGGCAACATAGTGAGACCCCATCTCTCAGACTGCATACATATATATATATATGCATGTCTCCTGCAGATAGATAAAGCAGGGAAATGGAACTGAGAAAGGAAAGGAAAGAATTACAGATTTGCTGGACTAAAATGTATCTTGAGAGAATTCAAGACAAGATTATAAACTAGTCCAGATCATTTCCTACTTTTTTATTTAAGCCTGTGGAGCATGGTTTAAAATTACAGGACAGGCATGGTATCTCACACCTATAATTCCAACACGTTGGAAAGCTGAGGCATGAGGATCTCTTGAGCCCAAGAGTTCCAGAAAAGCCTGGGCAACATGATGAAACCCCATCTCTACTTGTGGTGGCGTGCGCCAATAGTCCCAGCTACTCAGGGTCTGAGATGGGAGGATTGCTTGAGCCCAGGAGGTTGAGGCTGCAGTGAGCCATGATCATGCCACTGCACTCCAGCCTAGACAACAGAGCGAGACTCTGTCTCAAAAAAATAAAATTACAGCAGTAAGTTCTAAAAAAAGAAATACGATGAAAATGTATATCAAAAAATAGTAAGAAGAGTGAACACCTGAAAATTCATCTGCTAAGGGTCATTAAGCTGGAAAATATGACAACATGATCATTTCTGGGCATATTTGAAAAGGGTTCCCAAACATCACAAACTCAAGTTGCAGTTTGCTCCAGTAACAGTAGCATGATGATCACTCTCATGAGAGTGGCTCCTGTGTCATAAAAGACCCCAGAGAAGAATGATACCTTGAAAGCCTCCAGTGAAATCCATTTAGGATACTGAAAGAATGGAATTTGATTTGCGCATCCTCTTTTCATTATTCCATAGTTCCCCAAAAATTGAGAAGAGAATCCAGTGAGACTGGTAAAATATTTCAATACCTCTTTAATAACACTCTGAATTTGTATAATATTATGACTCATTACTGTGGATGTAAGATGTGCAATGGTTCTTTATTCTCTCCACCATCATTAAGGCAGGGGCAGAAGTAGGGATAAAGTTTCTCCATGAAAGTGTTACTGAAGGTGTAAATGTGAGTCATGGTTTTAGCATTGTAGAAGGACAACTGTCCTCCTTCATAATCCAGGTATATGCCCACCTTGTCGAGGTTGTTAGTCAGTGTCAGACTGAAAGAAGGCAAATCCAGAGCCTTTAGATCAGTTTGGTTCCTTAGTCTTAAAAGCCAGAATCCTTGCTCAGGAGTTAGAGGACAGCTGCCCTTCCGAATGATGGATTCTCTGACAACTCCAACTGTCCATTTTGTCTTCTTTGCTACTTCTACTTCCCAGTACCACTTTCCAGAGGTGAAGCCTCTTGAGCCCAGTACAGCCACACTTGAGTCAAACCTCTCAGGATCATCAGGCATTATCTTCTTAATGTCACCATGCCAGACGCTGGTTTGGCTTTTGGAGAGCACCAGATTTGGGTGAGCTGTTTTAGGGTCCAGAGTTAGTGGAGACAGGCCTAGTAAGAAAATAAAAGAAAGCAGAGCATGGGAGAAAGGGGGGTAAACACAAATTCCCACAGTAAAAGATAGTATTTCATATTCAATAGTACTTTATCTCCCCATACACATAGACTCTTAGACAGGCAAGCAATTACTTATATGCTTTTTTTTTTTTTTTTTTTTTTTTTTTTTTTGAGGCAGACAAGGTTGCCCAGGGCTGGAGTGCAGTGGTGCGATCTCGGCTCACTGCAACCTCCGCTTCCTGGGTTCAAGCAATTCTCGTGCCTCAGCCCCCCAAATAGCTGGGATTACAGGTGTGTGCCACCACACCTGGCTAATCTTTGTAATTTTTTAGTAGAGACAGGGTTTCGCCATGTTGGCCAGACTGGCCTTGAACTCCTGGCCCCAAGCAACCCACCTGCCTAGGCCTCTCAAAGTGCTGAGATTACAGGCATGAGCCACCGCACCTGGCCACTTACATGCTTTTTATTGTTTGGGTATCCATGTTACTATATTCTAGACATTTTTATATTTAGGGTAAAAATCAGGGTTTACTCAGAAGTAATTTATGCTCTACTAAAGGAAACAATACAAATAATATAAACCTATACTAATAAATATAAGAAAATACAAATGCCAAAGGGGTAAAAATTAGGTAAGGATGTTCTAGGAAAGCTTTCTGAGGAAGGTAAGTATTCAGTTGTATATACATGAGATGTATTTAGGATGTTTTGAATAAACGGAAAGAAAGAAATGGATTAAAAACAGTCCCCTGTGTGGAAGAGAACACAAGAGCTTGCCTGTTAGACACAGGCAAGACTGAACTAACTGGTACAGAGTTTAGAGGACAATAGTGAGAGGTTTATTTTGGTTTAACAGATAATGAGATTTTTGAGATCTAGAGTGGTTTATGTCATTGCTACTCATAATGTGGTCCACATACCATGTGGTTAACAGTCTCGGACAAAGATAGTATAGAAATTAACAGTAAACTTTTAAAAACTTTCATAGCAAATTGACAGTAATTTTATGTCAGTTGAATCTAATAATTACAAAATTGGGCTTGTACTTTGTAATCTTTGCTTTTTTTAATTTTACTTTTTCAAGTAATTTATATTGTATTCTACAAAAGTATCAGTCCATGACAGATTGAGATTTTTTTGATTGGCCCTTCATCACAGATAATTTTACAAGCATTGGTTTAGACAATTCAAAGGGCAGCAGTATAAAAAAGAATATCTAAACTAAATGAAGAGAGGTTGAAAGCTGACCAGCAAGAGGATGACACAAATTCCAGATGTGAGATCATTGGACCTTGACATGAAATTTGATAAAGGAGACCTAATAGCTATGTGTGTGCACACCATGGACACAGATACATGTATGCATGCATTTGTTGTTATTGGATTTATTTATCCTTGGAAGCAGAATCAATCTAGTTTCTCTCTCTCTGTTTTTTTTTTGTTTGTTTGTTTGTTTTGTTTTGTTTTTTTTGAGATAGATTCTTGCTCTGTCCCCCAGGCTGGAGTGCAGTGGCACAACCTCGGCTCACTGCAACCTCCGCCTCCTGGGTTCAAGCAATTCTCCTGCTTCAGCCTCCTGAGTAGCTAGGATTACAGGCATGCACCACCACGCTCAGCTGATATTTTTTGTAATTTTAGTAGAGACAGGATTTCACCATGTTGGCCAGGCTAGTCATGAACTCTAGTCTAACTCTATCTTCTCAGAAAAGCCTGAGTCTTTTCCATTATCCCAGGGACTTCTCTTTCCAACAAGAGGCTTTGAAGAATTAAGAATCTTGAATTTTTCCATATAGGCTAAATCCCTATCCCCTTACATATCCCCATTCACTTTGGGTTGTTAATCTTTCTGATGTGAGGACTGGGTTTTCTTTGGAGGTACCATAAAGACTTTTTAGCAACGTTTTGGAATCCCACTCTGCTCTCTTTGCTAAGCCTCTGACACATCTCTAGCTAGTTCAGCCTGCACTGGCTCTGAAGATTCCCATGAGTCAGCTTTTTGTCCTCTCTTTCCTTCTCATGCCACGTTCATATAACGAAAAGTTCTGTCAGCTCCACCTTCAAAATATATCTTGTGCCCAAACACTTCTGACTACTTCCAGAAATATCACTGGCCTGGAACTACTGCAATAGCTTTTTACTCTTCTGTTTCCTCTCTTGCCCATCTGCACCCTATTCTACACATATCATGAATGAGATCAAGCCATTTCCCTGCTCAGCATACTCTTATGTTTACCATCACATCTGAGATAAAATCCAGAGTCCTTATAGAGGAAAAAAGAGCCACATGATTTACCTACCTCTCTACTTCATCTCCTACCACACTTTCCCTCATTTACTTTGATTCATCCACCCTTGTCTTTTGGCAGTTCCTTGAACATAATGAAGATCATTCCTACTTCAGGGTCCTTATAATTTCTTCCCTTGTCCTAGAATGCTTTTTCCCCATATGGTTCACTCCACATTATTTGGGCATTTGTTCATGCAAATATTTTAAATTGAAAAATTCCCTAAGCTAGAGTAGGCAAACTACAACCAACAGGTCAAATCTGACCCACTGCCTACTTTGTAAGTAAAGTTTTATTGGAGCACATTTATGACCATTCATTTATATGTTGTCTGTAGCTTCTTTTTCACTACAAGAGCAGAGTTAAGTAGCAGCAACAAAGACCATACACCTGCAAGGCCTAAAATATTTACTCTTCAAACCTTTACAGAAAAGTGCCAGCTCCTGCTCTAAAGCAACAGCCTAATTTATAAGGCTGGCAGAAAAGGAGAATATATGGATCTACAAAATAAGCAAAGACTTAGAAATAAAAAGTATGGAATATATTTTACAAAGGTCTGACCACAGTTACCATAGAAAAACAATTTCCCACTCTGTATAGAGGGAGAGTATATGGATAAATAATACATTATTAATAAATAGTCATATATTAAATAAATCTCATTTGGTTTTCTTGATGTAAAATTATACCAAAAATTTAAAAATCAGTTTGCATTTTAAAAGATTGCTAGAAGTGAAGTTTGGCTTTACAGAGCAAAGTATACAGGAAGAAAAACTCTGTCATACCAAGGCAGCTACAATTTGCTAAGCAGAGTAACACAGAGGAGGGAACTTCACAGAAACTTACAAACATCTACAAAGGGATTCTCTCAAGGCTGTGGCTGAGTACTAATCTGCACATGCATGCAGTGAAACTCGTCAAGGCCAGAGAAAGAACCTCCAGAAATCAATAGACTGAACAATTTCTGGAGCTCACACAAGGCTGGGAATAATTTTCAATCTTGCCAACCAGAATGGAAAAATGTCGTAATATGTCAACGTCAGGTAGGGTAATCAGAAGGGTATATTACTTTAGAAAATGGGCTAAGTTAGCCCTAGATTAAAGGCTGCTCTTGAGCCACTCTAACTAGGCTTTATTTAAGCCTCAGAAGGAACAAAATGATGTCATACCATGTTAACTGCATGCCAGAGTTAAATTCAATAGAACTGAAAGAACTACAACAAAATCCAGCAAATACAAAATTCACCAATATGAATTCATCAGTACAAACAATATGAAATTCATCATATTTGGCATCCAGTAAAAAATTACCAACCAGAAGAGACAAATCTCCAGGGCAGCAAAATTTCAAATAATTTACATTAATACACTACCCTCAGGGAGAGGGAGCATAACTATCCCCTCCTTAAGCGTGGGCTGTGCACAATGACTGCCTTCCAAAGTATACAAGTATAGAAGGAGGGAAAAAGAGTACAGTGGAGAAACCTGACAGACACTTCCTCAGCCAGGTGATTAAAGTCAACATCAATAGTCATAAATCATGTTGACGGTATGAACACTTAATGTGATGTGATGACAATGACACTTTAATGCTACTGTCTTCCTCTCCCAATTAATAACCCAAATTTTATGAGGAAAACATCAAACAAATTGCAATAGTGCAGCATCCTTACAAAATATATGACCAGTACTCCTCAAAACTATCTAAGTCATAAAAAATAAGGCAAGCCTGAGAAACTGTCACAGCCAAGGGGCACCTAAAGAAAATGACAACTTAGTGTAATGTGGCACCTTAGATGGAAACCTAAAACAGAAAAATGACATTAGGTAAAAACTAAGAAAATCTAAAGGAACTATGGATTTCAGTTAATAATGTATCAATTTGGTTCATTAGTTGTTAAAAATGTTAAATCTAAGATGTTAATAATAGAGAAAAGTGAGGATGGGGCATATAAAAAACTCTATACTATCTTCTCAGTTTTTCTGTAAAATTAAAAAATCTAAAAGTGTCCTAAAAAATAAAGCCCATTAAAAAGAAAAAGATTACTAGCCATACAAAGCAGCAGGAAAATATGACTCTCAGGAGAACAATCAAACAATAAAATCAGGCCCAGAAATGACAATGATGATAGAATTAGCAGACAAGGATATTAAAATGGATAAATGTCTTCCATTTTTTCAAGAATGTAGAGGAAGGCATGAACATGGTGAGAAGAGATAAGAAAGATATAAAAAGACCCAAATGAAACTTCTAGAAATGAAATGTATATAAAATGAAAATATCTTGAACAATATTAACAGAAGGTTAGACCATGCAGAAGAAAAGATGAGAACTTGAATAACAATAGAAACCATTTAAAATAAAGTGTGAGGTGAAAAAAGGCTAAAAAAGTACTGAATATCGATGACATGAGACAACTTGACAATATCAAGTTGTCTAAAATATGTAAAATTAGACTCCAAGAAGGAGAGGAGAAAAGGGGTTGGTAAAAAAGTATTTGAAGAAATACCAGCTGATATTATTCAAAATTTGATGAAAATTATAAACCCTTAGATCCAAGCAGCTCAATGACGCACAAGCAGAATAAATACAAAGAAAATCACACCAAGACCACGTATAATCAAATTGATGGAAGCAAGTGACAAAAAGCAAGTCCTAAAATTAGCCAGAGATGGCCAGGTGCGGTGGCTCACGCCTGTAATCCCAGTACTTTGGGAGGCCGAGGCGGGCAGATCACGAGGTCAGGTGATCGAGACCATCCTGGCTAACATGGTGAAACCCCATCTCTACTAAAAATGCAAAAAAATTAGCCGGGCGTGGTGGCGGGCACCTGTAGTCCCAGCTATTTGGGAGGCTGAGGCAGGAGAATGGCGTGAACCTGGGAGGCGGAGCTTGCAGTGAGCCGAGATTGCACCACACTCCAGCCTGGGTGACAGAGTGAGACTCCATCTCAAAAAAATAAATAAATAAAAATAAATTGAAAAGGCAAGCCATGGAGTGAGAAAAAATATTTAAGAAACATATATCTGATAAAGGATTTGTATCCTTTACAACTTAATAATACAACAATTTAACAAAAATATAGACAAAAGTTTGAACACAACCAAAAAAATATATGAATGGCAAGGAAGCACCTGAAAGGACGCTCAACAGGATTGCTCATTAGGGATATGCAGCCGGGCACCACGGCTCATGCCTGTAATTTCAACACTTTAGGAGGCTGAGGTGGATGGATCACTTAAGGCCAGGAGTTCAAGATCAGCCTGGCCAACATGGCAAAACCTCATCTCTACTAAAAATACAAAAATTAGCTAGGCATGGCAGTGCGCGCCTGTAATTCCAGCTACTGGGGAGTCTGAGGCGCAAGAATCACTTGAGCTTCGGAGGCAGAGGTTGCAGTGAGTTGAGATGCACCACTGTACTCTAGCCTGGACATCAGAGTGAGACTCTGTCCCACCCTCCCACCAAAACAAGAGATATACAAATTAAAACCACAATAAGATACTACTATACATTCAATAAAATGGTTTAAATTAAAAAGATTGACAATATCAAGTTTTGGAAAGGATATAGAGAAACTGGGATTTTCACTAATTGCAGGATGGATAAAACTACCATGGACTACCCCATGTCCATCAACTGGGAAATGAATAAGTAAACTGAATAAATAATCATGATTATTGATACATGGAACAACATAAGTGCTCAAAAAGCATTATGCGGCCTGGCGCAGTGGCTCATACCTGTAATCCCAGCACTTTGGGAGGCTGAGGCGGGCAGATCACGAGGTCAGGAGATCGAGACCATCCTGGCTAACAGGGTGAAACCCCGTCTCTACTGAAAATATAAAAAAATTAGCCGGGCATGGTGGCAGGCGCCTGTAGTCCCAGCTACTCGGGAGGCTGAGGCAGGAGAATGGCATGAACCCTGGAGGCAGAGCTTGCAGTGAGCAGAGATGGCACCACTGCACTCCAGCCTGGGCAACAGAGCGAGACTCCATCTCAAAAAAAAAAAAAATTATGCTAAGTGAAAAAAACCAGAAGACACAAAACACTACATAATGTATGCTATCACTTAGACAAAAATTTAGAAAAGACACATTTAAAGTGAAATAAAACATGTCAGTGAATGTTAGAGGCTGAGAGTAGAAGGAAGAGATTGATTTCAAAGGGGCATGTAGGAACTTTTTGGAGTGATAAAAATCTTCTATATTTTGATTATGGAGAGGTTTACCTAAGTGTATATATACATCAGAACTCATCAAATTGTGCCCTTAAAATTGGATAATTTTACTCTATGTTAACTATATCTCAGTATAGTTGATTTTTCTTCAATGTCAATTACCTGGAAAAATTTGCGATTTTTCATTAAATCAGGGATATATTTGTGATTTCTCATTAAATCAATAACCATAAACAATAATAATAATGATGAGTCTATGAATTCTATAAAAACTCTATTTAGAATTTTATTTCTATAAAGATTTTTATTTAGAACTTTATTTGATGTTCTTGAAATGCCATGTGTGTTATTTTATCTTGCTCAGTCCTTTGGTATCTACAGGAACACAAAAACTTAGTGTCCTTCTTAGGTATGTTTATTTAAATTATTGGTTTTCTTCTGAAGCACTGAAGATCTAAACAATCTTCTAAAATGTTCTACGCTATGAACATCAAGCACAAAAGAAACTGTAAAGACCCAGTGTACATAAAAAGAGTATGTTCAGAAACCTCCTCCTTCTTCAGAGAAGCCCCTGGGATTCATATAGCTGATTTAGCAAAACAAGATAAAATTTTGGCTGTTGCCACATTTCATAAATCAGTCAAAATCATATGCTAAGAAGTAATCCTGATATCAAACTCATATCTATTTACCAGCACAAAGTCATAAATTCTTAGGTCATGGTACTAGAAGAAATTCAGTCATACCAACTAGCCTCCTTTTGGCCAAACTGTACCCCTTCCCTATCCCAGACTGTAAAAACTTAATTAGGGCCACAGAAGAAGTCCCACAGATTAAACGTAGATTAGGAGCCTCAAGAACCAATAGTTACTACCCACTGATACCTGGGCAGAGAGTGTCCTGCATTTCCCTCCATACCATGTACTGGATAGGACCTTTGTACTGGCCCAGGTTCAGCTTTCTGGAAATAAGCTCTCTGGTTGCCAGCACCTTCATTCCTTGCTCCAAGCTGCAGGGCACATAAATCATTTATCCTTAGACATCCTCCAGAGACTCAAGGAATGATATTAATAGTACCATAGGGAAACACTTACCTATGTAAGAGAGTTGTGATGTCCTAGAAGAAAGGAGAAAGAGAGACATCAGATGCCCGTTCATCAACTCTCAAAATTTCTTTGGTGATACCAGCCACCACCAGAATTTGTGCAGATGGTCCCGAACTCATCTCTACCAACTTCTTTCATCCTTCATACACTTTTTCTAATCTTCATCCCTGATCCTAACCCAGGTTAAATTGATCTTTTGCTCTTTCTAGAGTTCTCTTCTACAGGGAGCAAGACAGAAGCCAATAAGACAATACTTAAGGTTAAGCTATCTTTACCTATACTTTCAAATAGTCTCAGAAGAAAAACACATTAGGTATCCCAGTCCCAAGGCCACTTTTCCTTACTCTAGCTAATTAAACTTCTGAGTGCTGAGATGGTAACCAACGCTTCTTTAGAGGTGAAGCTTAAGAAAGCAAAGGTTAGAAAACAGCTTTTCAGACAGGTCAGCTTATGATTGCTGAGAGCCAAAGATACAACTCAGGCTGCAACATTTTTATTTTTGAGAAATAAAGCATCAAGCTCTTTATGGAAAAATATTAAACCATTACTATATACTATTATTAATGGAATTTAAAAATCGTATTTCCTAAGAGGATGAAAGTAAAGCTTTCTGCTGTGCGTATAGCTGAAGCAGCCTCCTCCTTTTCTTCCAGAGAATCTTAAAAGCACTATAACAGTTTTGTTTTGTTTTGTTTTGTTTTCCCTGGATGTGAAAAGCCACTTCCGCATTCTTTCCAAACCTCTTCCCCCCTCTAGGTAGGAAGGTACCCATAATCATATTGGTGTGGATTCTCACTTTGAGAAAGTCGAAGGAGTTCTGTTGTTCCGTCTTTGCCTGAATGCTCACCAACATATCCTTGGCTAAGAGACATTGCTCCTGAAGCTGGCTCAGATTCAACTCCATCTCCTCATTCAAGGCTTTCCCCTCTTCCCGGAGCTCAGTTAAAATGTCCTTTTCTTTGCTGTGCAGGAACTGATGCAGCTTTAGAAACTCCATGGACACATGTTGCTGCAGATGTAGCTTGTTTTCCTGGAAACCTCCATGATTATCACCATGGTTATTGCAGAGACTAGTGCTTGGGGATGGGGGCCCACACCACCAACACTCACACACTTGGTAAATACCATCACAGAAAAATGCATACAAATGGCTACTGAATATCAAATTCAGTCATACTAAAATGAGTCCTTTGGGAGACTTACTCCTTTTCCAACTAATTTAATAGTTCAGGATGAAATAGGCAAAAGTGACCTCCAGTTTCCTATTGCAGTACTGAGATGGTAACCAATGCCATATTAAATAAGACTGTGGAGTTAGTCAAACATTCTAGAATGAAAGATAATACCCTCCTAGATTGGTAATCCAAAAGCTGCCAAGTGGTACTGTTAGACTGGGGGTATTGGGAGGCTGGAAGAACTGTCCTTACCTAGAAATCAGAACTGGGGGAATGCCACTGTTACACTTGCAGCTTTTTCCTTGGGTTACCTCAACATCCTCACAGTTAAACTATTTGACATCCTGGCTTCTCAGTTCCTCATTCTCCTCATTTCTAGTGATTTCCACATTTATTGATTCATTCCTATAGTCTCACCTAGGATTTTATCACCCCCAGCAATTGTATCATCTCCAAAATAACTTTTTATGCACCAGGCTCACTCAGATACTCCTATTGCAACAATTATTGGATCTCATTGAAACCTCCTATTCACCGATCCCTCCATTTCTATTCAGGAACTTCTACCTTCATGTCCTCTCTTATCTAGCTTGGATCCCATGGTCCATAATTATTATTGCACCTTAAGATAGTCTTGGCTGGGCACAGTGGCTCATACCTGTAATTCCAACACTTATAGAGGCCAAGCTGGGAGGATTGCTTGGAACAGGAGTTCAAGACTGGGCAACATAGTGAGACCCAGTCTCTCCAAAAATAAAATAATTAGCCATGTGTGGCAAACTAGTCCCAGATACTCAGGAGGCTGAGGTGGGAAGATCTCTTGAGCCCAAGAGTATGAGGTTACAGTGAGCCCATATCCACCTCATCAATATCATCTTGCTTAGCATGTTCCAGCTTTATTGGCCTTTTCTCTGTTTAACATAGCAGCTAACTTTCCATCTCAGGACTTTTCCAGATACTCTTTTCTATTCCTAGAACATTCTTCTCCAGGCTACCTCCTTCATATCCCCACTCACCCAGTTCACTTGGATAAGTTACTTATCCTTCAATTCTCAATTTTTAATGTGACTTCTTCAGAGAACACCCCTCCCCCAGTCTAGATTATGTTCTCCATTTATATGCTATCATCATACCCTATACTTTCAGTTATAGTACTTATCACAGTTGTTATTTTATTATTACTCATGGGATTATTTAATTAACAGCTGTCTCCCATCCCCAATATCTAGTATTATGCCTGACCCACTCAATAAATATTTGTTAAATGAATGAATGAATGCTCACACTAATAGGAACTTTTACAAAAGGAACAAGATTTTCTGAAGACATCATTACTTCCATATATCCTTCTTCTTTCCCTGAGTCTGCATATTTTTTTCTTCCAGATGCCAAATACCTGAGAAGGCTCTTCTCCATAGAATAATGAATAAAGAAACAGAACTTCCAATTTAGCACCCCCAATCTAGGGACTGATTTGCCAAAGCTCTAGCCATTAATGTTGTCCTAGAGTGCCTATGAAGTTGAAAGTGCAGACAATAGCTTTATTTAGCTTGGAGGAAGCTAAGAAGATCAAATCAGCTGGGAAAAGCCTATGACCTTAGAGACCTAGTCCAGAGGTGTCTGGTTATAAACTCAAAGGAAATAAAGGTATTTCTTTGGACATAGCAATCTTTAGTGATTGATTTTTTTCTAATAAGTTCCTTTTTTTTTTTTGCCATAGATAAAGCCAAAGACCAGACACATTTCAACGCCACGACAGTCACCTGGTGACTGAACTATCGAAAAGATCAGCATATTAGGGGAAAGGTTAATCTGCTCTGTTGATCAGCTATTAGGAACCTACTCCACCACCATATTCCTTTCCACCCTACAGACTCAGTTTTCCAATTCCATAGCCTAGGTACCATTTAGTGTGTAGATAATATATGTTAGGCACCTTTGTACCCATAGCTGAAGTTACATGGAGGGTGTGTTCCAGTTCTATCTCATAACCCCTCTTTCTTGCTCCTCACCTTGTGAGCAGCAATAGCTTCCTTCTGCATGTTCCTCAGGGTCTGAAGCTCCTTCAGAGTTGTCTCCAGTTGACCCTGTTGGATGGCAAGCTCCTCCTGGGAATATCAAATAGAATTAACCCAGACTAACTCGGGAGATGAAGGACCATAAAGGACATCTTCCCCAAGGCCCCAGTGTGCAAGAAAAAAGCAAGCTCTTGCTGCAAAAATCTTCCCCTTCCCCTGTATCATAGTTCTTGTCTCGTTCAAGAATTGTGAAAAAGAAAAGAAAAGGCCGGGTGTGGCAGCTCACATCTGTAATCTCAGCACTTTGGGAGACTGAGATGGGAGGATCACTTGGGCCCAGGAGTTTGAGACCAGCCTGGGCAACATAGTGAGACCCATCTCAAAACAAAGAAAAAAAAAGAATTATGGAGTAAATTACAGCTTAAAACTTAGTTTTTCTCTCTTAGTAGCTAGCTACAGGGATTTGAAGAAGGGAATAGAACTCTACACATTTTCCACTCTAGTTATATACTGTTCTCAGCATCTATCATTTTACTTGTGTTGTTCTCACTTGGAACATTTGTTTCTTCCTTCTGCCCTTCAAAATCCAAATGATTTCCCAGTTCAAGTCCTTTCCCTTTCTTTCACTATATGTCCCCTATTTCATTTTTCTCTAATAGTCTCAGAAATTCTAAACCCTTAAGAATTACAAATGTGACAAAATTTAACTTTTAACACGAGGCTATCTTAATATTGCTTCTGTTGTTTTCTTCATTTTAAACTTAACCAAATTTTGAATTTTTTATAACAAGAGCAATATCTTATCTATCCATATTCTACACAGTGTTTAGCAGAGTGCTACCATGGCAGAGTTTAGGTACAGATTTGATTGAGGGAGTAAGCCAGGGCTCCTCCACTGTTCCTTTCCTATAAGCAGCAACTCTAGAAAAAGAACTTTGCAAGATACGTTGTACTTTCTGAGCAGTCTGGGCTTTCTAATCATCATTTGAATAAAGGGATGGGGTTGGAAGAAAGAAGAAGCCCTATGAAATATTTTTCCTAGTTTTTCTAAGGGATTGTTCAAGGCCCAGGGCTCACCCACCGTGAAGAAATGGACAGCATCAGAGATTTGCAGGAACTCCTTAGACTGCCCCACAGACAACCGAGCATCCTTGCATTGAAAGCAGATCAGTTTCCCATCTGGTTTACTGAACAGTTTCAGGTTCTCTCCATGCTCTGGGCACTGTGGATGGCCCTTGAGTAAGGGTAACTTCTTAATCTTCTCTACCAACTTGTCCAGTACAGGGTTGAATGTACAGTTGTTATACTGACATAGCATCTTACACTCAGGACAGAATGTTTCCTTTGCTTGCAGCCTCCAAAAGTCTTGGATACAGGCTTCACAGAAGTTGTGGCCACAGCTTAGCATCAGTGGGTCTCGGAACCAATCATTGCACAGAGGGCAGTGTAGCTCCATAGTAATATCTTGTATCACCACTTTAGAGGGTAGGTGGGTGATTGAATCATTCATTTCAACATAGTCGCCTGGATCGATGTTGGAGGAGGGGTTGGTGGATACCTTTAGAAAAGAACAGCTAAAATGAGTTTATCTTTCTTGTTGCCCATTTTAACACTCCAGGATGATGGCGCCATTCCTAAAGGAGCTGAAAATTGGTACAACTAAAGTAAAAGCACATAATCTCTCCTTTGAAAGTGAACCAGTAACTTGAGTGTTTTCTGAAATTATAGCGTATGATGCTATTTAAACTTTAATAAAGAATCAAGGCAGAGGAAGAAACAGTACTAAATCAAAGAAATGTACTTTGTTGTACATCTCTCTCTTTACCCACTTTCCCCAAGTGTCTTTTGAAAGTTTTATTTTTCAACTTCTGCTCTACTAGTTATTACCTTTATTTTATTTTTGTTTTCTAGAAATTATATACAAAGAATTGGAAAATCAATCAGATTCCTTAGTCAGTAGTGTGATATCGTCAACCATCCAGGGTCCCCTTCACTCCTTTTTAAAAAAACACATTTCAGGCCAGGCGCAGTGGCTCATGCCTGTAATCCCAGCATTTTGGGAGGCCAAGGCGGGCAGATCACGAGGTCAGGAGATTTAGACCATCCTGGCTAACACAGGATGGTTAGCCATCTCTACTAAAAATCTCTACTAAAAATACAAAAATTAGCTGGGTGTGGTGGCAGGCGCCTGTAATCCTAGCTACTTGGGAGGCTGAGGCAGAAGAATTGCTTGAACCCAGGAGGCAGAGGTTGCAGTAAGCCAAGACCACGCCATTGCACTCTAGCCTGGGCAACAACAATGACACTCCATCTCAGAAAAAAAAAAAAAAAAAGGAATGACCAACAATGAACTGAGCCTAAGAGATCCACAAGACACTATCAAACAGACATAATAAGAATTTCAGAAAGAAAGGAGAAAAATGCAGAAAGAATGTTTGAAGCAGCCGGGCACTGCGGCTCAAGCCTGTAATCCCAATACTTTGGGGTGCCGAGGCAGGTGGACCACCTGAGGTCAGGAGTTAGAGACCAGCCTGGCCAACATGGTGAAACCCTGTCTCTACTAAAAATACAAAAAATTAGCTGGTCATGGCGGCAGGCACTGGTAATCCCTGCTACTTGGGAGGTTGAGACAGGAGAATTGCTTGACCTGGGAGGTGGAGGTTATAGTAAGCTGAGATCACTCCACTGCACCCCAGCTTGGGCAACAAGAGTGAAACTCTGTCTCAAAAAAAAAAATTTTTGAAAAAGTAATGGCTGAAAACTTCCAAAATATGATGAAATTTTACATCCAAGAAGCTCAACAAACTCCAAGCAGGATAAATTCAAAGAGATCCACAATGAGACACATTATAATTGAAGTGTCCAATGACAAGGAAGGAATCTTGAAAGCAGCAAGAGAGAAATGACTCTTCACATACAAGGGATTCTCAGTAAGATTACTAGCTGATTTCTTTTCAGAAAATATGAAAGCCAAGAAGGAGAGAGATGACATATCTGAACTGCCGAAAGAAAAAAACTGTTAACTAAGAGTTCTGTATCCAGCCAGGCACAGTAGCTCACACCTGTAATCCCAACACTTTGGGAGGCCAAGGTGGGCAGATCATTTGAGCCCAGGAACAACATGGCAAGACCCTGTTTCTACTTTTTTTTAATTAAAATTTTTTAAAAATAAAGAATTATATATTCATGAAAAGAGGAATTAAGACATTCCCAGATAAACAAAAACTGAAGGAGTTGTCTAGTAGTCTTAATCTACAAAAAATGCTAGTAGATCTGCTCTAGAAGAAATGCTAAAAGGAGTCCTACATGTTGAAATGAAAGGAAACTAGGAAGTATCTCCAAGCCATATAAAGAAGTAGAGACCAGTGAAAAAGTAGCTACATAGGTAAAGTCCAATATTGCAGTTTTTGGTTTCTAACTCCTCTTTTTCCCCTATTCAATATAAAAGACAAATGCACAAAACAATAGTTATGTGTGTTAATGGATATGCAATGTATAAAGAGATAATTGGTGATAATAACAACAAAAAGGAGAAAACAGAGCTGAAAAGGAGCAGAGTTTTTATAGTAAAATTTTTTGCTTTGTACTATTAAAACTAAGTTGGCATTAATTCACCCTAGATCGTTATAAAGTTGACTAATTATAACCCCCTGGGTAACTACTAAAGAAAAAACTACTAAGCAATATAAAGAAAAAGAAAAGAGAAGAATCAAAATGTTATGCTAGAAAAAAATCAGTTAATCACAAAAAAGGGAAGTAATGAAGGAATTTAGAAACAAAAAAGCACATACAGAAAATAACAAAATGGCATAGGTAAGTCTTTATCAGTAATTACTTTAGACGAAATAGATTAACTTCTGATTAAAAGGCACAGATTAGGAAAATGGATAAAAATAATATGACCCAACTATAGGCTGTCTACAGGAGACTCACCTTAGAACCAAATACACAAACAAGTTGAAAGTAAAAAGTTGGAAAGACAATCCATACAAATAGTTACCCAAAAAAGATGGAGTAGCTCTACTAATATCAAGTAAAATAGACTTTAAGATAAAAATTGTTAAACTTGTTACAAGAATACAAAGAAGGATATTATCAAGGATATGATATAAAGGTCAATCAATCAAGAAGATAAAACAATTATAAACATATACACACCCAACAACAGAGCCTCAAAATACGTGTAGCAAAAAGAGACAGATGTGAAGATAGAAATAGTTCTAAAAAATCGTACAAAATATCTCTGACTACAATGGAATGAAACTAGAAATCAATAACAGAAGAAAAACTGGAAAATTCATAAATATGTGAAAATTAAACAACACACTCTTAACTAATTGGTCAAAGAAGAAATTATAAGTAATATTAGAAAATACTTTGAGATGAGTAAAAACAAAAATACAGGCTGTGCACAGTGGCTCACACCTCTAATCCCAGCACTTTGGGAGGCTGAGGCAGGCCAATCACTTGAGCTCAGGAGCTTGAGACCAGCCTGGGCAACCTAGTGAAACCCTGTCTCTACCAAAAATACAAAAAGAAAAAAAAAAAATTGGCCATAATGGAACATGTCCGTGGTCCCAGCTACTGGGAAGGCTGAAGTAGGTGGATCACCTGAACCCAGGAAGTGGAGGTTGCAGTGAGTCAAGATCACATCTACACACTCCAGCATGGGTGACAAAACAAGACCCTGTCTCAAAAACAAATAAACAAAAACACACAGCATGTCAAAACTTATGGGATACAGTGAAAATAGTGCTAACAAGGAAAGTTATAGCTATAAACACCTACATCAAAAAAGAAAGACCACAAATCAATAGCCAAAATTTTCCCTAGAACTGGAAAGAGAGGTACAAGCTAAACCAAAGATAGCAGAAGGAAAGAGTAAAGAATAGAGGCAGAGCATGGTGGCTCATGCCTGTAATCCCAGCATTTTGGGAGGCCAAAGCAGAAGGATCACTTGAACCCAGGAGTTTGAGACCAGCCTGGGCAACACAGTAAGATGTCATCTCTACTAAAAATTATAAATAATAATTTTTTTAAAAGGCCAGGTGTGGTGGCTCATGCCTGTAATCCTAGCACTTTGGGAGGCCGAGGTGGGCAGATCACCTGAGGTCAGGAGTTCAAGACCAGCCTGGCCAATGTGGTGAAACCCCATCTCTACTAAAAATACAAAAATTAGCTGGGCGTGGTAGCGAGCACCTGTAATCCCAGCTACTCGGGAGGCTGAGGCAGGAGAATTGCTTGAACCTGGGAGGGGGAGGTTGCAGTGAGCTGAGATCGTGCCATTGTACTCCAGCCTGGGCGACAGAGCGAGACTCCATCTAAAAAGAAAAAAAAAAGTTAGGTGTGGTGCATGCACCTGTAATTCCAGCTATTTGGGAGACTGAGGTGGGAGAATCACGTGAGCCTGGGAGGTCCAGGCTGCAGTGGGCCATGATTGTTCCACTGCACTGTAGCCTGGGCAGCAGAGTGAGGCCATGTCTCAAAAAAAAAAAAAAAAAAAAAAAGGCAAAAGAAAAGAAACAAAATAGAAAATAGAAAAACAATCTACTAAAAAGATAAAAAATCAGCCAGGCGTGGTGGCAGGCGCCTGTAGTCCCAGCTACTCGGGAGGCTGAGGCAGGAGAATGGAGTTAACCCAGGAGGCAGAGCTTGCAGTGAGCCAAGATCGCGCCACTGCACTCCAGCCTGGGTAACAGAGTGAGACTCCGTCTCAAAAAAAAAAAAAAAAAAAAAAAAAAAGAAAAAGTAATGAAATAAAAATGCGATTCTTTGGAGGGAAAATCCACAAAATTTAGAAACCATTAAGTAGACTGATGAAGAAAAAAAGAGAGAAGATTTAAATTACTAAAATCAGAAATGAAAGTGGGTAAATTAGTACAGATCTTACAGAAATAAAAAAGGATTATAAGAAACTATGAACAATTGTATGCCAACAAATGAACAACCCAGATGAGATGGAAAATTTCCAGAAGCACACCAACTACCAAAACTGACTCAAGAAGAAACAGAAAATCTGAACAGACCTACAAAAGTAAAGAGAGTAGATCAGTAATCAAAATCCTCCCAACAAAGAAAAGCCCAGGACCAGACGGTTTCACTGGTAATCCTGCCCACTATTTAAAGAATTAATATCAATCCTTCTCAAACTCTTCCAAAAAAACAAGAGGGAACACTTCCTAATTCATTCTGTGAGGATAGCTTATCTTGGTCCTAAAGACAGATAAAGACATCACAAAAAACAAACTATTTTTAGTTTTCTTTTTGCAAAAGAGTGAAAAGACAACTCACAGAATGGAAGAAAATATTTGCAAATCCTATACCAGATAAGGTCTATTATCCAGAATAAAGAACTCTTACAACTCAATAGCAAAAAATAAACAACCCAATTTTTAAAATGGACAAAGGACTTGAATAGACAATTATGCAAAGAAGATAAACAAATGACCAACAAGCACATGGAAAGATACTTAGTATTACTAGTCATTAGGAAAATTCAAATCGAAGCCACAGTGAAATACCACTTCACACTCACTTGTATTGCCGTAATTTTTTAATGGAAAACAATAAGTATTGGTGATACAGAGAAATGGACTCTTGTACATTGTTAATTGAGAATATAAATTGGTGCAACCACTGTGGAAATCAGTTTGGCAGTTCCTCAAAAAATTAAACAAAAAACTACCATAAGACAGACCTACCAATTCCACTTCTAGGAATATACCCAAAAGAACTGAAAACAGATAGTCAAACAAAAACTTGTACCTAAATGTTAATAGCAGCACTATTCACAATAGGCACAGGTGGAAGCAATCCAAATGCACATTAACTAATGAATGGAAAAGTGTGCCATATTCATACAATGGAAGATTATTCAGTCAGAAAAGGGAATAAAGTATTCATACATGCTACAACATGGATGAACCTCAAAAACATTATGCTAAGTGAAAAAACCCAGACACAAAAGGTCACATATTACACGATTCCATTTATATCAAATATACAGAATAGGTAAGTCTATAGAGACAGCAGATCATTGGTTGCCAGGGCTGGAGAGAAGGAGATATGGGGAGTGACTGCTCATATCACTGGAAGTGACTGGTCATGGGGTTTCCTTTTGGGAGGACGAAAATGTTTTGAAACTAGATAGAGGTGATTATTATACACCATTGTGAACGCACTAAATGCCACTGAATTGTACATCTTAAAAGATTAATTTTATGTTGTATGACTTTTACCTCAATTTTTGAAAAAATGGAAGCTGTAGGCCAAGCATGATGGCTCACGCCTGTAATCCCAGCACTTTGGGAGGCCAAGGCAAAGCTTGATCGCTTGAGCCCAGGAATTTGAGACCAGCGTGAGCAACATGGTGAAACCCTGTCTCTACCGGAAAAAACAAAAACAAAAACAAAAACTGGGTGTGGTGTCACGTGCCTGTAATCCCGGCTACTCGGAAGGCTGAGGCTGGAGAATCGCTTGAACCTGGACTGTTAAGGCTGCAGTGAGCCTAGATCATGCCACTGCACTCTAGCCTGGGCGACAAAGTAAGACCCTATCTCAAAAAATTAATAATACTAAACTGAAGCCATTTGACTCCGGAGCCAGAATTTTTTTTTTTTTTTTTTTTTTTTTGAGACAAAGTCTCACTCTGTCGCCCAGGCTGGAGTGTAATGGCATGATCTTGGCTCACTGCAACCTCTGCCTCCCAGGTTCAAGCGAGTCTTCTGTCTCAGACTCCCGAGTAGCTGGGATTACAGGCATGCGTCACCATGCCTGGCTAATTTTTTGTATTTTTAGTGGAGACAGAGTTTCACCATGTTGGCCAGGCTGGTCTCGAACTCCTGACCTCAAGTGATCCACCCACCTTGGCCTCCCAAAGTGCTGAGATTACAGGCATGAGCCACCACGCCCAGCCCAGAGCCAGAATTTTTATACTGAATAATATCCTGCTTTGCAGAATGCTATATAATGCCTTCCAGGGTGGGCTACTATTTGATGAATAGCCACCAGAAGTGGCCACCAGAAGTGGCTTCAATCTCAGTGCCTAAAGGTCTAATGGTGTAAATAAACATTCAGTGATGGCAGCTTTGTTTCTATGCCCATACTTCCTGGGTCATAGAAATGAATAACATAGAGGCTCTGCCCAAGAGCTGCTCACATCTGGACCTCCACTACATTTATGGGACCAGGACAAAGTGCAACTAGAAGTCCCTAGCTTCTACTTTTCAACTTGCATATCATCTTCCTCTGAAGGATAAAAAACTTAAATATAGACAGAAGATGTATTCTGAGGCAAAATCCCTGAGAGTTTGTCCAGAGGTTACTCTTCTGTTCTTGAGAGGAAAACTGGAGCTCAGAGGAGTACGAACTTGCTCTGACACTCAAGTCACTGGTGAAATCAGGGAATTCAAAGAACTCTATCCTGAAGGCCAGAGCAATTTCCATCTGCTATATATCCACTTGAGAATTGGAGTATCCAGAACTGCTCTGTTCCTCATTCCTAACCCTGCCCATTCCTCGTTAGAAGTTTACATTTACCTCTCCTTATGGGCTTAGTTTCCCTTATATTCAGATTTATTCTAGCCAGGGGAACATGGCTAAACATTCTTTGCCTCATGATCAAATTCCATTCTCATTAATAACTATTTATATTGCCCTCATTCCATGTCTACATTCTCACTTTTGTTGTGAAAATGCTTTTGATTGAGTCTGTAGCCCTTTGCTCCATAGTTTCTCACATAGCCTGTGTTCCCTATTGCTGATGCCTGATCTCCCCAAACCTGGGTCTTGCCTGTCTGGACCTAATACGGCCATCTTCTCTTTGAATGTTGCCTTTCAACCATTCTCTGTAGCCTCTTTTTCTGAAATTCCTATCAGACAGATGTTGACGCTTCTCACTCCAGTCTTTATTTCTATTAATTTCTTTTTCATATCTTCTAACTCCATAACTTTCTGTGCTTTGCTTTGGACATTTTCTCCCATTTTGTTGTTTTATAGATGCTATTTATTTTGTATTTCTTTAAACACCTTTGAATGAGGTGAGTTCTTCCTGAATCAGCTATTTGCAAGAGACTTGTATGAGGATGGAGGCAGGGTTATATTTGAGGCTATTTTCTTTATAAAACAATGTTTGCATGGGTTCTTTTTTCCCCATGATCAACACTGCAGGGTTGTTTGCAATGCAGAGTCTCTCTCCTCCATTCTACCTCAGCAACAGACTGCTTTCTGAAAATATGGCATATTTGTCCTTGTTCAACTTCACCTTTCCCATATCTCAAATCTGTATAACAAATGGGTTACTCCAGCTTAAGCCTGCTTGCCTGTTCTCTTTGTTCTGTACCAGGGCTTGTGGGTTGTGGCCAACAGGATGGGGTACTTTCTTTGGAAAAGTACCACCTCCCTTCATGTAAGGTCTGCTTCCCTAGGCATCCTTTCTCACATTCCTGCTTGACTTTCACTATATTTGGCAGTCCTTCCTCATAGATTGTAGTCCAAGCTATTTGATGTCTCTAGTTTCATTGCAAATTATTTGTCTATTTTTCATTCTCCTTGTGGTTTTTGACTTAAAGAAGGATGAGTTTCTAAGAGAAGGGAGAAAATTAGTTTTTAATCCACCATTTAAAAACTAACACTTAAATTGTTATTGACACTTTAACGTTTCTATATATTTAAAGAAAGATGTGTGTGTGTGTGTGTGTGTGTGTGTGCACGTGCACGTGCTGGGAGTGGGCAGAATATTTCAAATGTCCTCAATATATGAATTTGACTAGACTGGGTAATGGACTTTCAGCATTAATCAGTGTGGATGCCTTTCCTGAAAGATAACAAATTTACCTCCAGCCCACAGGAATGGGAATGCAAAGCCAATATTTAGTGTTATAGAAAATACTATGTGCTATTCTTTGCACACTTGAGTTTTAAACTAAGATTGATTTCTTTTTTTATATACAATTATTGGTTTATGCTATTATCTTTTAAAACTTTAGAAAAAAAAGAAGAGTTACAAACCAAAAATAGGTAGTTCTTTGATGAGTGCTTTTTTTATGTCTTTGTCTGGGTTCAAGTTATTGTCTAATGTCCCTTCATTTCAGCTTGAAGAAGTCCCTTTGTCATTTTTTGTAGGTAAGATCTACTAGAGATAAGCTCAGTTTTTGTCTGTCTGAGAATGTCTTAAATTCTTCTTCATATTGGAAAGATAGTTTGGCCAGATACAAAATTCTTTGTGGATTATTCAATTACTTTGAAGATGTCATCCCATTGCTCTCTGGCTTCCATGATTTCTGATGAAAAATTAGCTGTTAACTTATTGAGGCTCTCTTGTACATAAGTCACTTCACTCTTGCTACTTTTAAGATTATTTTTGGCTTTTAATAGTTTAATTATAACTTGGTGTGGCTCTCTGTTAACTTACATAGAGTTTGTTGAGCTTCTTTGATGTATAGCTTTATGCCTTTTGTCAAATTTCAAAAGTTTTAAACCATTATTTCCTTAAGCATTCTTTCTGTCCCCTTCTCTCCTCTCTTCTGGGACTCCAACTATGCATAACAGTCCCACAGGTTTCTGAGGCTCTGCTCATTTTTATTCATTCTTTTTTTTCCCTGATCTTCAGCATAATCTCAATTGACCTATTTTCAGTTTCATGAATTCTTTCTTTTGCCTGCTCAAATCTGATTTGAACACTTCTTGCGAATTTCTCATTTCAGTTATTATGCTTTTCAACACCATAATTTCTCTTTGGTTCCTTTTTATAACTTCTACATCTTTGCTGGTATTCACTATTTGGTGAGACATCAGTCTCATGGTTTCCTTATTTGCAAATTGTTTCCTTTAGCTATTTGAGAATATTTAAAATAATTGATATAAAATCTTTGTCTAGTGAGTCCAATGTCTGAGCTTCCTCAGGAATAGTTTCTATTAATTTCCTTTTCTCCTGTCCATGGGCCATATGTTCTTATTTATTTATACTTGTTGAATATCCGATACTTTGACAAGTATAATGTGAAATCTCTGGAAATCAGAATCTTCCACCTTCTCTGGGGTTTTTTGTTACTTCTTGTTGTAGTTGTTTTGTTTAGTTAGTGACTTTTCTAAACAAATTTTGTAAAGTCTGTATTCTTCGTCACATGTAGCTACTGAATTCTGTCCCATGAACTTAGTAGTCATCTAATAGTTCAACAGAGATTTCCTTAAATGCCTAGAATCAACCCAAATCAAACAACAACAACAACAAAAACCTCCCAGTCTTTGTAAATGGGCTTCGTATATGTTGAGCATGCCTTCAACACACAGTTTACAACTTCCTTAGTCCTCAGTTCCTGCTTACACAGATCCTAAAAGTCACTCCGAGAAGAAAACTTGGGGTCTTTCTCAGGTTTTTTTTTTTTTTTTAGTATGCACTCAGTCCTGGGCATGCAGTTGGCCTTCTAGATTACCAGGAATATGTGGGTACTTTTCAAAGGGTATTCCCCAAAATAACTCTTTCCCCAGCCTTTCTTTCTCAGCTTTTTGGTTACTCTATTGTTTGCCCCAACTATTATGCCTTTCCCCAGGTGGCAGCAATAAAAACATTTGCTTTTAAATGTTTCCAAACTATACCTCCAGGGTAGCCATCTCATCTGTGAAAAAGTTCTGAGTTAAACAAACTAATGGCAAGCCTTTTATGTAATACTTCATGGAAGCACCAGACAGGTCAAAGCCACAGTTCTTTGGGAATAAGGTCCATGCTGCTCCCACTTGTACTATGTACCTGTAGTTGGAATGTCAGCTGTCTTTAAAACCACCACCAAGATGGGAAATGAGGAAAACCTGAGTAAGTTAAAGTGTTAAAAAGTTATTTTACAGAGATTCAAGGTTTTATTTAATTATTATTAAATATTTCCCTGGTTGCTGTAAGCTTTTGATTAGTTTCAAGTTTTAAAAAACTCGATCTTCAAAATTTTTGCCAGTTTTTGTGGAGGGATGGACTTTGGGACTTCTCTACTCCACCATTTTTTTTATTATTATTATACTTTAAGTTTTAGGGTACATGTGCACAATGTGCAGGTTAGTTACATATGTATACATGTGCCATGTTGGTGTGCTGCACCCATTAACTCATCATTTAGCATTAGGTATATCTCCTAATGCTATCCCTCCCCCCTCCCCCCACCCCACAACAGTCCCCAGAGTGTGATGTTCCCCTTCCTGTGTCCATGTGTTCTCAGTGTTCAATTCCCACCTATGAGTGAGAACATGCAGTGTTTGGTTTTTTGTCCTTGCAATAGTTTACTGAGAATGATGATTTCCAATTTCATCCATGTCCCTAAAAAGGACATGAACTCATCATTTTTTATGGCTGCATAGTATTCCATGGTGTATATGTGCCACATTTTCGTAATCCAGTCTATCATTGTTGGACATTTGGGTTGGTTCCAAGTCTTTGTTATTGTGAATAGTGCCACAATAAACATACATGTGCATGTGTCTTTATAGCAGCATGATTTATAGTCCTTTGGGTATATACCCTGTAATGGGATTGCTGGGTCAAATGGTATTTCTAGTTCTAGATCCCTGAGGAATCACCACACTGACTTCCACAATGGTTGAACTAGTTTACAGTCCCACCAACAGTGTAAAAGTGTTCCTATTTATCCACATCCTCTGTAGCACCTGTTGTTTCCTGACTTTTCAATGATGCCATTCTAACTGGTGTGAGATGGTATCTCATTGTGGTTTTGATTTGCATTTCTCTGATGGCCAGTGATGGTGAGAATTTTTTCATGTGATTTTGGCTGCATAAATGTCTTCTGAGAAGTGTCTGTTCATGTCCTTTGCCCACTTTTTGATGGGGTTGTTTTTTTCTTGTAAATTTGTTTGAGTTCATTGTAGATTCTGGATATTAGCCCTTTGTCAGATGAGTAGGTTGCGAAAATTTTCTCCCATTTTGTAGATTGCCTGTTCACTCTGATGGTAGTTTCTTTTGCTGTGCAGAAGCTCTTTAGTTTAATTAGATCGCATTTGTCAATTTTGGCTTTTGTTGCCCTTGCTTTTGGTGTTTTAGACATGAAGTCCTTGCCCATGCCTATGTCCTGAATGGTAATGCCTAGGTTTTCTTCTAGGGTTTTTATGGTTTTAGGTCTAATGTTTAAGTCTTTAATCAGTCTTGAATTAATTTTTGTATAAGGTGTAGGGAAGGGATCCAGTTCCAGCTTTCTACATATGGCTAGCCAGTTTTCCCAGCACCATTTATGAAATAGGGAATCCTTTCCCCATTGCTTGTTTTTCTCAGGTTTCCAAAGGTTAGATAGTTGTAGATATGCGGCATTATTTCTGAGGGCTCTGTTCTGTTCCATTGATCTCTATCTCTGTTTTGGTACCAGTACCATGCTGTTTTGGTTACTGTAGCCTTGTAGTATAGTTTGAAGTCAGGTAGCATGATGCCTCTAGCTTTGTTCTTTTGGCTTAGGATTGACTTGGCGATGCGGGCTCTTTTTTGGTTCCATATGAACTTTAAAGTAGTTTTTTCCAATTCTGTGAAGAAAGTCATTGGTAGCTTGATGGGGATGGCATTGAATCTATAAATTACCTTGGGCAGTATGGCCATTTTCACGATACTGATTCTTCCTATCCATGAGCGTGGAATGTTCTTCCATTTGTTTGTGTCCTCTTTTATTTCATTGAGCAGTGGTTTGTAGTTCTCCTTGAAGAGGTCATTCACGTCCCTTGTAAGTTGGATTCCTAGGTATTTTATTCTCTTTGAAGCAATTGTGAATGGGAGTTCACTCATGATTTGGCTCTCTGTTTGTTATTGGTGTATAAGAATGCTTGTGATTTTTGTACATTGATTTTGTGTCCTGAGACTTTGCTGAAGTTGCTTATCAGCTTAAGGAGATTTTAGGCTGAGACAATGGGGTTTTCTAGATATACAATCATGTCATCTGCAAACAGGGACAATTTGACTTCCTCTTTTCCTAATTGAATACCCTTTATTTCCTTCTCCTGCCTAATTGCCCTAGCCAGAACTTTCAACACTATGTTGAATAGGAGTGGTGAGAGAGGGCATCCCTGTCTTGTGCCAGTTTTCAAAGGGAATGCTTCCAGTTTTTGCCCATTCAGTATGATATTGGCTGTGGGTTTGTCATAGATAGCTCTTATTATTTTGAGATACATCCCATCAATACCTAATTTATTGAGAGTTTTTAGCATGAAGCGTTGTTGAATTTTGTCAAAGGCCTTTTCTGCATCTATTGAGATAATCATGTGGTTTTTGTCTTTGGTTCTGTTTATATGCTGGATTACATTTATTGATTTGCGTATATTGAACCAGCCTTGCATCCCAGGGATGAAGCCCACTTGATCATGGTGGATAAGCTTTTTGATGTGCTGCTGGATTCAGTTTGCCAGTATTTTATTGAGGATTTTTGCATCAATGTTCATCAAGGATATTGGTCTAAAATTCTCTCTTTTGGTTGTGTCTCTGCCCGGCTTTGGTATAAGGATAATGCTGGCCTCATAAAATGAGTTAGGGAGGATTCCCTCTTTTTCTGTTGATTGGAATAGCTTCAGAAGGAATGGTACCAGTTCCTCCTTGTACCTCTGGTAGAATTCGGCTGTGAATCCATCTGGTCCTGGACTCTTTTTGGTTGGTAAGCTATTGATTATTGCCACAATTTCGGAGCCTGTTATTGGTCTATTCAGAGATTCAACTTCTTCCTGGTTTAGTCTTGGGAGGGTGTATGTGTCGAAGAATTTATCCATTTCTTCTAGATTTTCTAGTTTATTTGCATAGAGGTGTTTGTAGTATTCTCTGATGGTAGTTTGTATTTCTGTGGGATCAGTGGTGATATCCCCTTTATCATTCTTTATTGCTTCTATTTGATTCTTCTCTCTTTTCTTCTTTATTAGTCTTGCTAGCAGTCTATCAATTTTGTTGATCCTTTCAAAAAACCAGCTCCTGGATTCATTAACTTTTTGAAGGGTTTATTGTGTCTCTTTTTCCTTCAGTTCTGCTCTGATTTTAGTTATTTCTTGCCTTCTGCTAGCTTTTGAATGTGTTTGCTCTTGCTTTTCTAGTTCTTTTAATTGTGATGTTAGGGTGTCAATTTCGGATCTTTCCTGCTTTCTCTTGTGGGCATTTAGTGCTATAAATTTCCCTCTACACACTGCTTTGAATGTGTCCCAGAGATTCTGGTATGTTGTGTCTTTGTTCTCATTGGTTTCAAAGAACATCTTTATTTCTGCCTTCATTTTGTTAGGTACCCAGTAGTCATTCAGGAGCAGGTTGTTCAGTTTCCATGTAGTTGAGCGGTTTTGAGTGAGTTTCTTAATCCTGAGTTCTAGTTTGATTGCACTGTGGTCTGAGAGACAGTTTGTTATAATTTCTGTTCTTTTACATTTGCTGAGGAGAGCTTTACTTCCAACTATGTGGTCAATTTTGGAATAGGTGTGGTGTGGTGCTGAAAAAAATGTATATTCTGTTGATTTAGGGTGGAGAGTTCTGTAGATGTCTATTAGGTCCGCTTGGTGCAGAGCTGAGTTCAATTCCTGGGTATCCTTGTTAACTTTCTGTCTCGTTGATCTGCCTAATGTTGGCAGTGGGGTGTTAAAATCTCCCATTATTATTGTGTGGGAGTCTAAGTCTCTTTGTAGGTCACTCAGGACTTGCTTTATGAATCTGGGTGCTCCTGTATTGGGTGCATATATATTTAGGATAGTTAGCTCTTCTTGTTGAATTGATCCCTTTACCATTATGTAATGGCCTTCTTTGTCTCTTTTGATCTTTGTTGGTTTAAAGTCTGTTTTATCAGAGACTAGGATTGCAACCCCTGCCTTTTTTTGTTTTCCATTGGCTTGGTAGATCTTCCTCCATCCTTTCATTTTGAGCCTATGTGTGTCTCTGCATGTGAGATGGGTTTCCTGAATACAGCAAGCTCCATCAGCTCCTTTAAGCACTTCTCTGTATTGGTTATTCTAGTTATACATTCATCTAAATTCTTTTCAAAGTTTTTAACTTCTTTGCCTTTGGTTTGAATTTCCTCCTGTAGCTCGGAGTAGTTGGATCATCTGAAGCCTTCTTCTCTCAACTTGTCAAAGTCATTCTCCATCCAGCTTTGTTTTGTTGCTGGTGAGGAACTGCGTTCCTTTGGAGGAAGAGAGGCGCTCTGCTTTTTAGAGTTTCCAGTTTTCCTGCTCTGTTTTTTCCCCATCTTTGCGGTTTTATCTACTTTTGGTCTTTGACGATGGTGATGTACAGATGGGTTTTTGGTATGGATGTCCTTTCTGTTTGTTAGTTTTCCTTCTAACAGACAGGACCCTCAGCTGCAGGTCTATTGGAGTTTGCTAGAGGTCCACTCCAGACCCTGTTTGCCTGGGTATCAGCAGCGGTGGCTGCAGAACAGTGGATTTTCGTGAACCGCGAATGCTGCTGTCGATCATTCCTCTGGAAGTTTTGTCTCAGAGGAGTACCCGGCCATGTGAGGTGTCAGTCTGCCCCTACTTGGGGGTGCCTCCCAGTTAGGCTGCTAGGGGGTCAGGGGTCAGGGACCCACTTGAGGAGGCAGTCTGCCCATTCTCAGATCTCCAGCTGCGTGCTGGGAGAACCACTGCTCTCTTCAAAGCTGTCAGACAGGGACATTTAAGTCTGCAGAGGTTACTGATGTCTTTTTGTTTGTCTGTGCCCTGCCCCCAGAGGTGGAGCCTACAGAGGCAGGCAGGCCTCCTTGAGCTGTGGTGGGCTCCACCCAGTTCGAGCTTCCCGGCTGCTTTGTTTACCTAAGCAAGCCTGGGCAATGGTGGGCGCCCCTCCCACAGCCTCGCTGCCGCCTTGCAGTTTGATCTCAGACTGCTGTGCTAGCAATCAGCGAGACTCCATGGGCGTAGGGCCCTCCGAGCCAGGTGCAGGATATAATCTCCTGGTGCACCGTTCTTTAAGCCCGTCGGAAAAGCACAGTATTAGGGTGGGAGTGACCCAATTTTCCAGGTGCCGTCTGTCACCCCTTTCTTTGACTAGGAAAGGGACCTCCCTGACCCCTTGCGCTTCCCGAGTGAGGCAATGCCTCGCCCTGCTTCGGCTCACGCACGGTGCGCTGCACCCACTGTCCTGCGCCCACTGTCTGGCACTCCCTAGTGAGATGAAACTGGTACCTCAGATGGAAATGCAGAAATCACCCGTCTTCTGCATCGCTCACGCTGGGAGCTGTAGACCAGAGCTGTTCCTATTCAGCCATCTTGGCTGCCCCCTCCGTGTGTTTTTAAAGTATGTTTAAAATATATAGCGGTTACCAAGGCAGGGCAAAGAGGAACGGGAAGTGACTGATAATGGGTATGGAATTTCTTTTGGGGATAATGAAAATGTTCTGGAATTAGATAGTGGTGATAATTGTACAACTTTGTGAATATGCTATAAATCACTGAATTGTAAACTTCAAAAGGGTGAGTTATATGATATGAAAATATATTTAATGTTATTAATTATTGATATTATATGATTGACTGGTTTTATATGGTTAATTCATCTTGCTAGCTGAGGGTTTGCCAATTCCCCTGACTTTCAATAATATATCCTTTTCTGTAAAACAAGGGATTAATTATATTAGCTAATATTTACTGAGCATTCACTGTGGAAGAGGATTTACATACATTATTTCATTTAATCTCAGAACAACCCTATGAAATACGTATTATTACTACATATTTTAAGGAAACTGAAGCTCAGATTGCTTCAAGTATCTTCCCAGAGTCACAATTATTAAGTAGTGGGTCTCAGATTTGAACTCTTTATTTGACCCCAAAGCCTATTAACCACTGAGTCAGCAGAGAGCCCATCAATATGTTTTGTGGAATTGAATTTATTAAATGGATCAAATTTGTGAAGCAAAATATCTGCAATAACTTCCTACTGCTCTAGAGGGAGCTATAGAATTGGAAACCAAATGAGAGTCTAAAATTTCTGGACCTGGAAATCTTTTAGGAAACACATCTACTGCCAGCCCCTTTTAGGGGAAGAAGTCTAACCTTAAGGCAGAGAGAGAGAAACTCGAGTCAGGAATTGATATTCATCCTTATAAAGCCCTGGCTGGCAGGAATCACTTTATAAGAAAGCACATCAGCAGGTCACGATGGCCCAGGCCTGTAATCTTAGCCTCACTTTGGGAGGCTGAGGCAGGAGGATCACCTGAGGTCAGGAGTTGGAGACAAGCCTGGGTAACATGGTGAGACCTCATCTCTACTAAAAAAAAAAATAATAATACAAAAATTAGCCAGGCGTGGTGGTGCGTCCCTGCAGTCCCAGCTATTTGGGATGCTGAGGCATGAGAATCACTTGAACCCTGGAAGCGGAGGTTGCAGTGAGCTGAGATGGTGCCACTGCACTCCAGCCTGAGCAAGAGAGTGAGACTCTGTCCTAAAAAAAAAAAAAAAAAAAAAAGAAAGAAAGAAAGTATGTATCTTCCTCCTTCAGTTCACTGTGCACATTCTCAAAGAGCAGAGAAAAGGCAAAGAGCTATGAAGTCCATGGAAGCTTGCATAAGAAATCCTTAATTTTTACCAGAGATTTTTTTTTCCTGAGAAGTTTTGTGTTGTAAATTTTTGAAATCATAGTTAAGATATCTAAGGAGAGTTCATTTGTTGCTTTTCAACCTTTATTCCTTCAAAGTAATTTTTAAACTTTGATGGGCAGTTTTTATGAAGAATTAACTTTGAGAGCAGAAAAATACAGTTCATCCACAGAGACAAACTATATAGCACAGCCAGCTTAAACCTAAGAGCAAGACACACTCCTGCTTCACGAGTCAAGCCATTTGCACATAAGAAGGCAAGATTCTGAACTTTCTGACTTCTTGGAGCTTCCCAGAGTTGAAAGAAATTTTAAGCCATTTAATTCACTCCTTTCCAACCTCTGCCTGAACATCTGAAGTAATGGGAAACTCACTATCACACAAACAATTTTTTTACTATTATGGAAAAGTGTCTATTTTCACTGACTTGGCCTTAAAGTAATAAGAATATAGTAGGTTTAGGCAATAGTGTTTATTTTTGCCCTAGAAATTATAAACAAAATGCTTATAGCCCTGTTTGCTTCAATAGCTAAGCACAGAGATGAGTAGCAGCAAACCTAAAGGTCCTATGATAGAGGAAATTAGAAACTGATCTTAATGATTAATATAATGAAATTAAACTTTATAAGAAGTGGAAACTAGTGGAAATGGATGATAACTCAGGATTCAAGGGCCCCTGAAAAACCCTTAGTGAGTTTTTCAAGCTTTCATGTAGTAAATAACCATTTTCTTTTGTTTGACAATCAGGAAAACACTAAGTTCAGAAGAACATAACTTCCTTTATTTTAGCTCTGAAGAGGTCTTAAAGGAAGAATTCAATTAAAAATGTTTACTATCTAAGTATCAACTCTGCCTTAAATATAAAATAATCAAATGTGAAGGTATTGTAAGCAAACCAAGTTATACATAATAATTTTTAAATCTAAAATAAAATGATTACATTGATAATGAAAGTAAATTGTATATAGTATATAGTTTATTTTTTCTCAAAATGTTTTGGTGGATTTCATTACTTTCCTACCAGCTTCTCTAGTATAAATTATCAGTTATTCCAAGGCTTGGAGAGAGTATAGTAGCTACCAGCTGTCACAAGTTAAATACTTCCCTTCATGAATTTCCTTTTGTGCTCCTAAATCCATATCCTCTTCTATGATCCTGTTTTCCACACTATTCCTAGAAGCCCTGCTAAGTTAAAAAAAAAAAGGGTCACTCACCTCCATGAAGCTTCAGCCCACCAAGGGGCAGAGGCAGGCACTTGAATCAGAGCTCAGCAGGCCCAGGATGGCTGCAGACTGGGAGTCAGGGACCTTTTAGTTTTCAAGGAATGGGCTCAGAGCATGATGGAAGAAAGAAAAGTTCAGGAGCTGGAGAGAAGCAGCAAGGCCAGAGTGAGGTCTGGCAGATTCCGTGACAGTTTGTCAGTTAACTTTGATCATCATTTGCTTAAGAGAAAGAGAAACCCTCATTAGAATACCCTACCTGCCCAACTTTTCTTTTGTAGGAGACAAGGGCAGCTCATTTAGATTCGAGTTAGTGGTCTAATCTTAAGGTTCATAGCTCCCCATTTCTGGACTAAGGATGCTCTATGAAAGAGGAAATACACGTCAGCAGCAGCCTATATTAAGCCTAACTCATGAAAAATAACCACCTCACCCCTGTTCATGATCCCATCACACCATCAAGACACCAGCTGAGTGGCTTTAATAGAGAGCTAGTTCACCTCTCATATTCCAATGAAGCAGCCCTGATTTTATCTCTGAGACAGTAACACAGGCCTGGGAAACACCAGGCCCTAAGAAAGCAGGATGAAAAAAGCTTCATTTCATACAGCTTTCTTCAGCAGTTTTAGCTCGCAGAGAGATGTACCAACACTGTGCTCCTGAGTGACTTATAAAGAGCCACCACAGAGCCAAACAGTTTTTCTTACAGTAGTTCCTCTAACTCAATATGATTTCTTGCACGTCTAGCTCCTGCCTAGCTGTCCAGACTTAATGACCACAGCTCTTTCCCCAGTGTTTGGGATCGCCCAAATATGTCACGCTTCTGCAGCTTTGTATATGTTGTCCCTTCGGATGGGAGTTTCCCTTCCCCCACACCCCCGTCATTATCTCTTTACTAAACTCTTCCCTAACCACCCCCTCATCCCCAAACCAAGCTTTACCCACTTCCCTGTCTCTTGTAGAAGATATTTTGCTGGCTCTATACCAGAGGTTACCAACCTCAGCCCTATTGATATTTTGGGCCTGCTAAGTCTTACGTTAGAGGGGCTGTCCTGTGAATTTTAGGATATTTAGCAGTGTCCCTGGCGTTTACACACTAGATGCCTGTAGCCACCCCCCCCCCACCAAACCCAGTCATAACAAAAATGTCTCCAGTCATTGCCAAATGTCTCCTGGGGGCAGGGGTTGGAATCACTCCCCAGTTGAGAAACACAGCTTTACTCCCTTCCTTCCTTCCTTCCTTCCTTCCTTCCTTCCTTCCTTCTTTCCTTCCTTCCTTCCTTCCTTCCTTCTTTCCTCTTTCTTTTTTTCTTTCTCTTTCTTTCTTTCTCTCTCTTTCTGTTTTCTTTCTCCCTTTCTTTCTCTCTCTGTTTCTTTCTCTTTCTTCCTTTCTTTTTCCTCTTTCTTTCTCTCTTGCTCTCTTTCTTTCTTTCTCCCTTTCTTTCTCTTTCTCTTTCTTTCCTTCTTTTCTTTTCTTTTTTCTTTTCTTTCTGACAGGGTCTCACTATGTTGCCTAGGCTGATCTCAAATTTCTGAGCTCAAGCTGTCCTCCCACCTCAGCCTCACAAAGTGCTAGGATTACAGGTGTGAGCAACACCACGCCTGGCCTAGTTTTACACATTTCTATAGCACCCTAGATCTTTGTACACGTGGCTTTAACAGAGTGTATTCTAATTGTTTGATTGCATGTCTGCCCCTCCACTAAGTTGTGAACAAACCACAGGATAGGTAGTACTGTATCTTGCTCACCTTGGCAATACATGGCATTTGTTAGATCAAAACCTTTGTCAGATAAATGTCTATGAAATGCTGGTGATCACTTAGTCAAAAAAGTAATTTTGTTTCATCTTGATTGTTTTTGTTGTTGGCTAAAACATTTGACAATGCTTAGTATAGCTGATTTTACTAAAGCCAGCGCCTGCACATTTTTGAACCTTTAGCCTAGGGGTAAGAGTACTGGCCTAGAAGATGGAAGCCTTGTCTCTCACCACCAGAGCACTGAATAGCCTTAGCTAAGACATTTAACTCCTATGGGTGTCAGTTCCTCCTTCTTTAAAATGTGAATTCCTAAGACCCCCTTCTGTCTCTAGAAGCCTGTGATTCCAAATCCTATGTAGCAAGAAGTCTCAATCTTCACAAAGAGTACTTCAAGTCTTTTTTTCACTATTTAAAAACAGTGTCCAGGCATGGTGGCTCATGCCTGTAATCTCAGCACTTTGGGGGGCCAAGGTGGGAGGATCACCTGAGCCCAGGAGTTCAAGACCAGCCTGGGCAAGATGGCGAGACCCTGTCCCTACAAAAAATTTAAAAATTAGCCAGGCATGTTGGCACGTGCCTGTGGTGCCAGCTACTCAGGAGGCTGAGGTGGGAGGATCATTTGCGCCCAGGAGGTCGAGGCTGCAGTAAGCCATGATCATATCCCTGCACTCCAGCATGGTTGACAGAGTAAGACCTTGTCTCAAAAAATAAAAATAAAAAATAAAAAAATTCCATTGCTGTAAACGAGACCCAGAGTGATGGTTAATTTTGTATGTCAACCTGACTAATATACCCAGTATAAAAGTTGCTTAAGCAAGAATGAAATTTATTTCTCTCTTAAGTAAAAGTCCAAACTTCTATAGTGGCTCTGGTTTGCAAAGTTGTCAGTCTCCCAAATTCCTTCTCTCTACTTTGTTAACACAGAACTCACAACATCCATAAATTTGGAGAGGAGACTTTATTTCTTATAAAGCGTTAAAGGCCTGCAAGGTGGCCATCCCACAGGCCAGGAAGTACAATCTCTGGCAAAGACCAGAGACAGGCACTTCAAAGGAGGAGCAGGGGTAGGAACTTGATGCTGAATAGGTTGGCTAAACATACATATTCAACAGGTTACAGGAGGAGCTATGAATAATTATGAAGGTCATCCTGACTCATGCTTATTGAACAAACATGCATGTAACATACAACCCATGTTCACTTTGAGGTGGAGACTTAACTCTTTTTGTTGTTGTTATTGTTTGTTTTTTGTTTTTCGCGACGGAGTCTTACTCTGTCACCCAGACTGGAGTGCAGTGGCGCCATCTCAGCTCACTGCAATCTCTGCCTCTGAGGTTCAAATGATTCTCCTTCCTCAGTCTCCCAAGTAGCTGGGATTACAGGCGTGCACCACCACACTCAGCTAATTTTGTATTTTTAGTAGAGACGGGGTTTTGCCATGTTGGCCAGGCTGGTCTCAAACTCCTGACCTCAAGTGATTCACCCACCTCAGCCTCCCAAAGTGCTGGGATTACAGGCGTGAGCCACCACGCCAGGCCTAAGGTGGAGACTTAACACTTAAATGCATAACAATTAGACCCTATAAGTCAAAATGCCTGTTCAGGACAGGAAGGAACAAGGGTGCTTAGCCTCTATAAACTGGCCAGAACCAGCCCATAGTCAGTGGTCTTCTTATCAAGAGAAAGTGGCTGGGTGCGGTGGCTCACGCCTGTAATCCCAGCCCTTTGGGGGGCCGAGGCAGGCAGGTCACAAGGTCAGGAGATGGAGACCATCATGGCTAACACGGTGAAACCCCATCTCTACTAAAAATACAAAAAAATTAGCGGGGCGTGGTGGTGGGTGCCTGTAGTCCCAGCTACTTGGGAGGCTGAGGCAGGAGAATGGCATGAACCCAGAAGACAGAGCTCACAGTGAGCCGAGATCGGGCCACTGCACTGCAGCCTGGGCGACAGAGCAAGACTCTGACTCAAAAAAAAAAAAAAAAAAAAATTGCTTATCTCAGCTGGTGCTTGTTTAGCTGCTAAACAAAAAGAAAAACTGACAGGGCAGAACTCCGTCTCAAAAAATAAATAAATAAATAAATAAATAGAAAATCTTGTGGCAGTTAGAACATAGTTTATTCTTTAAGTGTAGGAGTGCATGACATAACACTTGCCTGGCATGACCTTAGATCTTACGAATAATTTGTTATTGCCACAAAGGGTCTATTCTGTCAGCCTTATGATCTTTATTTTGACATTAATGCTGGTCAGTTGTTGTGTCTAAACCATAAAAGAGACGGAGATATAATGAAGCGTGTCTGACCTCCCATCCCGTCATGGCCAGGAACTCAGTTTTAAGGTTTTTCTGGGGTCACTTTGGTCAAGAGGGGTTCCATTCAGTCAATTAGGGGGCTTAGGATTTTAGTTTACAACTTACTTCACCATCTCTAGGGTGTTGTCTTTATTTATGTGGTCCAGAATGTCCACATGTGGCCAACTAAAAATTGATGACTATAAGAAAGGGAAAGTTGCTTTAAGGACGACCCCAGTATCTGGCACACTCTGGCAACTGAAGTCCAGAGCTGAAGCATAAAACCAAAGGAAACAAAAAGCAGTCTCAGAGCATATGAGAAATCAAAGAGTTTCTTATATACTGCAGATAGCAATTTTAAAAATCAGTATTTTTAAGCTCAGAGCATTGGATGCCAACAACCCATAGTTCCTGCACAAAGACATGGAAAAATCCAGCCACAGGATCTGTCTTGAGCAATAAGGCATACATCATATATAACTGCAGTGATACTGATGGAGGCTGATTTTTTTCAAACAAACTGGGCAGTGTTAGTATGTGTAAAGGAAGTGCAGAAGCACTGACTACAGATGTGGCCACATTCTATAGAGTAGATGTGTTGTATACTAAGTTCAATCTCTGAGCATCCATCCATGCAAACTTGACACTGAATATAACCAGGTAGTATATGACAAAAAAAATTTTTTTGCAGGGAATTATGGTGGGCACTGTTGGTTATACATACATCTCTGTCCCTTTTCACTCCCTCCTCATCATTGTTCACCACACAACTGCCAGTGTGGTCTTGGAGTGGCCTTGTGTTTGCTCTTGGCCTCCTCCTTTGTTCAATAATCACTACAGAGTCACGGTGAGTTAGGTCAATCACTACAGGTGCTAGAGATTCACAGGTGAGGTCAACTACTTCATCACTTTCCCCAAGTTCTATCAGTTCTGCATCCAAGGCTATGTTAGGTGTTGGGCCTCCTTCTCTGGCTATAGGGAATGCTCAGGCTTGTCTGGAATTCACCATGCTGTCTCAGCTTATTATAGTATTCCATTGTGCTTTTTGGATTCAGTCTTAGAGAAGTAAATGATCTGTGCCAAGGTTTACAGCAGATATTAAAACTCTTCGATGTCTCACTGCTGTTGTTCAGTCACTCTCTGACTTATAAGAATTTAGAGGTCAGATTTCCCCACATATTTGAACCCTTATTCTGGGTCCAGTCCTGTCTTCACTTCCACAACTGCTGTGTTCCCACAGGGAGTGGATCTTCTGGGAGCCATTTGTAAGATAGTTCAATCTGAATTTTTAACTGAAAAAAAATGAGAGAAAAATTAAGCTTTAGTAATGTCTAAATCAAGACTGATAGTAGTGTATGTATAAAATGTATAGCTATATATAGAGAATGTATACAAAAAACTTTTTATAGTTATGCATTTGAACAAAATTTGGAGGCCACTGCTGTTGAAACTGAGTGCCCCTCCCTATTCTATGACCTGATGGTAGTGAGGAGGAGGAATCTAAGGGGCACTTACATGAAGAGAAGCACAATATCATTGAACACCCAAGAAAGGGTTACTACTTCAATTAAGAGCTTTCTCTTTCCTTTTTTTTTTTTTTGAGAAAGAGCCTCACTCTGTCACCCAGGCTGGAGTGCAGTGGTGCAATCTTGGCTCACTGCAACCTCCGTCTCCCCGGGGTTCAAGCAATGTTCATGCCTCAGCCTCCCATATAGCTGGAATTACAGGTGCATGGCACTACACCCGGCTAATTTTTGTATTTTTAGCAGAGATGGGGTTTTGCCATGTTGGTCAGGCTGATATCAAACTCCTGACCTCAGGTGATCTGCCTGCCTCGGTCTCCCAAAGTGCTGGGATCACAGGCATGAGCCACAGCGCTTGGCCCACTCACTCATTTTTTATAAAGTAAAAACGGGAGACCAAAAAATCTCCTTACATACTCCTAAAAGCAAATAAGAAATAAACCATTTACTCTACTTGCAGGTTCATCTTGCCCAGTGTTTTCTTTCTAACAGAGGCAACAAATGGAGTTCTGAAAAATTTATCCCAGATTGCCTTCTAGGAAAGAGAGGATGGAGTTCGAGCATTAGCCATAGAAAGGCTTGGTTTGGGTCTAGGCTCTGTGACTTTTGAGCATGTGACCTAGAAGTTAAGTTGTCAAAATCACAGCATGTAAATCTTTGTAAAAATTAATTAGCTTATAATTTTAAAATAATGCATAGTCATTAGGGAAATACAAATCAAAACCATAAAGAGATACCATTTCGTATCCACTAGAATGGTTATAATAAAAAAAGATTAAAAGTATTGGTGAGGATGTAGAAAAATTGGAACTCTCATACACAATGGTACATTCAGCTTTGGAGAACAGCCTAGTAGTTCCTTAAAAGATTAAACATAGAGTTACCATATCACCCAGCAATTCCACTCCTGCATATATACTCAAGAGAATTGAAAATCTATGTCCACACCAAAAATTTATACATGAATATTGATAACCACATTTTATTCTCAGTAGCCGAAGAGTGGAAACAATCCAAATGCCCATTAACTATAGATGGATAAACAAAACTTAGTATATCTATACAGTAGAGTAATATTCATCAATAAATAGGAATGAAGAACTGATCCTTGCTACAATATGACGACCTTTGAAAACAGAAGCCAGTTACAAAAGACCACATATTATATGTTTCTGTTTCTATGAAATACTAATAGGCAAACCCATAGAGACAGAAAGATTGGTGGTTTCCTAGGACTAGGGGTTTGGGAGAAATGGGAGTGACACCGAACTGGTACAAAATTTCTTTTGGGAGTGACGAAAATGTCCTAAAATTGAGGTGGTTACACAACCCTGTGAATATACTAAAACCCACTGAAATGTACACTTAAATATGTTAATTGTATGGTTTGTGAACTATATCTCAATAAACAAAGATGTAAGCTGCCAAAAATGTTACACAATACAATAGGACACGAACTGGATTTAGATCGGCAAACCGTAGAACCTAGTGAGGAAATGAGAAGCCCAGCAGGAAAACGGGCGGACCCCAGAGAAGGGCTTAGGGCTCTGCGCTCCCCTGCATGCACCGGCCTACTTACCGAGATGGTACTTCTCTTGGGCCCCACAGACACCTGCTTCTCCCCGGATCGCTATTCTCGACTATTTGCGTTTCGCGACCGGCCTGCCCCTCCTCTTTCCCGCTCTGCCCAGGAAAAGCGAGCCCTCGGAAGGAACCTGGGCAGCCCCAGAAAGCAGTGCCCATCACTTTCCAGCTCCATCCACCCAGCAGCCCATCAATGACCTAAATATGCTGTCTGTTCCACCCAGTCCTGCCCGGTAGTTATTCAGCGATGAGAGAGTAGGAAGCTTGAGCTCCAGGAGTGTGCCACTTTCCCGGCCCTCCGTGGCTTCCCAGTCCCGGACAGAGACCTGAGCAAGCCGAACCCGGGTGCCTGGCTGCACTGGGCTGGGAAGGAGGACCGGGCGGCCGCAGGCCAGGGAGGGCAATTGGAGAGAGATAGAAGCAGAGGGAGGGGGAGGCAGAGGAGAAGGTACTCGACGATGGACGCGCCCAGGCTGGGGGCGGCGCCCACAGAGCAGAGCCAAGGTCACGAAGCAGAGCGTCTGCGTGCAAACTCCCGGAACTGGATAGGCTAAAACACTAGCTTGTCACCCTTTTAATTCGCTTTTACAGTTTCCGAACTGCCCAATCAAAACCCGAGCCCAGGGTCGCTCGTCACCGGTCTCTGGACAAAAAGCGCTGTTTCAGATTAGAAATCAGGACTTTCCCGTCCTGGTTTCTCTTTCTTCAAAGCCAGCTGCTTTCCGAGAAAGGGGAAGGGCAGGGTTGCTTCCCTCACCCCACCCCATGCAGTGATGAGATCAGCAACTTCCCACTCTCTAGATAAGTGATTCTCAGTGGTTGTTCCAATGAAGTCACTTGGAGTATTTATTAAGAGGCCGAGGGCCAGAGGTCGCAGTCCTCTGCAAGCACACTTAATGTATAAAAAAGCAGCCGGGCGCTGTGACTCACGCCTGTAATCCCAACACTTTGGGAGGCCGAGGTGGGCGGATCACTTGAGGTCAGGAGTTCTACATCAGCCTGGCCAACATGGTGAAACCCCTTCTCTACTAAAAATACAAAGATCAGCTGAGGGTGGTGGCGCGTGCCTGTAATCCCAGCTACTCAGGAGGCTGAGGCAGGAGGATCGCTTGAACCCAGGAGGTGGAGGTTGCAGTGAGCCCAGATCTCGCCACTTCACTCCAGCCTGGGCAACAGAGACTCCGTCCAAAAAAAAGCCTGCATATAATCTGGGCTTACAAGCACCAAGGACATGTAAGAAATGTGTTTTATATTTTTATATTTTTTTATTTTTTTATTTCTTGAGTATTTATTGACCATCTACTACCTCAGGCTCATATACACTGAATTTTCCAGGAATATAACTACCAGGTAACTCAAAGGAAGATGTATGTTGGTTTTTTATTTTTGGAGTTTTACCTAGAGATTTTCGCCATTTTAGAAAATTACACCAGAACCTGCAATACCATACTTGAATCTGAGCCATCAATCCAGCGTGCCTCTCAGTCTTCCATGCCGCTGGTTCACAGAGATCCTAGGCAGTTGCAAGTGTCTGGCACTTCTTTATACCAGCAGTGCAGCCAAGCTAGAGCATTCACAAGCTAAATTACTTAATTTTCATGATCATATTAGTAAAAGAATCACCACAAAACAATTGTTATAAAAAGGGGTTGTTGGGGGAAAGGGAGCTGTTGAATATGATTGGGGTTGAAACCTCTAATCCACACTGCAATCCTGGGGACGGTGCCCACCTCAGTCTGCCAAGCCTGAGCTTGGATACTGAGTTTCTATCCTAGAAATCTGTCAGATAAGGCTCCATTACATAAATGACTTGGTTGCTGCATCGTCACTAGGAACCCTTCATTCTCTTCACCTTTCCTGGCCTCAGTAAAAAAAAAATACACCTTCATTCTGGAAAACCCCTATGCTGCCAGAAAAGAGTTCTACCTGTAGGCCTACCTTTGGAGGAACTGTCCAGAATGAGTCAGGGCCATCTTGTTACTGAAAGCCTTTTAGGGAAAGGGATTCTCCCGTAGTTTCTTCTTTCATCAGATTAGTGCCAAGAAGTTTTCCATTGTACAAAATGAGTATCCTTAATCCAAAAATCTGAAATCCTAAATGCTCCAACATCTCAAACTTTTTGAGCACCAACATGATGCTCAAAGGAAAGGGTCACTGGGGCATTTTGGATTTTAGATTTTCACATTAGAGATGCTCAACTGATAATTAACAAATATTCCAAAAATCAAAAAAAAATCCAAAATTTAAAACACTTCTGGTGCCAGGCTTTTCGGATAAGGGATACTCAACCTGTATCTCCCTGCTGTGGTAATTTGCTCTAATGAGCTGTGAAAATAAAGAACCACTGGAAGTAAAAGCAGTTGCCTGGAGTCTTGCATCTTAGAGAGCCCTTCTCATTGCCATCCCCTTCTCAGAACCACCCTAAAAAGAGTGCCCGGCACAAAGTAGACACTCCATATTTATTTAACAAATGACTAAGTGAATAAATAAGTAAATTTATGATATAGGAATAATTATCCCATTTTATGGATATGGTGACAAAGGGTCAAGTCAGCAATATGACTCTTTTCCAATTTCTTTTGTGGAATTAGGATTCAAACTCAGGTCTGAGTCCAATATCATACACACTGTAATGCTATCCCCTTAGAAACTTTGAACTTGTAATGGAAGTTTGGGGTTGCATGTGTTATGGGCCCAGCAGAGGATGTTGACAGGAAACATGACTCACCCAGATCTGGCTTTATAAGCCAGTCCTCAGCTTTTGCATAGTTTGCTGCTAACAGCTAGCATCTGCAATTACCCTCAGTCCTGCAGATTACCCTCAGACACTGGAGGGAGCCGGAAGTACCTCGGAGTTTTATGTTTCACCTCGTTCCACAACCCTGGATAGCCAAAGACAGGCTGATGAAGAGCACCAAAGCCCAGCTCCTTTGTGTTGAGGCAGGAAAAACTCTGAGGTGTGTTCTTTGTTCTAAAGCTTCCCGTGTGATCAGGCTGAGTGTAGGACTTCGGAAATCATGCTCTCGCTTGGCTTCTTCCCATTCCCTGTCCTTCATCCCCCACTCCTTTACTGTTCTTTTCCTAGGAGCCCCCCACTTTTTTTTTTTTGAAACAGAGTTTCACTCTTCTTGCCCGGGCTGGAGTGCAATGGCACGGTCTCGAAGAGCCCTTTCTTAACAAGTCATTTGCATCCAAATCTTTGGCTCAGGGCCTGCTTTTGCAAGACTCCACCTAAGACACTCGCTGACTCTTCAGATGATGAAAATGGCATGCACACTTGCAGACAGCTAAGGATTCTGTCTTCGTCTTTCTGTTGCTATAGCAGAATACCTGAGATCAGGTAATATACAAAAAAAAGAGGCCAGGTGAGGTGGCTCATGCCTGTAATCCCATCTTTTTGGGAGGCCGAAGACTGGAGGATCTCTTGAGGCCAGGAGTTTGAGACCAGCCTTGGCAACATAGTAAGAATCTGTCTCTACAAAAAGTTTTTAAAAACTAGCGATGCGGCCGGGCGCAGTGGTTCATGCCTGTAATCCCAGCACTTTGGGAGGCCAAGATGGGTGGATCATGAGGTCAGGAGATCGAGACCATCCTGGCTAACACGGTGAAACCCTGTCTCTACTAAAAATACAAAAAATTAACCTGGCGTGGTGGCAGGCACCTGTAGTCCCAGCTACTTGGGAGGCTGAGGCAGGAGAATGGTGTGAACCCAGGAGGCAGAGGTTGCAGTGAGCCGAGATCGCACCACTGCACTCCAGCCTGGGTGACCTAGCAAGACTCCATCTCAAAAAAAAAAAAAAAAATTAGTGATGCATGGGGGTGTGCATCTGTAAGCCCCGCTACTCAGGATGCTGAAGCAGCAGGATCACTTGAGCCCAAGAGTTTGAGGCTGCAATGGCACAATGGCAGAGCAAGATCCTATCTCAAAAAAAAGAAAGGAAGAAAAATGTATGGAAGAGGCTGAGAAGTTCAACATTGAGGGGCTGTATCTGGTTTGCTTTGGGTGAGGGCTTTGTTCCGCATCATAACATGGGTAAAGATATCAGAGAGGCATCATAACATGGCTAAAGATAAAGATTTAGAGGGGCACAAGAGAAAGAGCGAAACTGGCTTTTATAACAGACCCATTCTCAGGATAACCCATTAATCCATTAATCCATTCATGAAGGAGCCCTCATGACCCAGTCACCTCTTAAATGCCCTACTTCTTAATACTGTTATATTGAGGATTAACTTTCTTTTCTTTGCCTCATTATTTTTTATTTTTTAATTTAATTTATTTTAGATAGATAGATAGATAGATAGATACATAGATACATAGATACATAGATACATAGATAGACAGATATGAGGTCTCACTATATTGCCCAGACTGCTCTTAAACTCCTCCTGGGTTCAAACAATCCTCCTGCCTCCGCCTTCCAAGTAGCTGGGACCACAGGTGTGTGCTACCACACCCAGCTAATTTTTGTTTGTTTGATTTTGTAGAGAGGAGGACTCACTATGTTGCCCAGGCTGGTCTCAAACTCCTGGGCTCATGCGATCCTCCAGTCTCAGCCTCCCAAAATGCTGGGATTAGAAGTGTGAGCCACTGTGCCCAGCCAGGATTAAGTTTCAACATGAATTTCAGAAGGGACAAACATTCGAGCCATAATAAATGACGAGAAAACCACTTCAACTATGCTGTGTCATTCAGTGGCAGCAAAAGTCCTCTCAGTTTTTCTAAGTGAAAACAGTAAAAAGAGGAAGTGCCTGTAATCCCAGCACTTTGGGAGGCCAAGGCGAGCAGATCACGAGGTCAGGAGTTTGAGACCAGCCTGGCCAGCATGGTGAAACCCCATCTCTACCAAAAACACACACATAAAAAAATTAGTCAGGCATGGTGGTGCATGCCTGTATTCCCAGCTACTCGGGAGGCTGAGGCAGGAGAATCACTTGAACCCAGGAAGCAGAGGTTGCAGTGAGCCGAGATTGCGCCACTGCACTCCAGCCTAGGCGATACAGTGAGACTCTGTCTAAAGAAAAAAAAAAAAAAAAAAAAAGAGGAAGTGGTCCATGTGGTCCGTGGGGGAGGGGAAGCCTGCACATCATTGCAGGCTTCACTTGGGCCTGTGTGTCTTACCAAAGACATAGATAACGCTTCAGTTTCTTAGGCTTTTTAATCACCTATGTTGTGGAGGACCAAAGATGTCTAATAATTGCATCCAACTAATGACAGGAGATATATAGAGTTTAGTGCATAGTAAGTGCTTTAATATATGCTCGACTGTTATTTTAATTGTATTTATCAGTTTTTTTTTCTGTTAGGCCTTCTTGTAGCTCTCCAAAGTACCAGAATAATTTCTATGCACAAACTTTTCAATCAAGGTAATCACAGATGTTTTATTATTTATTTTGCGTTATCTAGAACCCAAATATTAGCCTTCAATTTTTTTCCTATAGGTCTAGACTCCAGGGAAAGACAATGCCAATTTTTCCCCCTAAAACTTTGATGGCTACATCACAGACAAAATATTTTTTTATTATAGGAAATGGCTGAGTGTGGTGGCTCTGTAATCCCAGCACTTTGAGAGGCGAGACTGGAGGATCGCTTGAACCCAAGAGTTCAAGACCAGCCAGGGAAACATAGTGAGACCCCCATCTCTACAAAAAAATACACAAAAAAAATTAGCCAGGAATGGGTGGTGCACACCTGTGGTCTCAGCTACTTGGGAGGCTGAGATGGGAGGATTGCTTGAGTCCAAGAGGCTGAGGCTGCAGTGAGCCAAGATTGTGCCTCTGCACACAAGCCTGGGTGACAGGGTAATACCCTGTCTCAGAAAAGAAAAGAAAAGAAAAAAAGAAAAGACCTTGAGTTTTGCTTCAAGGGTTTACAACACAAAAATGACAAGTAAAAAGCAACAGCCCAAAAATACCGTGAAAGTGGTTGTTGACAAAACTAGAAAGACATATCCATTTGTGACATGTTTTCCTTAGGGATCATGAAAAAAAGTAAGATATAAAAATTATTATTTAACAGTAACCCCTTTTTTAAAGGAGGATACAGTTAACCTTTGAACAATACAGATTTGGGGTGCAAGGGTCTACTTTTTTTTTTTTTCCTTTTTGAGGGACTTGCTTCATCACCCAGGCTGGAGTGTAGTGTCCTGATCTCTGCTCACTGCAGCCTCAACCTCCCAGGCTCAAGTGATGCAAGCGTCCACTTTTTTGTGTGTGTGTGTGTGACAAAGTCTTGCTCTGTCACCCAGGCTAGTGTGCGGTGATGCAATCTCCGCTCACTGCAACCTCCGCCTCCTGGGTTCAAGTGATTCTCCTGCCTCAGCCTCCCAAGTAGCTGGGATTACAGGTATGTACCACCACACCCAGCTAATTTTTGTATTTTTAGTAGAGATGGGGTTTCACCATGTTAGCCATTTTTTTTTAAAGAGACTGGGTCTCGGCCGGGCGCGGTGGCTCACACCTGTAATCCCAGCACTTTGGGAGGCCGAGGCGGGTGGATCATGAGGTCAGGAGTTTGAGACCAGCCTGACCAACATGATGAAATCCCGTCTCTACTAAAAATACAAAAAATAATTAGCTGGGTATGGTGGCGGGTGCCTGTAATTCCAGCTACTCAGGAGGCTGAGGCAGGAGAATCGTTTGAACCTGGGAGGTGGAGGTTGCAGTGAGCTGAGATCACGACATTGCACTCCAGCCTGGGTGACAGGGCAAGACTCCGTCTCAAATAAATAAATCAATAAATATGTACATACATAAATAAATACATAAATAGAGAGAGAGACTGGGTCTCACTATGTTGCCCAGGCTTGTCTCAAACTTCTTAGCTCACGCAGTCCTCCCACCTTGGCCTCCAAAAATGCTGGGATTACAGGTGTGAGCCACCATGCCCCACCTAGTTTGTTTTTTTAAAGTGGCTTCTTACACATATTTTGTAGAAACTAATTTTTGTTTCAGCAATATAGTATGGGTATGCTTCCATGTCAGTATGTAGGATCTACTTCTCTATTACTGATGTTGGGACTTTTCAGTTTAATTTGCATTGCACAATTATATTTAATAAGGTTAATTAAGCTTCCTGTATTCCTCCTCTTTGCTTGCTCTCTTCTAAAAAGAGAAACTAAGGCATGCTCCAAAGGAACTGTGAAAGTTGGTCATCAAACTGGGTCATTTTTGTCTTACTCAACTAAAACAGAGTCAAGAAGCCAGGGAGAAGCACTCAGGGCACAAAACATTGTTCCAAAAATGCGATTTTCTGCAAGCCTGGAAGCTGAAACTGCCTGCTATCATCTGAAACCAGGTTTAACTAATGGCTACTGAAATGACCTGCTACAACTCTGAGACTAGTTCTGTTTATTGTCATCATTTGCCAATCAAAACTTGCCAGCTCCTCAAAACTTTACTAGCACCAGTGAAATTTTCTCAGAGCGATAAGTAACATTTTCCCATTTTATAAAACCTTTTTGTACTTCAGACATGCCAAAGACCAGCTGGTCTGTGTGTATGCCCTGAGTTGCAATTCTTTCCTCCCAAATAAAACATTTTAATTTCAGAGATTCAACTCTATATTTCATTTGACTTTGACATAGTATTACCTTGTAATATCAGCCAGCAGAGCAGCCCCTCACAAAATAGCTCTGTTGAATGATATGGAATGGAGAGAGAGTTCTTTATGACTGAACTCAATGGGTCTGTCAATCTTGGATGTACATTAAAACTATCTAGAGGTTTTTTAAAAAATAACACTATACCTGGGCTCCATACCGAGAGATTATGGTTTAATTGGCCTGGATGGGAGTCTGGGAAGCTGGTGAGTTGTTGTTGTTGTTGTTGTTGTTGTTGTTGTTGTTGTTGCTGTTTTTGAGATGGAGTCTCACTCTGTCACTCAGGCTGGAGTGCAATGGCATGATCTCGGCTCACTGCAACCTCTGCCTCCGAGGTTCAAGCGATTCTCTTGCCTCAGCCTCCTGAGTAGCTGGGATTATAGGCACGTGCCACCATGCCTGGCTAATTTTTGTATTCTTAGTAGAGACAGGGTTTCACCATGTTAGCCAGGCTGGTCTTGAACTCCTCGTAATCTGCTCACCTTGACTTTCCAAAGTGTTGGGCTTACAGGCGTGAGCCACCGTGCCTGCCTTGTTGTTTTGTGTGTGTGTGTGTGTGTGTGTGTGTGTGTGTGTGTGTGTGTCTGTGTGTGTGTTTGTTTTGTTCTTACAAACTCTACATGTAATTTTAGTTTGCAGCCAGGTGAAGAGTTAATGAATGGCCTAGGTAAGTGTGGTATAATATGAAACACATTTGGTCTTTGTCCCCAGTTCCTGTCAGAAGTTCCTAAAATCCTTTGAATTTTGAGTGATAGGAGTGTCTTTTATTATTAATAATAAGCCTCTTTGGTAACCCTTGAGTATATGCTAATGAGGTTATACTCATAGGTTTGGGCCCCTAGATAGCCTCAGGATGGTGCTAGTCACCAGAAAGACCAAGTGATGAGAAGATTAGTGTGTTGGAACTTCCACCCCCACCCATCCACCTCTGGGAAGGTGAAGGGGAGCTGGAGATCAAGCTCTATAAAAACTCTTGAACGATGAGCTTCCTGTTTGCTGAATGTGTGGAGGTGCTGGGAGGGTGGCATACACCTGGAGAGGGCATGGACTGTCACCACCACAACCCCCTACATATAGCCCTATTCATCTTTTCATCTAGTTATTCGTCTGTAGCCTTTAATCTTTTATAATAGATTGGTAAATATGAACTGTCCTAGCAAATTAACCAAAGTCAAGGAGGCAGTCATGGGAGTTCTGGTTTCCAGCTGGTCAGTCAGAAGTAGAGGTAACAACCTACAATGTGTGATTGGCATCTGAAGTGGAGGGCAGTCTTGTGGGACTGAACCCTCAACCAGCGGGATCTGACACCATCTCCAGGTAGATCCAATCAAAATCGAATTGAATTATGGGATACCCAGTTGGTGTCTGCTGGAGATTGTTTGGTGTTGTTAAATTAAGTTTAGCCTAGGCAGGGCACAGTGGCTCATGCCTGTAATCTCAGTACTCTGGGAAGCTGAGGCCAGAGGATCACTTGAGGCCAGGAGTTTGAGACCAGCCTGGACAACATGGTGAAACACCATCTCTACTAAAAACACAAAATTAGCCAGGCGTGGTGGCGCATGCCTGTAATCCCAGTTACTCGGGAGGCTGAGGAACGAGAATCACTTGAACCCTGGAGGTGGAGGTTGCAGTGAGCCAAGATGGTGCAACTGCACTCCAGCCTAGACAACAAGAGAGAAACTCTGTCTCAAAAAAAGGTTTAGCCTAAAGTTGCCTTAGCTGGGCACAGTGGCTCACACCTGTAATCCCAGCATTTTCGGAGGCTGAGGCGAAAGAATTGTGCAAGGCCAGGAGTTCATCTCTACTAAAAATTAAAAAACAAAATTAGCCAGGCATGCTGACATGTGCCTGTAGTCCCAGCTACTCTAGAGCCTGAGGCGGAAGGATTGCTTGAGGCCAGGAAGTCGAGGCTGCAATAAGCCATGATCATACCACTGAACTCCAGCCCGGGTGACAGAGTGAGACCTTGTCTCAAAAAAAAAAAATTAAATAAATAAATAAAACTGCCTCCCTGTGTAAGTTCAGGCTAAAGATTTCTCTCTGCATAGTGAACTGTAACCTAACTGGATGTGTAAACAGACTGTAACTTACTCTTATACCACAGAGTCTCAGCCAATCACAGGTGGCCAACTCTTCAAACCCTGTTTAAATGAGGCAAATGCTGAACTGCAACCAATCTGGCTGCTTCTGCCCCTGACTTCCATTTTCTGCACATCACTTTCCTTTTTCTGTCCCTAAATGTCATCCAACCATGTGGCACCCCCAGAGTCATTTTGAACCTATTCTGGCTCCGGCAGCTGCCTGGTTCGAGAATCATTTTTGCTCAGTTAAACTCTGTTAAATTTAATCTGTCTAAAATTTTTCTCCTAACAGAGTGTGGGGGGAAAACCCCTAAATATCCGGTCACAGAAGCATTATGTGTTAAGTGTAAGAGTAGAAATTTTAAAACTTTGTTTTTCTTTCAGAGTATCATCCCCCAATTTTTTCAGCTGAGTTCCTACAAGTCTTCCCCCAGACACCCTTCCTCCACTGTTTGGAATTACCCAAACCTGCCATGTGGCTGTCCTTCCTGGCTACCATGCCTGGAAACCCAGGCCCCACCTACCAATCAAGAGAACCACTAGCAACTTACTCTCAGCTCAGGCAAATGGCTTCTCTAACACCTCCCTAGATTTTTGTTGTTGTTCCTTGAACAACAACATTTCTTTTTTAAAAAAATTATTTTTTGTTTTTTTTAATTCAATTCTTTGAATTGAGACAGGGTCTTGTTATGTTGCCCAGGCTGGTCTCGGACTCCTGGGCTCAAGCGATCATCCTACCATGGCCTCCCAAAGTGCTGGGATTACAGACATGAGACACCTCGCCCAGCCTGAACAACAAAATTTCGATTGCCAAGTTCTTCGCGCGTACCTATGCTATATTCTTATCAGGATATATTTTAATTATTTGAGTGCATATCTGTCCCTCTGCTAAACTGAGAAGATCGGGAGCAGTGTTGTGTTTTATTTATCCTGTCAGTACCTAGAACTAGCTAACTCAGATTCTTGGTCAAATAAACAAAGCTGGCCATCAGGTATAAAACTATGCCTTGAAAATTTTAAATCTGTTATTTGTCATTCAAAGTACAGCGGGCCTTCCGTATCCAGGGGCTCCACATCTGTGGATTCAGCAAACCATGGATCAAAAACACTGGGGAAAAAAAGGGATGGTTGTGTCTTTACTGAGCATGTACAGACTTTTTTTTCTTGTCATTATTCCTTAAACAATAACAACTATTTGCATAGCATTTACATTGTATTAGGTATTACAAGTAATCTAGAAATGATTTAAAGTATACAGGAGGATGTGGATAGGTTATATGCAAATACTATACCATTTTATAGAAGGGACTTAAATATCCATAGATTTGGTGTCCAAGAAGGGGTCCTGAAACCAATCCCCCAGGGAGACCAAGGGATGATTGTATATCTATTCCTTGCTAAAATATTAAATCCTTCAGATACTTTTGCTCCCTCTTAGAGTCTGCATACTCCTCATGACCTGGCCCGCAGGAAAGAACGCTGGCTAAAATATAGAAGGCTGGCCTCCCACTAGACAGCTGTGTCACCCCAACTATGCCATTTAACTTCTTTGAGCATCAGATTCCTAATCTGGAAAATGTGAATCACTGAGGCCCTTTACACTGTGAGCCAAACTCTATATACAAGGGGTTCACATTTTTTACCAAGTGGAACTTGAAGACTGTTTCCCTGTTTGAAAATAAAGGGGTAATAGTGGGAGTGAGATATAAGAGATAACACATCAAGTTTTATGATTTATTTAACTTGTGGAACAAAAATAAACCAGATTAACCACAACCATGCCTTACTTTATCAAATGTATAAGAAGTAAATATGAATCTTATATGACAAAATGTTTCATTCATTATAACAAATTTCCAATAATCCTGTCAATTATATTTCTAAATTTTCCCCCAAATTCTAAGCAGAGTATGTAAATTGGAAGTTAACTTATGCACGCTTAACTATCTTAACAAGCTTTGAGTGCAAGAGATTGAAGAGTTCAAATCTGACCAAGATGTTGATGTTGGATAAGAGAATTCTCTGCTCCCCACCTCTAAGTTGCCAGCCCTCCTAGAGCTACCTGTGGAGCAACCTGCTCAGATACATCAAACATGGAGACAGCACTCAAAGTAGAATTATAAAGAAGATCATGTCCATGTTAACATTATTATAACCCTACATTTTGTGCATAAAGTGTAAGTGTATAAGCATATCAATATTAAAAAGCAAGCAAGCAGAATTTGGAATTCATCCAATCCAAATGCGGCATCTTCAAACCTGAAAAGAAAAGAAAAAGGTTAGCAATGAATTTATTTTATTTGGATTGCAGATCTCATTACCAAACTTGTCTAATTTCTACTGTGTAGATCACCTTTTTAAAAGAAGTAGCTGCAGACAGTTCTCCAAACCCATTATAAAGAGTATATCCTGTTAGTGTATCCCTTTGGTGCTCCCAAAATCTTAGAAGAAAAAATGCTGATATGATGTTTTGGTCAATGATGGACTGTATATATGACAGTGGTCTCATAAGATTAAAATAGCATATTTTTACTGCAACTTCTATGTTTAGATACACAAATACTTACCATTGTGTTACAACTGCCCACAGTATTCAGTACAGTAACAGGCTGTACAGGTTTGTAGTCTAGGAGCAATAGGCTATACCATGTAGCCTATGCGTGTAGTAGGCTACAACACCTAGGTTTGTGTAAGCATTTCTCAGAACATGTCCCCGTCATTAAGTAACACATGACTATATTAGAGTTCAGGTCCTGGCTCTACAATTTACTAACAGTGTGACTGGGCAGATCATCCACCTTCCTGATGCTCTCCCAAATCAATTCCCTGTTCTAGAATATAACAGGAGATTTGAATGGGGTTTCAGCATCAATGTACCCTGGGCAGTAGAATTTCATTGAAAAGCCTTTGGACTCCAACTAAAGATGCAGAGAAGTCCAAGTTCCTCCCTCTCTCTTGCTTCTGGAGCTCCTTGTAGTTACATCTATTATAGTATCATTATATCAAGTTATAACAATCTGTTTCCCTTTATCTCCTCTAGTGGCCTGGGAACCTCTAAGAGGCAAACACAGTCCCCATACAGGAATGGGATGTCTGCAGAGCTGTATAACTCCTCTCTTCTGTCTGAAGAATAAAACAACATTATACAAAGGAAAAGAGTGGTTCATTTTCTCTCCTCAGCAGAGATGTCCAATGTGGAAATGGCAGAAGAAAGATCAAAGCCTTGCAGGTAATGTGGGTAACCACCTGCCTTTATCCTGCAATACCATACTGGCAGTTCCTTTGCCCTCTCTGTAGAGGGTCAGTAATATGGCCATACCTGGGGCCATACACCTTCTTCATGCCACTCCACAGGAGAAGGGAACATGACCCTGTAGGATTCTTCTTTCCCTGCTAAAATGTTACTCTGTCAATGTTCTCCACATAGTGAGGGTTATCATGTTAGAGCTGTCTATAAATAGTCCTCAGGACAGTGAAACAAAAACATTTTCTCAAGGTCAAAAACTTACCTCCATGATGCTGCTTACATGTCTCGATCTATGAAAAAGACAGTGGAGAAAAAAAAGGAAGACATTAAGTTTTACTTTTAAAATACCATGTACTAACAAATGTCTAAAATGGTTAGAAATAAGGCTGGCAGAATAGGCTGCTGTTCCTACCCATGAATACATTGTTTAGAGCTACCCAGCAGGAACAAGCCCTTCCTACTAGCCTCAGATACCAATCCAGCCAGAAAGTACTGGAGAAGTCCAGGATTATAGGATGCTAGGACAGCAGGACTTACAAACAAAGGCCTATACCTTCTTGAGATGTTCGTTCAGTGCTAAATATACCTGAAGCTGCCACAAAAGCTAGAGGAAGCCAGTAGGTAAGAAGTGTTAAGAGTGTATATGTATTTGTGCAAGTGCTGCTGCTGCTCCCTGCTCAACTGCAGGGAAACTACTGGTTCAGAAACCATGCTGTGCATCAGTATCTCAGCAGGTGCCACTAATCTGATCTTTAAGAACATTCCCTGACAATCCCAATATGCAGATTGTTTATATCAGATGGGATGGGACTCATTCAGGGTAGTATGGCCATAGACCTTTTTTATATCAAAGCAGCTTTATGATATGACTACTCATACACAACTTTCAGCAGCTTACAAAAGAATGTAAGACTTACCCCACTTAACTATCTTGGGCTGTGACAAAGTCACATGGTTCACACGGCAGGCATACTCATCTTTTTCAGTGGGGGTGAATTCAGTGTAGTACAAGAGATAGAAAGACCAGTCCTTGCTGAAAGACAAGTCTGAATGCTCCACTTTTTCAATTCTCTCTCCATTCTTCAGTAAGTCAACTTCAATGTCGGATGGATGAAACCCAGACACATAGCAATTCAGGAAATTTGACTTTCCATTCTCTGCTGGATGACGTGAGTAAACCTGAATCTTTGGAGTACCTGAGGAATATCGGGAAAAGACACATTAATATTGCCAGGGTATTTCACTTGGGGCTAACTTGGTGTCAAGCTATATCAGGCACCAAGTGTTTACATTTGGTCATCGATTTCTCCCAATTCCATTTCCACTCTGGCCAAATGAGCTTCCACCTTCCCAACAAGCCACCTCCATTTTGAAGAATAAACCGTGACTTGGTATCTTTCCCTCATAATTCCTCTATACATGCCTTTTTTGTTTTTTTTCTAGCAGATTTCTAGCAGTATCTTCTGTCACTGGAGATTGCGCTGCATTTTTAAGAGCCTTTCTCTGGAGGCTCTCAAGGACTTCTGATGCCCTCTCAGCACTCATAGCATTCCTTAACACATCACTCAAGAGTCTACATGATTTGGCCCCAAGATACTTTTCAAAGTTCATTTCTCAGTTCATAATAGCCCCCATCAAATTACTCATGTTATTGTACTCTGTTTCCACCCCTTCCATTTTTTTTCTTATGTTTATGCCTTTCTTTTTGGTTCCTGCTCCTGCCTTGATCTACACCCATCTGATTTTCTAAACTGTATGAAGTGTCTAGTAGAGTGCCTGGGACATAGCAATTGCTCTATACGTGGCAGATGTTATTATCTGAGGTTCCTAAGTGGATCAACCCAAGGTATGTTCTTTATTTTTTTATTTTTTTATTTTTTGGGATGGAATCTCATTCCATTGCCCAGGCTGGAGTGCAGTGTGCAGTGGTGAGATCTCAGCTCACTGCAACCTCCGCCTCCTGGGTTCAAGTGATTCCTGGGACTACAGGCACACACCACCATGCCTGGTTAATTTTTGTATTTTCAGTAGAGACGGGATTTCACCATGTTGGCCAGGCTGGTCTTGAACTCCCAACTTCAAGTGATCAGCCTGCCTTGGCCTCCCAAAGTGTTGGGATTACAGGCACGAGCCACCGTGCCCAACCAACCCAAGGTATGTTCTTACCAAACAACAAAACCTCTTTATTTCTGCTGAGGTTTTATATGCCAGACCCCTCTCTGACTTTGTACCTAATTTCATGAGCTAAAAAACAAAGAAACAAAACCTAAATGCATACAAGAGCTGGCAAATACCTTAAATGGTTGAGTTGGACCCGATAAAATACAACAGGGATAGGTGAGGACTATGGCAAATGGGACAGAACATACTTTCCATTATGATCAAATGGAGTAATGCATGTGACAGTGGGATTTGCGTTTTAATTAGCATCCACAGGTGATTGCTGTAAACTAGCCAGGTTGGGAATATATTGCCTAATGTTTCAGAAACAGTACTTTCCAAAATGAGAGGCATGACTAGACCATCCATGGGGAAGTGGGAAGAAAATATTATAAACTCTATATTTTTCATTGAAAATGAAGAGAAGTGTTAGTGCTACTAAATATACAGATTGACACTAAATATATGTGTATAAAATTCTTTTAAATACACTTATATTCAGGGTACATGATCACTAAAAGGCAGCTACTCCTCCTTGTCTGGGAGGCTGTGGGGAGAAGGAGGAGTACCAGGCCACCTTGACCAGATATATCTCTCTAGAAACACCCTATCATTAAGGAAAGGCTACTAGCCCCATCAAGAGGTGGATTGGGGAATCTAATGAAGACCTGATTTTTTTCATAACATTAAAAGCTAAGAGAGCTCTTTGCATCTGAGCTTCTAATAATAAGAACATATTAAATGCCTCAGGGATCAGAGCACAGATTCATCCTGCCTGGAACTCTCTGTTTGAGGGAAGGCGGCAAGATTTTGTGAGAGCATCACTGTAATCTTTTCTAAGAAGAGGACAAGTATCAGACAGGCTGGGTTTGAATTTGGGCTCAACCAGTTACTGGCTTTATGACTTTTGGAGAGTTATTTAAGCTTCCAAAACTTAACTGAAAAATTAATTTATGCCCACAGTAAAACAAAAACAAAACCCACACACAGGTCAGAGGAGGAAAATAGACCTTCAGAGGCAATCATCATTACATGTTTCTTGTGGTATCTTCCAGAAATGGTCTATGCATGGCATGTATTACTTTGGAAATTTTCAAAATAAGATTTTTTTTTAAATATCAGATTGTTATTTTTTAAAATGACATCTAACATAACCAGCAAATACCAGTAATGGTGGTGATATATACATTATCCTTTATGTTGTAAATAAATTGTATTCAAATTAAATGCAATTTTCTCATGATCAAAACATTCTGCTTTCGATCATGTTTTGCCAGAGGAAAAGGTGAGCGCGCTTAGTGTATTGCCAGGTACTTAGAAAGTGCTCAAGATCTCTGGCGTCCTCAACAGTCTTGGTAACCATCTTGGATTATCTTTATTAATGGTTTTACAGCTCCCCTGACTGACAAACCTTCACTTCTTTCTTTCTTTTCTTTTCTCTTTCTTTTTTTTTTTTTTTCTTTTTTGAGAGACAGGGTCTCGCTCTGTTGCCCACGCTGGAGTGCACTGGCGCCATGATAGCTCAAAAGCCTAAGCTCAAGAGATCCTCCCGCCTCAGCCACCGGAGCAGCTGGGACCACAGGCACGAGCCACCACACCCGGCTAATTTTTGTTATTATTTTTTGTAGAGACCAGGCTTCACCATGTTGGCCAGGCTGGTCTCAACTACGGACCTCAAGCCATCCTCCCGCCTCGGCCTCCCTAAGTGCTGGGATTACAGGCGTAAGCTACCACGCCCAACCCCCTCATGTTTTCAAAACCGAAAGTAAGAGGCACAGTACATCTTGGAAACAACCAGGCAAAGAGCCAAAGAGGAAGCCCTCTGTACGAAAAGACCACAGGGCCCATGCCGCCCAGTTTGCTCTGGAGAATCTCACGCAGAAGGCAGGCGTTTTTCTTAAAAAAAAATGCACGAATTACAGCCAAAAGGCATGCGCTCCCGCAAAAGCCCTGGTTAGGCTTGACTTCAATCTCGATTGCTGCCATTTATCCCCTGTGTAATTAAGTTTCTTAAAATCTCGGTGCCTTAGTTTCTTCATCTGTGAGAGGCAGAAGATAACCATAGTAGTTATCTATGGCGGAAGATAACTGTTTTCAAAATTAAATGACGCAAAGCACATAAAGTCCTTGGCACACAGAAAGATGTCAATAACGGGTAGTTCTTATAATTTTTTAAAAGTGACATGTGATGGGAACAAATAAGTTAATTATTCGAAACCGCTTTGTATCACAGCCAAGCATTCTACAAACGTCGCGTGCTGTTTCCTCCCCACGGTGTGGCCCCACATAGACCCAGAGGTGCTAGGACATGCGAACTTAGCGGGCGCCTAGACGAAGTCCACAGCTCTCCAGTCTAAGGGAAGCAGAGCCGCAGCAGACAGGCTTACCCGGGCGACGCCTCCCCCAGACCCCAAGCGCCCCTCCACGCGTTCACAAACCTCAGCGCCGCGCCTTTGGGACGAGCCTACCCGTCCCCCACTCCAGCTGCGCTGGGGGAGCCAGAGGCCCCGCGAAAGAGCGGAAGAGAAACCCTCCCCCAACCTCGGCGCTCTGACGCTTATCGACGCCCTAAACTTTGTCCCGACCCTCCCGTCGCCGTAGGCCAAAGGTCTCCCCTGCTCCCCGCCGAAAGGGGCAAGTAGCGCGCGTCCCGGGTGCGCACCCCCTTCCCCACTCCCAGGCCACCCCGCCGCTTCCCCGAGATCCAGCCCTGGACTAGCCCCACGGCGGGCCACCAAGGAGAACTTGGAGAAGGGAAGTCACGGAGCGAGAGAGCACAGCGAGGGCCACAGAGGGTGCAGAGCGGGAGAGGAAGGACCAGAGCGGGAGGGTAGGAGAGACTCACGCTGGATAGCCTCCAGGCCAGAAAGAGAGAGTAGCGCGAGCACAGCTAAGGCCACGGAGCGAGACATCTCGGCCCGAATGCTGTCAGCTTCAGGAATGCCCGCCAGCGCGACGCCTCCACTTATATTAAACGCGTGCCCAGCCAATCAGGACAAGGCCCGCAGGGACCGTCACCTGTCTCCAAGCCAGCGACGCAGTGCCAGGTTAGAGAGAGGGACTTTCCCGTTTTCAGTTTCCTTTTCTTAGAGTCTCGTGATGTTTAAGAAGGCATGCACTAGACTGGGTGAGTTTGCTGTCTGTACATCGGCGCCCTCCGATCTGGGGTGCGCGCCCCAGCTTGGGACACCGGGCGCTCATTCTAGGACTTCAGGCTGGAGGCACATTAAGGCTGCCCCCTCGCTTTGCAGACTGGCCCCAGAGATGCTAAGTGACTTGCTAATGGTGCCCCAGCCAGTTAACTGCTCGGACCTGCATTTTTCATTCGAGAAAACGGAAACCCAGAAGATTAAGATCTTTGAATGCTACCTAGCAGAAGGAGAACTTCTGTTTATAACTACAGCTTGGGAATTCCCTGCAGGGTTTCTCCATTCTCTGGGTAAGAAAAATAGTCCCAAAAGCATCCTGAGGACAGCTCAGAGAAGGTCCTAGTGAAAGAGTACCTTTCTTGCTTCTTGTATCCCTTCAGGAAAAAGTGTTTGGAAAGTTCTGTGCCAAGAAGTTCCTCCCTATGTCCTTGCTGTTTAGGTAATTTTCTTTGTTCTGTTGATTTGTCGGGGGGCGGGGGGGAGAAAAAAACGACCACTAATAGTAAAAGCAGTAACTGCTAGGGCTTTAGAGCTTCCAGCGCCCTCTAGGTACATCATTCTCTTAGTTTCCACCCTAGAACAGGGGCTGGCACATAGTAGGTACTCAGTAAACCGAATGAACGAATGGATGGATGAATGAATGAATTAGTGAATATATAAATAAACTGTAGGAGGAAAGAATTACCCCCATTCATTTTATGGACAGGGGAAACAAAGGCTAAGAGACTAGAATTCAAACTCTGGCCTGATTCCATTGACATTAATATTTTAGACACTGGAAGACAAAGGGCTCGGCAATTTTAGTGAGAGTTTGGACTGCATCTGCCTTGGACCCAGCCAAGGACGTTAAACATGACAGGCAGACCCATTAAGAAAACCTACCCTCTAAAGTGACCATAAATAAGGTGCCGCCATTTCGTGGTGGTGGAGTCCACAGATCTTTTCTAAGAGGAACAGTGAGAAGAGGAAGTGGACCATGGCGATGGGGAGGGGCAGAGATCTTGGAAGTCACCATGGTTTTCAGTTGAAAGGATTTGCCTAGCTTCCCCAAGGAGCACAACAAATAACTTCTAGGTTTCTTTTACATATTTTTAGGCTTTTGATAATCTTTATTGTGGAGGCCATGCCTAAACTAAGAAAATGCAATACTCTCCATGGACCTAATGAAATGAGATAATGCACAAGAGAGAGCCTCCCACAATGCCTGGTACATAGTAAGTGTTCTGTAGTGTTTAATAAGCGCTATAATTATTAATATTATTTACCTAGTTTTTCTACCAGCCCTCTCAATAACTAAAATATGAGAATAATTGTTATGCCTAAATGTATGAGTTAAGACACTCTTGCTCCCTCCCTTTTCCCCCTTTTAAAAACTCATATAAGGCACTAAAGGCCTGAAATGTTAGTGTTGAGTTGTACTAGAAAAGTGCCTTAGAAGTTTAGCAAGGGACAGGGCTATTTTTGCCTCTAGTTTCTTGTTTACTACATCACAGAGAAACACTAAATTTAAAATCCATTACAGATAGATTCTGATTTACTCACTTGGAAAACCAATTTAAAAACCAATAAAAAACAGTACAGATAGAAAAAAGTCGATTTTACAGTTTTCTTTGGGGGGGAATACCTGTATTTTTCTTGGACTTACCATTTATGACATGTTTTGAATAGTGAGGGGGAAAATTATGTATACAACTATTTGTTTAAAAACAAGAGCACTGTTTGCCTAGGATGGCAAATTTGGGAAGTCTACAAACATGACAATTTCTTTTTTTTTTAATTTTTAATATTTTTGTGGAGACAGAGTCTTGCTGTGTTGCCCAGGCTGGTCTCGAACTCCTGGTCTCAAGTGATCCTCCTTCCCCAGCCTCCTAAAGTGCTAGGATCACAAGCATGTGTTACCACGCCCAGCCACAAATATGACAGTTTAATAGCTTTATCTCCCAGTAGTGCAATTAACAGATTAATAGCGGCCTTTTTTTCCCCTATATAACCCTCTTAAAATTTTTTTACAATGAACATTTATTCAAAGTAGTAAATGTTGGCAAGAATTTAGAAGAACTGGAACTCTCATACAATCCTGGTAGGAATATAAAATGGTATAAACAATTTGGGGCTGGATGTGGTGGCTCACACCTGTAATCTGAGCACTTTGGGAGGTCAAGGCGGGCAGATCACTTGAGATCAGGAGTTTGAGACCAGCCTGGCCAACATGGTGAAACCCTGTCTCTACTAAAAATACAAAAATTAGCTAGGCATGGTGGCAGGCATCTGTAACCCCAACTACTCAGGAGGCTGAGGCAGGAGAATTGCTTGAACCTGGGAGGCAGAGGTTGCAATGAGCCGAGATTGCACCACTGCACTCCAGCCTGGGCAACAGAGCAAGACTTCATCTCAAAAAGAAAAAAGAAAAAGGAAAACACTTCGACAGCTCTTTATAAAGTTAAACATACACTGGCCATAATATCCAGCCACTCCACCCAAGGTATTTGCCCAAGAGAAAATGAAAGCATATGTCTATACAAAGACTTGGACATTAATGTTTAATGTTTATAGCAGTTTTATTTGTGATAGCTGAAAACTAGAAACGATCCAACATACATCAACAGGTAAATGAATAAACCCATTGGAGTATATATCCATACAATGAAATACTATCATCAACAAACAAGGAATAAACTGTTGATACATGTAACATGGATGAAATAATCATGGTAAATAAAAGAAGTCAGACAGAAAAGAACATATACTATATGATTCTGTTTATATAAAACTCCAGAAAAGGCAAACTATAATCTATATGACAGAAAGTAGATGAGTGGTTTCTAGAGGGAAAGGAGATCATCTAAACATGAGGAAACTTTAGGGTTGATGGATATGTTAATTATCTAGAGTTCGATGATGATTTCAGTTATATTTTAGAACTTATTGTATACTTTAAGTGTAATATATTGTATGTCGATTATAAATATTTAAAAGGACATAGCTAGGGGAGGTGGAGCAAGATGGCTGAATAGACGCCTCCACTAATCCTGCTCCCTGCAGGAACACCAAATTGAATAATGATCCACACAAAAAAAAGCACCTTCATAAGAACCAAAAATCAGGTGAGTGATCACAGTACCTGGTTTTAACTTCGTATCACTGAAAGAGTAACTGAAGAGGGTAAGACAGTCTTGAATTGCTAAATGCTATCTCTCCCCCATTCGCCGGCAGCGGCCACCTGGCATGGAGAGAGAATGTGTGCTTCTGGGAGAGGAAGAGTGCAGTGATTTTCAGACTTTGCATTGGAACTCAGTGCTGCCCAGTCATAGCACAAAGCAACACTGGGAAGAACTCACCCAGGTCCCATGGAGGGATCATTTAGACCAGCCCTAGCTAGAGGCAAATCACCCATCCCAGCAGTGGGAACCTGAGTTCCAGTAAGCCTCCCCACCATGGGCTGAAGTGCTCTGAGGTTCTACATAAACTTGAAAGGCAGTCTAGGCCACAAGGATGGCAATTCCTGGGTAAGTCCTGGTGCTGTGCTGGGCTCAGAGCCAGTGAATGTGGGGGGCACACAACCTAGTGAGACACTAGCTGGGATGGCCAAGGGATTGCTTGCACCACCCCTCTCCCAACCCCAGGCAGGGCAGCTCAAAGCTCAGAGAGAGACTTCTTTCCTCTGCTTGAGAAGAGGAGAGGGAAGAACAAAGATGAGTTTGTCTTGCATTGGATACCAGCTCAGCTGCAGTAGGATAGGGCACCAGGCAAAGTCCTGAGGCCCACATTCCAGGCCATAGCTCCAAGCTGACATTTCTAGCCACACCCTGGGCCAGAAGGGAACCTGCTGCCTTGAAGGGAAGGACCAGTCCTGGCAGGATTCCTCACCAGCTGACTAAAGAGCCCTTTGGCCCTGAATAATCAGAAGTAGCCAGGTAGTACTCATCATGGGCTTTGGGTGAGACTCAGAGACGTGCAGGCTTAAGGTGTGACCCAGCACATTACAGCTGTGGTGGCTATGGGGAGAAATTCCTTCTGCTTGAGAAAAGAAGTGGAAAGAGTAAAGGGGACTTGGCCACTGTGGGGTTAGAATACCAAGTGGCCTCTTAAGGTCCCTGATTCCAGGCTTTGGCTCTTAGATAGCATTCCTGGACCTGCTCTGGGCCAGAGGGGAGCCTGCTTCCCTGAAGGGTGAGTCCCAGGCTGGGCAGCGTTCACCACAAGCTTACTGCAGAGCCCTTGGGCCTTGAGTATACATCAGCAGTAGCCAGACAGTACCCACCACAGGCCTGGGGTGGAAGTGGCCATGGCAAGAGACTCCTCAGCTTGTGGAAAGGGGAGGGAAAAGTGGGAAGGACTTTGTCTTGTGGCTTGGGTGCCAGTTCAGCCTCAGTGCAATAGAGTACCAGGTAGATTCCTAAGGTTTCTGACTAGGCCCCAGTTCCTGGAAGGCATCTCTGGATTCACCCCAGGCTGGGGGAAACTTGCCACCCTAAAGAGAGGGACATAAGCTTGGCTGGCTTTGCCACCTGCTGATTTTAGAGCCATAGGGCCTTGAGTGAACATAGGTAGTAGCCAGGCGGTGGTTACCATAGGCCTTGGGCAAGACCCAGTACTATGCTGGCTTCACGTCTGACCCTGCACAGTCCCAGTGGTGGTCACAGGGGTGTTTGTGTCACTTCTCCCCCAACTCCAGGCAGCTGATCACAGAAAGACAGACTTTGCCTGGGGGAAAATAAGGGAAGACAATAAGAGTCTCTGCCTGGTAATCCAGAGAATTCTTCCAGATCTTATCCAAGACCACCATGGCAGTGCCTCTATGAGTAATCAGTGTTAAGTTGTCAGCAGTTTAAAATAATGAGTGATAAAATATTATCTGCAAACCTCATGGTAACCTCAAATCAAAAAAGATACAACAGACTGTGAAAGAGCCACAGCATTTCTGTGCTTGGTGTGCCCTCTAATGCAGATACAGCTGCAGTGACCAAAAACTTAGATCACAACACCCAAGTTCCTTTGAATTCCTGGAAAGCCTTCCCAAGAAGGACAGATACAAACAGCCCAGACTGCAAAGACTATAATAAATATTTAACTCAGACACTGATGAACATCCACAAGCATCAGGACCAGCCAGGAAAACATGACCTCATCAAATGAATAAGGCACCAGAGGCCAATCCCAGAGAAACAGAGATATGTGACCTTTGAAACAGAATTCAAAATAGCTGTTTTGGTCAGGCACGGTGGCTCACACCTGTAATCCCAACATTCTGGGAGGCCAAGGTGGGTAGATCACTTGAGCTCAGGAGTTCAAGACCAGCTTGGCCAACATGGTGAAACCCTATCTCTACTAAAAATACAAAAATAGCTGGGCGTGGTGGCATATGCTTGTAATCCCAGCTACTCAGGAGGCTGAGGCAGGAGAATTGCTTAAACTTGGGAGGCGGAGATTCAGTGAGCCAAGATCATACCACTGTACTCCAGCCTGGGCAACTGAGCAAGACTCTGTCTAAAAAAAAACAATGTTTTGAGGAAACTCAAAGAAATTAAAGCTAACACAGAGAAGGAATTCAGAATCCTATCATATAACTTTAACAAAGAGATTAAAATAACTAAAAAGAATCAAGCAAAAATTATGGAGTTGAAAAATGATACTGACATACATAAGGGTGCATCAGACTCTCTTATCAGTAGAACTGATCAAGTGGAAGAAAGAATTAGTGAGCTTGAAGACAGGCAATTTGAAAATATAATCAGAAGAGACAAAAGAAAAAAGAATAAAAAAGAATGAAGCATGCCTACAAGATCTAGAAAATAGCCTCAAAACGGCAAATTTAAGAGTTACTGGCTGCAGCCAGGTGCAGTGGCTCACTCCTGTAATCCCAGCACTTTGGGAGGCCAAGGTGGGCAGATCATGAGGTCAGGAGTTCGAGAGCAGCCTCGCCAACATCGTGAAACCCCGTCTCAACTAAAATACAAAAATTAGCTGGACGTGGCAGCAGGCGCCTTTAATCCCGGCTACTCTGGAGGCTGAGGCAGGAGAATTGCTTGAACCTGGGAAGTGGAGGCTGTAGTGAACCAAGATCACAGCACTGCACTCCAGCCTGGACAACAAAGTGAGACTCTGTCTCAAAAAGAAAAAAAAAAGAGTTATTGGCCTTAAAGAGGAGGTAGAGAGAGAGATGGGGTAGAAAGTTTATTCAAAGTGATAGTAACAAAGACCTTCCCAAACCTAGGGAAAGATATCAATATTCAAGTATATGAAGGTTATAGAACACCAAACAAATTCAACCCAAAGAAGATGACCTCAAAACATTTAATAAACAAACTCCCAAGGTCAAGAATACAGAAAGGATCCTAAAAGCAGCAACAGAAAATAAACAAATAACATACCATGGAGCTCTGATATGTCTGGCAGCAGACTTTCCAGTGGAAATATCCTTGAAATATGAAGGAGAAATAAATATCCTTGAAAATATGAAGGAGAAATAAAGACTTTCCTAGACAAACAAAAGTTGAGGGATTTCATCAACACCAGACCTGTCCTACAAGAAATGCTGAAGGGAGTTCTTTAATCAGAAAGAAAAGGACATTAATGAGCAATGAAAAATAATTTGAAGGTGTAAAACTCACTGGTAATTGGAAGTACACAGAAAAAAAACAGAATATTGTAACACTGTAATCATGGTATGTAAACTACTCATATCTTGAGTGGAAAGACCAAAAGCTGAACCAGTCAAAACTAATAACTATAACAACTTTTCAAGACATAGACAGTACAATATGACACAAACACAAACAACAAAGAATTAAAAAGCAGGAGGACAAAGTTAAAATGTAGAGTTTTTATTAATTTTTTCTTTGCTTCTTTATTTATGTAATCAGTGGTAAGTTTTCATTGGTTTAAAATAATGGGTTATGTTGTGAATATGCCAAAAATAATAAAATAAATAATGGGTTATAAAATATTAAATACAAGCCTTATGGTAACCTGAAATAAAAAAGCATACAACAGGGGCCAGGAGTGGTGGCTCCCACTTGTAATCCTAGCACTTTGGGAGGCCAAAGCAGGCCTTTGGCTTGAGCTCAGGAGTTTGAAACCAGCCTGGAAAACACGGTGGTGAAAGTGCTGTCTCTACAAAAGTGCTTGTCTCTACCAAAAAAAAAAAAAAAAAATTAGCCAGACATAGTGGCACTCACCTGTGGTCCCAACTACTTGGGAGGCTGAGATGGGCAGATCACTTGAGCCTGAAAGGCAGAGGTTGCAGTGAGCCAAGATCGCACCACTGCACTCCAGCCTGGGTGACAAAGCGAGATCCCCATCTCAAAAAAAGTCCCCAAAACAACATACAACAGATACACAAAAAATAAAAAGCAAGAAATTTTTAAATACTACCAGAGAAAATCACCTTCACAGAAAGGAAGACAGGAACAAAAGAAGGAAGGAACAGAGGACCACAAAACAACTAGAAAACAAATAACAAAATGGCAAGAGTAAGTCCTTACTTATCAATAATAACATTGAATCTAAATGGACTAAACTCTCCATTCAAAAGACATAGAGTGGCTGAATGGATTTAAAAAAAAAAAAAAAAAAAAAAAAAAAAAGCAAGACCCGGTGATTTGTTGCCTACAAGGAGCACACTTCACCCATAAAGACACACATAGACTAAAACAAAGGGATAGAAAAATATATTCCATTCCAATGGAAACCAAAAAGGATCATGAATAGCTATGCTTACATCAGACAAAATAGATTTCAAGACAAAAACTATAAAAAGAGACAAAGAAGGTCATTATATAATGAAAAGAGGTTAATTCGGCCAGAGTATATAACAATTGTAAAAATATATGCATTCCAACTGGAGCACCCAGCTATATAAAGTAAATATTATTAGAGCTAAAGAGAGAGATAGACCCCAATACAATAATAGCTGGAGACTTCAACACCCCACTTTCAGCATTGGACAGATCATCCAGACTGAAAATCAACAAAGAAACATCAGACTTAATCTGCACTATAGATCAAATGGCTCTAATAGATTTTTTCTTTTTTGAGATGCAGTCTTGCTCTGTTGCCCAGGCTGGAGTGCAGTGGTGTGATCTCAGCTTACTGCAAGCTCCACCTCCCAGGTTCACACCATTCTCCTGCCTCAGCCTCCTGAGTAGCTGGGACTACGGGTGCTCACCACCATGCCCAGCTAATTTTTTTGTATTTTTAGTACAGATGGGGTTTCTCCACGTTAGTCAGGATGGTCTTGATCTCCTGACCTTGTGATCCACCTGCCTTGGCCTCCCAAAGTGCTGGAGTTACAGGCATGAGCCACCGTGCCTGGCCAGATCTAATAGATATTTACAGAACATTTTATCCAATGGCTACAGAATACCCATTCTTCTCCTCAGCACATGGATCATTCTCAAGGATAGACCATATGTTAGACCACAAAATAAGTCTTAAAAAATTGGAATTATATCAAATATCTTCTCTGACCACAATGGAAAAAAACTAGAAATCAATAACAAGAGGAATGTTTGAAACCATACAAATATATGGAAATTAAAATATGCTCCTAAGTGACTGTGGGTCAACAAAGAAATTAAGAAGGAAATTTTTTAAATTCTGGAAACAAATGATAATGGAAACACAATATACCAAAACCTATGGGATACAGAGAAGGCAGTAATAAGAAGAAAGTTTATAGCCATAAGCACCTACATTAAAAAAGAAAAACAGAAAAACTTCAAATAAACAACATAATGATGCATTTCAAAGAACTAGAAAAGCAAGAGCAAGCCAAACCCAAAATTATTAGAAGGAAAGAAATAATAAAGATGAGAGCAAAAATAAATGAAATTGAAATGAAGGAAACAATAGAAAAGATCAACAAAAAGAAAAGTTGTTTTTTTAAAGACAAAAATCAACAATTCCTTAGCCAGACTCGCTAAGAAAAAAAGGAGAGAAGACTCATATAAATAAAATCAGAGATGAAAAAGGAAACATTACAACCAATATCAAAGAAATTCAAACGATCATTAGAGGCTACTATGAGCAACTACATGCCAATAAATTGGAAAACCTAGAAGAAATGGATACATTCCTAGACACATACAACCTGCCAAGATCGAACCTTGAAGAAATCCAAAACCAGAACAGACCAATAACAAGTAACAAATGAAAGCCCAGGACTCTATGTCTTCACTGCTAAATGTTACTAAACATATGAAGAAGAACTAATACCAACTGATATAGTTTCAATATTTGTCCCTACCCAAATCTCATGTTGAATTGTAATCCCTAGTATTGGAGGTGGGGCCTGGTGATAGGTGTTTGGATCATGGGGGCAGATCCCTCATGGCTTGGTGCTGTCCTCACAATAGTGAGTGCATTCTTGAGAGATCTGGTTGTTGGTAAAATGTGACACCTCCCCCCACCACCTCTTGCTCCAAATCTTACCATGTGAAGTGCCTGGCACCCTTCTGCGATGAGTAAAAGCTCCCTGAGGTCTCCCCAGTAGCTGAGCAGATGCCAGCACTATGTTTGTACAGCCTACAGAACCATAAGCCAATTAAAACTCTTTTCTTTGTAAATTTCCCAGACTCAGGTATTTCTCTTTTTTTTTTTTTTTTTTTTTTGAGACAGGGTCTCACTCTGTCACCCAGGCTGGAGGGCAGTGGTGCAATAATCTCAGCTCACTGCAACCTCCACCCCCTGGGTTCAAGCAATTCTCATGCCTCAGCTTCCTGAGTAGCTGAAAGAACAGGCATGTACCACCACACCCAGCTAATTTTCATATTTTTAGTAGAGATAGGGTTTCACCATGTTAGCCAGGCTGGTCTCAAACTCCTGGCCTCAAGTGATCTGCCTTCCTCAGCCTCCCAAACTGCTGGGATTACAGGCATGAGCCACCATGCCCAGCCTCAGTTATTTCTTTATAGCAATGCAAGAAAGACCCAAAACACCAACCCTACTCAAACTATTCTGAAAAATAGAGGAGGAGGGAGTATTTTCAAACTCATCTACGTGGCCAGTATTACCTTGATGCCAAAACTAGACAGACACATAAAAAAAAAAAAACTACAGGCAAATATCCCTGATGCAAAAATCCTCAGCAACATACTAGCACACTGAATTCAACAACACATTAAAGTGATTATTCATCTCATCTGCAATATCTTTCCAATGGAAAAAAAAAATCATTCATCATGACCAAGTGGGATTTATCCCAGAGATGCAAGGATGGTTGAACATACACAAATCAATCAATGTGATATATCATATCAACAGAATGAAGGGCAAAAACCATATGATCATTTCAACTGATGCTGAAAAAACAGTTGATAAAATTCAACATCCCTTCATGATAAAACCCCCCCCAAAAACTGGACATAGAAGGAACATACCTCAACACAGTAAAAGCTATATGACAAACCCACAGCTAGTATCATAGTGAATTAGGGGAAAACCTAAAGCCTTTTCTCAAAGATCTGGAACATGACAAAGATGCCCACTTCCACCACTATTATTCAAAACAGTACTGGAAGTCCTAGCTAGAGTAATCAGACAAGAGAAAGAAATAAAGAGCATCCAAACTGGAAAGGAAGAAGTCAAATTATCCTTATTTGCAGATGATATGATCTTATATTTGAAAAAAACCTAAGGACTCCACCAAAAAACTATTAGAACTGATAAACAAATTCAGTAAAGTTGGAGGATACAAAGTCAACATACAGGCCAGGCATGGTGGCTCACAGCTGTAATCCCAGCACTTTGGGAGGCCAAAGTGGGCTGATCACTTGAGGTCAGGAGTTCAAGACCAGTGTGGCCAATATGGTGAAACCCCATCTCTGCTAAAAATACAAAAATTAGCGAGGTGTGGTGGCACATACCTGTAGTCTCAGCTACTAGGGAGGCTGAGGCAGGAGAATCACTTGAACCCAGGAGGTGGAGGCTGCAGTGAACCAAGATGGCACCACTGCACTCCAGCCTAGGTGACAAAGTGAGGCTCCATCTCAAAAAACAAAAAGAAAGAAAATAAAAAGAAAATCAACGTACAGTCATTTATTTTACAAATAATATTAAATTTAAATACCTAATATTAAATACCTTCTTAACCAAGAAGTAAAAGATCTCTACGATGATAACTATAAAACACTGATGAAAGAAATTGAAGAGGACACAAAAAAATGGAAAGATATTCCATGTTCATGGATTGGGAGACTCAATATGTTAAAATATCTATACTACCTAAAGCAATCTACAGATTCAATGTAAACCCTATCAAAATACCAATTACATTCTTCACAGAAATGGAAAAAAAATCCTAAAATTTATATGGAACCACAAAAGGCCCAGAACAGCCAAAACTATCTTGAGCAAAAAGAACAAAACTGAAGAATCACATTACCTGACTTCAAATTATACTACAAAGCTGCAGTAACCAAAAGAGCATGATACTGGCATAAAAACAGACACATAAACCAATGAAACAGAATAGAGAACCCAGAAACAAATCCATACATCTACAGTAAACTTATTTTCAACAAAGTTGTCAAAAACCTACATTGGAGAAAGGACACTCTCTTCAATAAATGGTGCTGGGAAAACTGGATATCCATATGCAGAAGAATGAAACTAGACCACTATCTCTCACCATATACAAAAATCAAATAAAAATGGAATAAAGACTTAAATCTGGCTGGGCATGGTGGCTCACACCTGTAATCCTGGCACTTTGGGAGGCCAAGGTGGGTGGATCTCTTGACCAGGAGTTTGAGACCAGCCTGGCCAACATGGTAAAACCCTGTCTCTACTAAAAATACAAAAAATTAGCTGGGCATGTTGATGCACACCTGTAATCCCAGCTACTCAAGAGACTGCGGCATGGGAATCACTTTAAGCTAGGAGGTGGAGGTTGTAGTGAGCTGAGACCACTGCACTCTAGCCTGGGTGACACAGTGAGACCCTGTCTCATAAAGAAAATAAAAAGACTTAAATCTAAGACCTCAAGCTATGAAACTGCTAAAAGAAAACATTGTGGAAACTCTCCAGGACATTAGACTGGGCAAAAATTTCTTGAGTAATACCCTTAAAGGCTTCTGCACAGCAAAAGAAACAATCAACAAAGAGAAGAGATAGCCTACAGAATGGGAGGAAATATTTACAAACAAATCCATCTCACAAGTATTAATAATAAAAATATAAAATGAGCTCAAACAACTCTATAGGAAAAAAATCTACTAATCCAATTTTAAAAATGGGCAAAAGATCTGAATAGGCATTTCTCAAAAGAAGACATACAAATGGCAAACGGGTATCTGAGAAGGTGCTCACCATCATTGATCATCAGACAAATGCAAATCAAAACTACAATGAGATATCAGCTCACCCTCATTAAAATGGCTTTTATCCAAAGGACAGACAATAATGAATGCTGGTGAGGATGTGAAGAAAAGGGGAACCTTCATACACTGTTGGTGGGAATGGAAATTAGTATAGCCACTAGGGAGAACAGCTTGGAGGTTCCTCAAAAAACTAAAAATACAGCAATCATATGATCCAGCAATCCTACTCCTGGGTATATACGCAAAAGAAAGAAAATCAGTATATCAAAGAGATATCTGCATTTTCATGTTTATTGCAGCACTATTCAAAATAGTCAAGATTTGGAAGCAACCTAAGTGTCCATCAACAGATGAATGAAGAAAATGTGGTACACATACACAATGGAGTGTGTTTGGCCATAATAAAGGGTGAATTAAAGGGTGAATTCTTGTCATTTGCAGCAATATGGATGGAACTGGAGGTCATTATGTTAAGTAAGCCAGGCATAGAAAGACAAACTTTGTGTGTTCTTCTCTGTGGGAGCTAAAAATTACAGCAACTGAATTCATGGAAATAGAGAGTAGAATAATGGTTATCAGAGGCTGGGAAGAGTAGTCGGGGGAGGGAGAAGGAGAAATGGTTAATGGATACAAAAATATAATTAGAATGAATAAGATCTGGTATTTGATAGCACAACAGGGTGACTAGTGTCAACAGTTTATTGTATAGTAAAAATAACTAAAATAGTATAATTGGATTATTTGTAACACAAAGAAAGGATAAATGCTTGGGGTAAGGGATACACCATTTTCCCTGATGTGATTATTATACCTGTATCAAAATATCTCATACACTTCATATATATATATACACACACACCCATTATGTACCCATGAAAATTAAAAATAAAATTAAAATTAAAAAAATTTAAAGACAGAAAATAAAAATAAAAAAATTAAACAAAATGACCAAGCCAGGCATGGTGGTATGCACCTGTAGTCCCAGCTACTTAGGAGGCTGAAGCAGAAGGATCACTTGAGCCCATGAGTTCGTGACCAGCCTGGGCAACATAGCAAGAGCCCCATCTCAATTTTTTAAAATAATAATAAAAAAAAAGTGGGAAAGCTGCTGACCCAAACTACACAACAACCTAGAAGGTAGGTGTTATTTCCTTTACAGATAAGGAGACCGAGATGCAGAGAGGTAAGATACTTCCCATGATTTCACTGAGCTGGGATTCAAATCTTGGTCTAGTGGATTCCAAAGGCCTCAATCTTTCCGCTAGAAAATAACTCTTGGCACTTTCCGAGAAGGGATCCATAAGAAGTAATTGGGAGGCTTTGGAGACCAGGGCAAGAATAGAAGCAAATGAGAAGGTGAGGGGGATGTAGCTACAGAGCAACCAGCACCAAGATATGAAGCAAATGAGAAGGTGAGGGGAACTAGATACACAGGAGCCAGCAACAAGATGTGTAATATTATTTTTTTAACTGACATTTACTTTTTTCTGTTTATAAAAGTAATATATGCACATGATGGAAAATTGGAACATACTAAAAACTATAAAGAAGAAAATTAAGGTTGGTTCAAGTACAGTGGTGTTTACAACTAATTCATCACAGTCACAGATTTCTTTGTTCCTTCTCCACTTCCACTGCTTCACTTGATTGGTCAAAAAGGAGAAGAAGGAAGAAGAAGGAGGGAAAAGAAGGAGGAAGAAGAAAGAAGAAGAAGGAAGAAGAATGAGCAGGAGCAAGAAGAAGAAACAAGAAAAGGGAGGAGGAAGAGGAAAAGGAAGAAGGAGGAAGAGGAGAAGAAAAAGAAAGGAGGAGGAGAAGGAGGAGGAGGAAGGGGAAGAGGAAGAGGGAGGAGGAGGAGAAGAAACAGGAGGATGAGAAGGAGGAGGAGGAGATAGTTAAAACCATTGTTAAATGGTATAATTTAAGGAGTTTGAAGATTGCTACCTGCTCCAAAGTACCTCTTGGTTAAATCTGTTTTGGAACTCAAAATCCTCAATCTTATGTGTTAATTCTATTAAATTCAGCAAATTTTGGTTAAGTGCAGGCTTTGCGGCAAATGTAAGTACTTCTAAGGAATTAAAAGCAGAAGACGCCAGACCCTGCCCACCAGGAGATTCCAATCTGTAATTAAAATCAGCCCAATAATTAATTTATGAGCAGCTACCTAAGATGTTCAGCCTGACTGACTTTTCAGATTTGAGAGCTGTTACATAATGGGCAACAGGCCCCCAAAAAAATAGAACACAAAGAGGGAGATTTTTTTTTTAATTGGCAGTTACCAAGTCAGACACCATACCTTGGAGGGGGAAAAAAAATCTCCCAGGATCCATATGAGGCGAGTACTATTATCTTTATTTGGGGGAGAATGAAAGGAAAGACAAAAGTTGGGAATTAAAGTATCCAGTAGGCAGAGAACCTGTCCCACAGGCTTGTGTGTAACCATTGCAGTCTATCAGATGCCAAATTTGTTTTTACTGGGAAAATTATATAAGCTTGATGTAAAAAAAATCAAGTAGTACAGAAATATAAAAATCCTAATTTCTCCCAAATCCTCTCCCAGTAATAACCATAATTTTAAATGTATTATTCATCCTTAATTATAAGCCTATTAAAAGCATAAAAGGAATCAGAGGTAGCATCACCTGTCAGCTTGAATGCAGAAATGGATTAGGTAAATGTTGAAGCCAAAATCTCTTAATTGTGTGGGAGTAGTAGGACAGACCCAGAATTTTCCCTGGGGAAGATTATACCCAGTTACTAAATTACTGGCACAGCTTCCTTTAGGGATGTTTTCCCTTGTAGGTATAGTACTTCGCTCTTCATCTCAGTTCCTACTTAAAACTGCAGAATTCTAACCTGGATATTTTCTATCTTGCCTTGGATTCCGTGCAGCACTATTAAAAAATCAACATTCTCCTCCAAATATTCTTTTTCCCTTTTGACAAATGCTTCTCAGCCATAGCTTCCCACTTTCCAGCTTGTGGAGCTGACACTTGCCTCTGACCAGTTAGTGTGGGGTCCTTTCTGGCTGCCCCCTGACACTGTTAGACCTGCTTCCAATCAGGTGCTCTCTATTCTCTGGTGGTTTGGATCTTTCTGAACTCTTCCCCTAAAACAACTGTGAGGAAACCAGGAAGAATTATTTGGTAAAGAATCAGAAGTTTAAAACAAAATAAACAGCACAAAATGGTGAGAGATGTGTCCACAGATCCATCATAGACACAGAAGGACCAGGTATGTCCACAGGAGTAAACAGAACTTGGTGGGCTTGTGACTGTTTTTGTTTTGAGTTTAGGAGTGGAGGCTTAATAGGCAAAAGAAAGAGAAAGGAAAACAGCTGTCTCTGTAGTGACAGAGAGGGAACTTCTGAGGAAAAGGCCAGCCGGCAGCCGGTGCCCTGGATTTTATACTCAGGCTTTAGGAGGCAGTGTCTGATTTATGTAGGGCTCACAGATTGGTTCCATCAGGTATGACATTTACAGAGGTGAGGGGAAGGCTGGCCATCCCACCCTAATCTTATTATGCAAATGAACTTTCCCCTTGGCCAGCGCCATCTTGTCTGCCCCTTACTGTAAAAGTGGCTGACAAAGAAAAGGGAAGATGGAGCTGCCATCTTGAACATGATTGGCTCAACTGCAGGCATCTGTGTCTGCAGCTCAATTTTGCAGGCTGCTCTTTGTTAGAAAGGAAAATAATTTGGGGCTGCTTTTCATTAAAAGAAAAACTTCTGTACCCTAATTAATTTCTTAACTCCTGTATCATTCCCCCCTCTGGAGTGGTAACCCTAACTGCTTTTTTTTTTTTGAGGGAGTCTCGCTCTGTCGCCAGGCTGGAGTGCAATGGTGCAATCTTCGGCTCACTGCAACCTCCACCTCCCGGGTTCAAGTGATTCTTCTGCCTCAGCTTCCTGAGTAGCTGGGACTACAGGCACGTGCCACCACGCCCAGCTAATTTTTTTGTATTTTTAGTAGAGACCGGGTTTCACCATGTTGGCCAGGATGGTGTCCCTAACTGCTTTTAGGGGGTGGTGGACGATGACTCTTTCTGGCTACTTCATGCTGAAAAGGGGTGTTGTGTGGGTAACAGCAGCTAAGGCTCCTCCTGGGGTTGATCTAAGGGTCCTCGGAAGAAAGGCATGTCCATGTGTGGTTCTGTCTGCAGCACCATTTGGAGTTTGATTGGTGTCAGCCATTCCAATGGGTCGTAACAGTGGTTTGCCTCCACCAGATGTTGCCATCCCTTTTTGTTTCTTCAAGTTGCAGATCATCACTTGATTCATAGGAATAAGCAGGGTTAGTCTAAAATGTAGGCAAAAGCTTGTAAGTTTCCTTGACTCATTTCGATGAATGCTGTACTTTGGTATCCTGGATGAGGTCCTCAGTAAGAAGTGGCTATGTTGACTGGGGTAAATACCCAGGGTTTGTCGTCTCATGCCAGGAAAATGTAGGAGACAGACACACACACAAGGAGTTTAGGAGCGGAAGTTTAAGAGGCAAAAGAAAGAGAAAGGAAAACAGCTCTCTCTAGTGAGAGAGAGGGGACTTCTGAAAGGAAAAAGCTGTGACTGCTTTTATTTCATGATTTCTTATCATCATTACTATTATTGTTTTAACTGTGGATCAACTTGCCACAAATGAGTTTGCTAAAAGACAATTTATCATATGTCAAATTAGCCAAAAATCTATTTATCTAATGACCACTGACAGCAAAACCTGAGGTGGGACTGCCCCTCTGCTCATCCAACATTCTGCAAGTGTGAGTGGGGGAGGTGGGTTCCACCATCTATCCCCGGAAGCCAGGCCATGACAGGCAGGAGGTGGCTCAGTCAGTACATAACTCAGAGTTTAGTAGGGGGAAGGGAAGGTTCCACAAAATTGGGATTATTTTATATGTATATTCATTGAATTTGCTTATCTTAATGTAATAAAATATTGATATTTTCCATGTCACTTGATACAGAACTGGCTTCTAATTATTGACATTTTTAGGCTGGGTGTGGTGGATCATGCCTGTAATCCCAGCACCATGGGAGGATGAGGCTGGCAGATCACCTGAGGTCAGGAGTTTGAGACCAGACTGGCCAACGTGGAGAAACCCTGTCTCTACTAAAAATACAAAAAAAATTACCCGGGCATGGTGGCACATGCCTGTAATCCCACCTAATTGGGAGGCTGAGGCAGGAAAACCGCTTGAAGTGCGATTGAAGTGAGCCAAGGTTGCAGTGAGCCAAGATCACGCCATTGCACTCCAACCTGGGAGACAGAGCGAGACTCTGTCTCAAAAAAAAAAAAACAGAAAAAGAAAACATTTTTTGGACTTTTCTCTATATCATGCCTTGTGGTAGGCAGAATAATGCCCCAGAACCTGCAGAAACATTACTTTACATGGTATAAGGGATTTTGCAGATGTAATTAAAGTTAAGGACCTTTTACAAAGGAGATTATCAGGAATTATTTGGGTACGCCCAGTGTAATCACAGGGGTCCTTTAAAGCAGAGAACTTTTCCTGATGGTAGTCAGAGGGAGATGTGACTGCAGAAGAATGGTCAGAGATGCCACAAGCTGGCTTTGAAGATGAAGGAACAGGCCATGAATCAAGGGATGCAGGTGGCCTCTAGAAGGTGGAAAAGCCAAAGACATGGGTTCTCCCATAGAGTCTCCAGAAAGGAGTGCTTCTCGGCTGCCACCTTGATTTTTAGCCCCATCATATTTGTGTTAGACTTCTGAGCTACAGAAATACAAGATGATAAACTGTTTTCTTAAGCCACCAAGTTTTTGGAAATTCGTTACAGCAGCAATAGAAAATTAGTTCTTCCCCTTTTTCCAGAATCATGGACATTTTGGCCTTGGTTTCCAGGAGCTTAGTTCAGTATAAATATTTGCCTTTTCCAAGTCAAGTTTACCTCTTGGTTAACTAGGCTCTGGCTACACAGAGCATTCTGAGCACACTCATGTTGGAGGCAGGTTATCATCAGCTCCATAGCTGAGGAAGGTAGGAGTTTTGCCAAAGCCTGGCTTGGTCAGGAGCCCTGGTCTTCCCCTCCTATCACTGCCACAAACTGAGCTGAGTTAGCCCCAGTGATGTGGGCCCAGCACATCACATGAGAATCACAGGCCAGAGTCCTGGCAGTGCTGCCATTTCTGAGCCATTTCTCAGATGTCACGCTCCAAATGGGCCAGACCACTCCTGCTCTACCTGCTGTTGCCAGTGTTGAAGAGGAACAAGAGTAAGAGGAGGGGCCTCCAGCCCCCAAGACAAAGATATCCCAAAGTTTTGGTTTTCTTCTTCTTAGCCTGGCCTAAATGCCTCTACAACCTGGCCCCAACCTATCCATCTGATCTCAGTGTTCACCACAGTCGTTCAAGGATTCTTTACTGAGTGCCTGCTAGCTCCTCGGCACTGGGGAAAGTTCCTCCTCTGGTGAGCTCATAGGCTCTGGTTATAGGCAATATATAGATTATGATACCAGGAAATTAGCCCCATCAGGAGGAGCCTGCAGAAGACTTAGTGTCAAGGTAAAGAATATGAACTTTATCCTTTAGACTGTGATGCAGGTACCAACAGAGCTGGTTTTTTTGTTGTTGTTGTCGTTGGTTTTTGTCTTTGGGGTATTTTTTGTTTGCTATTTTACAAACCTTATCCACATAGCTTTATTTTTTCTAATTATAAAATTCATGGCCATTATGAAAACTTCAGACAATAGGTAAGGATAAAGATAAACATTTAAATTACCTGTTATTCTATAAACCAAAGATAACCACTGCTAATCCATTGTTTATTCTTTCTCTATTTATATACAGATATGAATATGAATATATATGTTTACAAAGATGCAATCATTGTGCAGAGATTTCTCTGCAAACTGCTTTTTATTTAACCGTTTATCATGGACAGTGTATCTATTTCTATAATAATAGAGATCTATATTGTTTTTTCATGTGTTCACAGTATTTCATTGTATAAAACATGCCATACATTTTTACCTAATCCTGTATTGAAGATGTTCGCAGTTTTTCCCTATTATAATTCAGGCTACACACTGTGAAACTGCCTCCAGAGTCTTTGTACCAGGTTATCCTCCCTCTATAAAATAAGGACGATATTTATCTCCCCACACTCTTCCCCTAGCTGGTCATTATCATCAATTGTATCTCCTTGTTTTACTTTGTATCTTATTTATTTATCTATTTATTTGAGACAGAGTCTCTTTATGTTGCCTAGGCTGGCCTTTTCTTAGCCTCCTGAGCAGATGGTACTACAGGTGTGTGCCACCGTGCCCAGGTTTACTTTATATTATTTTTAAATTTAATTTAATTTTTTTTTTTTTTTGAGACAGAGTCTCACTCTGTGGCTCAGGCTGGAGTGCAGTGGTGCTGTGATCTCAACTCACTGCAACCTCCACCTCCTGAGTTCAAGCAATTCTTGTGCCTCAGCCTCCCAAGTAGCTGGGATTACAGGAACATGCCACCACACTCAGATAACTGTTGTATTTTTAGTAGAGACGGGTTTTTGCTATGTTGGTGAGGCTGGTCTCGAACTCCTGACCTCAAGTGATCCGCCTGCCTTGGCCTCCCAAAGTACTGGGATTACAGGCATGAGCCACCATGCCTGGCCACAATCTGTTTTAAAAGTTTCTCCTGCCTAGAAGTTTCTCTGTAAGCGTAGCAGTTATAGATTAATCACAGAAAATCTTTTTATGTTATGTTATAAATCATTGGACAATTACCTATTATGGATTGAACATAGGTTTGGTAGACAAAATCTCAACTTTTCTCTGTCTATATGTGCACCTTTCCTGTAATGTAAATAGAGGCATGGTTTTGAAAAACAATAACATTTTTGAGTTTTTTATAACCAAATATATTTTAACATAAAATATCAGTTAAAAAAAGTAGTTTTATACACTTAGCCTATATTCCCCAAAGCTCATATTTTTATAATTAATTAAAATATAAATTTAAATTATTATTTAAATTAGGACAGTTTTTCTATTTGAAAAAGTAAAAAGCATGGTCAAAGATTTCTCAGTCTCCATAAGGACACAGACATTCTGTGTTAACAGACATTCACACTTAACTAAAGTAAAGAATTTTCAAAGTAAATGTCAGAGAAAATAGCAAACTTATTTTTATGTTATCTGTCAACAGCATTATGTTAATTTTGACATGGTTACTGATTGGATAATATATGATAACAAGCAGTTGTGAAGAAGCTATTGCTAAAAAGATCTGAGCTTAACATAAATATCTCTTTTTCTGAACTCTTAACATCTTCAGAAACAACAAAAATAATTTTTACCCATAAGTTTTTTTAAATGACTTTCAAAGGTAAATTTAAGATTACCAGATAAAAATAAAGGCATGGTGGCTCAGGACTGTAATCCCAGCACTTTGGGAGGCCAAGGTGGGAGGATCACTTGAGCCCAGGAGTTCAAGAGCAGACTAGACAACATTGTGAGATGCTGTTTATACCAAAAAAAAAAAAAAAGCCAGGCATGGTTGCGTGTGCCTGTGGTCCCAGCTACTCAGGAAGCTGAGGTGGGAGGATCACTTGAGCCCAGGAGGTGGAGGCTGCAGTGAGCTGTGACTGTGCCATTGCCCTCCAGCCTTGGCAACACAGTGAGACCCAGTCTCAAAAAAAAAAAAAAAATATTTTGACTTTATTTGTGGTTTTATATTTGCCACTCAGCAATCTTAAATTTTTTTGTAGACAAATTTGTCAGCCACCCTTCATAGCCTATGGATTTGGGGTGATAGTTAGAAGGTCCGTCTTTACATTTAGAAAACACTCACTTTTTTTTGAGACGGAGTTTCGCTCTTGTTGCCCAGGCTGGAGTGCAATGGCGCTATCTCAGCTCATGGCAACCTCCGCCTCCCATGTTCAAGCGATTCTCCTGCCTCAGCCTCCCGAGTAGCTGGGATTACAGGCATGTGCCACCATGCCTGGCTAATTTTGTATTTTTAGTAGAGATGGGGTTTCTCCATGTTGGTCAGGCTAGTCTCGAACTCCTGACCTCAGGTGATCCGCCCACCTCGGCCTCCCAAAGTGCTGGGATTACAGGTGTGAGACACCATGCTTGGCCAACATTCATATATTTTCTTTTAGTATTTTTGAGATTTTCTTCTTATTATTATACTTTAAGTTCTGGGGTACATGTGCAGAACATGCAGGTTTGTTACATAGGTATACATGTGCCATGGTGGTTTGCTGCACCCATCAACCAGTCATCTACATTAGGTATTTCTCCTAATGGTATCCCTCCCCTAGTCCCCCACCCCACAACAGGCCCTGGTGTGTGATGTTCCCCTCCCTGTGTCCATGTGTTCTCATTGTTCAACTCCCACTTATGAGTGAGAGCATGCAGTATTTGGTTTTCTGTTCTTGTGTTAGTTTGCTGAGAATGGTGGTTTCCAGCTTCATCCATGTCCCTGCAAAGGACATGAACTCATCCTTTTTCATGGCTGCATAGTATTCCATGGTGTATATGTGCCACATGTTCGTTATCCAGGCTATCATTAATGGGCATTTGGGTTGGTTCCAAGTCTTTGCTGTTGTGAACGGTGCTGCAGTAAACATAGCTGTGCATGTGTCTTTATAGCAGCATGATTTATAATCCTTTGGGTATGTACCCAGTAATTGGATTGTTGGGTCAAATGGTATTTCTGGTTCTAGATCCTTAAGGAATCACCACACTGTCTTCCACAATGGTTGAACTAATTTACACTTCCACCAACAGTGTAAAAGCATTCTTATTTCTCCACATCCTCCCAGCATCTGTTGTTTCCTGACTTTTTAATGATCACCATTCTAACTGGCATGAGTTGGTATCTCTTTGTGGTTTTGATTTGCATTTCTCTAATGACCAATGTTGATGAGCTTTTTTTCATATGTTTGTTGGCTGCATAAATGTCTTCTTTTGAGAAGTGTTTGTTCATATCCTTTGCCCACTTTTTGATGGGGTTGTTTGCTTTTTTCTTGTACATTTGTTTAAGTTCTTTGTAGATTCTGGATATTAGCCCTTTGTCAGATGGATAGATTGCAAACATTTTCTCCCATTCTGTAGGTTGCCCATTCACTCTGATGACAGTTTCTTTTGCTGTGCAGAAGCTCTTTAGTTTAATTAGATACCACTTGTCAATTTTGGCTTTTGTTGCCATTGCTTTTATTGTTTTAGTCATGAAGTCTTTGCCCACTCCTATGTCCTGAATGGTATTGCCTAGGTTTTCTTCTGGGGTTTTTATGGTTTTCAATCTTACATTTAAGTCTTTAATCCATCTTGAGTTAATTTTTGTATAAAGTGTAAGGAAGGGGTCCAGTTTCAGTTTTCTGCATATGGATAGCCAGTCTTCCCAACACCATTCATTAAATAGGGAATCCTTTCCCCCACTGCTTGTTTTTGTCAGGTTTGTGAAAGATCAGATGGTTGTAGATGTGTGGTGTTATTTCTGAGGCCTCTGTTCAGTTCCATTGGTCGATATATCTGTTTTGATACCAGTGCCATGCTGTTCTGGTTACTGTAGCCTTGTAGTATAGTTTGAAGTCAGGTAGCATGGTGCCTCCAGCTTTGTTTGTTTGTTTGTTTGTTTTTGCTTAGGATTGTCTTGGCTATGCGGGCTCTTTTTTGGTTCCATATGAAATTTAAAGTAGTTTTTTCTAATTCTGTGAAGAAAGTAAATGGTAGCTTGATGGGGATAGCATTTTTTTTATTATTATTATTATTTAGCTAGTTTTTTTTTTTTTTTTTGAGACAGAGTCTCGCTCTGTCACCCAGGCTGGAGTGCAGTGGCATGATCTTGGCTCACTGCAAGCTCTGCCTCCCGGGTTCACGCCATTCGCCTGCCTCAGCCTCCCAAGTAGCTGGGGCTGCAGGCACCCGCCACCACACCTGGCTAATTTTTTGTATTTTTAGTAGAGATGGTTTTCACTGTGTTAGCCAGGATGGTCTCAATCTCCTGACCTCGTGATCTGCCTGCCTTGGCCTCCTAAAGTGCTGGGATAGCAGAGAATCTATAAATTACTTTGGCCATTTTCACGATATTGATTCTTCCTATCCATGAGCATGGAATGATTTTCCACTTCTTTGTGTCCTCTCTTATTTCCTTGAGGAGTGGTTTGTAGTTCTCCTTGAAGAGGTCCTTCACATGACTTGTAAGTTGGATTCCTAGGTACTTAATTCTCTTTGTAGCAATTGTGACTGGGAGTTCACTCGTGATTTTGCTCTCTGTCTATTATTGGTGTATAGGAATGCTTGTGATTTTTGCACATTGATTTTGTAGCCTGAGACTGCTGAAATTGCTTATCAGCTTAAGGAGATTTTGGGCTGAGACTATGGGGTTTTCTAAATATACAATCATGTCATCTGCAAGCAGAGACAATTTGACTTCCTCTCTTCCTATTTGAATACCCTTTATTTCTTTCTTTTGCCTGATTGCCCTGGCCAGAACTTCCAATACTATGTTGAATAGGAGTGGTGAGAGAAGGCATCCTTTTCTTGTGCTGGTTTTCAAAGGGAATGCTTCCAGTTTTTGCCCATTCAGTATGATATTGGCTGTGTGTTTGTCATAAATAGCTCTTATTATTTTGAGATACGTTCCATCAATACCTAGTTTATTGAGAGTTTTTAGCATGAAAGGGTGTTGAATTTTGTTGAAGGCCTTTTCTGCATCTATTGAGATAATCACGTGGTTTTTGTCATTGGTTCTATTTATGTGATGGATTACGTTAATCGATTTGTGTATGTTGAACCAGCCTTGCATCCCAGGGATGAAGCTGACTTGATCATGGTGGATAAGCTTTTTGATGTGCTGCTGGATTTGGTTTGCCAGTATTTTATTGAGGACTTTCACATCAATGTTCATCAGGGATATTGACCTTTGAAATTTTCTTTTTTTGTTGTGTCTCTGCCAGGTTTTGGTATCAGGATGATGCTGGCCTCATCAAATGAGTTAGGGAGGATTACCTCTTTTTCTATTGTTTGGAATAGTTTCAGAAGGAATGGTACCAGCTCCTCATTGTACCTCTGGTAGAATTCAGCTGTGAGTCCATCTGGTCCTGGACTTTTTTGATTAGTAGGCTATTAATTACTGCCTCAATTTCAGAACTTGTTATTGGTCTATTCAGGGATTCAACTTCTTCCTGGTTTAGTCTCGGGAGGGTGTATGTGTCCAGGAATTTATCCATTTCTTCTAGATTTTCTAGTTTATTTGCATAGAGGTTTTTATAGTATTCTCTGATGCTAGTTTGTATTTCTGTGGGATCAGTGGTGATATCCCCTTTATCATTTTTTATTGTGTCTATTTTATTCTTCTCTCTTTTCTTCTTTATTAGTATGGCTAGTTGTCTATTTTATTGATCTTTTCAAAAAAACAGCTGCTGGATTCACTGATTTTTTGAAGGGTTTTTCATGTCTCTGTCTCCTTCAGTTCAGCTCTGATCTTAGTTATTTCTTGTCTTCTGCTAGCTTTTGAATTTGTTTGCTCTTATTTCTCTAGTTCTTTTAATTGTGATGTTAAGGTGTCAATTTTAGATCTTTCCTACTTCCTCTTGTGGGCATTTAGTTCTATAACTTTCCCTTTAAACACTGCTTTAAATGTGGCCCAGAGATGCTGGTACGTTGTGTCTTTGTTCTCATTGGTTTCAAAGAACTTATTTATTTCTGCCTTAATATTGTTATTTACCCAGTAGTCATTCAGGAGCAGGTTGTTCAGTTTCCATGTAGTTTTGCAGTTTTGAGTGAGTTTCTTAATCCTGAGTTCTAATTTGATTGCACTGTGGTCTGAGAGACTGTTTTTTATGATTTCCGTTCTTTTGCATTTGCTGAGGAGTGTTTTACTTCCAATTATGTGGTCAATTTTAGAACAAGTGCGATGTGGTGCTGAGAAGAATGTATATGCTGTTGATTTGGGGTGGAGAGTTCTGTAGATGTCTATTAGGTCCACTTGGTCCAGAGCTGAGTTCAAGTCCTGAATATCCTTGTTAATTTTCTGTCTCGTTGATCTGTCTAATATTGACAGTGGGGTGTTAAAGTCTCCCACTATTATTGTGTGGGAGTCTAAGTCTCTTTGTAGGTCTCTAAGAACTTGCTTTATGAATCTGGGTGCTCCTGTATTGGGTGCATATATATTTAGGATAGTTAGCTCTTCTTGCTGCATTGATCCCTTTACCATTATGTAATGCCCTTCTTTGTCTCTTTTGATCTTTGTTGGTTTAAAGTCTGTTTTATCTGGGACTAGGATTGCAACCCCTGCTTTATTTGCTTTCCATTTCCTTGGTAAATATTCCTCCATCCCTTTATTTTGAACCTATGTGTGTCTTTGCACATGAGATGGGTCTCCTGAATACAGCACACTGATGGGTCTTGATTTTTTTCTTTTTTTTTTTTTGAGACAGAGTCTCACTCTGTTGCCCAGGCTGGAATGCAAAGGCGCAATCTCAGCTCACTGCAACCTCTGCCTCCTGGGTTCAAGCAATTCTCCTGCCTCAGCCTCCCAAGTAGCTGGGATTACAGGTGTGTGCCACCAGGCCCAGCTAATTTTTTGTATTTTTAATAGAGATGGGGTTTCACCATGTTGGCCAGGATGGTCTCAATCTCTTGACCTCGTGATCCACCCGCCTTGGCCTCCCAAAGTGATGGGATTACAGGCGTGAGCCACCGTGCCTGGCAGGGTCTTGACTTTTTATCCAGTTTGCCAGTCTGTGTCTTTTAATTGGGGCATTTAGCCTGTTTACATTTAAGGTTAATATTGTTATGTGTGAATTTGATCCTGTCATTATGATGCTAGCCGGTTATTTTGCCCGTTAGTTGACACAGTTTCTTCATAGTGTTGATGGTCTTTACAATTTGGTATGTTTTTGCAATGGCTGGTATCGGTTGTTCCTTTCCATGTTTAGTGCTTCCTTCAGGAGCTCTTGTAAGGCAGGCCTGTTGGTGACAAAATCTCTCAGCATTTGCTTGTCTGTAAAGGATTTTATTTCTCCTTCACTTATGAAGCTTAGTTTGGCTGGATATGAAATTCTGGGTTGAAAATTCTTTCCTTGAAGAATGTTAAATATTGGTCCCAACTCTCTTCTGGATTGTAGGGTTTCTGCAGAGAGATCCACTGTTAGTCTGATGGACTTACCTTTCTGGGTAACCCAACCTTTCTCTCTGGCTGCTCTTAACATTTTTTCCTTCATTTCAACCTTGGTGGATCTGATGATTATGTGTCTTGGGGTTGCTCTTCTCGAGGAATATCTTCGTGGTGTTCTCCATATTTCCTGAATTTGAATGTTGGCCTGTCTTGCTAGGTTGGGGAAGTTCTCCTGGATAATATCCTGAAGAGTGTTTTCCAGCTTGTTTCCATTCTCCCCATCACTTTCGGGTACACCAATCAAATGTAGATTTGGTCTTTTCCACATAGTGCCATATTTCTCAGAGGCTTTGTTCATTACTTTTCATTTTTTTTTTCTAATCTTGTCGTCTTGCTTTATTTCATTAAGCTGATCTTCAATCGCCGGTATTCCTTCTTCTGCTTGATCAATTCAGCTATTAATACTTGTGAATGCTTCACAAAGTTCTTGTGCTGTGTTTTTCAGCTCTATCAGGTCATTTATGTTCTTCTCTAAACTAGTTATTCTAGTTAGCAATTCCTCCAACCTTTTTTCAAGCTTCTTAGCTTCCTTGCATTGGGTTAGAACATGCTCCTTTAGCTTGGAGCAGTTTGTTATTACCCACCTTCTGAAGCCTCTTCTGTCAATTCATCAAACTCATTCTCTGTCCACTTTTGTTCCCTTGCTGGAAGGAGTTGTGATCCTTTGGAGGAGAAGGGATGTTCTGGTTTTTAGAATTTTCAGCCTTTTTGTGCTGGTTTTTCCTCATCTTCATGGATTTATCTACCTTTGGTCTTTGATGTTGGTAACCTTCGGATGGGGTTTCTGTGTGGATTTTTTTTTTTTTTATGTTGATGCTATTCCTTTCTGTTTGTTAGTTTTCCTTCTAACAGTCAGGCCCCTCTGCTGCAGGTCTGTTGGAGTTTGCTGGAGGTCCACTCCAGACCCTGTTTTCCTGGGTATCACCAGCGGAGACTGCAGAACGGCAAAGATTGCTGCTTGTTCCTTCCTCTGGAATTTTTGTCCCAGAGGGGCACCCACAAGATGCCAGCCGGAGCTCTCCTGTATGAAGTGTCTGTCGACCCCTGCTGGGAGGTGTCTCCCAGTCAGGAGGCATGGGGGTCAGGGACACACTTGAGGAGGCAGTCTGTCCCTCAGCAGAGCTTGAGCACTATGCTGGGAGATCCGCTGCTCTCTTCAGAGTCAGCAGGCAGGAATGTTTAAGTCTGCTGAAGCTGTGCCCACAGCTGCCCCTTCTACCAGGTGCTCTGTCTGTCCCAGGGAGATGGGAGTTTTATCTATAAGCCCCTGACTGGGGCTACTGCCTTTCTTTCAGAGATACCCTGCCCAGAGAGGAGGAATCTAGAGAGGCAGTCTGGCTACAGCAGCTTTGCGGAGCTGCAGTGGACTCCACCCAGTTTGAACTTCCTGGTGGCTTTGTTTACACTGTGAGGTGAAAACCACCTACTCAAGCCTCAGTAATGGCAAACGCCCCTCCCCCCACCAAGCTCAAGTGTCCCAGCTTGACTTCAGACTGCTGTGCTGGCAGTGAGAATTTCAAGCCAGTGCATCTCAGCTTGCTGGGCTCTGTGGGGGTGGGATCCACTGAGCTAGACCACTTGGCTCCCTGGCTTCAGCACCCTTTCCAGAGGAGTGAATGGTTCTGTCTCGCTGGCATGCCAGACGCCACTGGGGTATGAAAAAAAAAACTGCAGCTAGCTCAGTGTCTGCCCAAACAGCTGCCCAGTTTTGTGCTTGAAACCCAAGGCCCTGGTGGCATAGGCACCTGAGGGAATCTCCTGTTCTGTGGGTTGTGAAGAGGATGGGAAAAGCGTAGTATCTGGGTCAGAGTGCACCGTCCCTCAAGGCACAGTCCCTCACAGTCCCTTGGCTAGGAGAGGGAGTTCCCCAACCCCTTGCACTTCCCGGGTAAGGCAATGCCCCACCCTGCTTTGGCTCACCCTCCGTGGGCTGCACCCACTGTCTAACCAGTCCCAGTGAGATGAGCTGGGTACCTCAGTTGGAAATGCAGAAATCACCCACTTTCTGTGTTGATCTCTCTTGGAGCTACAGACCAGAGCTATTCCTATTTGGCCATCTTGCCAGCCACCGTTTTGAGATTTTTTTTATGTTTAAATCTTTGCTCCATCTAGCATTTACTTTGGCATAAATATGTCTTCAATATAGAAGTTTAACTTTCTTTAGTGAAATCTACGTATCTTTTCTTTTATGATTTCTGGCTTAGATATTCTGGTTTGTTTCTTGGAATGAAATTTCTTGGGAAGAACGTGAGGAGTGAGCTGGAGTAGGACACACCCAGGTGGCTGGCAAGAAACCCCTCTGAAGAAGTCTCTCTCTCAGGGAAAGGTCCATAATTTTCCATTCCAGTTCAGCTCAGTCAACATCTACTAAGAACCTACTCTGTTCCAGAGACTGTGTTAAGTGCCAGGGGCACAGAGATGAGGAACATCTCTGCTTGCAAGTGGGAGTGACAAATTTAGAAACAGAATGACGACACAGTGTGGTAGGTGCAATGAGCAAAAAGCATAAGGATCAGTGAGCACACATAAGGGTGCCTATCCCAGGCTGGAAGGGAAAAGCCTATCTGAGAAGGCCTCCTGGAGGAGATGAATCCTGGGCCGAGTTTGTTTTTCCCATTTGAATAACTAGAATATTAGAATAAGACCATTCAATAAAGACAATTCTGAAATCACCTTCCAATTAAAACAACTCTTACTTTGTAACTTCATGTTGCTTATATGACATAATGCACAGCATATTACCTGCTAAGATACACACTTTCAATATCATTGGAAAGACAGAACTGGAACAGAAAGCTGCCTTAATCAACAACAGAATATAGCTCCCAGACCAAGGGCGAGAGGTCTCCAGTGTAGGGACAACCTGGTGCACAGCGATTACGAGAGAAGGCTAAAGTGGAACCCTAATTTCTCCATGCAGCTAAAAGCAGTTTACTATTTCTGAAACTCAATCTAGAAGGTAGGGAACTTTAAGATAGGAGACTGGTTGCTTTCTATGACAGTCAGGGCCAGATTGTAAAGGGGCTTATGCTTTATGTAAAGAATGGGACATGAGAAACACTGAGGTGTTGTAAGTTGAGGGGTGTCTGATCTGACAAAACAACTTGGAAATCATCAGCATGAGATGAGATTGCCCAGGGATATCAGGTTGCAGAGGATTTAACCTTTGCAGATCCTTGATCCCTTTGAGGATGTGATAAAAGCTACAGATGCTCTTTCCAGAAAAACAAACATACTGAAAACCACACCAACATATACACAATTTCAGGGGATCCTCAGATTAAGAATATTTGATATATAGAGGACTGAGAAGTAGCCTGAGGAAGCGGATATTCAAAGGATGGGAAGAAGATGAGGGGAGCAGGAAAAGGGCCAAAGAAAAATGACCCAAGAGGTACTGGAAGAGCCAGGAGACAAGTGTTGGGAAGCTGTGGGAGCACAGAGATCCAAGGAGGATGTGATCAGCAGTGTTGAATGCTGTAGAGATGTCAGCTAAGGTCAGGACTGAAACATGTCTTTTGCACTTACAGTTAAGAAATCACAGCCGAGAGAAGTGGCTCACATCTGTAATCCCAGCACTTTGGGAGGCCAAGGTGGGAGGACGACTTGAGCCCAGGAGTTTGAGACCAGTCTGGGCAAAAAAGCGAGACGCCATCTCTATAAAAATTTTAAAAATTAGCTGGGTGTGGTGGTGTATGCCGTAGTCCCAGCTACTTGGAAGGTTGAGGCAGGAGTCCAGAAGTTCAAGTTTGCAGTGAGCTATAATCGTGCCACTGCACTCCAGTCTGGGTGAAAGAGCGAGACCCCATCTCTAAAACTAAAAAGAAAGAAAGAAAAATCACTGGTAATGGTATTGAGAAAAGTCTCTGCGGAGTAACTAGTAATGTTAGCTCCAGATATACTTTTTCAAGCCCGAGAATTATATAGGTGGCATCTAGGTGGAAGTAAGGGTAGGGGACTTGTCTTGACCCTGCATTTGCAGAGAACTAATACGTCAAATAATTGTCAATTGTCCAGAAAAAGTGTTGAAGGGGCTTATGGAGATTATGTCTGTTTGTCCCTGTTGCCACCACTATAATGGAGTCAAAAGCCAGAAAGCAACAGTTGAAGGAATGATGTGAGGAAATGGAGAAGTTTGGTTTGTTAGGTAGGAGAGACCTGAAGGGCAGTTAAAATAAGAAACAAAAACAAGACAGGGATTTGTCTCCAAGAAGTGGACACATCCTGATATTTCTATCCTATACACTAAGAAAAAGAAAGGGGAAAACAGAGAGGCTCAAGACACAGAGAAAAGTGGCTGAAGGGCCAAGCATCCAGGAAGAGAGTCTGGACTTGAAGAGGAGGAGAGCCCCCCACCTGGAAGTGCAAGGTGGGGGGCCTGTGGCTGTGTATAATTTCCTCCAAGTATGAATTGAAGTGGATCAGCCCCAATGGCCTCTATTTTCCCCATAACATAAGAGGTGAGGTTGACTGCTGAGAGTAGAGATGGGAGTTGTATGGAAGACTGGAGGAGGACAATGCCTATTTTTTAGAATCACTGATGAGGGATGTATGGGAAAGGCAGCTAAACAAGGACAAATTAAAGAACAGCTCAGCAGGCTGGTGATGGAGCAGTGTCAGTCATGGTCCCGACAAGAAGCAGATGGCACATTCAAGTGGTGTAACTGAGGAGCATGTCAGGAAGAGAATATTCACCAAGGTGTGAACAGGGTGAAGGGAAACTCATAAAGGCCAGTGAAGCACCCTGGAACTAGCAAGAGTGGGGAGCCTTTCCCACCCCCAGACCTCAGGGGCAAGAGGAGGGAGCAGATCCCAGATCCAGAGGGAATTGGGGTAATTTAGGAGAGGGCTGCCACACTGGAACTCATACAGCACAGATGCTGACATTATCTGAAGCCAGGCAGCCCTCTCTGTCTCCAGGTTCTGGTGACTGCTCCATCCTCTTGTCCCAGTCCCAGGGGATTCTGCTATTACTTGTGGTTTCACTATACTCTTTCTATACTTTTATAAATATAACTTTATTAGATTATCCAGTTTGAATACACCATCTATTTCCTGAAGGAAACCTGACATACATGGTTCTTTAAAAAGACTAATAAAATAGACAAACTCTAGAAAGAAGAACAAAGGAGGAGATGAATAATATTAGGAATAAAAAGGGAGACAAAGGGCCGGACGCAGTGGCTCACGCCTGTAATCCTAGCACTCTGGAGGCCGAGGCAGGTGGATCACTTGAAGCCAGGAGTTTGAGACCAGCCTGGCCAACATGGCAAAAGCCTATCTCTACTAAAAAAAAAAAAAAAAAAAAGAAAAAGAAAAAGAAAAAAAAAATTGGCCAGGCACGGTGGCTCACGCCTGTAATCCCAGCACTTTGGGAGGCCGAGGTAAGTGGATTAGCTGAGGTCAGGAGTTCAAGACCAGACTGGCCAACATGGTGAAACCCCTTCTATACTAAAAATACAAAAATTAGCCGGGCATGGCACACCCCTGTAATCCCAGCTATTCAGGAGGCTGAGGCAGGACAATTGCTTGATCCCAGGAGGCAGAGGTTGCAGTGAGCCGAGATGGTGCCACTGCACTCCAGCCTGGCTGACAGAGCAAGACTCTGTCTCAAAAAAAAAAAAAAATTAATTGGCCAGGCATGGTGGTGTGCACCTGTATTCTCAGCTACTCTGGAGGCTGAGGCAGGAGAATTGCTTGAACACAGGAGGTGGAGGTTGCAGTGAGTTGAGATCGTGCCAATGCACTCCAGCCTGAGTGACAGGCAAGACTCTGTCTCAAAATAAACAAGTAAATGAAAGGGGGCAGGAGAGACAAAGTACAGTTATAGCATGGATTTTTAAATACACTTATACTATGAACAACTTTATGCCAACAAATTTGAAAATTTATAAGTAATGGACAAATTCCTAGAAGATATATAACTTAAAACTCAAGAAGAAATTGAAAGCCAGACTAGATCTACTGCTATTAAAGAACCTGAAACAATGGATAAAAAATCTCCCCATAAAAGAGTGTTTTATGTAGCAAATGTAAATATTTCTAATGTCATTTTTTTTCTTTAAGAAAAAATTTTTAATAGAGATGGGGTCTCACTATGTTGTCCAGGCTTGTCTTGAACTCATGGGCTCAAGCTATCCTCCTGCCTCAGCTTCCCAAAGTGCTGGGATTACAGGTATGAGCCACTCTAATGTCTTTTTAAAATCTGACCCAACAATCCTGTGTACCTGTGTGTACTTCTTATTCTAGAAGAAGCTCTAACAGGCTGTGGGAAGCATCTGCTTTATTCACTGTTTACCCCAAGCCTAACATAGGCTTGGCTTGAACTTAACATAATGAAATGATGGCAGGAAAGTTAGAACATCTAGGGGATCAGTAGACATATGAGACTTCAGATAAGGGTAGGGGACCTTCATAAAAAACAGTAGGTCCCAAGTGAAACTCCAAACAGCCAGGGCAGGGCTGTGATCTTTAAGACTGAGCCCTAGTCCACCTGCTTTGGTACTAGTCAGTACCAGAAGTCCCTTCAGAATGAAAATCTTCATGCAACAAGTTTCTCCTTAAGATCTAGTCTCTACAACAACCTAATGAATCACCTCTGGAACACTGAAATTCACCATGTGGTCCTTTTGTTAATAGTGCTAAAGTACGTTATTAGGAAGTTCCTGAGAGAAACAGCTGAATAACATTACCAAAAAGGCCAGAACCCAGCTGGGTGTGGTGGCTTGTGCTTGTAATCCCAGCCCTTTGGGAGGCCAAGGCAGGTGGATTACTTGAGGTCAGGAGTTTGAGACAAGCCTGGCCAACATGGCGAAACCCTGTTTCTACTGAAAAAAAATATATATATATACAAAAATTAGCTGGGCATGGTGGTGGCCGCCTGTAATCCCAGCTACTCGGGAGGCTGAGGCAGGAGAATCTTGAACCCGGGAGGTGGAGGCTGCAGTGGGCCAAGATCATGCCACTGCACTCAAGCCTGGGTGACAGAGTAAGATGCTATCTCAAGATATATGAGAAGTTTTTCAGTAACTTTCAAGCTACTTATATTTGTTCCCCCACCCATATAGTTATGACCTGCAGTAAAACTTCTGAAACAAATATTTTCCTTTAAAGGCACCAAGAATCATGGTCTTATCACCATGACAAGAGGGTCCTAACTTTCATTTTTGATGTAGGGAAATTAACTTAGTTTTTATTCTTATTCAGAAGTTCTACAAAGTCATGTGGGTTTCAGCTGAACACAGGATGTGGGCACAGAACCCAGGGTTGCTTGAGGGTTAGATGAGACTTGGGAGGGTGTTGGGTTTTGCCTACCAGGAGCAGCTATGTTTTTGTTTTTGTTGTTGTTGATTTGTTTTTACTCCTGAGCTTCTGGACCAGTTTGCCATTAGAGCAGCCAAGAAGATGTAAGACTGTGTATCTCATGCAAAAGTGTTTTTACCATGAAGATCTGACTTCCAAATTCACAGGGGTCTCTCATCAGTCAGAGCTGAGTAGCTGACTTAAGCTCACATGACCCGGTGAAGGGCAAGCATCATCAGGTGGACTTGAGGGCTTCAAGTACGCTGCCCTGAAGCGCCAGGAATGTGGTTGCTAGGCATCCTCCCCAGGATCTACCCAGGACTTTCCTATCCAATTTTGTTGAAGCAAAACCTAGGGATTAAATTAAATGCAACCTCACAAACTACCAATGAAGGGTGTGGAAAACAGGGATCCTCTTTTTAACTATCTGCCCCCAAATATCAATCCCAATAAACTGTACTAAAAGCCATGGATGGCTAAAAATGCAGTTTATGTCTTTTCTCCATTCAAGCGTTTTTTTAATCATTAAACTATGTTCTCATATTTCCATCAGGCCCCAATGGATGGAGGATGCTAGCCCTTTAATGGGTGAGCAGGGGAGGAGCTGGGACTTTTAAAGCCAGGAGCGGCAAACAGGTCCTGGCCCAGGCTGCTATGAATAACTTAAACAGAAAGGACAGCAACAGTCAGGTGGTGGGTGTCGGCAGCAAGGCATCACCACACTCGGACGGTGACTGGTGATGTCGGTTGGGAAGTACTTCTCTTCCTGCTTCTAGCCTGTGCCTCATTTCTGTCCCTTTGTGGGACAGCTCCCTAGAGCCGAGCTGGGAGGGTGGGTGTTTATGGCAGTCTGAGACCCCAGGGTCTCTCTCCTCAAGACCATGGCCAAGAATTCTCTAACCATCTTGCTGGGAGGATTCCATGGCTGTTTTAGGGTGCCATGTCATCCTTACTGACTGAGGATGGTGCCTCTTGGCCTCTTTCTTGTCTCAGGTTTACCTTCCAGAGGCTGGCAATGCTGTTTCACTGGAGGACACGGCTAAGAAGGAAGTCCACCAGCCTGCCAAGATGAATTGCCTTGAAGGTATCAACAAGTGGGCCGTGATGTTATATAAAATGCCCCAGCATGCAGAGGTTGCTGGTCTGTTTCACATATGGGATTGGATGTCCAGAGTCACTGGAAGTTATTCCAAATTCTTCCACTTGCTAATTATATCATAATGGGTGACTGAAAGGTCACTCTTCTGGGCTTTATTTTTCTCACCAACCTAGTAAAATTATCAACAACAACCCAGGACAGCCTCATATTACTGTTAAATGAACATATGCACGTAAAGTATATGGCACACAGTAGGGTTAAATTGCAGTGAGTCAGGGCAGGTGGAACTTGTTCAAAGAGGCAATAGAAAGGGCGTTGGGTGGGGCAGAGCAGATGGAAAAGGCTGTGCTAGAACTTAATGAAGGAATTGAAGAGGGGATGTGAAAGTGAAGGTGTTTGGTATCTGCCGGGTTCCTTTTGTTTGCTTTTTAAATTTTTTACTTAGAGACAGGGTCTCACTGTGTTGCCCAGGCTGATCTCAAACTCCTGGGCCCAAATGATCTTCCCGCCTTGGCCTCCCAAGTAACTGGGACTACAGGCACGAGCCACCACACCTGGCTCAGGTTCCATTTGACTTACTGGGGGATGGTTCGGGGCACCTTGGGAGAAGGGAGGCCGAGTTAAACCCACAGAACAGGAGGCGTTATGTTCAAAGGTGGTGCTGGAGATGGCTTATGAACAGAAGTGCTATTGAGTAGCAGCCTCTCTAGACAAGACTCACAGCTGAGCCCCATCTTACCTTCTCCTCTGGCCCACACTTAAACCAAGGGCCAGGTAAGACCTGTGGCCCCTTGGCTTCTGAGGAGGAGCTGGTGTCTGCCTGCCAGTTGGAAAAAGAAGAAGAGAATGAAGGGGAGGAGGAGGAAGAGGAGGAGGACGAGGAGGATCTGGACCCAGATCTGGACCCAGACCTAGAGGAGGAAGAGAATGATCTTGGGGATCCAGCTGTACTTGGTGCTGTCCACAACACCCAGGTACCATGGCAGAAGGGAATGGGAGAGGGTTGTCCTGAACTGTCTGTGGCTCACAGGCTGTCACTAAACATTCCTCTTCTCTTTTCTACCCTTTTCTAAGACAAGTTCTGGATTAACACTTTCTTTTTAAGCCTTGAACTTGAGTTAGGGACTCTCTCCTTCCCTCTTTCTCCTGTCTCCCACTTCATTTCTGATGCTGTTCTCGCCTTAAAACCAGGTCCTAGCAGAGCTGTGCATCGCCCACAGGCGGTGGCCCTGCTACTAGCGTTAAAGGTGAGTCACGTTTGCCTGATCCTGGGCCCCTCTGTCTCAGTAGTCCATTCCTGGTATTTATTCCCCTGGATCCCATAACTAGTGGAGAAGGACAAGGACTCCTATGTAGATATGAGGTGATTTCAGAACTTCCTTCAACCTACTACTAAGGTACAGTAGTCCATGGTTTCACTTTCTGCCATTTCAGTTACCCTTGGTCAACTATAGTCTGAAAATAGGCAAGTATAGTACAATAAGGTATTTTAAGAGAGACCACATTCACATAACTTTTATTACAGTATATTGTTATAACTGTTCTATTTTTATTGTTCATTTCTTATTGTGTCTAATTCTTAAATTAAACTGGCCAGGGGCAGTGGCTTATGTCTGTAATCCCAGCACTTTGGGAGGGTTGCTAGAGGCCAGGACTTCCACACCAGCCTGGGCAACAAAGCAAGACCCTGTCGCTACAAAAAAAAAGAAAAAAAATTTTCAAAAATTAGCCAGATATGGTAGCACATGCCTGTAGTCTCAGCTACTTAGAAGTCTGAGGCAGGAGGATGGCTTGAGCTCAGGAGTTTGAGCCTGCAGTGAGCTATGATGGTGCCACTGCACTCCAGCCTGGGTGACAGAGCAAGACCCTGACTCTAAAAAAAATTTTTTTTAAATATATATATAAACTATCATAGGCATGTATATATAAGAAAAAAGCACTATACACAGGGTTTAGTACTATCCAGTTCTAGGCATCCCTTGGGGGTCTCGGAACATATATGTCTCATGAATAAGGGAGGACCACTGCACTAGTCTTATTCCTCCCAGGAGAGGGAGAGGGATCCTGGCCCAGCTGACTTTGAATCTGAGGGAGGGCCAAGCTGCCACTGCCCTGGATGTTGGAACACCTGGTCTTGCTGCTTCCTCCCACCACCTCAAAAACACAGGTGAATGCAGAAGACACTACAGGGGCCCATTTGAGCCTGGTTTTTCCTCCCTCCTGTTCCAGAGAGCTCTGCTTAGCTCCCCTGGAGTCAAGGCCCCTGGTATGCTGGGAATGTCACTTGCCTCCTTGCATTTTCTGTGGCAGGTGAGTCTGCTGCAGTCTCCATACTGTGGGTAGTGAGGATTCCATCTATTATGTTCAGTCTACCCCCAACCCTGGTCTGGAGTTAAGGCACCCAAAGTGAGGTATGGGTGTGGGAGGTGGGAGTTGCCCCATCATAGAGGAGCTTGATAAATGACAGAGGTGGTGTGCCCAAGCAGGGGCATGGATAGACACCTTAATAAGTGGTACTGGGACAACTGGCCATTTGTATGAACAAGGACAAACTAGATCCCTTACTCCTGCCTTAGGCAATCTTTCAGCAGATGGCCAGCGCTTAGCTGGAAAGAGCACCTGCCCTGCAGTTAACTGTGTAATGGGAACATGGCCTGGGGTAGAGGAATTCAAGAACCAGGATATCCTTCAGGGAGAACTAGAAGGAATTAAGAGCTCTGAGGAGGGCTTTGAGTGAGTCAGAAAAGACAGATGAGTACTGCCCCAGCGGCTGAAGACAGCCCAAGAGAAGACTATTATAGAGAGGAGGGTGAGAAGTGTTGACTTTCCAAATGGTAGGAAAAGCACATGACCCTGCATTGTCAGGGAATGAAGAGCTGCTTCCTAGTCAAGCCCTGTTGAAACAAGGGCAGGAACCATAGTCTGGTGCCCCCAAAGCTGCCTTGAGGGACTCACAAGATGGCACAATGTTGGGTGAAGTTCTTGAGGGGAAAAGGTAGGAAAGGAACTGAGCCCTCACAACAAGAGCAGCATTCTTTTGGTGGAGATGGCGTTCTCCCAGACCTCTTAATTCCTCTCTCAGACCTTGGACTACCTGTCGCCCATCCCTTTCTGGCCTACATTTCCCAGCACCAGCTCTCCAGCACAGCACTTTGGACCTCGGCTGCCCTCACCAGACCCAACTCTCTTCTGCAGCCTGCTGACCTCGTGGCCCCCTAGGTTCAGGTACTGGTTTGAGGTTCTCCCCAGAGGTCTCAGGAGGTGCTGGCTGAGGAGGGGCGGGGACCATGCCTACCAGTTGCCACAGGGAAACACAGAAAACTAGTAAGAGAAGTCTGAGGTATAGTCTAATTCCGTCTCCCTCACAAATTAGCCCCAGGGAGATTAAAAATTTATTTAAAGCCGGGTGCTGTGGCTCACACCTGTAATCCCAGCACTCTGGGAGGCCAAGGTGGGAGGATCACTTGAGGCCAGGAGTTCGAGACCAGCCTGGCCAACATGGTGAAACTGTGTCTCCACTAAATATACAAAAATTAGCTAGGCGTGGTGGCGAGCGCCTGTAATCCCAGCTACTTGGGAGGCTGAGGCAGGAAAATCACTTGAACCCAGGAGCCAGAGGTTGCAGTGAGCTGAGACCATGCCACTGCACTCCAGCCTGGATGACAGAGGGAGACTGTCTCAAAAATTAAAAATAAAAATTTATTTGCAATCAGGTAGCATGATGGAACTGAGACTACTATTCAGAACTCCTGATGACCAGGCCAAAATGTTTTCTACTGTTCCAAGATTTCCTGCAGCCAAATTGCAGGAAAATAGATGTTGGAGGAGCTTGGGAACCCTGTGGGTCTAGGACTATGATGTGCCATGTGGCTGACTTTGGGAAAGTACCTAAACAGATAAGGTTCCTTAGATGTCCATCAGAGCTGACCTGGGCTGAATGAATGGAGGGGGCAGAGAACTGAGAGCTTCCTTCCACCCAGCTCGTTACTTCTTGTCTTCCCAGTCATCTGACCCAGCTCCACCCTCGGCACCAACGAATCTTGCAGCAGCAGCAGCATAGTCAAACACCAAGGTAAAGCCCAGACCAGGAGCAGGGTTGAGGGGAGCCCATTTGCATGCCGGGTCTCCCCTTGTGACCAGTTGTCTCCCTCAAATCTCCCATGTGGTGGTTAAAACTCTCATACTGTTGCCCACCTCTGTGCTTGCTCCATCCTTCCCAGAGAGCCCCACTTCCTGCTCACCACACTCCTTAGGAAGTGCCAGTGGTGGGTAAGTCTAAAGGGTTGTTCCTCCTGGCTTAAAGTCCCCCAGCCAAGAAGCCTTGGTCTCAGCAGCCAGACCCCTATGCTAACCTCATGACCAGAAAAGAGAAGGACTGGGTGATAAAAGTGCAGATGGTGCAGCTGCAGAGTGCAAAACCCCGCCTGGATGACTACTATTACCAGGTGAGCCCCGCAGTACTCAGCCCAGCCTCTGACCTTGGGTCAAATGGGCCTGGACTCCCGGGCCCGCTCTGATCCTCTCTTCGGCTCATAGAGGTCATGTCTGTTCAGGTGGGAGAGAGAATCACTACAGGATGGGGGCCGTATTTCTAAAATTGACATCCCAAACTCATTTCTCTCTATCTTCCTACATTTCAGCCAACTAAGATTATTTCCAGTTCCCCAAACACACTTGGGTTTTGTCTCTACTCTTTGCTAAGAATTTTCCCTGTTCACCCAGGAAATATGGATTTTCCCACCTGTGTATGCTGAGAAATGTCTTGTTATATTCATCTACTTTGACTTTTTAGATCTAAAGCACAGGGATGTTATAAATAGTGGGATTCAGTTTGTTTAATTGAAAGAACGACAGCAGATATTTTTACTCATTTTCCCCTGCTTCCTTCTGCCTTTATTTATGGGGCAAGTCTTTATCCACAAGTTTTTGGGTTGTCTAGGCTGTTATCTTTCTTTTTCTTTTTTTTTTTTTGAGACAGAGTCTCCCTCTGTCATCCAGGCTGAAGTGCAGTGGCACCATCTCAGCTCACTGCCACCTCCACCTCCAGGGTTCAGGTGATTCTCCTGCCTCAGCCTCCCAAGTACCTGGGATCACAGGCATGCACCACCATACGCAGCTAATTTTTGTATTTTTAGTAGAGATGGGGTTTCACCATGTTGGATAGGCTGGTCTTGAACTTCTGACCTCAAGTGATCCACCCGCCTCGGCCTCCCAAGTGCTGAGATTACAGGCATGAGCAACCGCGCCCGGCTGGCTGTTTCACTTTCACCTCAACATCTGGGAGCCTCCCATCCAGTGCCCCATCCTTATTGCCTTCTCATTTACATTAGGTATTTTTCCTTTCTTTCCACCAAGCTTCAAAAGCCCTCCTTTTTCTGCGAGGGTCACTGAAAGTGAAATAGTTTTGTATTCTTGCCTTTTTGGCATTGCTTCTAAACAAAAGAGCCTTTTTCAAATCCTTGTTTGGCTTGTCAGTGGATTTTAGTTTAGGATTTCTCAACTTTAAGAAAATGTCAGAGCTGCTGAGCAAATCCACAGAAGTATAAAACTGGCCTAGAGGGCAACTGACAAACACTTCCCTATAGCTAGTTCTGTGCTTAAACCTCTGGATGGCCTTCATACCATCAGATAACTGATTTTTAGAAAGCACAGGTGAGATCACAAGATTAAATGGGGAAGTGGGGAGGACAGGTGGTATGCAGTGTGTGGGTACTAGAGCATGAGGAATGCAGGAAGGTTACAGACGCTGGAACAGGTTTGCTCACTGGCTCTCCACTTTGCTCTCTGACCTTTCATCAGACTTGGTGGTGGTATCTGGTCTTTAAGTATTTGGTATGTGAATTCCAAGATGGGTGATGTGGGGCCCAGGGTGCTTAAGACACTTTAGAATAACTGCAAGGAGGGCCTAAGGTGCCAGCATCATTTCTGGAATGATTGTTGTAGGAAAGAGTGTTAAGAGGCCGTGCTTGTCTGGGCACAATGGCTCGCCTGTAATCCCAGCACTTTGGGAGGCCAAGGAGGGCTGATTGCTTGAGTCCAGGAGTTCAAGACCAGCCTGAGCAACATGGTGAAATCCCACCTCTACAAAAAATACAAAAATTAGCTGGGCATGGTGGCACGTGCCTGTGGCCCCAGCTACTGAGGAGGCTGAAGTGGGAGGATCACTTGAGCCAGGGAGGTTGCAGTGAGCCAGAGATTGCGCCACTGCACTCCAGCTGGGTGACAGAGGGAGATGCTGTCTCAAACAACAAAACTTATAACACACACAAAAAAACTAAACTTAAGAGGCTGCACTTGAGAAACTTAATTCTAAATTCAAAAGATGAATATAAGGTGTTTTGTTTTTTTGTTTCCTATTCCGTGCATTCTCAGGAATATTACCAGAAGCTAGAGAAGAAGCAGGCAGACGAAGAGCTACTTGGACGAAGAAACCGGGTTGAGTCCCTCAAGCTGGTAACGCCTTACATTCCGAAGGCAGAGGCTTATGAGTCCGGTAGGGTCAGGGCTGACCTGCTGACTTGGGCTGGGCATCTGGGTGGACAGAGTGTGGGAGGGGGAAGGAAATGTGCCTCTCTTCTCATGCAGTGGTCCGAATCGAGGGTTCCCTGGGCCAGGTAGCTGTGTCGACATGCTTCAGCCCTCGCCGAGCTATTGATGCGGTACCCCATGGAACTCAAGAGCAGGTGGGAGCACTATCTTCCCAGACATTTTTCTCTCCCCTTTGGAAGAAGGGTCTAGAACATTCTTGTGTTTAAGACTGTGACCGAAGAAGGAGGAAGAAGTGTGATCAGACTTTGTTTCTAGCCTTTCCAGCTCAATCTCTAGCTAGTTGGGGGCCTGGGCTAGGGCTGTGGCAGTGGCAGTGTAGCTGATAGCTGGTGACTCCCTTCTCCTAGGATATAGAAGCTGCAAGCAGTCAGAGGCTTCGGGTATTATACCGGATTGAGAAGGTGAGATATCAGTTCCTTAGGGACGAGTTCCAAACCTACCTTTGAGAATGAGATATTACCCAAATTTACCTCTTTTTTCCACCCTCAAATTCCCAGATGTTCCTTCAGTTACTAGAAATAGAGGAAGGCTGGAAGTATAGGCCTCCACCGCCCTGCTTTTCTGAGCAGCAAAGCAACCAGGTTGAGAAGCTCTTCCAGACCTTAAAGACCCAGGAGCAGAACAACCTGGAGTGAGTGTGGGAGGGTTCCACCTCAGCCCAGGAAGGGAAGGAGCAGCAAAGACACTGGTCTTGCTTCTGCCTCTCCTTTGTGGCATGTAGCCCTCTCCTCTATGCAGAGCTCTGAAAATGTTCTCCTCTCTCCCTTGCAGAGAGGCAGCAGATGGCTTCCTGCAGGTGCTCTCTGTGAGGAAGGGGAAGGCCCTGGTGGCCCGGCTGCTCCCCTTCCTGCCCCAGGATCAGGCTGTTACCATTCTTTTGGCTATCACCCACCATCTGCCCCTCCTGGTCCGGAGGGATGTGGCTGATCAGGTACTGTGGCATTGAGTGGAGAAGAGGATGGTCTCCTGAATAGGTTAGGGGTCATTCCTCCCCTCCAGTCCCCACATGCCCCAGAGATGCCAGAGAAGGTGCTGGGCACAGCGAGGGATGCTGGCCTTGCCACCCTCAGGCAAGGAAGTTACAGAACTATTATAGGAACAGTGGATCATCTTCAGGTATGACGAACAAAAAGCAACAGGTGTATGGTTGCACAGGTGTCAGTGTGCTGAGGAGGTCTGAGTAAAAGATTAGGACGCCCTGATAAATGTTGAGCCCCTATCTACTTTTCTTAGAGAAGGATTCCTAGGACAAGTAGGTACCGAAGGTGTCAGTGTTGGGGATGGAGAGTCATAGTGGTGATAAGCCTGGTAAGTAACCTCACCAGGACGTGCCAAAGACAGGTCAGCGAGGGAAGGGACTGTGGAAGCAAGGTAAGGGGAGGTGAAGTTGTAGTGGAATTTGGGAGGTGCTTACTGATCTTCTTGCAGGCCCTACAAATGTTATTCAAACCTCTGGGCAAATGTATTAGTCACTTGACCCTCCACGAACTCCTCCAAGGACTTCAGGGATTAACGCTGTTGCCACCTGGCTCCTCAGAGCGGCCAGTCACCGTGGTGCTTCAGAATCAGGTAACATGTCTAGGAGGCTTTTTTCCATAGATGGCTTTCAGGTTGGTATCACTGATAAGGGGTAAGTTGGGGGACAGTCTCATCTCTACACAAATCTTATCCTCTGCAGTGCTTCTCTATTTCTAGTAAGCACATGATCACCTGGAAGCTTATTAAACCCAGCTCCTTGGTCCCACTCAGTCATTCAGTAGGTCTGGGGTGGGGCCCATGCACCTGCTCTGCTTTTCTAATAAGCTCCCTGATTGCTGCTGATGTGAGTCTCTAAAGCAGGTCTCCAAACTCTTGTATACCCCTTTCAGTAAAAAAATATTCTAAACCACACTACCCATGTGTTTATAAATCAAATACATGTAACACTAGTAATAATAGGTACATAATAAATATTTTCTTTTTTTATTTTTTAGATAGTCTCGCTCTGTCACCCAGGCTGGAGTACAGTGGCACGATCTTGGCTCACTGCAAGCTCTGCCTCCTGGGTTCACGCCATTCTCCTGCCTCAGCCTCCCAAGTAGCTGGGATTACAAGTGTTCGCCAACACACCCAGCTAATTTTTGTATTTTTAGTAGAGACATGGTTTCACCATGTTGGCCAGGCTGGTCTTGAACTCCTAACTTTAAGTGATTCGCCTGCCTCGGCCTCCCAAAGTGCTGGAATTACAGGCATGAGCCACTGCGCCCAGCCAATAGGTATATAATAAAAGACAGAAAATTTTAAAGAATGAGACTCTAGATGTGAAAATTTTGATGCTCTCTTCTAATATCCCAGTGGGTTATCTCATGTATGCCATACTGAAGGTCTTTGCTTAAAGAAGTGCCTCTTAAAGTGGGGTCCACAGACTACCTGCCTCAGATTCCTGGATGCATTCCCGATCTCCTACTCCTAGGAGTTAAGCCTAGAAGTATGCATTTAATCAGCTCTCCAAGAGTGTCTTTTGGAAAAGTTCAGAGCAGTGATTCCTATGGAAAGGGTTAGAGAGTTCTTTGGCTCACCAGTGTAAAACCTGACAGCACTTGTGGATATTTTGAGCTCTATCTCTAAATGTGAACCTGTCCTTTAGTTGGGAAGATAAGAGTCAGGAAAGCACCAAATGCCGAGTGTGAACTCATTTTGCTCTGGAATATATATATGTCCCTTGCAGTTTGGAATATCTTTGCTCTATGCCCTGCTGAGCCATGGGGAGCAACTGGTATCGCTGCATTCTTCCCTAGAGGAACCCAACAGTGACCATACAGCTTGGTAAGATCATAAAGGCCTTGTAAATACTATCTAGTACCCTCGGGATGTGCAGACTGAGCCAGGTGAAGTATTTCCTGAGGCATTTTCAAGTACTGAGGAAGAGGTTGGATAGAGAAAGTAGTAGCAGTGTTGTAGCTGTTCTGCTTTTTTTCTATAGTGCCCTAGAGTTTCGGTTTCTTCTAGGAGGCAGTATAACATAGTACCTAAGGGGACAAGCTTTAGATTTTAAAAAGACCTACGTTTGAATTCTGGCTGTATCACTTACTAGCAATATAACTTTAGGGCAAGTTCTTTCACTTCTCACTTCTCTTAGTTTGTTTCTTTATCTACAAACTAGGGATGATGGTATTAACCCCTCATAGTTCTTAAGATTAAATAGGAAGGGAAATGTGTAAAGCACTAAGCATTGCTTGGCACGTACCAAACATGCAAATGTTACCTCTGAATTGCTACCTGGGGGTGGGGGACAATGGTAGTAGTAACGGAAAGATAATAAGAAACCTTGGCCCTGAGTCTGTTTCTTAAGCAAATCTATTTGCTTATATTTATATTTATGCTCTCTAGGACAGACATGGTGGTTCTGATTGCCTGGGAGATAGCCCAAATGCCTACAGCCTCTCTGGCAGAACCCCTAGCTTTCCCCAGCAACCTACTTCCCCTGTTCTGTCACCACGTGGACAAACAATTGGTTCAGCAGCTGGAGGCCAGGATGGAGTAAGTAATGGCAGAAACAAGGTCAAAGCCCCTTGTTCAAGCCCAATCTATGTTCTGTTACTTGCTTCACTACTTCCTTCTTCTAAATTATGAGCATGAAGGATCATGTGTTTTTAGAAGTGGTTCTACACACTGACATTTACTGAGTAACCATTCTTGACTAAGTCTTCAGCCAACCTTTTATTCCAGGTGCTTTGGTCATTTATAGTGCTAACCTATTTGAGGGCAAGAATTAATTTAAGAACCTGAATTATTCATTCAAGAAATACTTGAGGGACAACTATTCTAGGATATAAGCATGAATAACATGGTCATCTCTGTCCTCAGAATTACTGCTAGAAAGAGTCAGATACTAATTAAATCATATAAATACTTGCAAAGTAGAATTGTGCTTGCAGTTAATATCTGTTCTCTTTATAGGTTTGCCTGGATTTACTGATCTGTTTGTTCTGGAATACGTGTATGTGGGAAGTTGAATCATCAGACACTAGCTACATAGACTATGTTTACAGGGATCCAGAGAGTCTGAAGACATTTCTTATGCCTTTATATATTGGAGAACCCTTCCCCATTTTCATATCCTTTCTTCAAAAATCTAAATGATGTGCCTAAAAATAAGACATGGCATAATAAGGTATAATTAAAGAGATAATAGAATGATGTGTTGGAACTTGCTTGTAAGTTAAAACCTGTAATGAAGGCTATCCTATGTGTGAGTGCTCCAGGAATGTCCTTTTTCTTTTTTTTTTTTTTTTTTTTTTTGAGACAGGGTCTTACTCTGTCACCCATGTGGGAGTGCAGTGCCACCATCATGGCTTACTGCAGCATTGACCTCCAGGCTCAAGTGATCCTCCCACCTCAGTCTTCTGAGTAGCTTGGATTATAGGCATGTGACACCACACCCAGCTAATATTAAAAAAAAATTTTTTTTGGCCAGGTGCAGTGGCTCATGCCTGTAATCCCAGCACTCTGGGAGGCCGAGGTGGGCAGATCACCTGAGGGTCGGGAGTTTGAGAACAGCCTGACCAACGTGAAGAAACCGCGTCTCTACTAAAAATACAAAATCAGCCAGGCATGGTGGCACACGCCTGTAATCCCAGCTACTCGGAGGCTGAGGCAGGGGAATCGCTTGAACCCAGGAGGCAGAGGTTAGAGGTTGCAGTGAGCCAAGACTGTGCCATTGCACTCCAGCCTGGACAACAAGAGCAAAACTCTCAAAAAAAATTTTTTTTGATTTTTTTTGTAGAGACAAGGGTCTCCCTATGTTGGCAAGGGTGGGCTCCAGTGATCCTCCCAACTTGGCCTCCCAAAGTGCTGGGATTTACAGGCATGAGAAGACTGTCCTGATTATAAGGGACAAGGCTTTGTTGTAGCTAACACAAGTGTAACCTTAGAAATTGCTTTAACGTTGCCATTTTTTACAGAAAGAACACAGCCCCAGCTAAGCTTAGAAGGTTGAATATATCTCCCTTGTGATAGAAAACGTTTGGTTTCAGCTGGGCACGGTGGCTCACGTCTGTAATCTTAGCACTTCCAGGCTGGGACAGGTAAATCACCGGAGGTCAGGAATTCGAAACCAGCCTGGCCAACATGGTGAAACCCCGTCTCTACTAAAATACAAAAATTTAGCTGGGTGTGGCGTGCGCCTGTAATCCCAGCTACTGGGAAGGCTGAGGCAGAATTGCTTGAGCCCAGGAGGCGGAGGTTGCAGTGAGCCGAGATCCCGCCACTGCACTCCAGCCTGAGTGACAAAGCGAGACTCCATCTCAAAAGAAAAAAAAAGTTTGCTTTTATTTTGACAAATAAGGTCATGCATTGATCAACAAATGCGGGAGTACCTTTCATGAAACATGCACTGTTTTAGGTACTAGCCAGGACAGTGGTGAGCAACAAAGTCCTTGCTCTTTTGAAGTTTACATTCTTATTGGACAGGAACTGGCAGAAAATATCAAGTAGTGATAAATACTATGATTAAAAACAAAACTAGGTGAGAGACTGCAGTAGAAGGGACCTTAGGTTGAATGGCTTGGGGAGGCCTGTCAATAGAGGTTACATTTATGCTGAAATGTTCTGAATGTGGAAGATGTGTTAAGAAGGTACAGTTGTCTTTTAGGAGACTTTACCAAAATACCTATTCAACCCCTCTTCTCACCTCAAACTCTTTGCTCCTCTCCTTCTCTTGATCTTGGATCATACTTCCCTGAGAAAACAGACAGGAGCTCTCTACCATCTCCACCCCTTACTTACCCCGTCTCTCTGACTGTTACAATGGATATTATTTGACTTCAAATTTCGGGTCAACACCCTTACTATGGATCCACACTGTAAGACGGTCCATGCTACCAAGGAAATGGCACCACCCCAGAGCCTGTAAGCGAACAGCACAATAAGAAAAGCGAAGAAAAGAGGCAGGAACTGGGTTCCAAGGGAGCTGGAGGCAGCTGGACCAAGAAGGCAAAGAGCAATGCCACAGAGCGAGAACGGCTGCAACGGCCTGCTACGCTAAGCTAGGCCTTCAAGCATGCCAGAGCAGTTAAGCAGAGTGGGACTGGCGTCAGGGCAGATGTGGCTTTGCTAGAGAGGCTGGTACTGCCCCCCACAGGAAACGAATGGAATCGACCGGAGACAGCCGAGAGGTCTCCGCGGGAGTCACGAGGCCGAGCGGGAGCCGCTACGTACACCGCGCATGCCCACGACGCAGTCAGGTTCCGGCGAAAGTGACCGGAAGTAACCGCCGGGCCAAGATGGCTGCAGAGGAAGGGGTCGCGAGTGCTGCTTCCGCCGGCGGTAGCTGGGGCACCGCGGCCATGGGGCGGGTTCTACCGATGCTGTTGGTGCCAGTCCCCGCCGAGGCGATGGGGCAGCTCGGCTCCCGGGCGCAGCTGCGCACACAGCCGGAGGCTCTGGGGAGCCTGACGGCTGCGGGCAGCCTCCAAGTGCTTTCTTTGACGCCTGGCAGCCGGGGCGGGGGTCGCTGCTGCCTGGAGGGCCCCTTCTGGCAGTAAGTGCTGAGGGAGAGTTGGGCCGTTGGGGGAGTCCAGAGCCTAGGCTCGGCTGACTGAGCCCCAAGGGCTCACGCCGAGGCCTCCCTGCAGCCATAGAGGTGGCGGGAGAAGGGTGCCAGCTGCAGGAAACGCCCCAGAGGCGAGCGTGGTTTCCTCACAGAACCTTTCCCCCGACCTGAAACGCTCGCCTCGTTGCATTCTGGCAGCCCAGCTCTCCTGTTCCGGGTGGGCGGAGACGGCACCCAGCTCCATTGCCACCTGCGGCGAACCCGGAACGGGTCTCAGCTGAGGCGCTGATTCTTTCATTATTCAACACAGGTTGATTAACTGTCACAGGGTCGAGTCCCATGCCCATTTCTTTCAGTTAAAGATGCCAGCTGAGGATCATCTCTAATTTGAATCATCCTGATACTTTTTTCATGTCCTTGAAGTGAATAGCGTTTTCTTTCACATGTAGTCCTCTTCTTCAAGGACAGAGTCCAGTTTGTCCCTTCATTTATTCAGCAAATATTGTGTGCTTGCTGTTACATAGGAGCAGTGCCTAAAAAGTTGAGTAAGACACTTCTTTCTTGCGAGGCGCGCATGTTTGGGGAAGACAAACATGATTACAATAATGCATTACTTTGTACTTCCGTAACTCTTGGTTCAGTACTTAAGAGTTTACATCATAAAGTTTGGGAACGCCCTCTTAGTGTTTTGAGTGGGCTGCTGCTTTTTTTTTTTTTTTTTTTTTTTTAAAGATAAGGTCGCTGTCGCCCAGGCTGGAGTGTAGTGGCTCAGTCACGGTTCACGGCAGCCAGCCTTGACCTCCCGGGCTCAGCCTCCCCAGCAGCTACGACTACAGGCGTGCACCACCAGGCCTGGCTAATTTTTCTAGTTTTTGTAGAGATGAGGTCTCACTGTGTTGCCTAGGCTAGTCTCAAGCTCCTGGGCTCAAGTGATCCCGCCTCTCCCTGCCAAAGTGTTGGGATTACAGGTGTGAGCCACTGAGCCTGACCTGTTCTTTTAATAATTATTAATAGTAAGTATTTTCACAACTCTTTCTTTAAGATGAGTAGCCAAAAGGTGTCTTATTAATCTTGGAATCTCCAGCTCCTCTAACAGCTCCTGACATTTAGAGATTCATTTGATACATCAGTGAATGCTTAACTCTTCTGGGTTTGTCTTCTCTACCCTTGATGTCTAGTTGCTCGAAAGAGGAATCTCTGCGTTTAGTTTATAAACTTATTATAAACTAAGTTATTTATAAACTAGTTTAGGGGAAATTAGTTTATTTAGCAGTATCAAGTACCTATGAATGTGGCTCTGTAAAGAGAGGAATGGGGCAAAGAAAAGCCGAAATCTTTAGGTGTTTGAGAACCCAGCAGGGAAGGTAAGACCGAGATGAAATAAAGGGGGCGTTCATATGCTAGTTCATGAAATTAGAGGGGAGGAGGACCAAGAAAGGACTTTTTAACTTTTTTAGTTGAATTGAATTTTAATTCAGTTAAAATACTTCATAGGTTAAAAATAAGGGCATGTTTATAGTATTTAGAGTTTACTTCCTACTTTTTCAAAGTACATAGGTCTTTTTAATATTGTTGAAATTACATCATATATCTTGTTTATTGCATTGAAAATTTCCTGTCTTTCCATGTGGCAATATTGTCCCTATGCTAATGATGTACTCTACCTTTTAAGTATATCTTAGTTTAACCTTTTGTATATTTGACATTTAGGTTATTTTCTACATTTATCAATATGAACAGTCAGAAAAATGTCTTTTTTTTACCTAATAAGGACATATTAATACTATAATAGTATAAAACTACTATAGTAGTATAAAATACATAATAGTACATAATACTATTATGTACTCTTATTAGTTTTATTACTAATTGAATTAAATCATGTATGTACCACAGTAGTTTTATATACTACTCTAGAAGTATAAAACACTACTTCTGTAGAAGCAAGTTTCTTAAAAGATGAAATTTTATCAGCATGGTATAGCCTCACCTCTTTCATTGTGTTATTTTCAAATCTGGGGCTTTTATTTGTAATGTGTAATTTAGTTTTAATATTTAATTTGAAGCTGAAACACCATCAGTCTTGCCAGTGTTGTTATTTTGACATTTCAGTTTAAGAATTCCGTAACTCTACCGTTTAGTAATGGTAGTCATTAGCTACATGTGGCTGTTAAAGTAAAAAATTTGGTTCCTCAGTTGCCCCACATTTCAAGTGTTCAGTAGCTGCATGTGGCTATTGACTACTGTATTGGGCAATGCTAATATAAAACATTTCCATCACGGAAGGTTCTATTAGGCAGAGTTTTTCAAGATTTGGAATCGTCAGTCTATAAATACAAATAATCACTTTCTTTTAAAAGTCAAAACATTTAAGTTATCAAAAGCCTATTTTATTGTGAATACCACCTCATATAAATAATATACATATTTTGTTGTTGATACCTACCCTTGATCATGACAGTTTGTTTAAACATACTAGTTGGGATTAAAGATGAAAGAATAAATGGAGCCATCATTTCTTGCTCTGAGCCCCACATTTTTGTTTTTTACCACCCACTCCTGTATTTTCGTGTTGGTGTAAAAGGGAAGCGGGAAGAGGAGGGAGGTCCTAGAGCAGTTTATGTTCTCTTAGATTGAAGTGTAGAATGACTATACCAGGTCAACTAAACTGTTCTCTACTTATTCAACCCTTCTACCCCCACCATTGTGGGTAAATATTATTGCGGATATAGAATATAATAAATCTAAACTTTTTTTCTTAGCTTTCTATGGGAGGATTCTCGTAACAGCAGCACACCAACTGAAAAGCCCAAACTGCTCGCTCTTGGTGAAAATTATGAACTGCTTATCTATGAATTTAATTTGAAAGATGGAAGATGTGATGCAACCATTTTGTATAGCTGTAGTAGGGAGGCATTGCAAAAGCTCATTGACGATCAAGATATCAGTAAGTATCTACAGGTGGTCTTTCAGCATATTTAAATTTGTGACATTACCATGTAGTTACATACTTCAGGAAAAGTCATAGAGGTGAAATCAGGTCTACGCTGTCTGATATAGTAGTCACTAGGCAGATGGGGCTATTGAGCACTTGAAATATGGTTAATATGAATTAAGATGTACTTTGTGTCATATACATATTAGATTTTGAAGACTTAATACTAAAAATAAAATATCTCAATTTTTTGTATTTAATTACATTTCAAAATATGAAATACTTTGAATATAAGCTAATGTATATTATTAAAATTAATTTCACCTGTTTCAATGTGGCTACCAGAAAATTTTATTTATTTATTTTTATTTTATTTTATTTTTTTGAGACAGTCTCGCTCTGTCACCCAGGCTGGAGTGCAGTGGTGCCATCTCAGCTCACTGCAACCTTCGCCTCCCCAGTTCAACTGATTGTCCCACCTCAGCCTTCTGAGTAGCTTAGACTACAGGCGCCCGCCGCCACGCCCAGCTAACTTTTATATTTTTAGTAGAGACAGGGTTTCGCCATGTTGGCCAGGCTGGTCTCAAACTCCTGACCTCAAGTGATCTGCCCACCTGGGCCTCCCAAAGTGCTGGGATTACAGGTGTGAGCCACCCCTGCTAGAAAATTTTAAGTCATGTATGTGGCTCACATTATATTTCTATTGGACAGTGCTGATCTAGACTGCTTATAGAGCTGTTGACTGCCGGGAGCAGAAATCAAAGCACTCAGGCCTCTATTTTTAAAGCAGTAACATACTCTTCACCCTTGATTATAAGGTTTCTTCTTTTTTTCTTTTAAAAAAAGAAAAAGTCTTCTTATGGGGTCCCATGGGTAAGTTGGCTTTTTTGAATACTCCTTCTAGTGTGCTGTCAGACTAGCATAAATGGAATCAGGGACATTGTAGGCCATCTTTAGTCATCCTCTTACCTACCTCCCAGTGACTACTTCCTTAGGTGGGTGTGAACGATAACTGCGTAAAGTTAGACTAAGTCCAGTTCCTTTTTTGTTTTACTTTTTTGTATTAGGTTTATCAAATCAAATGTACCAGTTGTAAAATTGTGACCAATGAGTTTGAAATAATATCCTTTTGTTTTGTAGGTATTTCCTTATTGTCTTTGAGAATCCTGTCATTTCACAATAACACATCATTACTGTTCATCAACAAATGTGTCATCCTACATATTATATTTCCTGAAAGAGATGCTGCAATTAGAGTACTCAACTGTTTCACACTTCCCTTGCCTGCACAGGCAGTGGACATGATTATTGACACGCAGCTCTGCAGAGGAATTCTTTTTGTTTTGAGTAGTTTAGGCTGGATCTGTATCCTTGGTGGTAGAAGTGTTGATTGATACGTAGAGGAGAAGAACACCTATAAAGATGAGCCTTTTTAGGCTTTAGTTTTGGGAGCTGGGATATAGGAAGTGTGGTTAGTTTTTCAGTAAAACTTTTCATGGAAAAAGATCCTCATAAACTTAAAATACTAAATTGTATATTGCTTTATATTTTAGTTGAATATTTTCCAGTATATACATTTTTAATAGTATTAACCATACATATCTGTGTTCTTTTAAAATTGTATATTCTCTGCATTACCTGTTTATTCAAAATGTATTTCTTGAATATCTACTATGTGCTTATGTGGCCAGGTGCGGTGGCTCACGCCTGTAATCCCAGCACTTTGGGAGGCCGAGGTGGGCGGATCACAAGGTCAGGAGTTCGAGACCAGCCTGGCCAATATGGTGAAACCCCGTCTCTGCTAAAAATACAAAAAAATTAGCCAGGCGTGGTGGTGCATGCCTGTAATCCCAGCTACTCGGGAGGCTGAGGCAGGAGAATTGCTTGAACCTGGGAGGTGGAGGTTGTGGTGAGCCAAGATCGTACCACTGCACTCCAGCCTAGGCAACAGACTGAGACTCTGTCTTAAAAAAAAAAAAAAAGCTTATGTTGTGATACATGTCTTTTCATGTATAAATATAGTCTACCTCTTGTCTCTAATGATGTTTCCATCATATTAATAAATGTTTGCTTTGCCACGTTAATTTGATCTTAGAAAATATTATGGGTTCTTTGTCTCCAGTAGATCTGTTGGTCATCAGCAAAATTATTCTGAAGATTTGACAAATTACCCCTTATATGATTTTGGAACTTTAATTTCTGAATTAAAATAATGGTTTTTATATTTTGTAATAGGTATATAATTTTTGCAAAAGTGTCATAAATCCTAAATTAACAATTATTGTTGCCAGGTTATGGAACTGCACTGTCCAGAACAGTAGGCACTAAGCGTATGTGGCTATTAAGCATATGAAATTGGCTAGCATAACTTGGGAACCGAATTTTTAATTTTGTGTAATTAGATTTTTTTTCTTCTCCTGAGACAGGGTCTCACTCTCACCCAGGCTGGAGTGCAGTGGCGTGATCTCGGCTCACTGCAACCCCTGCCTCCTGGGCTCAAGCGATTCTCGTGCCTTAGCCTCCCGAGTAGCTGGGACTATAGGCATGGGCCGCCACGCCCAGCTAATTTTTGTTACTTTAGATTTAAAAGCTGATACTCAGTTCAGTCATTGGAGAACTTTTAAGGATGTTTGTTACAACTTTAGTTGTTCCAACTTTAAACCTTAAATTTTATGAAGTCTCAATACAGATCAGGTATTTCTGATGAAAATTTAGTATGCAAATTAAGATGTGCTCTAAGTAAAATATCAGACTTTGAACATTTATAGAAGAAAAAACATAAAATGTCTCAGTTTTTATACTGACTGCATGTTGATAATACTTTGGATAGACAGTATTGGGTTACATAAAATAGTAGGTTTACCTCATCTCTTGGCCAGTGCTGTTGGAAAATAGCAGTGCCTCTGGGCCTGGCCCAGAGCAGATGTTCAGCAGGTATTGTTGAAGAACTTGGTATCAGGTTCTTTATTGTGGCATCAACTTCATAGTCATCTGGTTGTTATAATGGGGGCTTGCCTCAGTTTTCAGTCTTCTTCTGTTATACCTACAAAATTGGAGTGATAAAGTCTATAGCTCTTTCCCAACCTGTGCTTTAAATAGTTAGGCATACTTACAAAACTGGCATTTTCTTTTAACTCTAACTAAAAGACATTTTTGATGTTGTGGATGGTACATATGTAGCTCATGTGGATTTAGCACTTCACAAAGAAGACATGTGTAATGAGCAGCAACAGGAGCCAGCCAAGATTTCTTCATTTACTTCACTGAAAGTTTCTCAAGACCTCGATGTTGCAGTGATTGTCAGCTCCTCCAACTCCGCAGTTGCTCTTAACTTAAATTTGTATTTCAGGTATGTAGATGACTGCAGTTTCTAATTTGAGGTAAATAGTTAGACTGATAAGAGGTTAAAAATATCCTCGTTAGTTTTTTTTTTTTAACTAGTGTTTCTTTTTCTATTCAGTTAGATCATGTTCTAGCTAATACATTGTAAAGTAGTTACTGAATAATATGTATAACTGACCACTGGCTACCTTTTATATTTTTACATGTTCATCAAAGTTTTGATTTTGATTTGATTTATATATGGTTTATGTCATGTAAATCAAAATTACACAATTTTAAACCACAGTTTAGCACTTAATTGTATAGACATGTTATTTCCCTAATTTTCTCATGTTTCCCATAGAGTTTATAAGCTCCTTGAGAACCCAAGTTCATGATTTGTTCTTTAAATTCATTGTCAATGACTTTTTCTTCCAGTTTACCTTAGCTTTCCACCTCCACAGCCATACCCTAGGCATTATCAATATTTGAAGTCGTCCCTCCCCCAAGTCACTACTTTTTACATCTCAGTCTCTGACCACAACTTCCCAAACTTTCCAGCTTGCTTACTCAAGTACTCCCACTTCACCTGTCCTCTGACCTAACTGGAATTTCCAATTCATTGACCTTCCACTCTTTACCCCATCCTGTCTTCACTTCCCTCTCTTTCCAGCATAGATTCTGTGATCCATCATACAGTTACTTTCTTGCATGTACTCTAAACTCTTGCTCCTGCCCTGTGATAGCACTTGGTCTGGCAAAATTTCAACCCTGATTGAAATCTTTTTTTCTGCCTTCACAGTGTCTGCAGTCAGACAGCTGAGTACTTGTAGAAAACAACAAAAGAAAATTGATACCACTCTAGGTTCACACTTAGTACCTTTAATTGGTCTTAATGTTGCCTGGAAATTTTACAGTGATTTTTCATGAGCCCATTCTTTACAACTGTATTTTTAAACCTTCTCTGTTTTCCTCAAACCTCCATTAATCTCTTTATTCCCAACTTTTCTTGGATGACCTTGCCTCCTATGAAGGCCCATCCCTCTGTGTGTGCTTTAGATCCCATTCCTTCCATCCTTCTTAGGGGCCTTTCTCCATTTCCTCTCTTTTTTATATAGTTGTCGCCTTTATCCACAGTTACAGTTTCTCCCAGTCAGTTGTGTTCCGGAAATATTACATACAGTAAGATATTTTAAGAAAGACTACATTCACATAACTTTTATTACAGTATATTGTTGTAATTGTCCTATTATTAGTTATTACTCCCTCACTGGGCCTAATTTATAAATTAAACTTTATTATAGGTATGTATGCATAGGAAAAAACAGTACAGTTGACCCTTCAACAACTCAGGGATGCCAACCCCCTGCACGATCAAAATGCCACATGTAACTTTTGACTCCCCCAAAACTTAACTACTAATAGCCTACAGTTGACCAGAAACCTTACTGATAACATAAACAGTTGGTTAACACATATTTTCTATGTTATATGTATTACACTATATTCTTACAATAAAGTAAGCTACAGAAAAGAAAATGTTAAGAAAATTTTAAGGAAGCGAAAATACATTTACAGTACTGTACTGTATTGATACTCTACATAATCTGTTTACAAGATGAGTAGTCTGTCTGAAAAGGCAAGCAACCGCAGCAGCATACCTCAACCCATGGTACATGTCAGGCAATTCATGTTTTTCTTACAATGTCATGACTTTTCTCTACTTGGGAGCACTTCCAGCATTACATTTCATATGGGTCCCATGGTGTTATACAAGGTTATGGTATGGCACGAAACATGATGAAAAATACATGAGAACCACAAGAAATCACTTTTAAAAAATTATGTTGTTATTATTTTAGAGACAGGATCTTGCTATGTTGTCCAGGCTGGACTCAAACTCCTGGGCCCAAGCAGTCCTCCAACTCAGCCTCCCGAGTAGCTGGGACTATACGTTCACGTCACTGTGCCAGCTAAAGAGATCACTTTTTACTGTGTTACACAATTTACTGGAGAGAAGAACTGCTCACACAGAGATTATTAGTACCACATGGCATTTTAAGCAGATGCTTACAACACTAGGGCTCACTGCAATGGCAACAGGAAGTGGCCATGATATTATTACAGCAGTACAGTATATACTACAGCTAATTATATGCAGTTATTTAATACTGCATCTTGACATTCGTTTACATTTTCTTTGGCTTCGAATGGTATCATGTACAGTCCGTAAGTGTGTACATTACATAGGTTCTGATAAATGTTAACTTTTTTTTTTTCTTTTTTGAGATGGAGTTTCGCTCTTGTTGTCCGGGATGGAGCGCAATGGTGCAATCTCAGCTCACTGCACCCTCCGCCTCCTGGGTTCAAGCGATTCTCCTGTCTCAGCATCCTGAGTAGCTGGGATTACCCACCACCCACGCCTGGCTAATTTTTTGTATTTTTAGTAGAAATGGGGTTTCACCGTGTTGGCCAGGCTGGTTTTGAACTTATGACCTCAGATGATCCGCCCACCTTGGCCTCCCAAAAATGCTGGGATTACAGGCGTGAGCCACCGCGCCCAGCCAATCTTAACTTTTTATAATAAGTTTGTGGGTTTCTTTTTTTTTAATTTTGAGATGGAGTCTTGCTCTATTGCCAAGGTTGGAGTGCAGTGGTGCAGTCTCGGCCCACTGCAAGGTCCGCCTCCTGGGATCAAGTGATTCTCGTGTCTCAGCCTCCCAAGTAGCTGGGATTATAGGCATGTGCCACCACGCCCAGCTAATTTTTGTATTTTCAGTAGAAACGGTTTCGCCATGTTGGCCGGGCTGGTCTTGAACGCCTGACCTCAAGTGATCCACCTGCCTCAGCCTCCCAAAGTGCTGGGATTACAGACATGAGCCACTGTGCCCAGCCAATTTGTGCATAATTTATGGTAGAAAATGATAGAGTAGTAACTATGTAACTTTTATGCATTCATGACATACCTGACTTAATCTTTATTTTAAAAAATATTTCTAGGCTAAACTGGGCATGGTAGTACATGCCTGTGGTCTCAGCTACTCCGGAGGCTGAGGCAGGAGGATTGCTTGAGTCCAGGAGATCAAGGCTACAGTGAGCTGTCATTGCACCACTGCACTCCAGCCTGGGCAACAGAGCAAGACCCTGTCTGAAAAAAATATATTTCTAGGCTACATGGTTCATTTGTGAGTTTAAACAAATTGTTGCAAATCTTTACAAATTTTTCCAATGTATTTTTGGAAAAAAAAAATCATATAAGTGGACCCATGGAGTTCAAACCTGTGATATTCAAGGGTCAACTGTATGTATAGGGTTTGGTACTATCTGCAGTTTCAGGTACCTACTGTGTGTCTTGAATGTATCCACTGTGGATAAGAGGGAACTACTGTATCTCCAACTTCTTTTTGGTATTAGATCCACATCCAGTTAATCATCAGGTCCTACCCTTTCTGTCTCCTAAATGTTTCTTTGTCCACTTTTCTCAACTCTTCTGTCGTCACTCTATGCCACCATTATCTCTTAACTGAACTATTTTAATAGTCTCCTACTTGATCTCCTCATGCCTATTACCCCCTCAAATCCATCCACAATAGAGTAGCTAAGAGTGATGTTGTTAAAATGCATATTTTATCAGAGGTGTAGCCAGTCATTAACATCTGGGGCAGGGGTATCTACCTTTTATTTTGTTGATGGGGGAACTATTTTCTCATGCATCTTCTCATTTTCGCCCTACCTTCTCTAACTTCTTTTCATCATCATCCTGGGACAGTGTCATATGGTTGTGTCAACAAATTACCTTCAAGTTGTTTAAAGGATTAATATTTAATAATGTAAGTGTTCAAAGAGATAAAATCCTTCCCCTTCTTCCCCTAGCTACTCTGCTGCATCTGTTCATATTGCTTTTCTGCTTAAAAGCCTTCTTCAGGTTCCTTTTCCCCCTCAGATAAAAGTTTAAAATTCTTAATAGCCTATGGGGCCCTGAACCATCTTTCTAGCCTCATCCCATTCCATCTTACTTCTCATTTTCTGTACATTAGCCACCCTAGCCTTCTTTGTTTCTCAAATGTAACAGCCCCCTTTTCCACATATACTCTCCCACCTATACCCACATACATACTTTACCTTCTAGTTCTTATGCATTCCTCTGGTCGCAGCCTAAATCTTACTTTGTGGTGGCAGTATAATGAGTGATTTTAAAATCTGGACTGGAGGCCGAGGCAGGCACATCACTGGAAGTCAGGAGTTTGAGACCAGCTTGGCCAATATATAGTAAAACCCTGTCTCTACTAAAAATACAGAAATTAGCCAGGCATGGTGGCATGCACCTGCAGTCCCAGCTACTCGGGAGGCTAAGACAGGAGAATCGCTTGAACCCAGGAGGCAGAGGTTGCAGTGAGCTGAGATTGCGCCACTGCACTCCAGCCTGGGTGACAGAGTGAGACTCTGTCTCAAAAAAAAAAAAAAGAAAAAAAGCTAGACTTGATAGTCACATTAGTCTGTTTCAAAGTGTTTCTGAACCTTAGTTTCCATTTCTATAAGATGGGGTTATATTTACCTCACAGGGTTGTTAGAGGCTTAAATAAGAGTTTGTGTGAAGTGTTTAGCATAACATCTGAAATATAGTAGACAGTAAGTGTTCTTACTGCTTTATCAAGCTAACTGCCCTTAATAGAGTAAAATTCTTAGAGTTCACTCTATTACTGTGACATAAGCAAGGGAGATAAGGAGTTCCTTTCTGCGGAATTTGTTGTACTATTCCTTCTCTGTAATCTCTTATTTTTAACAGGAGCAGTAGTAACACAAATTTGGGTTTGATCATCATTTTTTCATATGTCTATCATTATTTTTAAATGTAGGCAACACCCAGGACACCTACTGTGTGAAAGAATACTAGAAGATCTTCCTATTCAAGGACCTAAGGGCGTAGATGAAGATGATCCTGTTAACTCTGCCTACAACATGAAACTGGCCAAGTTTTCCTTCCAAATTGATAGGTACAGAAACTTCCTTTTCATGTAGTTTATTGTTCTTATTTTTTATCATGCTGACGCTGTACCCTTTCATTAAAGGTCTTTATTTGATAGATACTTTTTTTTTTTAAGAACATCTTTGCCCTGGTTTAGTGTTTTACATAGTGCCTTTTACTGTGACAGGTGTTAAGTTATATTTTACCTTGTTTCCAGGTCTTGGAAAGCCCAGCTATCATCATTGAATGAAACAATAAAGAACTCCAAACTGGAGGTTTCCTGTTGTGCTCCATGGTTCCAGGATATTTTGCATTTGGAGTCACCTGAATCTGGTAACCACAGTACAAGTGTGCAGAGCTGGGCCTTCATTCCACAGGACATAATGCATGGGCAATATAATGTTCTACAGAAAGATCATGCCAAGACCAGTGATCCAGGAAGATCATGGAAAATAATGCACATCAGTGAACAAGAGGAACCCATAGAGCTTAAATGTGTGTCTGTGACAGGATTCACTGCACTGTTTACTTGGGAAGTGGAAAGGATGGGCTATACCATTACCCTCTGGGATTTGGAGACCCAGGGCATGCAGTGTTTTTCCCTTGGCACAAAGTGTATTCCTGTAGACAGTAGTGGAGACCAGCAGCTGTGCTTTGTTTTGACAGGTGAGACTGTCTTGTATTAGATTGAAATCCATTGCTGAGATGTATGCTTTCCTACTGTATTTTACTTCTGCCTCAGTGCCTGCTCTTGCCTTTAAGTGGTATTGTAATTGTTTATAGAGGAAGTTTCTTGTTATTCTTGGTAATAGTGTCTCATATGTTTGGCTTTTAATTAACGTCATTTCTGCCCAGCTAAATGCTAAGATACTAAGAGAAAGTTTGAGAGAAATGAAGTTTATTATTATTATTATTTTTAACCCAAAGAGTCTTCATTTGACTTCACAAGCAGAGGTTGTAAGCAAGGTGCTCATGGGCCATGTATGAACTGCATATTTATTTTGCTTGGCTTGCACTGTCTAGGCTTTTAAAAAAGATTATAAACATTCAGAATGAGAGGATTTCACACAAATTCTAATTTCCAGCTGTTACTGAAAAATTATAAGATCTGCCGGGTGCGGTGGCTCACGCCTGTAATCCCAGCACTTTGGGAGGCTGAGGTGGATGGATAACCTGAGGTTGGGAGTTCAAGACCAGCCTGACCAATATGGTGAAACCCTGTCTCTACTAAAAATACAAAAATTAGCCTTGCGTGGTGGCCGGCACCTGTAGTCCCAGCTACATGGGAGGCCGAGGCAGGAGAATTGCTTGAACCTGGGAGGCGGAGGTTGCAGTGAGCCGAGATTGCACCACTGCCCTCCAGCCTGGGAGACAGTGAGACTCCGTCTCAAAAAAAAGAAAAAATTGTAAGATCTGGCAACACTGGATCTGCATTCCTGCATAGTAACTTATGGGTTGGAGCTGAGTTTCAGTTGTTCTCTTAGATGGGCCATTTTATTTCTCTTTTTTTTAATTTACTTTTTTTTTTTTTTAGGCAGAGTGTCACTCTGTCGCCCAGGCTGGAGTGCAGTGGTGCGATCTTGGCTCACCACAACCTCCACCTCCCTCCAGAGTAGCTGGGACCACAGGCACGCACCACCACTCCCAGCTAATTTTTGTATTTTTAGTAGAGACGACGTCTCGCTCTGTTGGCCAGGTTGGTCTGAAACGCCTGACCTCAAACAGTCCACCTGCCTCAGCCTCCCAAAGTGTTGGGATTACAGGTGTGAGCAACCACACCTGGCTGTACTTTTATTTTTTAATAGAGATGAGGTCTCACTACCTTGCCCAGGCTGGTCTCAAACTCCTGAGCTCAAGTGATCATCCCGGCTTGGCCTCCCAAAGTGCTAGGATTACAGGCGTGAGCCACCATGCTTAGCCTGAGCCATTTTATTTCTGATTAGGTTTTTCTTGCACTTTTCTCACTACCTGCTTTGCCCCTGTACCCATGGGAGATTTTGATATTTCAGATATGCATTCATTCACCGCATAATTCATCTTCTGCAAAGGTATTGAATGTTGTGATTATTGGAATTAACCGTGTGTTTCTTCTATACCCAAATTTTGGTAATCATGTATTTCTATGTGTCAGGAATATGCTATGAATTATTTTATAATAGTAAACCAGAAATCTGACATCTGTAAATGATTAAAGGTTCCAGGATTGATTATGCAAGATAATATAAAGTAGAAATGTGGGGTTTAGTGCTTTTTTTTTTTTTTGATATGGAGTCTCACTCTTGTCTCCCTGGCTGGAGTGCAATGGTGTGATCTGGCTCACTGCAACCTCCGCCTCCCAGGTTCAAGTGATTCTCCTGCCTCACCCTCCCGAGTAGCTGGGATTACAGGTGCCCGCCACCACACCTGGCTAAATTTTTGTGTATTTTTGGTAGAGACGGGGTTTCATCATGTTGGCCAGGCTGGTCCCAAACTCCTGACCTCAGGTGGTCTGCCCACCTCGGCCTCCTGAAGTGCTGGGATTACAGGCAGGAGCCACTGTGCCTGGCTAATTTAGTGCTATTTCATAAAATGCATTGCTCTTATAAGAATTTGCCTTGTGGTCAGTGTTTTAAAGACAAATTTTCTTGGTGGGTGCAGTGGCTCACGCTTGTAATCAAAACATTTGGGAGGCCAAGGTGGGAGGATCACTTGAAGCCAGGAGTGTGAGACCAGCCTGGGAAACAAAGTGAAACCCTATTGCTACAAAACAATTTAAAAATTTTTTTAAATTAGCAAAACAGTTTTTTAAAAATTAGCTGGGTGTGATGGCATGAAACTGTAATTCCAGCAACTCCAGAGGCTGAGGTGGGAGGATTGCTTGAGCCCAGGAGTCTGAGGCTGCAGTGAGCTATGATCACACCACTGCCCTCCGGCCTAGGCAATAGAGGGAGACTCTGTCTCTAAAAAGGAAAAACCCACAAAACTCGCCTATAAAAATGTTGAAAAACCATGATGAGTTAAGATCATTATAGTACATGATATCCAGTAAATATAAATATATTTGTAATTATAGTACTGAAGTATTGAGTAATTAAAAATCAATTCCTAAATCATAATCCTAAAATCTAATCTAATTTGTTAAAGCTAACTTTTATTTTTCCTATAGAGAATGGACTCTCTCTGATTTTGTTTGGTTTGACTCAAGAAGAGTTTTTAAACAGACTCATGATCCATGGAAGTGCCAGCACTGTGGACACTCTTTGTCATCTCAATGGCTGGGGAAGGTGCTCAATTCCCATACATGCACTAGAGGTAACAGAATTAAATGCCCAAGAACATTACTTAATTATTTTGTGTTATATACTTTTATTCGATTTAGGATTTGAGAGAATTCATTTAATTTAGCAGCAAAAAGAACTATAGCCTTTGTATATCTATTTAAACAGTTCTGGCTGTTTCATTACCCTAACTCTGCTTAGCAGTTTACCCTTTTTGGCTTTAAAAGATATAAGATTATAGTAAATAATAAGAAAAAGGTACAGGAAATGGAGGCAACATTAAGCTAATGAGACTAAATGAAGTGGAAATAAGCTATGGAAAGCTTGAACAGTAATGATCTTTTATTCCTACCTTATGCTTCCTACTTTTTTTTTTTTTTTTTTTTTGACACAGGGTGTCACTTTATTGCCCAGGCTGGAGTGCAGTGGTGCAATCTCAGCTCACTGCAACCTCCGCCTCCCAGGTTCAAGCAATTCTCCCACCTCAGCCTCCCCAGTAGGTGGGACTACAGGCACGCGCCACCATGTCCAGCTAATTTTTGTATTTTTTGGTAGAGGCAGGGTTTTGCCATGTTGGCCATGGCTGGTCTCTAACTCCTAATTTCAAGTGATTCACCCGCTGTGTCCTAGAGTGCTGGGATTACAGGAGTGAGCCACTGCACCCAGCCTGCTTCCTACTATTCTGATCCAACTTCAGAAGAGGCATAACCTGAATTTATGTAAGATTTTATAATTCACAAACACTCTTTTACATGGAATATCTAATTTGGTCCCAAAACAACCATATGAGACAGATTGGGTTGTTTATATTCTTTTTATTTTACAGATGAAGAAACTTAGGCTTTCAGTGATTGAGTGGGTGACCCAGAGCCATGTTAATAAAGACAGGAGCTAGAATCAAGGGCAGGGTACCTTCTGCTATACTCACAGTCCCTGAAGTTAATAATGTTATGTGCCAGTTTCTTTAAATGACAGCTTTATTGAGATATAAATCACATACCCATAAAATTCACCCTTTTAAAATGTACAATTCAATGGCCTGTGGTATATTCAGAGTTGTGCAGCCATCACCACTAATTCTAGAACATTTTCATCACCTCAAAAAGAAAGTCCATAACCATTAGTGGCCACTCCCTATTTCCTGTTGTCTCCAAGTCTTAAACACCAATCTACTTTCTGACTGGATTTTTCTATTCTGGACATTTCATGTAAATTGAATTATAAAATATGTGACCTTTGTGACAGGCATCTTTGACCTAGCATGTTTTCAAAGTTCATCCATGTTGTAGCATGTCACTACAACTTCATTCCTTTTTATGGCTGAATATTCCATTGTATCAATATATACTGCATTTTGTTTATCCATTCATCAGCTGATGGACATTTGGGTTGTCTCCACTTTCTAGCCATTATGAATAATCCTGCTGTGGACATTTGTGTACAAGTTTTTGTGTTGACATATGTTTTCATTTCTCTGGGGTATATACCTAGCTGTGGAATTACTGGGTCATTTATTATTTTTGAGGAATCCCCAAACTTCCACAGTGACTGCACCATTTTACATTCCCATCAGCAATGTATGAGGGTTCTGCTAGCTGCACATCTTAGCTTAACACTTGTTATTGTTTGTTTTTTATTGCAGCCATCCTAGTCAGTGTGAAGTCAAAATGAAATGGCATCTCATTGTGGTTTTCATTTGTATTTTCCTAATGACTAAACATGTTGAACATGTTTTCATATGCTTATTGGCTATTTGTGTGTCGTCTTTGGAGAAATGTCTGTCAAATTAGGTTGTCTTTTTATTGAGTTCTAAGAGTTGTGTATATATTCTGGATGCTAGACTCTATGACATACATGATTTACAAATACTTTCTCCCGTTCTTTGGGTTGTTATTTCACCTTTTTAAAATTTTTTTAACTTTTATTTTAGGTTCAGGGGTACATTTGCAGGTTTGTCACATAGGTAAATTGCATATCATGGGGGTTTGGTGTACAGATTATTTCATCACTCAGGTAATAAGCATAGTACCTGATAGGCAGTTTTCAATCCTCACCTTCCTCCTACCCTCCACCCTCAAGTAAGCCCCAGTGTCTGTTGTTCTCTTCTTTTTGTTCATGTGTACTGTGTTTAGCTCCCACTTATAAGTGAGAACACCCAGTATCTGATTTTCTGTTCCTGCATTAGTTCACTTAGGATAATGGCCTCTAGCTCCATCCGTGTTGCTGCAAAGGACATGACCTCGCTCTTTTTTATGGCTGCATAGTATTCCATCATGTATATGAATCACAAATTCTTTATCCAGTTGATATGGTTTGGCTCTGTGTCCCCACCCAAATCTCATCTTGAATTGTAATCCCCATGTGTCAAGGGAGGGAGGTGATTGCATCATGGGAGCAGTTTCCCCAGTGCTGTTCTCCTGATAGTGAGTTCTCAAGAGATCTGATGGTTTAAAAGTGGCAGTTTTCCCCTGTACTCTCTCTGCCACCATGTAAGGCATGCCTTGCTTCCCCTTCACTTTCTGCCATGATTGTAAGTTTCCTGAGGCCTCCCAGCCATGCAGAACTGTGAGTCAATTAAACCTCCCTTCTCAGGTAGTATCTTTGTAGCAGTGTGAGAACAGACTACTAATACACTAGTTTGCCAACCTAAATGCCAATCATGGGCATTTAGGTTGATTCCATATCTTTGCCATTGTCAATAGTGCCGTGAGGAATATATGTGTGCATGTATGTTTATGGTAGAATGATTTATATTCCTTTGGTTATATACCCAATAATGGGATTGCTGGGTTGAATGATAGTTCTGCTTTAAGTTCTTTGAGAAATCGCCAAATTGCTTTCCACATTGGCTGAGCTAATTTACATTCCCACCAGCACTGTATAAGCTTTCCCTTTTCTCTGCAACCTCGCTAGCACCTGTTATTTTTTGACTTTTTCATAATAGCCATTCTGACTGGTGTGAGATGGTATCTCATTGCGATTTTGATTTGCATTTCCCTAATGTTAAGTGATATTGAGCATTTTTTCATATGCTTATTGGTTATGTGTATGTCTTCTTTTGAAAAGAGAAGGACATGAAAGGACATGTCTGTTCATGTCCTTTTCCCACTTTTTAATGGGGTTGTTTTTTGCTTGTTAATTTGTTTAAGTTCCTTACGGATTCTGGATATTAGACCTTTGTCAGATGCATGGTTTGCAAATATTTTGTCTTATTCTGTAGGTTGTCTGTTTATTGATAGTTTATTTTGCTTTGCAGAAGCTCTTTAGTTTAATTAGGTCCCATTTGTCAATTTTTGGTTTTTGTTGCAATTGCTTTTGGTGTCTTTGTCATGAAATCTTTGCCAGGGCCTATGTCCAGAATGGTATTTTCTAGGTTATCTTCCAGGGTTTTTATAGTTTTAGGTTTTACTTTTAAGTCTTTAATCAAACTTGAGTTGATTTTTGTATGTGGTATAAGAAAGGGGTTCAGTTTCAATCATCTGCATATGGCTAGCCTTTTATCCCAGCACATTAATTGAATAGGGAGTTCTTTGCCCATTGTTTGTTTTTGTCAACTTTGTGGAAAACCAGATGGCTGTAGGTGTGTGGCTTTATTTCTGGGCTCTCTGTTCTGTTCTATTGGTCTATGTGTCTGCTTTTGTACCAGTACTATGCTGTTTTGGTTATTGTAGCCTTGTAGTATAGTTTGAAGTCAGGTGATGTGAAGTCTGCAGCTACAATTGGTCTTAGACAAAAGGCCGAGAAGTGATGATGTCTCCAGCTTTGTTCTTTTTGCATAGGATCGCTTTGGCTATTCAGGATCTTTTTTGGATCCATATGAATTTTAAAATAGTTATTTCTAATTCTGTGAAGAATGTCATTGGTAGTTTGATAGGAATAGCATTGAATATGTAAATTGCTTTGGTCAGTATGACCATTTTAACAATATTGATTCTTCCTCCATGAGCATGGGATGTTTTTCCATTTGTTTGTGTCATCTCTGATTTCTTTCAGCATTGTTCTGTAATTCTCATTGCAGAGATCTTTCATCTCTCTAACTGTATTTCTAGGTATTTTATTCTTTCTGTGACTTTTGTGAATGGGATTGCATTCTTTATTAGGCTCCCAGCTTGAATGTTGTTGGTGTATAGAAATGCTGCTGACTTTTTTTTTACATTGATTTTGTATCCTGAAACTTTGCCAAAGTTGTTTATCAGATCCAGGAGCTTTTGAACAGAGACTATGGGGTGTTCTAGGTATAGAATCATGTCAGCTGCAAACAGAGATAGTTTTACTTCCTCTCTTCCTATTTGGATGCCTTTTATTTCTTTCTCTTGCCTGATTTTTCTGGTTAGGACATCCAGTACTATGTTGAATAGGAGTGGTGAGAGTAGACATTTTTGTCTTGTTATGGTTCTCACAGAGAGTGCTTCCAGCTTTTGCCCATTCAGTATGATGTTGGCTATGGGTTTTTCATAAATGGCTCTTGATATTTTGAGATATGTTTCTTCAATGCCTAGTTTGTTGAGGGTTTTTAACATGAAGGGATGTTGAAGGGAGTACTACTTGAGGAGCAAGCAATGGTTTTTGTTTTTACTTCTGTTTATATGATGAATCACATTTATTGATTGCATATGTTGAACCAGTCTTGCATGCCAGGGATAAAGCCTACTTGATTCTGTTGGATTCGCTTTTTGATGTATTGCTGGATTCAGTTCACTAGTACTTTGTGGAGAATTTTTTTTTTTTTTTTTGAGATGGAGTCTTGCTCTGTTGCCCAGGCTGGAGTGCAGTGGCGCGATCTCGGCTCACTGCAAGCTCCACCTCCTGGGTTCACGCCATTCTCCTGCCTCAGCCTCCTGAGTAGCTGGGACTACAGGTGCCCACCACCACACCCGGCTAATTTTTTTTTTGTATTTTTAGTAGAGACAGGGTTTCACCGTGTTAGCCAGGATGGTCTCAAACTCCTGACCTCTTGATCGGCCTGCCTCAGCCTCCCAAAGTGCTGGGATTACAGGCGTGAGCCACCACTCCCAGCCAGAGAATTTTTATATCTATATTCATTAAGGATATTGGCCTGGTTTTCTCTTTTCATTGCGTCTCTGCCAGGTTTTGGTATCAGAATGATGCTGGCCTCATAGAATGAGTTGGGGAGGAGTTCCTCCTCAGTTTTTTTGGCTTTTCACCTTCTCGATGGTGTCCTTTGAAACGCAAAAGTGTTTTAGTCTTATGAAGTCAATGTATCTTTTTTGGGGGGATGAGGGGGTCATTTTTGCTTTTGGTGTTGAATCTGAGAAAGCATTGCCTAATCTGAGATTGTGCAGATTTATTCTTACAAGACTTTTATAGTTTTAGCTCTTACAGTTAGGTTTATTATGCACGTTAAGTTCAATTTCTTATATGGCATGAAGGAGGAAGCCAACTTCATTCTTTTGCATTCTTTGTGGATCTTCAGTTGTCCTTGCACCATTTGTTGAAAAACTTATTTTTATATACTCTAAAATATCATTGTAAGAAAAATAATTAAGTCTTCTGTAAATCTACCATCCAGAAGTAATCATGTTTACTATTTGGGTGTTATTTCCTTATAGTTATTTTTTCTATGTTAATAATAGACAAGTGTTATCTCATTAATTTTCTTATTATTAATACTGTTAGCCCCATTTTATAGATCAGGAAGCTGAAGCACAAAGAGGTTAGGAAATCTAACTCAGCTATACATGGGCATAGGTGGTAGCACCAGGATTTTAATTCACACAGTGCCTCTCCCCTTAAACAGTGCACATGTCTCTGTGTGAATTTAATTAGTATTGCATTGTATATACAACATTGCTTTGGCCCTGGTCTCCTCCTACATAAAAATGAATGAGTAATATATATTTTAAGTGATAACAATAGTAAAACAAATATTCTTGTATCCACCATCAAGGCAAGAAATAGAATATCATGGATATCTTTGAATGTGTATGCCCTGCCCTGATCCTATTCCCTTACCTTGCCTGGCCTCAGAATTAACCACTCTTCTGAAATTTTATTTATTTATTTGTTAATGAGACAGGGTCTTGCTCTGTCACCCAGGTTGGAGTGCAGTAGTGTGATCATAGTTCACTGTAACCTTGAATTCCTGGGCTCAAGTGATCCTCCTGCCTCAGCCTCCCAAGTAGCTGGGACTATAGGTATATACAACTGCACCCAGATAATTTTTATTATTTTTTTTTTTTTTGTAGAGGTGGAATCTTGCTTTGTTTCCCAGGTGAGTGTCGAATTCTTGGCCTCAAACAATCTTCCTGCTTTGGTCTCTTAAAGCACTGGGATTACAGGCATAAGCCACCATGCCCAGCCATTCTGAAATTTTTAACCATTCTCATGATTTTCTTTATTTTTCTGCATATAAATGTATCCCCAAATAATGCTATTTAGTTGTAGCTAATGTTGAATTTTGCATAAAATGGAACCACTGTGTATGTGTGTGTGTGTATATATATAATTATATATTTTACATATTTTTTTTTCTTTTCTTTCCTTTCTTTCTTTTTTTTTTCTTTTTTTTTTTTTTGAGATGGAGTCTTACTCTGTCACCCAGGCTGGAGTGCAGTGGAGCTATCTCAGCTTACTGCAACCTCTGCCTTCTGGGTTCAAGTGATTCTCCTGCCTCAGCCTCCTGAGTAGCTGGGATTACAGACACGTGCCACCACACCTGGCAACTTTTTGTATTTTAGTAGAGATGGGGTTTCACGATATTTGCCAGACTGGTCTCGAACTCTGACCTCAGGTGATCCTCCTGCCTCAGCCTCCCAAAGTGCTGGGATTACAGGTGTGAGCCACCATGCCTGGCAGTGTATATATATTTTTTGAGACTCAACATGATTTTTTTGATTCATCCATGTTTAATGTATATAACTATAGTTCATTCAGTTTCACCTCTGTATCGTATCCCACTGTATAATATGTCTTTATCTAGCTTTAAGTTGTTTCCTTTTTTTTTTTTTTTTTTTTTTCTGTTAAGCAGTGTTGCTGTAAAGTTTCTCATGTATCTGCTGCAGCACATGGGCAAGAGCGTCTCTAGGGTGAAAGCAGAATTGCTTGATCATACGGCATGCACATGTTTAATTTTATTGATAATACTCTAGTTTTCCAAGATTGTTTTATCAGTTTATGCTCTCACCAGCAGTGTATGGTTTCTCATTGTTGCATGTTCTTGATGTTCTTGCCAGCACTTAATTTATAACGTTTTTTCCAGTATGATGGTATGATGGATTTTCATTTGCATTTCCCTGATTAAGGTTTTGTGTGTGTGTGTGTGTGTGTGTGTGTGTGTGTGTGTGTGTGTGTGTAAGATATTTGGATTTTTTTTCTTTCATAAGTAACCGTTCAAGTTTTTTGCCTATTTTTCTTTTCGGGTATTTTTCTTTTTCTTATTGGTTTATAGTGTTGGATATTCTCTAGATACCAATTCTTTGTTGTTTGTGTGGTGGATGTATTCTAGTCTGTGGCTTGTCTTTTTACTTAATTCGTGGAATCTTTAATATAGTTCTTAATTTTAATGGAATTTAATTAATCAGTCTTTTCCTTTATGACTAATGCTATTTGTGACATCTATCCTTAAATTATATAGTTTCTGTTTTTTCCTAAAAGTTTTTCAATTATGAATTTTTTTTAATGCAGTGGAGAGATCTCAGCTCACAGCAATCTCTGCCTCCCAGGTTCAAGCCATTCTCCTGCCTCAGCCTTCTAAGTAGCTGGGATTACAGGCACCTACCACTACACCCAGCTATAAATTATGATTTTCACATTTAAGTTCTTTATCCATTTAAAACTTATACATGATATGGGCTATTTTAATTTTTTCCCATACCGATAACCATTTGTCTGAGCACTTTTTTGAAAAGTCCTGGCTGGGTGCGGTGGCTCACGCCTGTAATCCCAGCACTTTGGGAGGCCAAGGCAGGCAGATCGCAAAGTCAAGAGATCGAGACCATCCTGGCCAACATGGTGAAACCCCGTCTCTACTAAAAATACAAAAATTGCTGGGCATGGTGGTGCACACCTGTATTCCCAGCTACTCGGGAGGCTGAGGCAGGAGAATCACTTGAACCTAGGAGGCGGAGGTTGCAGTGAGCCAAGATCAGGACACTGCACTTCAGCCTGACGACAGAATGAGACTCCGCCTCAAAAAATAAAAAATAAAAAAGTCCTGTCTTTTACTGCTGATCTGAAATGTCTTGAGTGTCATATATTAAGTTTCCACATATGCATGAATTTGTTTTTGACCTCTCTATTCTGTTCATAGGTCTTTCCTTAGGCCAATTCCATCTTGCCTTTATTATCGAGGATTTTAATTAGGACAAATTCCCTTATTCTTCAGGGGTGCCTTTATTGTTGTCTGTTCCTTAATCTTTACTTTTTAGGATTAGCTTGTCAAGTTTCATGAAAAATTGTTAGGATTTATATTAGAATTACATTAAATCTATATATCAAGTTGGGAAGAAATGGCGTCTTTAGGATATTTAATCTTTATATCCATAGTCTTTCTTGTCTTTTGGGGGGCGGGGCAGGTCTTTATTAATGTCTTTCAATAAAACATTACAATTTTTACAATTTTTCCATTAAAATCTTGGCATCTTTTCCATTATTTTTGGTGTGTGTGTTGTGTGTATATTTAAATACTGTATTTATTGTTCATTCTAAGTGTTTTTGTTTTTGTTTTTTTTGAGACGGAGTCTCACGCTGTCACCCAGGCTGGAGTGCAGTGATGTGATCTCGGCTAACTGCAATCTCCATCTCCTGGGTTCAAGCGATTCTCCTGCCTCAGCCTCCCAGGTAGCTGGGACTACAGGCACATGCCCCTACGCCTGGCTAATTTTTTGTATTTTTAGTAGAGACGGGGTTTCACTGTGTTAGCCAGGCTGGTCTCGATCTCTTGACCTCATAATCTGCCTGCCTCGGCCTCCCAAAGTGCTGGGATTACAGGCATGAGCCACCATGCCCGACCCTAAGTGGTATTTTTTAAATTGCATTTTGTTAATTGACAGTATAAGGAAATATAATTAATTTTTGTGTATTGATTTTTATATCCAGCAAATTTGTTAAATTAATCCTAATAATTTATTAGATTTTATTGAGTTTTCTATATAGTTAATATACATATAACATCAGAATAATATAGTTTTCTTTCATCTTTTCAAATCCTTGTATGTACTTCTTAGCACTTTTTTTTTTGAGACCAGGTCTCACTCTGTCACCTAGGATGGAGTGCAGTGGCATAGTCCTGGCTCACTGCAGCCTCCGCCTCCCAGTTGCAAGGGATACCCCCATGTGAGCCTCTGAGTAGCTGGGACTACGGTTGCACACCACCACACCCAGCTAATTTTTTTATTTTTTGTAGAGACAGGGTTTTGCCATGTGCCCCAGACTGGTCTTCAATTCCTAGCTCAAGCAATCCTCCCTCCTCGACCTTCAGAAGTGCTGGGATTACGGGCGTGAACCACCACGCCTAGCTACCACCTTTTTTCTTAATTGGGGTACTAGGGTCTCTAGTATAACATGATCCAGAAGTAATCTTTGCCTTATTCCTGAGTAGAGCACACACGCTCTCTCTCTGTCTCTCCATCTCTGTGTGTGTGTGTGTGTGTGTGTGTGTGTGTATCTCTTTGTGTGTGTGTGTGTGTTTTAAGATACCCTTTGTAAGGTTAAGTTCCCTTATGTTCCCTGCTATGAGGTTTTATCATGAATGGGTATTGGATTTTATTGAATGCCTATTCTGTATCTATTGAGATAATCATATGAATAATCTCCTTTAATTTGTTACTGTAATGAACCACATTATTACATTTTTATTTTTGTATTGTAAAATACAATGTGTAAAAAAATACGCAGGATACAGTTTAACAAATAATAATAGTTACTATTATTATTATTTTTTTTTTGGAGACAGTCTCACTCTGTCACCCAGGCTGGAGTATAGTGGCGCAATCTTGGCTCACTGAAACCTCCACAGCCCGGGTTCAAGCGATTCTCCTGCCTCAGCCTCCTTAGTAGCTAGGATTACAGGCATGCACCCCCACGCCCAACTGATTTTTGTATTTTTAATAGAGGTGGGGTTTCCCCATGTTGGCCAGCCTGGTCTTGAACTCCAAACTTTAGGTGATCCACCCACCTCGGTTTCCCAAAGTGCCGGGATTACAGGCGTGTGCCACTGCACTTGGCCAACAAATAATTATCAAGCAAAAACTCTTGTAACCACCATCCAGGTGAAGAAATAAAACATCATAAGCACTCCAGGAGCTCCTTTGTGCCCTAAACTAGTTTAGAAATTATTCACTTTCTGTTCTTTAAGAAGCTATCCTAGGAAATATAATGTACATACTTAAATTATCAGATCTAAAGTTTGTTTTTTTGTTGTGTGTGTTGGGGGGGGGGGTTTTGTGGTTTTTTTTGTTGTTTGTTTGTTTGTTTGTTTTGAGATGGAGTCTTGCTCTGTCGCCCAGGCTGGAGTGCAGGTGGCACGATCTTGGCTCACCGTAGCCTCCACCTCCTGTGTTCAAGCGATTCTTGTGCCCCAGCCTCTTGAGTAGCTAGGATTACAGGCGCCTGCCACCATGCCTAGCTAATTTTTTGTATTTTTAGTAGAGGCATTTCACCATGTTGGGCAGGCTGCTCTTGAACTCCCAACCTCAAGTGACCCACCCGCCTCGACCTCCCAAAGTGTTGGGATTACAGGCGTGAGCCACCACACCCAGCTCAGATCTACAGTTAATAACTAATTGTTTTGAATAATACAGGTCCGTTGAATGCTTTAACTTCATTTACTCATAGCCTATTCATGTTATTGTTGTGTTTTATTTTTTTAACCACATTAGACATTATTATGTATTTAGGTTCATTTTTCACCATTTATTTTGCTTTTTAAACTTTTTGCTGAAAATGAAGACACAAACACATACATATCCTAGGCCTAGGATCATCGATATCACTGTCTTCCACCTCTACATCTTGTCCCACAAGACAATCTTCAGAGGCAGTAACATGCATGGAGCTATCGTCTCCTATGCCTTTTTCTGGAATACCGTGAAGGACTTACCTGGGGCTGTTTTATAGCCAGCTTAAAAAAGAAATAAGGAGTACATTCTAAAATAACGAAAGTATAGCATAGTAAATAATAGGCTGTAGGAATTTTCAGCTCTATGATAATCTTATGGGAACCACCATTGTAAATGTAGCCTGTTGTTGAGTGAAATATTGTTATGTGGCACATGACTACTCAGTTTTAATAAAAGTTCCATGTGCTTGAAAATTGAAAATGTATTTTCCAACCCAGGCACAGTGGCTCACACCTGTAATCCACTTTGGGAGGCCGAGGTGCGCAGATCACTTGAGGCCAGGAGTTTGAGACAAGCCTGGCTAACATGCCAAACCCCATCTCTACTAAAAATACAAAAAAATTAGCCGGGTATGGTGGCTCACACCTATAGTCCCAGCTATTTGAGAGGCTGAGGTAGGAGAATCGTTTGAACCCAGGAGGTGGAGGTTGCACTGAGTGAGCTTGAGGAACTGCACTCCAGCCTGGGCAACAGAGTGAGATCCTGTCTCCAAAGAAAAAAGGGAAAACAAAATGTATCTTCCATTTGTCACATTGGTCTTTCAATCAGAAGTAGTTAGACTGTTGACACTTTGCTCAATCCTTCTTAACCACTATGAGACGTTGGTACATTGTGGATAATTTCTTCATATCTCCCAGTGCACTAATTCTTTCTTCACCTGTGTCTAATCTGCTATTAAACACATCTGTTTCTAATTTAAATTTTTATTTTTAGAATTACTATTTTGCATTGTTTTTATATGTGTGATTTTGAAAATTTGTAAATCTATAGAAAAACTTCAAAAATTAGTAAAATGAACATTAAGTTAAATTTCACCTAGTTCACCAACTATTAACATTTTACCACATTTGTGTTTTTTTTTTGTTTTTTTTTTTTTTTTTTTTTTTTTTTTTTTTGAGATGGAGTCTTGCTCTGTTGCCCACACCGGAGTGCAATGATGCGATCTCTGCTCAGTGCAACCCCTGCCTCCTGGGTTCAAGCGATTCTCCTCTCTCAGCCTCCCAAGTAGCTGGGATTACAGGTGTGCACCACCACGCCTGGCTAATTCTTGTATTTTTAGTAGAGGTGGGGTTTTACTATGTTGGCCAGGCTGGTCTCAAACTCCTAACCTCAAGTGACCTGCCTTTCTCCCAAACCACATTTGTTTTTTTGTTTTTTTTGAGACAGAGTCTCACTCTGTTGCCCAGGCTGGAGTGCAGTGGCACGATCTCGGCTCACTGCAAGCTCCGCCGCCCAGGTTCACGCTATTTTCCTGCCTCAGCCTCCTGAGTAGCTGGGATTATAGGCGCCCGCCACCACGCCCGGCTAATTTTTTGTATTTTTTAGTAGAGACGGGGTTTCACCATGGTAGCCAGGATGAAACCACATTTGTTTTAATTGTACCTTTTTTTTTTTCTTAACCATTTTAAAGTTGCAAACTTTATAATCCTTCACTCTAAGTACTTTAGTATATATATCATAAGAACAAGAATATTCTATTCATTGATAATTTAGTTTTTACTCCCATCACTCAGAACGAAGGCATAGTTTGTTTATAGTCTCCTCTCGGGCCAATAATTTTTTCTAGTTTATCTTTTTTTGGCGGGTGTCACCTCACATGGACCCTAGGTTTGTCCTGTTTTTTCTTCCTCCAACATAACTCCCACCAATATGTCTCACCTGCCTTGGTATATTAACACCCAGAACTTTGGCCCATTGGCTCTCAAAATCTGGTTTCTGGACCAGCAGCTCACCATGACCTGTAGATTAGAAATGCAAATTGTCAGGCCCCTCCCAATATCTATTGAATTAGAAGGTCTAGGGGCAGGGTTTTGCAGTCCACAGCTTGACAAATTCTCCAGGTGATTCTTATGCACACTGCTTTATGCTAAGGGTGGCAAATTTTTCTTTCTTTTTTTTTTTTTATAGGTGGAGTCTCACTCTGTCACTCAGGCTGGAGTGCAATGGCGCAATCTCGGCTCACTGTAACATCCGCCTGCCAGGTTCAAGCAATTCTCCTGTCTCAGCCTCCCAAATAGCTGGGACTGCAGGTGCACACCACCACACCCAGCTAATTTTTGTATTTTTAGTAAAGACAGGGTTTTACTATATTGGTCAGGCTAGTCTTGAACTCCTGACCTTAGGTGATCCACCCTCATCAGCCTCCCAAAATGCTGGGATTATGGGAGTGAGCCACCATACCCGGCTTTTTTCCTTTTTTCTTTTTTTTTTTTTTTTTTTTTTTTTGAGACAGGGTTGCATAGGCTGGAGTACAGTGACGCAATCACAGCTCACTGCAGCCTCAACTTCTTGGGCTCAAGACACCCTCCTGCCTCAGCATCCCCAGTAGTTAGGACTACAGGTGTGCGCCACCACACCCAGCTACTTTTTAATTTTTTTTAGTAGAGACAAGGTCTTTACTAAAACCTTTTTAGAAACAAGGTCTCACTATGTTGCCCAGGCTGGTCTCAAACTCCTGGGCTCAAGCAGTCTTCTCGCCTCAGCCTCCGAAAGTGCTGGGATTGCAGGCATGAGCCACTGTGCCCCAACAACTTTGTAAAGGATCAGACAGTAAATATTTTAGGCTTCTCAGGCCACATGCTCTTTTGTTTTTGTTTTTGTTTTTTGAGACAGCATCTTGCTGTGCTGCCCAGGCTGGAGTGCAGTGGTATGATCTTGGCTCACCACAACCTCCACCTCCCGGGTTCCAGCGATTCTCCTGCCCCAGACTTTTGAGTAGCTGAGAGTACAGGTGCCTGCCACCACACCTGGCTAATTTTTGTATTTTTAGTAGAAATGGGGTTTCACCGTGTTAGCCAGGCTGGTCTCGAACTCCTGACCTCAGCTGATCCACCTGCCTCGACCTCCCAAGCTGGGATTACAGGCATGAGCCACCACACCTGGCCATCATACTTAAAAAAAAAATGTTTATTTTATTTTTGTTTATTAAAAATATAGAATGCAGCCAGGTGCGATGGCTCATGCCTGTAATTCCAGCACTTTGGGAGGCCTAGGCGGGAGGATCCTCACCTGAGGTCAGAAGTTTGAGACCAGCCTGGCCATCATGGTGAAACCCCGTTTCTGTTAAATTAGCTGAGTGTAGTGGTTCAGACTTGTAATCCCAGCTACCTGGGACTCTGAGGTGGGAGGATCACTTGAACCTGGGAGGCGGAGATTGCAGTGAGCCAAGATGAAACCACTGCACTCCAGCCTGGGCGACAGAGCAAGACTCTGCCTCAAAAAAGACAACTGAGAATCTGGCTGGGCGCAGTGGCTCATGCCTGTAATCCCAGCAATTTCGGAGGCCGAGTTGGGTGCATTGTTCTAGGCCAGGAGTTCGAGACTAGCCTAGCCAAACGCAGTGAAACCCGTCTATTAAAAATACAAAAAAAAAAAAAAAATCAGCTGGGTGTGGTGGTGCATGCCTGTAGTCCCAGTTACTCCAGAGGCTGAGGCACGAGAATCACTTAAGCTGGGCAGGCAGAGGTTGCAGTGAGGTGAGATCATGCCACTGTACCTCAGCCTGGGTGACAGAGTAGGACTTTATATTGTACTGCCATAACATTTTAATTCAAATAGAATATAACTGAATTGTAAGGGTAATCCCTAATATTTAGCTTTGAATTGTTGTAGAAATATAAAATGGTAGAGCTGAAAAGGTTTTGTAGTCTAATAACCTCCTGTTTCTATTGAAGCAGAAATTGGGCCAGGCGCAGTGGCTTGTACCTGTAATCCCAGCACTTTGGGAGGCCAAGGCAGGTGGATCATTTGAGGTCAGGAGTTCGAGACCAGCCTGGCCAACACAGTGAAACCCTGTCTCTACTAAAAATACAAAATTTAGCCGGACATGGTGGCGGGCACCTGTAATCCGAACTACTTGGGAGGCTGGGGCAGGAGAATCTCTTGAACCTGAGAGATAAAGGTTGCATTGAGCTAAGATCATGCCATTGCACTCCAGCCTGGGCAACAAGAGCAAAACTCTGACTCAAAAAAAAAAAGAAAGGAAAAGAAAGGTTACAGAGTCTTGCCCCAGATTGCATAATCAGTCATTGTCAAAATCCTCACTGGAGCCCATGTACTCATGCAGTCTTTTGCCTCCTGTAGTCTCACCACATTAAATTCTAAAGTTTGTTTAAAAATCTGAATCCTGATTTTTTTTTCCTATTGTAATTTTTTTCTGATTTTTATTTTCCTCCTCATTTCAGGCCGGGATAGAAAATCGTCAGCTGGACACAGTAAATTTCTTTTTGAAGAGCAAGGAAAATCTTTTTAATCCATCCTCAAAATCTTCTGTATCTGATCAGTTTGATCACTTGTCATCCCATTTATATTTAAGAAGTAAGTGGAATAAAGATTTCTACATTTGTATTTATCATTTGATCTTCTTAATAACTTTCAAAGTATGATGTTGTGTTTTCTGATGACTCATTTACTTGCCAAAACTTAGTCATGGGATTTTACGTACTTTTTGGAAACTTTCTTTTTTTTTTTTTTTTTTTTTTTTTTTTTTTTTTTTTTGAGACAGAGTCTCACTCTGTTGCCTAGGCTGGAGTGCGGTGATGACAGCTCACTGCAGCCTCACCTCCTGGACTCAAGCAGTCCTCCCACCTCAGCCTACTACAGTAGCTGGGACTACACGTGTATGCCACCACACTCAGCTATTCTTTGTAGAGAATGGGGTCTCACTGTGTTGCCAGGCTGGTCTCAAACTCCTGGGCTCAAACAATCCTCTGCCTCCCAGAGTGCTGGGATTACAGGCGTGAGCCACCATGCCTGGACAACTTTGTGGAAATTTGGCAGTGTTATCAGATTCTATAAATGTCCCCATACTATGTGGGGTATTTATTGCTCATATCTTTTACTGTACTCTGTATTTTTATTATGCAAGGAAGAGGCAATCTTTCAAATTCAAGACAGTTTTATACACAACAGAAAAACATTTATTTGGAAAATTGCCTGCCCTTGCAACCATCTGAGATGTGTATTGACAGTGTGGCTTTCTGAGTTGTGGATTAGGATTTGTTATAAGAATTTTTGGTGGGATGCAGTGGCTCGCCCTGTAATCCTAACACTTTAGGGGCCAAGGTGGGAGGATCGCTTGAGTCTAGGAGTTTGAGACCAGTCTGGGGAACATAGCAAGACCCCATTCTACAAAAGAATTTTAAAAATTAGTTGGGCATGATGACGCATCCATAGTCCCAACTACTTGGAAGGCTGAGGCTGAGGATTGCTTGAGTCTGGGAGGTCTAGGCTGCAGTGATCTATGATTGTGCCACTGCACTTCAGCCTGGTTGCAAAGTACGACTCTCAAAAAAAAAAAAAAAATTCACCCAGACTTCTCTGCTTTTTTGCCATATTACCAACACTTTTCAAGATTTTGGCTTTCCTTTTTAATAAATAGGAAGCCTAACTTTTATTCTTAGACCAGGTAGCCATGTAAATTCTCTCCTTAGAACAACAGGGTAATAAAGTATATTTTCCCCTTGTTAAATAAAAATTACTGGAAACCATTGTTTTGGTGTGAGCTGTACTAGGCCCCATCAGACCAGAACAGAAATCAAAATGGAGTCAACTATGCTAAAGTTCCATAGCATCAAACTTAAAATAAGGTGGTCTTCTGACATTGGGAGAAATTAGGAGAGAGCCAATAATCCCAAACAGTCCAGTTTCAATCTTCAATCAGCGTGATAATGACGTTCCTCTGATATAATCCTTATGTAAAAGAAGTAATGTAGGCCAGGTGCAGTGGCTCATGGCTGTAATTCCAGCACTTTGGGAGGCTGAAGCGGGAGGATCTCTTGAGCCCAGGAGTTTGAGACTAGCCTGGGTAACATAGTGAAACCTTACCTCTACAAAAAATTTAAAAATTAGCTGTGCGTGGTGGTGTGCATGTGTGGTCTCAGCTACTCAGGAAAGGGAGGTGGGAGGATTGCTTGAGCCTGGGAGGTTGAGGCTGCAGTGAGCCGTCATCACGCCATTGCACTCCAATCTGGGCAACAGAGTGAGACTCTGTCTCAAAAAAAAAAAAAAAAAAAAAAAGCTGGGTGCAGTGGCTCACACCTATAATCCCAACACTTTGGGAGGCCCAGGCGGGAGGATCACTTGAGACCAAGAGTTCATGACCAGCCTGGGCAACATAGTGAGACTCAGCCTCTATTTTTAATTGAAAAAAAAAAAAAAAGCCTGATGCAGTTTCATGTTAAATAATCAGTATTTTTTGTATTATTCTGTCTCTCTTCATCTTACAAAAAAAGTAGCTTTGAAACAACTAATATGCTCTTTTTTCTTTGCTTCTGCTTTCTTCAGCTCTTCCATGTCTATAAAGCCAACCCCTTCTGCTCAGCTCACTAGAACACCTTTTCCATGTTATGAAATTAAGTGTTGCCACATTCTAGAGTTGCAATAAAACCAATTGAGATCTTTAATCTAAATTTGTTGTAATTTTGTCCTTTGACACTCTGTAAATACGGTTTTATAATCTGTGTTTTTTCCCCACTTTATACTATAGACATCTTTCTTGTTAATAATATATACTTACTAAATATGATGACATAGAATTTCATTGTATGGGCTGTACCATAATTTACCAAGCCAAACTCCTGTTAGACATTTAGATTTATTCTAGTTCTTAGCTGTTAACAGTGTGCTAGAAATGCTGTATGTGTGTGTAATTTCACATATATATAATCATTTACTTATATTACTAGAATTTATTGTTAAATTCTAGACCTGGAATTTCCAGGTTTAAGAGTATGCACAATTTATATTTTTAAACACCTTGATAAATTGTCCTTCAAAAGTTGTATCAATTTGTAGTCTGCTTACATGGAGAAAATTACAACCTGCTGTTTTTCCACTGATGTAGTATTAGCTTTCACTGAGAAAATGAATTGGATGTTTTCTTTTTTTTCTTCCTAAATCTCATATGTGGTGGAAAGATATTTTCTTTTAAAAACACATTCTCAGACTGGGTGCAGTGTCTCACGCCTATGATCCCAGCACTTTGGGAGGCCGAGATGGGTGGATCATGAGGTCAAGAGTTCGAGATCAGCCTGACCAACGTGGTGAAACCCCATTTCTACTAAAAATACAAAAATTAGCCATGTGTGGTGGTGCATGTCTGTAATCCCAGCTACTCGGGAGGCTGAGGCAGGAGAATCGCTTGAAGGGAGGAGGCGGAGGTTGCAGTGACCCGAGATCGCTCCATTCCATTCCAGCCTGGAGGACAAGTGAAACGCCGTCTCAAAAAAACAAAAACAAAAACACACATTCTATTTTGTTTTGAGTGCAGAGTTTGGTCTCCTCTTTCTTGAATTGCCAGCTTTTCTAATGCTCTGATGTTTTAAAAACTGCTTAAATTTATAGAAAAAGGCCTAGTTTTTGATATTGAGCAGGGCTCCATCAGCAGTTGTAGAGTCATTATTCACTTCTGTTGTTTGGTGGTTAGTGATTTCTCCTCATTCCACTCTCACCTGCACTGCTCAGCTCTAAAGGGTGGAGATGGGACCTGAATGAGAAGCACTGGTAATAGCCTTACCTGCTCCCCTAGGGGGAAAACCCGTTTCCCATAATTCTCATACATCTCACAGATGTAATCCACGGGGGGCAGCGGGAGGAGTGCTGAGACAAACAGGAATCACTTAATTAGAGCCTTCAGCTGCCGATGCAACATCCAGGGGCCCACACTTCTTGTTTTCACTTGAATGTTTAGCACAGAATAGCTTTGCAATCAGACAGGCTTAAATTCAAATTTTGGCCCTGCCACTTACTTTTTCTTTTTTCACTCTGTTGCCCAGGCTGCTGGAGTACGGTGGCACAATCTTGGCTCACTGCAACCTCCGCCTCCCGGGTTCAAGCAATTCTTCTGCCTCAGCCTCCTGAGTAGCTGGGATTACAGGCACCTGCCAGCACGCCTGGCTAATTTTTGTATTTTTAGTAGAGGCGGGGTTTCACCATGTTGGCCAGGCTGGTCTCGAACTCCTGACCTCAAGTGATCTGCTTGCCTTGGCCTCCCAAAGTGTTGGGATTATAGGCATGAGCCACTGCGCCCGGCCCTGCCACTTACTTTCTAAATTAGCTCGGGCAAGTTACTTATCCTCTCTGAACCTCAGTTTTTTTAATCTATGGAAAGAGAATATAATACACACCTACCTCTTAAGTTGTTGAAAGGAATAAATGAGATAGCATTTATAAAACAACAAGTACAGTACTTAAGATGTAGGTGGTCAGCAAAAGGGTAATAGCAGTGATATCAGTAAATGATAACTATTAATAATTAGAATCATTAAAGTTTGCAGGTAATAAGCCTGCAGAAAAGTTTTGTGAGCTTTTTGAAAATAAGACATTGGTCCTTGTTTTATGTTTAAAAATATTGTAACATGATATTTTTGATATGTTAATTTTATTGTGAGTATCCTGGTGTTCTTTATGTTAATTTCTTTGGTTCTTTCTCAGATGTGGAAGAGCTGATACCAGCATTGGATTTACTTTGCTCGGCAATTAGAGAAAGTTATTCTGAACCCCAAAGCAAACACTTTTCAGAACAATTGCTTAATCTTACACTGTCTTTCCTTAACAACCAAATAAAGGAGCTTTTCATTCACACTGAAGGTAAGAATAGCAGCTAGGAAGGGGGCAATTCTACTGTTCCTGTGTCAGAACAGATACAAGTGCTGCTATTGGGTGACACAGCATAAACCAGTGGCACGCCATTTACTACATTTGGGTAAGGTCAGTGTGTAGTTGAGTAAGTGAAATGGGTTTTGATACTGAGAAAGTTGGTAGAAAGACCCAGGACTAATCATGAAGGACAAGAAAAGGAAAGGGTTATATTAAAATACAGAGCTACTTACTTGTAAAAAGGAAAATCCTCAGACATATTGTTTGAAATTTAAAAATACCAAGTTTGAATTTTGACTTTCTTTAGAATTCTTTATAACAGCTCATGGTTTATATTTACACACACACACACAAATTGGCACATTGGTATTTTCCATAGAACTAGATGAACATCTGCAAAAAGGAGTGAACATTTTGACTAGCTACATTAATGAACTTCGAACCTTCATGATAAAGTTTCCTTGGAAGCTAACAGATGCTATAGATGAATATGATGTACATGAAAATGTCCCCAAAGTAAAGGAGAGCAATATATGGAAGAAACTCAGCTTTGAGGTAAGTACGAATAATCATCACTTCTTTTATTTGCCAGATTCAGAAGGTCTGAGAAAACAATAGAAAGAAACAGAATTCAGACTCTATATACTTGTGATTCAGAATGTTTGGCAAAGGTTTTAGGTTTTATCGGTTTGGGGATTTCTGATTATGACTTCAAATTTATGTCTACAAGCTCCATTTATTTAATTCGCTATAAGGGTAGGCTCCCTCTTAATGCTAGATCTGCCCACTTGGGTTCAGTAACAAACACCCAACTCTAAACCCATGTGAAGTGGTACTCCTTAGCAATACTCCCTCATTGGCTCAAGCCTGGTGCTTTGGACACATGCATTCTGCCTGACTGGATAAATTGAATTGCTGCTGATGATTAGATCTTTGGAAATTTTTATTTTATGACATTATTACTTAGAAGTATACTTAATTTTAGTCCTATCTGAAATTCTATTTAAGACATTTTGCCAGTTAAATTTGTTTCCATCTGTTTGCCTTTTTTCCCACCACAGTAAAAGTTATAATACAACTAAAATTTACTACCATCTGTATGACTTAGGGACTGGAAGAATTCCTTCATCCACTGGAGGGTATTGGTATTGGAAAAACAAAAGCTAAAACAGCTTAACACAGATGATCATAATCAATTGGGAATTAAAGTGATAAGATGGAGATGCTGCTAGGTTGTTAAGATTGCTGTTCTTGGGGTGGAGGGATTAAAGTACGTGGTGTGACTGCATTTTCTGTATCTCTTATTCATTCTGTAACCTTAAAAAGTAAGAAATTATCCGGGTACGGTGGCTCACGCCTGTAATCCCAGCACTTTGGGAGGCCGAGGCAGGCAGATCACAAGGTCAGGAGTTCAAGACAAGTCTGACCAAATGGTGAAACACTGTCTGTACTAAAAATACAAAAAAATTAGCCAGGTGTGGTGGCAGGCGCCTGTAATCCCAGCTACTCGGGAGGCTGAGGCAGGAGAATTGCTTGAACCCGGGAGGTGGAGGTTGCGGTGAGCTGAGATCGCACCACTGCACTCCAGCCCAGGTGACAGTGCGAGACTCTGTCTCAAAAAAAAAAAAAATTACTTACTTTTCCTTCTACTTTTTTGTCTCCTTTTTCCTGTCTCCTTCACAGATTTCTCTTCCTGTTTCCCTCCTTTAATGTTCTGCAAGGCTCTGTCTATGGTCCTCTTTTTACTCAAAATCACTGATTTTCAACTTTTGCCAGGGGAAGGGGTTATATTTTACTCTGGTAAAAATTGTAGACCCTGTCTTCAAAAACAGGCATGTGAATGTGTACACATAGACAAAATTTTATACATGGCTTAATGGGGTTTACAGATCTCTTTAAAGCCCTAGGTTAAGAGTGCCTCCTTTCTGTTCCCTCTAGTGTTTAGATCTTCAGTTTAAGTATTTCTTTTCACATGGATTATTGGTAGTAGCCTTCTAATGCCTCAATATCTTGAGCTTGAATCACTTTTAGTCCACTCTCTATATTGCTGCCTGGATATTTTTCTGTAAATATATATCTGATTACATCACATCTTGCTTTTACGGTCTTTCAGTGGCTCCACGTAGTTTCAGGATAAAATCTACCTCAAACGCAAGGCTCATGATGATGGATCCTCTGCTTTGCTTTCAAGTCTCATCTGCTACTCTCTCCAGTTACATTGAGTAATTTGTAGTTCCCTGAAGGCTTGATGCAGTTTCTTTTCTTTGTCCCTCTGCATATGATATTCCCTCTTTTTGGAACACTTATCCTCTTATCTCAGTATATCTACGGAACACTTACTGGTCTTTAAATTTTTTGCCCATCAGTTACTAGTTACTTCTACTAGCAAGCCTATGTGGGGGGACACGGGGGTGGGGGTGGTCATCCTTCTTATTTAGGTGTTTCTCTTCTAGACCTTCCTCTCTAGCACCCTGGGTTACTTTTATCACAGCCCTTATCATACAGTACTATAATCGGTGTGTCTTCCACTAGCTCCTGGAGTGTAGGGTCTTAGTTTTACTCAATTTAATATCCCTTGAACCTAACTCCAAATCTAGTAATAGATTTTAAATAAAAGTTCCTTTGTTAGATGTTACATAAATGTATAATCCCATGTTGATAATCATAATAAGGAAATGAAAAAGAACTTAAAAGGCAAACGTTTTTCTTTTCCTAGGAAGTTATTGCCAGCGCCATTTTAAACAACAAAATACCAGAGGCACAGACTTTCTTCAGGATTGATAGTCATTCTGCTCAAAAACTTGAGGAGCTTATTGGCATAGGCCTAAATTTGGTCTTTGACAATTTAAAAAAGAACAATATAAAGGAAGCCTCTGAACTTTTGAAGAATATGGTGAGTGGTGTAATCCATAAAGTCTTAAAATGTATTTAATATAATTTCTAGTTATTATAAAATTGGTTTGTATTCATAATTATTTCATAAACTAAGAAATTTATGTAGTAAATAATGACACTAAGAAATAATGACATTAATAACACTGAGAATGGCTGGGTGTGGTGGCTCATGTCTATAATCCCAGTGCTTTGGGAGGTTGAGGCAAGAAGATCGCTTAAGGCCAGGAATTCAATACCAGCATGGGCAACATAGCAAGACCCTGTCTCTAAAAAAAATAAAAAGGACGTGGTGGCTTACACCTTGTACCTTGTATTAGTCCATTCTCATATTGCTATAAAGAAGTACCTGAGCCGGGCGTGGTGGCTCACGCCTGTAATCCCAGCACTTTGGGAGGCTGAGGTGGGTTGATCACCTGAGGTCAGGAGTTTGAGACCAGCCTGACCAACATGGCGAAACCCCGTCTCTACTAAAAGTAGAAAAATAAGCCGGGTGTGGTGGCGGGCGCCTGTAATCCCATCTACTGGGGAGGCTGAGGCAGGGAAAATTGCTTGAACCCAGCAGGCAGAGGTTGCAGTGAGCCAAGATGGTGCCACTGCGTTCCAGCCTGGGCAACAGAGCAAGACTCCATCTCAAAAAGTAACTAAATAAATAATAATGAACTACCTGAGACTGGGTAATTTAGAAAGAAAAGAGGTTTAATTGGCTCACAGTTCCACAGGCTATACAAGAAGCATGGCTGGGGAGGCCTCAGGAAACTTACAGTCATGGCAGAAGATGAAGGGGAAGCAGGCCTGTCTTACATGGCAGGAGAAAGAGGAAGAGAGAGCAGTGGGGAGGTGCTACACACTTTTAAACAACCAGATATCGTGAGAACTTACTTCCTATCACAAAAACAGCAAGGGGGAAATCCGCCCCCATGATCCAGTCACCTCCCAACAGGCCCCTCCTCCAACATTGGGGGTTACAATTCAACATGAGATTTGGGCAGGGGCACAGATCCAAACCATAGCACACCTGTAGTCCTAGCTACTCAGAAGGCTGAGGCAGGAGGATCTCCAGGAGTTCTAGGCTGCAGTGAACTATGATTGCACCTAAAAATAGCTGGTAACAGAGCAAGACCCTGTCTCTAAATCTAAAAGAGAAATAACACTGAGAAATGTTTTGGTACTGAGAGCTTTTTTTTTTTTTTTTTTGAGACAGAGTTTCACTCTTGTTGCCTAGGCTGCAGTGCAATGGTGCGATCTTGGCTCACAAAACTTCCACCTCCCAGGTTCAAACGATTCTCCTACGTCAGCTTCCTGAGTAGCTGGGTTTACAGCATGCGCCACCATGCCTGGCTAATTTTGTGTATTTTTAGCAGAGACGGGGTTTCTCCATGTTGGTCAGGCTGGTCTCGAACTCTTGACCTCAGGTGAGCCACCTGCCTCGACCTCCCAAAGTGCTGGGATTACAGGCGTGAGCCACCGTGCCTGGCCTGAGAACTTTCTTGAAGATATTTTCCCCCTAATTTTATTTAGGTATGAGTGACAAAAATTACATGTATTTAAGGTATACAATATGATGTTTTGATATGTATGTACATTGTGAAAAAATTACCACAAGTAAGCTAATTAATATATCACCTCACATAGTTATGTGTGTCTATATGGTGAGAACACTTGAGATCTACTCTCAACAGATTTCAAGTATACAATGTATTATTATTAACTTTAGTTACTATGCTGTACATAGGTCTCCAGAACTTATTTATCTTATATCTGAAAGTTTGTACCTTTTGACCAATATCTACTCCTTTCCCCTACCCCACAGTCCTTGGTAATATCATTCCACTCTCTATTACTGTGAGTTCAGCTTTTTTTTAGATTCCATATATAAGTGAGAGCATGAAGAATTTGTCTTTCTTTGTCTGGCTTATTTCATTTAGCATAATATCTTCCAGGTTCAGCCATGTTGTTTAAAATTGCAGGTTTTCCTCTCTCTCTCTCTTTTTTTTTTCTTTTTTTGTAGAGACAGGGTCTCACTATGTTGCCCAGGCTGGTCTCGAACTCTTGGGCTCAAGCAATCCTCCTGCCTTGGTCTCCCAAAGTGCAGAGATTATAGGCATGAGCCAACATACTTGGCCTTTCTTTTTTTTTTTTTAAGGCCAAATAATATTCCTTTGTATATATACACCACATTTTCTTTATCCATTCATCTGTTGATAGACACTTAGGTTATTTCCATATCTCTTGAAGAGATTTTTAAATGGCATTTAAAAGTACTCTCTGAGCCGAGTGCAGTGGCTCACACCGGTAATCCCAGCAATTTTGGAGGCCGAGATGGGCAGATCACTTTTGAAGCAGGAGTTTGAGACCAGTCTGGCCAACGTGGTAAATGCTGTCTCTACTAAAAAGGCCAAAAATTAGCCAGGTGGGTGATGCATGCCTGTAATCCCAGCTATTCGGGAGGCTGAGGCACAAGAATCATTTGAACCCGGGAGGCAGAGGTTGCAGTGACCTGAGATCACACCACTGCATTCCATCCAGCCTGGGTGACAGAGCGAGACCCTGTCTCAAAAAAAAAGAAAAAGAAAAGAAAAGTACTCTGTTAGACCTGGCACTTTGATTAGGAGGAGATAGTGTTTCTCATAGAAGACTTCACACTTGTCGAAGCATGCATAGGAGCTCATTATTTGTTGGAGGACATTCTGTATTGTTCATGTGACCCCTTAACATCTCCACTTGAACTTTCTAATAAATTATGCCTTTGCTGGGCTTTATGCTCTGTGGTTTTACTTCATATGAGAAGGGGAAGCCTTAGAAGTAGGGCTCCTAGACTAAGCTGAGATCTAGCCCTAACCTGCATGGTTGGGGTCTTGCCCATGGTAACTTTCAGGAGGTGCAGAGGAGTGGAACTGTGTAAAAGGGATGTTGTTTGCATTGATCATTGTTTCCACTTGAATCAGCATACCAGATTGCTGTCATTTTGGTCCTGTGGTAGCCTAGCATTGCCTTAAATTGTTCTGTGTGCTGCCTTTGCTCTGACAAAATGCTTAAGGACTTTAGGGATAGGCAGTAAATACATATAATGAATGTAGGAGGGCCAGGCAGGGTGGCTCATGCCTGTAATCCTAGCACCTTGGGAGGCTGAGGCAGGAGGATCACTTGAGCCTAGGAGTTCAAGACCAGCCTGGGCAACAGGAAGAAATCCCATCTCTACAAAAAATACAAAAATTAGCCAGGCATGGTGATGCACACCTGTAGCCCCAGCTACTTGGGAGGCTGAGTTGGTAGGATCGCTTTGAGCCTGGGGGTCGAGGCTGCAGTGAGCTGTGATCACACCACTGTACTCCAGCCTAGGCAGCACAGCTAGACTGTCTCAAAAAGAAAAAAGAAAGTAGGGAAATGAGTGTTTGAAAGAGCAGAAAGCTATGGAATTCTAACAAGATAGATGTTTATAATAGGGTGTTTCTGTATCTAACACATATTTATGTTCAAAATAGTTCCATTACAAAATGTAACTTTTTTTGGTTTTCTATGTTTATTTTAGGGGTTTGATGTAAAAGGCCAATTGCTCAAGATCTGCTTCTATACAACTAATAAAAATATACGTGACTTTTTGGTAGGTAAAGGTGAGACTACATAGTATACATTTTCTAGAAAGCCTGGGTGAAAAACTTGGAAGAAAACCTTGGAAGAAAAACCTTAAGTAATTTTAATGTTCAACTAATATCTAATAAGTAAAAGTGTGACAACCCCTTCATCTTTTTTTCCCCTTCATCTTTCTTCAATGACTATTTTACATTTGTGGCAAAAGAAAATTTGTGTTAACATACATTAACTCAAATGTTCAAAATATAATTCTTGAATGGCATATTATCTCATGACTTTTTTTAATAATCTTTAATTCCCAGCACTACCTTATTTGATAATCTCATGACATTTTTTGCAAAAGTGCTTGATTTTTTGTAAAGTCACTGCTTTAATTACTTTTTATTCAAGGTTGAAATTTTAAAAGAAAAAAATTATTTTTCTGAAAAAGAGAAAAGAACTATAGACTTCGTGCATCAAGTTGAGAAGCTTTATTTGGGACATTTCCAAGAAAATATGCAAATCCAGTCATTTCCCAGGTAGTCTCATTAGTCCTCTTTTGATAATATTAGAATACCGTTAGATAGTATTTCATTTATAGTTGTTAGTGAACACAAGTTTCTTATGTGGAACTGAGCCTGCATTCTCCTTGGAGATAAAACTTGTATCAGACAGAAGGGACTCGAGAGTTTTCTGTCATTTTAATATTTGCATAATCAGAATTATGTGTTCCCCAAAAGAGTGGATGTTCTTGAGCAGATAAAAAGGAATGATGCCTTTTTCTCCAAAATTAAAAAAAAAAAAATTTATATCACTGTTTTTAGGTACTGGATAAAGGAACAAGATTTTTTCAAGCACAAGTCTGTTTTGGACTCATTCCTGAAATATGATTGTAAAGATGAATTTAACAAACAGGACCATAGAATTGTGTTAAATTGGGCTCTGTGGTGGGATCAACTAACACAAGAATCCATCCTTCTCCCCAGGATAAGTCCAGAAGGCAAGTGTGAGAGAGCCTGAAATATGAACATACTGAATGAGGATTAAATTGGGTATTGATATTTGAATATTTTGATGTGTCTCAATTTTAGAATTCCTTTCGGGAAATAATATTCAGGTTCTTTAAAATGCAAGTCGTTGCATTAAGATCTCTTTCTTATCTCAGAGTTTCTGGGAGGGATTTATAATGTGCTAATAAAAGAAAAAAATAGTTAATTGAGATTTCAAGGCTGAGTTTTCATTCCAGCTTCAAAGTGACAATCTGTTTTTTCAAATAGTCTTGAGCTTCTTGTGTAAATTGGGGATCTATGCCATCTGATATGGGGGATCTGGGTCATAACTAACAGTGGTAAACAGTAGCAATTCAGAGAGTAAAATTCTGGCTTACTATTATGGCTGAAGTTTTTGTTTGTTTATTATTTTTAATTTATTTTTTTCTTTTCATCCTTCCCCATCTGAAACAAAGTTTTTATTTACATTAAGGGAAAGAGAAGGGAAAAAAAGGGTTGAACAGGTAAGTGAAATGTACAGCTAATACGTAAGTTTCATTTTAACCACCAGAGTAATTAGAAGCTACATCTAGTTCTTTGGCTGTAGCATTGATTATAAAATGAACAATGTGGCCAGGCACGGTGGCTCACACCTGTAATCCCAGAAATTTGGGAAACCGAGATGAGAAGATTGCTTGAGGCCAGGAGTTCAAGACCAGCCTAGCAACATAGTGAGACCCCCATCTCTACAGAATATATATTTTTTAAAATACCTGGGTGGACGGGCGTGGTGGCTCACGCCTATAATCCCAGCACTTTGGGAGGCTGAGGCAGGCGAATCACCTGAGTTCAAGACCAGCTTGGCCAACATTGTGAAACCCCGCCTCTACTAAAAATACAACAATTAGCTGGGTGTGGTGGTGCATTCCTGTAATCCCAGCTACTTGGGAGGCCGAGGCAGGAGAATCGCTTGAACCTGGGAGGCAGAGGTTGCAGTGAGCCAAGATTGCGCCACTGCACTCCAGCCTGGGCTACAGAGCGAGACTCTGTCTCAAAAAAAAAAAAAATTTACCTGGTCATGATGGCACATCCCTGTAGTCCCTGCTACTTGGGCAGCTGAAGTAGGAGTACCACTTGAGCCCAGGAGGTCGAGGCTGCCACGAGTGCACCACTGCACTCCAGCCTGGGCAACACAGCGAGATCCTGTCTCAAAAAAAGGAAAATAGTAAAACAGAGGACCTGAATAATTAATATATTGTATAAATATCTATGTCCAGATTGTTATATTTACTCAGTAATTTAGTGTTGAGTTACATGTCAATAGACATAATTAATTATATTTTAAAATGTGTTTTTTTTCATGTAGAATACAAATCATATTCCCCTGAAGCCCTCTGGAGATACCTCACAGCTCGCCATGATTGGTTAAACATTATCTTATGGATTGGAGAATTTCAAACCCAGCATAGTTATGCTTCACTTCAGCAGAACAAATGGCCCCTTCTGACTGTTGATGTTATTAACCAGAATACTTCCTGTAACAACTACATGAGGAATGAAATTTTAGATAAGCTGGCCAGGTATTATAACTGTTGAACTAATACCCAATGGGAAGAATACAAGGGAAGAGCAAGAAAAAATAATGGTATAGCTTTTCCTTTGAAATGCCATAAATCCAGTGTAGTGTTGTTTCATATTACTATAAAATTTAAAGGGCATCATCTTACAGTGAGGTTTTAAAATCATACTCATTTGGCCAAGTGCGGTGGCTCATGCCTGTAATCTCAGCACTTTGGGAGGCCAAGGCGGGCAGATCACCTGAGGTCAGGAGTTCAAGACAAATCTTGCCAACACGGTGAAACCCTGTCTCTACAAAAATACAAAAATTAGCCAGGCATAATGCCGGGTACTCCCAACTACTTGGGAGGCTGAGGCAGGAGAATCGCTTGAACCCAGGAGGCAGAGGTTGCAGTGAGCCGAGATTGCGCCATTGCACTCCAGCCTGGGCAACAGAGTGAGACTCTGTCTCAAAAAAAAAAAAAAAAAAATCATATGCATTTAATATCATGTGGGTAGTAAATAAGCTCTCAAGGTCTAGATGCAGGTTCCTCCCAAAACATTTTATGCACTTTGGTATAGAAATGTTAAGTTTTCAGTAGGGCTATAAGGAGCAAGTGACAAGAGCTGAGATGGAGATACCTTAGTATCCTGTCTCCTGTGCTTCATATCACTACATGTGTGTTGTGCATGTTCTTGAACTAAGAGAACTGCTGAATTAAGAAATAATGAGGGGAAGTAGCTCTTGAAGTGATGTGAAGATTTTAAACTTTAATTCATTTAGAAAAGCCTGTTAAATTGAACCATATGAACTTGCCATTTGTGTGGGTCAAAAATGACTGAATATCAACCATTTCATTCGGCTCCATTTAATCTATCTTTCTAACCTGTTGAAATAGTATAAGGAAAGCTAATAACATGTATGTTAAGTTTCTTAAACATATTTTTATGTATTATTTTCTATTTACACTTATTGGGGTATACTTACAGCTGTATTTTCCTCCCCAGCTTAAAGATGTGGAGAGTCAGATCCAGGGACGTTAAGTGCTTTGCCCAAGCCAGTTTGTTACAGATTTAAATCCCTTAGCCCTGATTTTCTATTCATTCTTCTCTCCATTGCACTAAATGCTCTTGTTTACTACTAGTAAATATTATAGAACTTGTGTGCTTACCTAATATTTTGCTTAGCATTTGGTTTTTAAACTAATGTATATATGGTTTTGGAATTATGAAATTAGTAAATTAATGAACTCTATACCACCAGATTAAAGGGGAAAAATCATACCACCCTGTTAGATACAGAAAAGCATTTGATAAAATTCAGCCTATTTACAATCAAAACTTGGCAAACTAAGCATAGATGCAAACTCCGTTAACTTAATTTTTTTTTTTTTTGAGATGGAGTCTCGCTGTCACCCAGGCTGGAGTGCAGGGACGTGATATTGGCTCACTACAAGCTCTGCCTTCTGGGTTCACACCATTCTCCTGCCTCAGCCTCCAGAGTAGCTGGGACTACAGGCACCCACCACCACGCCCGGCTGATTTCTTTTTTTATTTTTAGTAGAGATGGGGTTTCACCATGTTAGCCAGGATGGTCTTCATCTCCTGACCTCGTGTTCTGCCCGCCTCGGCCTCCCAAAGTGCTGGGATTACAGGCGTGAGCCACCGTGCCCGGCCTTTTTTTTTTTTTTTTTTTGAGATGGAGTCTCACTCTGTCGCCCAGGATGGAGTGCAGTGGCGCTATCTCTGCTCACTGCAAGCTCCGCCTCCCAGGTCTCCTCATTCTCCTGCCTCAGCCTCCCCAGTAGCTGGGACTACAGGCGCCCGCCACCACGCCTGGCTAATTTTTTTTTTTCTTTTGTATTTTTAGTAGAGACGAGGTTTCACCATGTTAGCCAGATTGGTCTCAATCTCCTGACCTCGTGATCCGCCTGCCTTGGCCTCCCAAAGTGCTGGGATTACAGGCGTGAGCCACTGCGCCTGGCCTAAACTCCCTTAACTTAAAAGGGGTACCTAGAAAAATCCTTTTAGCCAACATCATACTTACTAGTGAAACATTGTGAGCATTCTCTTTAGATTTGGAGCAAGACAAGCCTGCTATCAAGTCTTACCAAGTTGATCTTTAAATATAGTGTAATCTCAGTAAAAATCCCAGCGGTTATTTTTTTGTTTTTTGTTTTTTGTTTTGTGGATTATGACATGCCGATCATAAATATTTATATAGAAATTAGAGGGTCTGCCGGGCACGGTGGCTCACACCTGTAATCCCAGCACTTTGGGAGGCTGAGGTAGGCAGATCAGTTGAGGTCAGGAGTTTGGGACCAGCGTGGCCAACATGATGAAACATCGTCTCTACTAAAAATACAAAAATTAGCTGGGCGTGGTGGCACTTGCTTGTAATCCCAGCTACTCAGAAGGCTGAGGCAGGAGGATCACTTGAACTCAGGAGGTGGAGGTTGCAGTGAGCCAAGATCAAGCCACTGAACTCCAGCCTGGGAGACAGAGTGAGAATCCATCTCAAAAAAAACAACAAAAAGAAATTAGAGGGTTAAGAAGAGCCCTGAAAAAGAACTTGCCCTACCAGATATCAAAACTTATTCTAAAGCTGTAGCAGTTAAGACAGAGTATTGGTGCCGGGGTAGAGAACAGAAGTGTGAGCCTAGAAACAGACCTATACCTGTATGATCATTTTACATATGACAGAGGTGGTCCTGCACAAGAGTGGAGAAAGAACCATCTTTTTGACAATGGGGCTAGAATAACTGAATAGCTATATGGGGAAAAAAATCTAATCAGATTCCCCTCCCTACCTTGTGTTGTACATTACATCAATTCTGGGTAGATGTTAACACCTAAATGTCAAATGTGAAAGTATAAAATATGGAAAATGCTATAAGTGAATATCTTCACAACCTTGGGAGTAGTAGGATATATGCTTTCTAAAAGGCCTAAAGGGGCAAAGATCTGGCACTGAGACCAAGAGAGCTGCCTGGCAGGAGTTGTGACCCTTAGTGTAGGGTGTCAGCCAAGCTGTAGTCACCCAGCACAGAGAGAGCCAGGATATTTCCTTTTATCTCCTGATGGAGCCCTCCCATTGAGTGAACTAAAACAGAAGTCTGAGGACACTGGGGTCTCGTAGTAGAACCCATAGAGGTGAGCCTCCAGGAACAGAGTAGGGTGACGCAGAGTAGAGCTTGGATCTGAGGAGAAGGATACCAGCACAGGCTTCTCACAAAAGAGGAAGCACAAATGGCTAATCAATATAGGAAAAGATGCTCTTCCTCATTTATAGGTAAGGAAATGCAAATTTATTTTACCCGAAATTTAGGAACAACTAAAATGGACCTCAGTGTTTCACTAATAAATATGATGTTGGCTAGAAGGATTTTTCTAGATACCCCTTGTAAAGTTAAGGGAGTTTGCATCTATGCTTAGTTTGCCAATAGTTTTTATCATAAGTATGGCTAAATTTTCTCAAAGGTAGAGTGGATAAATATGGTATATTCATACAATGGAATACTATATAATAATGAAAAATAACAAATTATACCCAGAGGTATCAACATGGATAAATCACACAATGTTGGGTAGAAGAAATAAGGTAGAGAACAATATATCCAGAATGTTCCACATAATACAAAGTTCAAAATAGGTAAAACCTTAAATTATTTGGGATTGCATATATGTGTAATAAAACTATGAATAAAAGTAAAAAGGCCAGACACAGTGGCTCACACCTGTAATCCCAACACTTTGGGAGGCCTAGGCAGGAGGATTGCTTGAGTCCAGGAGTTCAAGACCAGCCTGGACAACATAGACCTTGTCCCTACAAAAAATTTAAAAACTGAGTGTGGTGGCACATGCCTGTCGTCCCAGCTACTCAGATGGCTGAGGTAGGAGGATCACTTGAGCTCAGGAGGCGGAGCTTGCAGTGAGCTGAGGTGGCACCACTGCACTCCAGCCTAGGCGACAGAGCAAGACCCTGCCAAAAAAAAAAAAAAAAAAGTATGGGAATGATTATCATAAAAGTCAAGATAGTGGCTACCTCTGGAGGTAGCAAAGGGCATGCAGTTGGGAAGGAATATACCAAGGGCTTATAATGTTCTATAATTAGGTTAGTGGTTCCATGATGTTTCTATAAACTCCATATACAGGTATATATTTTCTTTACTCCTTTGGTATATATGATGTAACAGTAACTTTGTAAAAAGTAATATTTACATGCAGATTTCTATTCTTGTTCAGTAGGTCTATTTAAATTATTCTGATGTAGCATGATGATTTTGTTTGGATATCTTGGTGAATTTCTCAGTGCTTAGAGCATCTAGCTTCAAGGGTTAACCACTGTTGCTATACTGGGTAATGGCTCCCATCAAAAACCAAAAAATGGAAATAACTTGATTTAGGTTTTTAAAATAATAAAGATAGCTTGAGTCTGTCGTTGCTACCTTTAAATACTACAGTGGTGCAGAAAATTTTATTAGAAATCAGCAAAAAATGTGTCTGAGAACATATAGAGTAAGAACTGGCAGCATTAATTTGTAAATGCTTATTTTTAAGTAATTGAGACCTAAACTGTGGGCATGATTTGGTCTACTCTGAACATAGCAACTTTTTAACTTGACATCCTATAAATCTGTCCATAGGAATGGGGTTTTTTTGGCATCTGAACTGGAAGACTTTGAATGCTTCCTCCTAAGACTGAGCCGTATTGGAGGTGTAATACAGGATACCCTCCCTGTTCAAAACTACAAGACCAAAGAAGGTTGGGATTTCCATTCTCAATTCATTCTCTATTGTTTGGAGCACAGTCTGCAGCATCTTCTTTATGTCTACCTTGACTGTTACAAGTGAGTACTGAGAATGCATTTGTCCTTGAGCAGGTCTTCACATTTTCTCTTTGCATATGACTCCTGAATGTGACTTTTAGGAAAATAGTAAGCATTCACACGAGGAATACTGATCTTTTTGAGGTAGTTTTCTCCATCTCAACAGTTGGTACATCTTTGAGTTCAGTACTACATTCAGCAAAATGCTTATGTGTTTTTTGGTGAATTAATTCTGTAGTATCTCTGTTAACCTTTTAAATAACTTGACTTTAGAATACAATGAAAGAAATGCTTTAAAAGGTTTGAGAGGAAGATTCTAAAGTTTTACTTGGAGTTTTCTTTGATACTTTGATTACCAAGAGAATGCTAAGCAACTTTGATTTCATAGCAAACTGTATTTCACTTTCAAGGTATATTAGATATGCTCTAAAATTTATATTTCTATAGACACACACACGCACAGAGAAAGAGAGAGCAATACATTAGTATCTGTCTGCCTAAGATTAACCCGCAGAATCATATCTGTGGCCAGTGTTAATTGCTATTGGGTCAGTAATAACAATAACAATAGAAGTAGTCTTTAATATGTGAGTGTTTACAATGTTGGCACTAAGCTAAGTACTTTATATGCATTATCTCATTTAATCTTCACAAAAACTCTATGGGGTAGTTACTCCCATGTCCATTTTATGGATGAAGAAACAGGCTTTGAGAGAGACTAAGTATGTTACTTAAGGCACACAGCTAATAAGTGGAAGAGCTGATTTAATTCTACTTAATTTTTATTCTGGAGCCCACATTTGTGCACTCATAGGCAACATTTTTATTTTACTTATTTTGTGTAGTAAAGACTAGGAATTGGCCGGGCACGGTGGCTCACATCTCTAATCCCAGCACTTTGGGAGGCCAAGGCAGGAGAATCACTTTAGCCCAAAAGTTCAAGATCAGCCTGGGCAATGTAGTGGGTCTTCTTCTTTACAAAGAAGTAAATCAGCCAGGCATAGTGGCACACACCTGTAGTCCCAGGTACCTGGGAAGCTGAGGTGGGAGGATTACTTTGAGCCTAGGAGGTCCAGGCTGCAGTGAGCCATGTTTGCGCCACTGCACTCCAGCCTGGGCAATACAGTGAGACCCGGTCTCAAAAAAAACAGACTAGGAGTTCCAAGAGAAGTTGTATTTTTGGTATGTCATATCATTAGTCTTACTTAGAAATGTTGTCTCCATAGCTACTGGCAAGAGAACAGGTTTAAGAGCTGTATTTTCAAAGTATGTATTCTGAGCCATAATTCCTCAGTTGTAACCTCTCTGTAGTTGTGTAAGCTTTTTATTTCTTTTTTACTTTGAGACAGTCTCACTCTGTCACTTAGACTGGAGTGCAGTGGCACAATCATGGTTCATTGCAGCCTCGAACTCCTAGGCTCAAGCAATTCCCCCACCTCCGCCTCCCAAGTAACTGGAACTACAGGTGCACACCACCACACTTGGCTTGTAAGAGTTTTTTAAAAGCCTCTTATTAAGTTTGAATATGCTAAAAAGTTTTTGTTGTAAAAACCAATAAAATATGAAGTATCTTAAAGTACAAGGTATCTATTAATCTGATAAAGATTTGGATAAATTTCATCATGGTAGTGAACATATGATGTCTCTAAAATCTCTATCTCTAAAATTGTTTCCAGATCATGAAGAATATGTAAAATACAACACAAGAGTGGGAGTATTTTGTGTTATATTTACTTTTTAATTCCAAGATTCTTTTTTTAAATGCTAATCATCGCCTGAGCAAAATGGTTGTAATTGTCTTATCCTGTATGTTAATCAAAGAAGGTTTTTGTTTGTTTTATATACAGACTTAGTCCTGAAAATTGTCCCTTTTTGGAAAAAAAAGAGTTACATGAAGCACACCCTTGGTTTGAATTTTTAGTTCAGTGTCGACAAGTTGCCAGTAACTTAACAGGTATGGGTATACTGTATTAAACACAGAAACTTGCTTTGGATCAGTCACTGGTCTGTTGAATGGTATTAAACTTGTGAACTCTTTTAAATAAATTATTTGGCTGTGGTCAGCTATCTGAATGTAATCTAGGCTCACACTTGAGGTAAGAAGCAGAAGGAAGGCCAAAAAGGTTAGCCATCAGCCAGCCAAGAAAAGCTAGACCTGGAGCAAAGAGCTTCTGTGGTTTTGTCCCCTTCCCCTTAGCATCGTGCTCTAGAATTTCCCTTATCCCACCAGTTTGTCACAGGCTGAATTCCTGCTCTCTGGTAGACTGACACCCTTTTTCCATGAAGAAGTGGTCTGTCTTCCAGATCCCTGTTTTGAATTTTTGTAAGGAACTCCAAATGGAGTTAAAAGAAATCCATAGTATGTGTGAGATTGTTGTGTCCTCTGCAGTGGAGCTGCTGATGTAGAGGCTTACTCTGGTTGTAATCAGACAGAAAAGGCTTCTTACCCCTGAGGACTTAGCTGGTGTTATGCCAGAAATATGGGAAAGGGGACAGGCTGAATGACCACAGACAAGGAATGTCAGTAGTCTTTCAGTTGCATGTAATGTCCAGTTTCTCTCAAAATGCAGAATTTTTTCATAATGTGGGTTTTGTTTTTTGGTTTTGCATGCTGATTATGAAGTAATATATGTTCATTGTTAAAAAAAAAAATTAGAAGCCACAGACAACTATCAAGAAGGTAATACTGGCCAGGTGTGGTGGCTCACACCTGTAATCCCAGTGCTTTGGGAGGCAAAGTGGAAGGATCACTTGAGGATAGGAGTTCAAGACCAGCCTGGGCAACATAGCAAGACCCTGTCTCTACAAAAGATTTTTAAAAATTAGCTGTGGTGGCATGCTCCTGTAGTCCCAGCAACTTGGGAGGCTGAGATGGGAGGATCACTTGAGCCCAGGGATTAGAGATTGTGTCACTGCACTCCAGCCTAGTTGACAAAGCAAGACCCTGTCTCTTTTTTAAAAAATAATTAATTAATTAAAAAGTAATACCTCCATAGGTAGATAGCCTAGGTACATAGGAAAATAACCACCCATAGGTAACCACTGATAATATTTTAATGTATTTTGTTCCAGTTATCTTCACTGTACTTTTTAAAAACTTAGTCTCTATTGTATTTCATTCACCCAACAAATATTTATTGAGCTCCTACCTTGTGACAGACTATTGTTAAGTGCTAGTAGAACAACAAGAAACATCTATGTTTTTATATACTGCTTTTTTGTGTGTAATATTATAACAGAATTTTCCCACATTCTTAAAGACAATGACCATTTTAGGCCAGGCGCAGTGGCTCATGCCTGTAATCCCAGCACTTTGAGAGGCCAAGGCGGGCAGATCACGAGGTCAGGAGATCGAGGCCATCCTGGCTAACACGGGGAAACCCCGTCTCTACTAAAAATACAAAAAAAAAATTAGCCCGGCTTGGTGGCGGGTGCCTGTAGTCCCGGCTACTTGGGAGGCTGAGGCAGGAGAATGGCATAAACTGGGGAGGTGGAGCTTGCAGTGAGCCAAGATAGCTCCACTCCAGCCTGGGTGAGAGAGTGAGACTCCATCTCAAAAAAAAAAAAAAAAAAAGACAGTGACCATTTTAAATGTTTACATAATATTTCATTGTATGGATATACCATTATTTAATTTTCTGTTCTCTCATTTTCCGACAATGAGGGCATTTTCCATTTTTTTCTATTATAAATAATAGTCTTGAATATATTTCAATATAAAACTGTCCTTATTTCAGATTATTTTCTTAGCACAGATAGGTTTTGGGATATAAAACTATTGGGTCAAAGGTTACACATGTTTAAGGTTCTTGCTGTAGGACCGGATTGCTTTCCAAGGGAGTTGTACAATTTTATTTTAAGTCCTAGTCTCTACTCACTGTGACCAGCTCTAATGCTTGATGATGAGTTTTTTTAAATTACTGCTAATTGGATAGGTAGTATATGGCATCTAATTAATTTGCATTTCTTTGTTGCTAGTGAATTATATAGTTTTATGTGTCAGGCATTTATATTTCCTCCTTCATAAATTGGTTATTTCTTTTGCCCATTTATCTGTTAGAGTCAGTATTTTTGGCATTGATTTGGATGAGCTCTTTGTTGAGAACAAACTCAGCAACTCTTTAGGTTGTCATTTGTTACAATTTTTCTCTCAGTTCATTGTTACCTTTTAATTTTCTTTGAACAGAAGTTTTTATTTTTATGTAGACAAATCTTTCATTTTTTCCCTCTGTGATGTTTTCCCATTGCTTTTAAATTTAGGAAGTCCTTTTTTTTTTTTTTTTTTTTTTTTTACTGGGGATAGAGTTAAAAATTTATGTTATTGTTCTCACATTTATGTAATCCTTAATTTAGTATTTATCCCTCTTAAGGAGAAAAACACTGTCTTTTATTTTCCAGATCCCAAACTGATCTTCCAGGCTAGCCTTGCAAATGCTCAGATTTTGATTCCCACCAATCAGGCCAGTGTAAGCAGTATGCTATTGGAAGGACATACCCTCCTGGCCCTTGCTACTACAATGTATTCTCCTGGGGGTGTCAGTCAGGTATGGATAGCACTTTATGACAAAATAGGACTGATTTTTAAATTTAGCAGAATTATCTATGGATTGTCTAGATCTCAGCTGATATTAAAATATAACTATATTCAAGTATTTCATTAGATTAAAGAGCAGAGGATAAGGCTGAATTTAAAAATTTTATATCTCGGCCCGGTGCAGTGGCTCACTCCTGTAATCCCAGCACTTTGGGAGGCCGAGGCAGGCGGATCACTTGAGGTCAGGAGTTCGAGACCAGCCTGGCCAACGTGGTGAAACACCATCTGTACTAAAAAAACTTCACTGGGCGTCTTGGCGCACGCCTGTAATCCCAGCTACTGGGGAGGCTGAGGCATGAGAATCACTTGAACCTGAGAGGCGGAGGTTGCAGTGAGCTGAGATTGTACCACTGCACTCCAGCCTGGGCAACAGAGCGGGACTCCGTCTCAAAAAAAAGAAAAGAAATTTATGTCATCTTCAGTTTAAAGTGAATGAAGCCAAGTGCGGTGGCTCACATTTGTAATTCCAGCCCTTTTGAGAGGCCAGGGTGGGTGGATCACTTGAGTACAGGAGTTTGAGACCAGCCTGGGCAACATGATGAAACCTCCATCTCCACAAAAAAAAAATTTAAAAATTAGCTGGGCATGACCGAGTGCGGTGGCTCACACCTGTAATCCCAGCACTTTGGGAGGCCAAGGCGAGTGGATCACTTGAAGTCAGGAGTTCAAAACCAGCCTGGCCAACATGCTGAAACCCCGTCTCTACTAAAAATACAAAAACTAGCCGGGCATGGTAGCGTACGCCTGTAATCCCAGCTACTCAGGAGGCAGAGGCAGAAGAATTGTTTGAACCCAGGGGGCAGAGGTTGCAGTGAGCTGAGATCGCGCCAGTGTACTCCAGCCTCTGTGACAGAGCAAGACTCCGTCTCAAAAAAAAAAAAAAAAAAAAAAAAATTAGCTGGGCATGGTGGCGTGCTCCTGTAGTCCCAGCTACTTGGGTGGCTGAGACACGATTACTTGAGCCTGGGAAGTCGAGGCTGCAGTGAGCCAAGATCATACCACTGCACTCCAGCCTGGGTGATAAAGTGAGACCTTGTCTCAAAAAAAAAAAAAAGCTGGGCGGGGGCAGGGAGGGGAATGAATATGTTATATAGAGATTATTTTTTCCCTTTAGTTTGTTTTCCAATACTCCAGATTTGTTTTCAGAATACAATTAGGATCTGCTTGCTTCTGGGAGTAAGAATACTTTAGATCTGTGGCTTAGTAATTATTGTCTACTATTTGCCCTCTTAGGTCAAAGGAAACTATAATCTTCAGCTACCCATATAAACTGTATTGAGGGACCTAGTGGAAATGTGCCCATCTTTGCTTTTTAGAAGTAGAGTGGCCTGTTTAGAGGGAAATTAAGAATGTTGTTTAAAGGCCGGGTGCGGTGGCTCATGCCTGTAATCCCAGCACGTTGGGAGGGTGAGGCGGGCGGATCACGAGGTCAGGAGATGGAGACCTAACATGGTGAAACCCCGTCTCTACTAAAAATACAAAAAAAAAAAATTAGCCGGGGGTGGTGGTGGGTGCCTGTAGTCCCAGCTACTCCAGAGGCTGAGGCAGGAGAATTGCTTGAACCCGGGAGGCGGAGCTTGCAGTGAGCCGAGATCGCGCCATTGCACTCCAGCCTGGGCCCACAGAGTGAGACTCCGTCTCAAAAAAAAAAGAATGTTGTTTAATATCTAATCTTCAAAAGTTTCTTAATGGTGCTAGCTTAACTTAGTACCACCTTTTTTAGATTGTTGCAGTATACCTTAAAACACGACTATTTAATCCTCTATTTTTAATCATCTGTCAGAAATTACAGTCATAGAATAACTTTAGAGTTGGGTAAGAAGTCATCTAGTTTATCAGTTTGTAAATATTTTAAAATATATATTATTGAATTAAATATTGGCAGAGCTGTTTTTCAAACAATTTCTTTACATACAGCTTGAAAATCACTGATCTAGCTGAACTTCCTAATTTTGCAGATGGGGAAACAAAGACCCGATATTAAATATCTAGCTAAGGTCACATAGCTAGTTTGTCTTAGAACCAGAACAAGAACTGTTAACTTATGACTACTTGTCTAATGCTATATTCACTACCACATACTCTTCTCAAGCTAATCTTGTTTCACAAGGTTCTTGTGAAAAAAAGAAACTTTGAGAAGAGAAAAATGCTACTGTCCAACCTGTTATCTGTTTTTTTACTTAGGTTGTTCAGAATGAAGAAAATGAAAACTGTTTGAAGAAAGTGGATCCCCAGCTATTGAAGATGGCATTAACTCCTTACCCCAAGCTAAAAACTGCTCTCTTCCCACAGTGCACTCCTCCTAGTGTCCTGCCATCTGATATTACAATCTACCACCTTATTCAGGTACAGTATTTAGGTGGCCAATATTTAGGTCTATCAGAGTTCAGCCAGGAAAACAGAAATCACTCTAGATCTTTCAACCGGAGGGCATTTAATGTAGGGAATTACTTACACAGCATGATAGCAGAATGGGGAAACCAAATGTGATAGTGAGACAACCCAAAAATAACAAAATAGAAAGCCATCATCACCCCTAAGGCTGCAAGAACAATGCAAAAAAGTGGTGTTACCAGAACCCAGAAGCTGGAGCCATCTCTGGGAGTTAAACTAACAACCAGGCTGCCTAATGGGAACCAGGAACATAGAGTATAGAGGTAGAAACTTAGCGGAGATGCCCCAGGAAAATGAAGGGGGAGAATATCTTGGCTTCTTCCCTCTTCCCATCTTTAGTCTCCCACAGTGTCTTTGTGGCTATATGTATCTGGTAGCCGAAGGGCAAAGGAGCTTGGGAAATGTAGTATCCTGCAATACTGAGCAGAGTGGGAAGGGTGGAGGTGGGTCAGACCAAACAGTTGACCAGCATACCTGTCTGCTGTTTTCATCAAAAGCTTCTCTATTCTGCCACTTTTAACTTCTAACTATCTCTTCTCAATGAATCAGGGATGTTTGTTTAAATCAGTGCTTTTTAATCTTTTTCAGAACGTCTAAGAATGTGAGAAAGCTATAAACCTTCTACTCAGAAAAATTACACATATGCATATAATTTTGCTTACATTTCAAAGTGATTCACAGACTTCCTGAAGCCTATTCAGGGATCCTCGGTTAAGAACACCTTCCTTTGCCCATTTCTCATTTCAAAAGGCTTTTCCTTTTTTCCCTGAATACACATATTCTCATAGTATCTTCAACTCAACGTAAGGTTTATAATTCTATAAAGGAGCCGGGTGCAGTGGCTCATGCCTGTAATCCCAACACTTTGGGAGGCCAAGGTGGGCGGGTCACTGAGTTCAAGACCTAGCCAACATAGTGAAACCCCATCTCTACTAAAAATATAACAATTAGCCAGGCATGGTGGCACGTGCCTATAGTCCCAGCTACTCTGGAGGCCGAGGTAGGAGAATGGCTTGAACCTGGGAGGCGAAAGTTGCAGTAAGCTGAGATCGCACCATTGCACTCTAGCCTGGGCAACAGAGCGAGACCCCGTCTCAAAAAAATAATAACTCTATAAAGGCACAAACTCCCTCTTACTCTAATGCAGAGACTTCTTAGGGTATTGACTGGTGCTACTTAAAAGTGTGGTCAGCACTTGTATACTGCTTGTTGCTGGAACGTGGTGAGATTAGTATGCACCAAAATATATATCTGCTGTGTCCCTAAGTACACTGTTTAGTTCAGTAGGGGTTTTTTTGTAGCAAGACTTTGAAGAAGGAAGCAGTATTCTGGATTTATACTGACAGAAGTGTCTTACCTTGTTTTAGACCAGCACTTTGAGTAGCACTGGTATAAATGATAAAGTGGATTATGTAAAAACATAGTTTTACTGGGAAAGTACAGGTCACAGATGCCCCTGTGTCTTGTTTTTTCCCAGGCAAAACAAACATAGTTTCACTACGTAAAGTAGTTTGGATCAGCTTGAAACACAAGTGGTTTCATGTTGCTCTTTGTTCTGTTTTCAAGTGGACTGATTTAATTTTTTTAGTGGTTATTTTAGGAAAAGTATTCCTTCTTTAATAGATCACAAAATCTTCCTTAGTTTTACATCAAAGCTACTCTATTTTGGGCCATCCAAATCCTGACTTTTTTTGTTCTGTTTTTTTCCTGTATTTTTCCCACGATCCGTTTATAGACTTTGCTAAACATTTGGCCTAGAAAAATTCCAAACAACCACTACTTGCTGCTGCCAGATCTTTTCTGATTGACTTCACCTTGGTCCGCTATTTTTTCTTTGTTGTTCATGTTGTTGCTCATCACATTCCTTCAACCATTTATCTAGTTTTTTCTTCTCTTTTCCTTTCCTTGCCTACCCTGTTCTTTGCTCATCTTATCATGTTTACCTGGTAACGTTTTCTAGTCTTTTAGCCCTCTTGCTTTTTGATTCCAAAAGCATTTCTGAAGCCCATTTTACTTTATAGTTGATGCTCCCTCTACCAAAAGAGTATAGCCTTTGCGGACATAGTTTGACATAAGGAGAGTCTTTAAAAGGAACATAGCCAGTTCTGTTTTAATTAAGATATAAAGATATGTCATAATTCTATTTTATTTTTAGCTGTGTTCAAAGAATTTATGTCCAGAATAAGCCTTAAATTGCCTTGGAAAAGGGGAGCAGACTACCTCTGAAGTCCTTTCATATAATTTTTTTTACCTATTTTATAATCAGTGAACTTCTAATTCTGTTTAACTTTTCCCCTTTTTCAGTCATTATCACCCTTTGATCCTAGCAGATTGTTTGGCTGGCAGTCTGCTAACACACTAGCTATAGGAGGTAAGTCATCATGGGTACTTCTTGAGACATGTTTTAGCAGTGTTAACTACAGAAGTTAATACATGTAATGCCAATCTAGTTTTCTCATTGATTTTTATTTTAAAAGTAAAGGTGTATTCCAAAGGAAAAATAGTTCGCAAAGACAGAATTGAAAACATATTGTGAGTTAAAAGTGAATGTATTAGGTTACTAGTGCTGTACTTGCTGAGAAATGTAATGTGTAACTATTTGCTTATATTTCTTCCTTTCAAAAAGTTATTCTTCATTTCCAGTATAGTATCATAAAAATTAAAAGCATAGGTGTCAGCATTAAACAAATCCTGGCCCTACCATGTAATTAATACCTGTATGACCTTGGTCATGTGATCTAACCTCTTTAATTCTCTATGAAATGAGGTTAATCACAGTGACCACCGAACACATTACTATGAGAATAAAAGGAGGCAAGGCATTTAAGTACCAGATTCACACACATCGTGATGTCCTATAAAGACCATAAGACTTTCTCTGATTTTTTTCTGTTCTTAAACTGTTTTTTCTATTTCTCTTTTATCTTTAATATCATGTTGCCTGTGGTGCCTCTGCCTATATTACCCTAAATTAGGCTTTGCATTAGTACTTTGTACATAGTATGTACCCAATATCTATTGACATACATAAAAATGAATTTCTTAATGTATGTGTTTTATAAGTTCGAATTTTGATATATAGAATTTACCTCGTGCCCAGAGTCCAATGCATGCCAAGCCTACAGTAGATGTTCAGTAAATATTTGTTGAGTGCTGAAAAAAGTAGTGCTTATTGCATTATCAAATAGAAATACTCTTTCTCAGTGAAGTTACTAGAGAGTAGACAAAATACCCTCTCCTCTTGTGATGGCTCCAACTCCATCACTTAGGTGGCATCTTGACCTGGCATTCTAACTCTTGGAAATTGAGCACTCTGCCAGGTAGAGTAGAGGCACAGAGAAGTTGAAAGCATGTTCCCTGCTGTTTTTAGAAGTTTAAAACATACTTGAGGAAATAAAGCACAAAGTAAATGAAACTGTTATGAAAATGTAATACTTTTTTTTTTTTTTTTTTTTTTTTTTTTTGGAGATGGAGTCTTGTTCCGCCCAGGCTGGAGTGCAGTGGCACGATCTCGATCTCGGCTCGCTGCAAGTTGTGCCTCCCGGGTTCATGCCATTCTCCTGCCTCAGCCTCCCGAGTAACTAGGATTACAGGTACCCACCACCACGCCTGGCTAATTTTTTGTATTTTTAGTAGAGGTGGGGTTTCACCGTGTTAGCCAGGATGGTCTCGATCTCCTGACCTCGTGATCCACCCACCTCGGCCTCCCAAAGTGCTGGGATTACAGGCGTGAGCCACCGCACCCAACCAATACATATTTATAAAATTGGAAACCTGTATTTAATTTGAATGTTGACTTCTTTTTTCTTATGGTTTTACCACTGAACAGGGATGTAAGAACACTGTGTGGTGACTTGGCTTCTGCACCAGGCCAGAGTAAAATTTCCCTCTAGAATGAATTTTCTCTTATACGCAGTCTCCACACTAAGCCCCAACGTGCTAAAAAATTATGGTCTTATTTGAATAAAAAACTCAAATGTGCTCATTTCAGTACTGTGTGCCTTACAAACGCTCAGCAAATATCTAATGAATGGCTTTATATGTAATTACAAGTTGTCAAAGTCGCTCTGTTCTCACAAGAATACAAATAGGGCATGTGACAGTTTTTTTAATCTCAAAGAGGGAATGTACTTTCAGGTAAGACCTTTGTAAGATGACAGATACCTCCAGGGTCTTCAAGCCTTTTTTTTTTTTTTAGGAATCAGGTCACAATGTGAAAAGTCCTTGGAATTCCATGAGAAAACACAACTTTATTTCAGAAATAAGCTTTGAACTTTGAAAACAAGAGCAGGTACACTGTTTTCCAGAACTAGTTTCTGGAACCAGATCACAGTGTTGTCTTTTTTAAAAAATAGGTAGTAAGTGGTTAAGAGACAATTGAATAGTACGTGACAGGAGTGACTATTTCTTTCTAACTGGAGTCAGCCCTCCATATCCTTGGGATCCACATCCAAGGATTCAACCAACCTCAGATGGGAAATATTCAAAAGAACAAACAAACAATTTAAAAAAAAGAAAAACAATAGAACAATTAAAAATAATACCAATTTAAAAATACAGTATAACAACTATCTACATGGCATTTACATTTATTGGGTATTATAAGTGATCTAGAGTAATCTAAAGTGTATGGGGAAATGTGCATAGGCTATATATAAATACTATGCTATTTTACAGGGACTTGAGCATCCTTCTGTGGATTTTGGTATCCAAGGGTTTCAGGAACCAATCCCCCATGGATACCAAGAGATGACTAGACTCATATCAAAATATCTTCTGACTTCAAATTTATCTAAAAAAAGACATTTTTGTTTGATATTTTCTTGGGTTTAGAGGAACTTTAAACTGAGCTATTCTGCTGGTCTTATTAATAGAAGGATGGTGCCATCTTTCTAAGATATTCATGCTCTATGAATACAACATCAGAAAGTAAGTGATAACAAATGGAGGTTATAGGAGGGTAATTAGTGTAGAGGGAAAAATGTTCTAAAATTACCTGTTGGAGGCCAGGTGCAGTGGCTCATGCCTGTAATCCTAACACTCAGGAAGCTGAGGTGGAAGGATTGCTTGAGGCGAGGAATTCAAGACCAGCTTGGACAACATAGCAAGACACTGTCTCTACAAAAAATTAGCCGGGTATAGAAGATAAGGGTCAAGAAGGTGAAAGAAAAATGTTAAAATTAGCCAGGCATAGTTGTGTGTGCCTACAGTGCTACAGGAGGCTGAGGCAAGAGGATTGCTTGAGTTAAGGAAGTCAAGGCTGCAGTGAGCTATGGTCATGCCACTGCACTCCAGCCTGGGCAACAGCAAGACCCTGTGTCCAAAAAAAAAAAAAAAAAAAATTGCCTGTTGGAGAAAGGTACAGTGAGTTGGCTTTGGTGAACAGAGGACTCATATAAATATGTTAAAAGGGATTTTATTGCATAATGACCTTTTGTGAATGAATTTAAAAGCTCCTTTTGCAGTTATTTAAAGACTTTACAACTATAGGGTTATTGGCTATTGCCTTTCTGAACTTAAAGGATCATCAAATACAGAATTAAAACCAGGATGGTTCAACATACACAAATTAATAAATGATACACCACATTAACAGAATGAAAGACAAAAACCAGGCCAGGCATGGTGACTCATGCCTATAATCCCAGCACTTTGGGAGGCCGAGGTGGGTAGATCACGAGGTCAGGAGATAGAGACCATCCTGGCTAACACGGTGAAACCCTGTCTCTACTAAAAAATACAAAAAAAAATTAGCCAGGTATTGTGGCAGGCGCCTGTAGTCCCACCTACTTGGGAGGCTGAGGCAGGAGAATGGCGTGAATACGGGAGGCGGAACTTGCAGTGAGCCAAGATCACGCTATTGCACTCCAGCCTGGGCAACAGAGCAAGACTCCATCTCAAAAAAAAAAAAAGACAAAAACCATATGATCATATCAATAGATGCAGAAAAAGCATTTAGGAAAATTCAACATCCTTTCATAATAAAAACTCTCAACAAATTAGGCATAGAAGGAATGCATCTCAACATTATAAAGGCCATGTATGACAGTCTCACAGCTAATATACTCAGCAGTGAAAAGTTGAAAGCTTTTCCTCTAAGATCAGAAATAAGACAAGGATGCCCACCCTTGCCACTTCTGTTCAACATAGTAGTTGAAGTCCTAGCCAGAGCATTTAAGCAAAAAAAAAGAAAGGCATCCAAATCAGAAAGAAAGAAGTGAAGTTGTCATTGTTTGCAGATGGCATGATTTTGTATATAGAAAATCCTAAAGACTCTACCAGTAAAACTGTTAGAACTAATAAACAAATCTAAGAAAGTTGCAGGATATTAAATCAACATACAAAAATCAGTGTTTCTATATACCAACAGCAAACTGTCTGAAAAAGATAATGAACAAAACTATCCCATTTCTATTTTTTAATAGAACACAAAATACTTCGGAATAAATTTAATCAAAGAGGTCAAAGATCTGTACATATTAAACTATCAAACATTGGTGAAAGAGGCTGGGTGGGCTGGGCGCGGTGGCTGGCTGGACACAGTGGCTCACGCTCATGCCTGTAATCGCAGCACTTTGGGAGGTCAAGGTGGGCAGATCACCCGAGGCCAGGAGTTCGAGACCAGCCTGGCCAACATGGCGAAACCCCGTCTCTACTGTAAGTACAAAAATTAGCTAGGTGTGGTGGCACGTGCCTCTAAGTCCTAGCTACTTAGGAGGCTAAGGCAGGAGAATCACTTGAACCCAGGAGGCGGAAGTTGCAGTGAGCTGAGATTGTGCCATGGCACTCCAGCCTAGACAGCCGAGCAAGATTCTATTTAAAAAAAAAAAAAAAAAAAGAAGAGGCTGGGCGCACGCATGTAATCCTAGCACTCTGGGAGGCCAAGGCAGGTGGATTGCTTGAGCTCAGGATTTTGAGACCAGCCTGGGCAACATGGTGAAATCTCATCTCTACCAAAAATACTAAAGAAAGCTGGGTGTGGTGGCATGCACCTGTGGTCCCAGCTACTTGGGAGGCTGAAGTGGGAGGATCACCTGAGCCCAGGAAGTGGAGATTGCAGTGAGCCAAGATTATGCCACTGCACTCCAGTCTGGGCGACAGAGCCAGACCCTGTCTTAAAAAAAAAAATAAAAAATCAATTATGTTGTATACTTTAAATATATACAATTCTTAAATAAGTTGCTCAAGGTCACGCAGCTAGTGGTGTCAAGACCAGGAATCTCACACTTTTTTTTGTTTTTTTGAAATGAAGTTTCACTCTTGTTGCCCAGGCTGGAGTGCAATGGCGCGATCTTGGCTCACCACAACCTCTGCCTCCCAGGTTCAAGTGATTCTCCTGCCTCAGTCTCCCAAGTAGCTGGGATTACAGGCATGCACCGCCACATCTGGCTAATTTTGTATTTTTAGTAGAGACGGGGTTTCTCCAACTTGGTCAGGCTGGTCTCAACTCTTGACCTCAGGTCATCCGCCTGCCTTAGTCTCCCAAAGTGCTGGGATTACAGGCGTGAGCCACCGTACCCGGCTGAAGCATCATTTCTTACCAGAGTTTTTATGCAACTTCTCAGGTACACATCTTTGTATAAAATGAAGGCTACCTCTATACACTGAAGTAAAATAAATCAGATTTTGGTAGATTCAAAGTGATACGTAGTGATGCAAAATAATTACAGCAACCAGTTTTATCATTAGAGAGTTCCATGTGCAAATCTGAAATTAATTATGGTGATATACAGATAATTAATATTGTTTTACTTTCCCCCTAGATGCATGGAGTCATCTCCCACATTTCTCTAGCCCTGACCTGGTTAATAAATATGCTATAGTGGAACGTCTGAATTTTGCTTATTATTTACATAATGGGCGGCCATCATTTGCATTTGGTACTTTTCTGGTCCAGGAATTAATCAAGAGCAAGACTCCCAAGCAGCTGTGAGTATTTAAAATATAATTTTGTCTGGGTACAGTGGTTCACACCTGTAATCCCAGCACTTTGGGAAGCAGGAGGATCACTTGAGCCCAGGAGTTCAAGGAAGCAGTGAGCTATGGTCATGCCACTGCACTCTAGCCTGGGTGACAGTGAGGCTCTGCCACTAAAACAAAAAAAGTAAAATAAAATATAATTTGTATTCTAAAAAAGGGCATATCTGTATAATGTTTTACATGTACATTGAAAAACATACTGGAAACATACCACAGTTAACAGTGATTACATTTGGATGGTGATTATTGTTGTTTTCATTTGTGCTTCCCTGTGTGTCCTAAGTTTTTGGCATTTAGTGTGTGTGATTTTTGTTAATTGGAAAAAACATAAATATGTTTTGAAAAATAATAAAATTTAAAATCATACAGGAGTTTGTCAAATATTAGCAGTTAAAGAGGGAATTCTAAGGGAGGGAGAACGTTAGGACAAATACCTAATGCATGCGGGGCTTAAAACCTAGATGACGGGTTGATAGGTGCCACAAACTGCCATGGCACATGTATACCTATGTAACCTGCATGTTCTGCACATGTATCCCAGAACTTTAAAAAAAGGGAATTATATGATGAGATGTGAATTCTATATTTAATGTCTTTAATAATTCAATTATTCATTTTTATAAGGCACAGAATTGAGAGGAGCATTTACTATAATGAACAGCTAAATATAGATTTACTTTATTGGTTTGTTTTATAATTAACAAAGTAATACCTTTTTTATGGTAAAGTATTCAAGTAGTTCAGAAAGGTGAAAATGAAAGATAGCCCTCAGCTTCCCATTCCACATGGTAAAAACATGGTTAATAATGTCTTGTGTGGGCTGAGCACGATGGCTCACACCTGTAATCCCAGCATTTTGGGAGGCCAAGGTGGGCGGATCACAACCTCAGGAGTTTGAGACCAGCCTGGCCAATATGGTGAAACCCTGTCTCTACTAAAAATACAAAAATTAGCCAGGCATGGTGGTGGGTGCCTGTAGTCCCAGCTACTCAGGAGGCTGAGGCAGGAGAATCGCTTGAACCCGGGAGGCAGAGGTTGAAGTGAGCCAAGAATCACACCACTGCACTCCAGTCTGGGCTACAAAACGAGACTCCATCTCAAAAAAATAATAATAAAAATAAAAAATAGTAATTTCTTGTGTCTTTCCCAAATTTTCTATTCCTATAAAAGGCCTATATGAGTTTTTTTAAATGTGCTTCATGATGTCAAACTTACATTTAAGTGGCATTGATATTCTTCGTAGTTTGTATACGTACTCATAATTGATAAGATCACAAGTTGGCAGTCTTTCAGAAGTTGTACTTCATGTCTTGATGAAGTTGGAAGCAAGAATAGTTTAGACTATGACTAAGCGTTTTAGAAAGTCAGCTTAAGGGAAGCGGGGGGCTCTTGGGCCAAAAGACAACTGAAAAGCTACCAGGAACCTAAACGGGTATGTGCAAGGGGCAAAAGGTAAGGGAGAGGAGGCCACAAATCACATGGCTGGCACTCCCTCTGTCACTGATTTAATTCCATTTGCTTTTCCTGGTGAGACATAATTTTCATGTGCTGATGTGATTTTGATTCCTTTCTTTTTCAGGATCCAGCAAGTAGGCAATGAAGCCTATGTTATAGGGCTCTCCTCCTTCCACATACCTTCAATAGGAGCTGCATGTGTTTGTTTCTTAGAATTGCTTGGCCTTGACAGCCTCAAGCTCAGAGTTGATATGAAAGTGGCCAATATAATTTTGAGCTACAAGTGCAGAAATGAAGATGCTCAGTACAGCTTTATCAGAGAGTCTGTAGGTACAGCACCTTTTATCTGGCCTGCTTTGTTTAGAGAAGGTGTGACGAGGTCTAAGGCATTGAATTGTGAGTGTTTGGGGAGAAAATGGTTATCTTCTTGGTTTTATCCTTTTCCTGCAGAGTGTGTGTTCTTTGTCTCACTTTCTTGGGCACTTTAATTGGGTTCTGAAATGGCCCTGAGCCACACTATTCAAACAGAAATGCTCAGGTTTTGACTTTTTCTCTTCACCATATTTTGTTGTTTATATTTCTTACAGCCGAAAAACTATCTAAACTAGCTGATGGTGAAAAGACAACCACAGAAGAATTGCTTGTTCTCTTAGAAGAAGGTACATGGAACAGCATTCAGCAACAGGAAATAAAGAGGTTTGTGAGTTGCAGTCTCAGCCTCTTTTCTAACAAGCTTATTGTGCCAACCTGTGTTTGCCTAGTTTTTCTTTGAACAACTCTGGTGTTTTCACTAAATCCCCCTAGACCTTATCTTCTTCTTTATCTAGCATGTAGCAGATACTCAGTAAATGAATAATGATTTTAATTGCATCTTGCCATCAGTGAAAAGAGGGTGAAGATAGCAATTCTCTCTTTAGAGATGGACTTACCAAGAGATGGAGAGCAGCTTTGTCTCCTCCACTGCCCTGCTAGTCAGAGAAGTCTTTTAAATGGTACATGTTGAAATGCCAGAAGATGTGGGTTCAGATGTCTTGGAGGATTGGAAAAAAATGAAGAAGAGGATGATGTAGGATGGGTCTTCCAAAATTTGACTTTAAGTCATGTCCTTACTTTTTTCATTTTATTATGTCAGTTGATAATGGAAGCTGAAGTGACCGTATGTAAAAGCACCTCCTTACACTTCATGCCTTCTTTATGCTGCCCCACTGGGGCTGACCTAACCACTCCAGACCCTGAGAACGCACCCTTTTTCTGTACATCCTATCACTGATTCTGTTCTTGGCAGAATCCTGCTTGCAGCAGGAACATGTACCCTACCCCTGGTGAGGAGGCCCAGGCACCCACCAGGCCTCTGAGTACTCTAAAGTGAATAGAGCAAGAGAAATAAGTGCTCAGAAAGTTTCTTGACTGACAACTTCCTCAGTTCTCCTAAGGATGCTACACAGCCAGTATAAATAGGTACTTGATTGATGACTTGGGGAAGGAATGAATTGTGCCAGTATGCTAAGCTAGCTATTCTGCCTTATGGGTGAAAAAGTCTACTGTTTTTGGCCAGGCACAGTGGCTCACACCTGTAATCCCAGCACTTCAGGAATGTGAGGCGGACGGATCACCTGAGGTTGGGAGTTCAAGACCAGCCTGACCAACATGGAGAAACCCCGTCTTTAGTAAAAATACAAAATTAGCCGGGTGTGGTGGCACATGCCTGTAATCCCAGCTACTCGGAGGCTGAGACAGGAGAACTGCTTGAACCCAGGAGGCGGAGGTTGCAGTGAGCTGAGATCGCACCATTGTACTCCAGCCTAGGCAACAAGAGCGAAACTCTGTCTCAAAAAAAAAAAAAAAAAAAAGAATCTACTTTTTTCAAAGTAGCCTAATAAATATTTAGTATTTGTTGGAGAATACACTGTGCTTTAATTTATATCATTTTTACTCATTTTCCAGTTCAAGCTAAAGCTATATTTTAATGAGTTTTTTGTTTTTTCTTGACCACCCCCACCTCTAATTCTGATTATAGGTTATCCAGTGAATCTAGCAGCCAATGGGCATTAGTGGTGCAGTTCTGCAGGCTACACAATATGAAACTAAGCATATCTTACCTTAGAGAATGTGCCAAAGCAAATGATTGGCTGCAGTTCATTATTCACAGCCAACTCCACAACTACCACCCAGCAGAGGTAAGCCACTAATTGTTAGCAGTCACTCAAAAGGAAATAGGAACACTTCTTAGAAGATAGCATTCTTTCTGTTGTGTAGACATGACATAGGCCTTTTTTTTTTTTTTTTTTTTTTTTTTTTTTGACCAGGATACGTACTGGATACATGGGCTTTTGTTTCATATGATACTATTATTTTTCCTAAGATTTCAGTGGGTTGGCATCAGACAAGGCACTAGTACTGAAGAGCTGAAAAGCTTTTGTGACTTCAGATTGAATATGAAAATTCATTAAAAGGCACCATACAGCTTTGTAAAATTACATAATAGTCACTCTGACTTAGTTCAGGGTGAGAAAGCATAATTTTGTCTATGCTTTTCTCTAACATTTTCAGCTCCAGCTGAAACTGAAAGTTGGGTTTCTGTTTAATCATCTGATATGCCTTCTAGGTGAAATCCCTTATCCAGTACTTCAGCCCAGTCATTCAAGACCACTTAAGGCTGGCTTTTGAGAACTTGCCCTCAGTGCCCACCTCCAAAATGGACAGCGATCAAGTCTGCAATAAGTGCCCCCAGGAACTTCAAGGAAGCAAACAAGAGATGACCGATTTATTTGAAATTCTGCTCCAATGCTCAGAGGAGCCAGACTCCTGGCACTGGCTTCTGGTTGAAGCAGTGAAACAACAGGCCCCTATCCTCAGTGTTCTGGCCTCATGTCTCCAGGTGAGGATCATGAGAAGCCTGAAGTAAGTACCCAGAGAACAATAGAATAAGTAATGAGGGACAGGAAAGGCTGATAATCAGAAGTGGGGTGATGATGACAGTGAGGTTCCAGCATGTGTTTCCAAGTTCACTGCAACATTTTGTGCTTCTCTAGCTTAGGCTCTGGGCCATTTGGTGTACTTTCTTGTGCCTTGACATTCAGTGAACTCAAGTGATCAGAGCCTTGGTTTCTGGTTGGCAGTCACAGAGAAAGACGCTTTGGTGGACTGACCACCACTGTTTCTTTAGTGCCCTCTTTAGCAGGGAAGAGGGACATTCCAGACAGTCCTTTAATCAGCAGATCAGTGGAGGGCAATCCTACTCTCTTATGATTAGTACTTCCCTGACTTTTGCATATACCCCCTTCTGTCTGCTTCTTGGTCTTGTGACCTGCAACACTCTGCAGGACAGTTTAGAACAGTCCCTTGGTTGCTCATTAGTTTGTTTCATGTTTGAAGGCTTTTCAAGCCATTTTAACTAATTAAGTTGGGTGACTTATTCTAAACAGGAAATATCCATCTGTAGTATTTGTACATTTGCCAGGTAATCCAGGCCTAGTTGTTATTTTATTTATCCCGTGGCAGGGTGCCAGTGCCATTTCTTGTCTCTGTGTTTGGATCATCACTTCTGTGGAGGACAATGTTGCAACTGAAGCAATGGGACACATTCAGGACTCAACAGAGGACCATACCTGGAACCTTGAGGATCTTTCAGTCATCTGGAGAACATTATTAACAAGACAAAAGAGCAAAACTCTCATCAGAGGTTTCCAGCTTTTCTTTAAGGTAGTGATAGTTGCTTCACTTCTTTCCAGAGCTTAAGAGATTACTTCAGCATATCCCTTCTTGGCTTTTTCTTATTTCCATCCCTGGATTTTTTTTTAGCCAACAACAGATAATGATGATAATATTAGAAGTACCACTTACTGGCCAGGCGCAGTGGCTCACGCCTGTAATCCCAGCACTTTGGGAGGCTGAGGCGGGTGGATCACTTGAGGTCAGGAGTTTGAGACCAGCCTGTTCAACATGGTGAAACCCTGTCTCTACTAAAAATACAAAAATTAGCCAGGCATGGTGGCGTGGGCCTGTAATCCCAGCTACTCAGGAGGCTGAGGCAGGATAATTGCTTGAACCTGGGAGGTGGAGGTTGCAGTGAGCCGAGATCGTGCCACTGCACTCCAGCCTGGATGACAGGGCAAGACTGTCTCAAAAACAACAACAACAACAAAAGTACCATTTACTTAGCAAAGTCGTATTTATTTTATTTTGTTTTTTGAGACAGGGTCCTACTCTGTCATCCAGGTTGTAAGGTTGTAGTTCAGTGTCATAATAAGGCTCACTCCAGCCTCAACCTCCAAGGCTCAGGTGATCCTCCCAACTCAGCCTCCCAGATGGCTAGGAAAACAGGCACACACCACCATGCCTGGCTTTTTTTTTTTTTTTTTTTTCGCATTTTTAATAGAGACAGGGTTTTGCCATGTTGACCAGGCTAGGCTAGTCTTGAACTCTTGGGCTCAGTGATCCTCCTGCCTCATCTTCCCAGAGCACTGGGATTACAGGCATCAGTCACCACACCTGGCCCAGGGTGGTTTTTTGTTTTTTGTTTTTGTTTTTGTTTTGAGACAGAGTCTCGCTCTGTCACTCAGGCTGGAGTGCAGTGGCACGATCTCGGCTCACTGCAACCTCCGCCTCCCGAGTTCAAGCAATTCTCCTGCCTCAGCCTCCCGAGTAGCTTGGACTACAGGCGCGTGCCACCACGCCCAGCTAATTTTTTGTATTTTTAGTAGAGACGGGGTTTCACCATGTTGGCCAGGCTGGTCTCAATCTCCTGACCTCGTGATCCTCCCACCTCGGCCTCCCAAAGCGCTGGGATTTACAGGCGTGAGCCACCGCTCCAAGCCTCAGGGTGCTTTTTATACATTATTTTAGTGAGTTTTCACAATAATCCTATGTGAAAATAATATTAGATATTATGGGCCAGGCACGGTGGCTCACACCTGTAATCCCAGCACTTTGGGAGGCTGAGACGGGCGGATCATTTGAGGCCAGGAATTTGTGATGAGCCTGGCCAACATGGCAAAACCCCGTCTCTACTAAAAATACAAAAAAAAAAAAGAAAAGAAAAAAGCCGGGCGTGGCAGGATGCACCTGTAAACCCAGCTGCTTGGGAAGCTGAGGCACGAGAATCACTTGAACCCGCAAGGTGGAAGTTGCAGTGAGCCAAGATCACACCACTGCACTGCAGCCTGGGTGACAGAGCAAGACCGTGTCTCAAAAAAAAAAAAAAAAAGATATTATGAAGTGATGTTGCTCTCATTTGACAGACTAATAAATCAAGGCTCACAAAACTTAAGTAACTTATCCAAGGTCTCAAAATACTTCAGTAAGTGGTGTATTTACAGTTCAGAGCCATACTTTCTAATTCAGAACTCCTATTATCTGACTGAGCGACTCCCACTGACAACAATAAAATGTATGAATCAGTGCCACAGGCAACAGTAGGTAAGGTGGATCAGTAGAGCAGATTATCCAGGTGTGTGTGTTTAAAATGTTATGCCTGGGCATGCTAGCGCACACTTGTAATGCCAGCCCTTTGGGAAGCCTAGGCGGATGGATCACTTGAGTCCAAGAGTTCAAGACCAGCCTGGCAACACAGTGAACCCCGTCTCTACAAAAAATACAAAAACTAGTTGGGCACGGTGGCACGCACCTCTAGTCCCAGCTACTCTAGAAGCTGAGGTGGGAGGATCACCTGAGGTCAAGGCTGTAGTGAGTGAGCTGTGATCATGCCACTGCACTCCAGCCTGGGCGACAGAATGAGGCTATGTCTCAAAAAAAATAATAAAAAATAATAATAAAGGTGTCATAGCACCATCTAGTGGAATGCTTCCTGCCTGTGTGCAATAGGCCAAGTATAGAGTAGACAGAAAATTGATTGTTGAGTAGGTATAACTGGACTGAGTATCATTTTTCCAAAAGGAAAAGAAATTATATTTAACTTTAACGTACATGATTTAATCTGTGAAGCTATTGCTAATAGCATTTCTTTTTTTTTTTTTTGAGGCAGAGTCTTGCTCTGTTGCCCAGGCTGGAGTGCAGTGATGTGATCATAGCTACAGCTACAACCTCTAGGTCTCAAGTGATCCTCCCTCAACTTCCCGAGTAGCTGGGACTATAGGCACATGCCACCACACTTGGCTAATGTTATTTATTTATTTATTTATTGAGACAGAGTCTCACTCTGTCGCCCAGGATGGAATGCAGTGGCACAGTCTTGGCTCATTGCAACCTCCACCTCCCAGGTTCAAGTGATTCTCATGCCTCAGCCTCTGGAGTAGCTGTGATTGCAGGCATGCACCACCATGCCTGGCTACTTTTTTATATTTTAAGTAGAGATGGGGTTTCATCATGTTGGCCAGGGTGGTCTCGAACTCCTGGCCTTAGGTGATCCCACTGGCTCGGCTTCCCAAAGTGCTGGCATTACAGGCATGAGCCACTGTGCCCTGCCTTATTAATAGCATTTTTAACATTCTCTTATTTGGCATTATTCATTGAAAAAATATTAAGTTCAAAATTTTGTAATTTTTTTCAAACTCTTTGTCAAAGGATTCCCCGTTACTACTGGTGATGGAGATGTATGAACTGTGTATGTTCTTCAGGAATTATAAAGAAGCTGAAGCTAAACTTCTGGAGTTTCAGAAGAGCCTTGAAACGGTAAGTTGGAATTATGGTGCTCTTTCTCACTGATCTGCACTTGGTTGGCATGCATGGACTTTTTTGTTTTTGTTTAAAGACTTGGTGTCTCACTCGGTTACTCAGGCACAGTGTTACGATCACAGCTCACTACAGCCTTGAACTCCTGGGCTCAAGGGATCCTCCTGCCTCAGCCTCCCAAGTAGCGTGGCTAATTTTTAATCTTTTTTTTTTTTTTTTTGAGACAGTGTCTGGCTCTGTCGCCCAGGCTGGAGTGCGGTGGCATGATCTCCGCTCACTGTAACCTCCACCTCCCAGGTTCAAGCGATTCTCCTGCCTCAGCCTCCAGAGTAGCTGGGATTACAGGTGCCCACCACCACACCCAGCTAACGTTTTGTATTTTTAGTAGAGACAGGGTTTCACCATGTTGGTCAGGCTGGTCTTGAACTCCTGACCTCAAGTGATCCACCCACTTCAGCCTCCTGAAGTGCTGGGATTACAGGCGTAAGCCACTGCACCCGATCATTTTTAATATTTTTTTTATAGAGAAGAAGTCTTGCTTTGTTGCCCAGGCTGGTTTGGAACTCCTTGCCTCAAGCAGTCCTCCTGCCTCGGCCTCTCAAAGTGTTGGGATGACAGGCATGAGCCACCATGTCCGGCCACACTGGTCTTCACTGTAATGAAGATTTGAAAGTTATATATTTGAAAATACCAAATCAGTTATTTGAATATGCCTAGGATTCTAAAACCACAGAAAATAGGCACATTAATTTCCTTAGCCTATTACTCCCTATGGCCAGTTGGCTACCTCCCAGGTATCTTCTTATTCTTGCCTGACCAGCTTAACCAGTTCCATCATCTGTTCACATTTGTTCCTCTTCTTAGAGCAACAGAGTTAGGTATACAAGTAATTAAATAAAGACTAAGCACTAATGCCCTAATCCCAGCTAATTTTAACAAGGACACTCAGGAGGATAAAGAATCAAGAAGAGAAATATTTTTTAAAAAAGAATAGAAGTATTATATAACTTTTGTTCTTCTAAACATCAAAATCCAGTCAGAATGGTTATAGAAAACATTCAGGAACAGTGTCTAAGCAGGAATAGTAGCAATTTAGTGAGCTGACTACCAGTGTTCTTTCTCATAATAATTCCCTTAAACAACTTTGCATTAAGGGAGATGCTGCAAAAGCAAAATGATCTTTTTACTTAGAGTAGGTAAGTCCTATTGGAATTTAAGAGAAGAGGATGAGAAATGGACAGGGAGGACCACATAGGGCATAGGAAAGACAGTAGAGAAGGAAATTCATTCCAAATAGAGGTAAGAAGATAGCAGTAATGTGACACATGATTTTATAAACCATTCCTTAATTTAAGATCTTGGCAGTCTTGAGAATTCCATTGAAGGGAATATTGTCTTCTAAAACCTACGTCACAGCCAAAAAGCCCTGCATGTTAAACTTACCTTCAGAATGACTTTTATGGTGTGTTCAGAAGTATACAGGAAGTATTCAGCCAAGACTAGGGCCTAACTCAGCACTAGGCACAGAGGTACTGAATTATAAGTTTTTGGTGCCTATTAACATATACGTGTTTTGAAACCCGGCAGTTAAGTTTCTATTCCACCAAAACGCCCAGTATTTTTTGTGATTATGTTGTATGAAGTCTAGAGTGAACTACGAGACTATAGTGACTGAGAACCAAATATTAGTCTTCCAAAAATAATACGAAGCAAGAACCAAAGTAAAAATCAGGAATGAAGTCACAAAAGAAGCATCTGTTGGGCGCTATCATCATAGCTGTAATCCCAGCACTCAGGGAGGCAGAGGTGGGAGAATGGCTTGAGGCCAGGAGTTCGACCAGCCTGGGCAACATAGTGAAGACCCTGTTCTTTACCAACACAAAGGAAAGAAAAAAAAACAGCAGCAGCAGGTAAGAAAGCACCACTCCTCTGAAATCAGCCTTTTCCTGCAGCATCCTAGAAGATATTTTTGCCACACCTACTTGTAGAAATGCAGCCTGCCACTTGAATTCATCTTCCTATTAATATTTTTAGCATTCAGTTGAAATGATGTAAATCCAAGCTTCTTAACTGAGACCGTTCTCTAACAAGAATAAACTACAAGCAAAGTGGTAGAACTAGCGAAGTAATGTTAGGCACGTCTTTCTAAGCGGTTTTTATAATGTGAATTTAAAATCCTCTGGATTCAAGGGCAGGCCTACATCCCTCTTTAAAGAAGTTGCTAGGCCAGGCACGGTGGCTTACGCCTGTAATCCCAGCACTTTGGGAGGCCAAGGCAGGCGGATCATCAGGTCAGGAGTTCGAGACCAGTCTGACCAACATGGTGAAACCCCATCTCTATTAAAAATACAAAAAAATTAGCCAGGCGTGGTGGCGTGTGCCTGTAATCCCAGCTACTCAGGAGGCTGAGGCAGGAGAAATCACTTGAAGCCGGGAGGCAGAGGTTACAGTGAGCCAAGATTGCACCACTGTACTCCAGCCTAGGCAACAGAGTGAGACTGCGTCTCAAAAAATAAAATAAAAATAAAGAAGCTGCTAAGTGAAACATCTGGTTAATTTTACAGTGACTCAAAGGGCTATTAATTTGACAGTCACTAAGTAGGAATATTTTACATTAACTCTGTAGTTAGCATTCAGTCTTTAGGACTCTTGCCCATCTTTTTCACACATGCAGCTCTATACCAGAACTTTCCACAAAGAGACAATGTGCAAAGCTGCTGAGGAGGGCTTGTTTTTGCCAGTCCTCTGAGCCCCATTACCAGTTCCTGCCATTTGGAAAGGAACTGAGTAAGTGCCTCATGACAGGCGATGGCTTTTGAGGGAATTTTAGCTTTCTTAGAGGTTCCCAGATTTGGAGGTTTTGATTTGCTATTCTCATGAAACTGCTTTCCCTAAGCTTCTCTTTTTCTTTCATAGCTTAACACAGCAGCCACAAAGGTCCACCCTGTCATCCCTGCCATGTGGCTGGAGGATCAGGTGTGTTTCCTTTTGAAGCTTATGCTACAGCAGTGTAAGACCCAGTATGAGCTGGGGAAGCTTTTACAGCTCTTTGTTGAAAGAGAGCATCTCTTCTCTGATGGTAAGACAATCCTTACAGTTAAGTTGCTATTAAGAAGTTAGCTTTCTTAATCTTGAAAATACTTTAGAGGGGTAGTTAGGAAATTAAAATGCATGTAACATTAACTTACAGTCTACAACTGGGAGTAAACAAGTTACAGAGAACTTTAAATTGTGGTTAAAATATTCAAGAAATAATACAACAGCATAAAACATAAATGATATAACCAATCATCTCATTCTAAGCAGTTACCAAATAGCCACATTTCCTCCTGGCTGGCTTCTACATTACCCTGTTGTGGGGGTCCAACCCACAGACGCTGACCTAGCAACAGATCAAGACATACACTGACAGAGATATTTTGCCTGTCAGTCCAGCTAAGGGGCTCTGCTCTGAGTCTGGAGCATTGCTTCATAAGCTGGCAAAGTTTGCATTTATTTAGTACAGATTAAATGGCAAAGGTTTTGAGTAAACACCATTAGACGGTAATTAACATTGCCGATCCCCTGAGTAGAGAGCAATTATGTACCCGCGGTTGATCAAAGGTTGGTCTTAGGACCACATGAGTAAACAAGCTATTTAGATATACTTCCCCACATTCCCTTGTTATTTGCTTTTTTGCTATCAACTAAAGGTAAAGAGGATTAGGCTGCCTTCAGCCAAATCTGTCACTGAAGCTATGCAAACGGCCCAGCCTTCTGAGAAGGTTTGTGTTTATTTCCTATAACTATCTTATATAATTTTTCCTATATTAGTATATAATTATTCTTATATAATATTTCCTATAACTATTATAGTTTTTCCTCTACAATTTTTCCCACCACCCTGACTTAACTCCCACACCCTGTCACTATCTTCTTCTCTATGGCAAGTAACCTTAGCATTGCTCAGGGTCACAAACCCTATTTCAGAAATGCACAATTCATTTTTAAAGTTTCAGAGAAAATTGTGCTTGTTTTTTTGTTTGTTTTTTTTTTTGCAGATTCCTCAAGATGTTGGCAGTCTCTAAACTTGTTGCTGATTGACTCAAACAAATATTGCCTTACTATCTTTTCCACTTGTTTGATAATTTCAAGTTTTTTATTGAATGATAATGTTGTTCTTTTATACTATATTCTGACAGTTTGGCTACTAGGGTTATTTTCTCACATTTAAACTCACAGATGTTCAGCTGGAGAGCTCAGATTTGCACAGAACACTGACAGAATCCTGAGCTCAGAGCCAGTTGTTGCAGGCTGTGGATCTGATGACTAAAAGGAAAAAGAGGTGTTTCCAAAATGTAGTGGATATAAGATGGCACTTACCAGTTACTGTGCAGACCAAATGATAAGTCCTTTTAACATATAGGTGTTTTCATTGATCTGTAGTAATAATTTTTTTCAAAAATGAATTTCCTGTTGTTTGCCATAATCTATCTTTGAATAATTATAAGAATTGACTACATTGTTAAACATGACTATAATAGTTTTATTCTATAATTTTTTATATTTTTAGAAATTGTGTTACTATGTGTGCGTATTTAACATTTATTTGCTTAGAGAACAGGAATACGTTTTTTTTTTTTTTTTTTTTTTTTTTTGAGACAGTCTGGCTCTGTTGCCCAAGCTGGAGTGCAGTGGCACGTTCTCAGCTCACTGCAACTGCAACCTCTGCCTCCCAGGCTCAAGTGATTCTCCCACCTCAACCTCCTGAATAGCTGGAATTACAGGCACACACCACCACACCTGGCTAATTTTTGTATCTTTTATTAGAAATAGGGTTTTGCCACGTTGCCCAGCTAGTCCCAAGCTCCTGAGCTCAAGCACTCCTCCCGCCTTGGCCTCCCATGGTGCTGGGATTACAAGCATGAACCACTGTGCCCAGCCAGGAATATGTTCTGTAAAAACGTGTTTTATATGATTGTGCAGGGTGTCTTACTGTCCCCAGAACTACCTGAATCAGACTGCTGCCCAGCAGGTGGCACTGGAAATAACCTCCTGTGGAATGTTTCTCATGCCCCTCTCTTATGGTAGGACACACATAGACTCTACTTAGACTGTTTGGGAAAGGGAGCAAACTCAGCCACATAAATTGTTGGCAGAGAATTCTTTGTTTTTGTTTAATAGAGAGAAAGGTCTTGCCATGTTGCACAGGCTGGTCTTGAACTCCTGGCCTCAAGCGATCCCTCTTGCCTTGGTCTCCCAAAGTTCTGGGAATATAGGCGTGAGCCACTGCACCTGGCCAAGAATTCTTAGTGTTACTAATACTTTCCAAGGGACATCAGGAGGAGCTCAGTTAGGTCTCCCTGGGTTAAGTAGATAAATTTTAGAGGTGCAAGTGATGCTTCATTCTGAATACAGTGTGCCACATTAGAGCCTAGGCTATTGGCCAGCTGGAGATTTAACTGTCCTACAAGTTCTCTGTCTTGATCCACATGATTCCTGCATTGAATGAACAAATGACCACTAAATCAGACAAATTTGATCAAGGTAGGAGATAAATCCAGAAAGAGAGAGACCAGTCTGAATGACTAAAATCTTCCTACTGTGTTTCTACTACATTGAAGGCCACCAACCTCTGCCCTGTATATAAAGCCAGATGTGTAGATTGAGTTCATGTGCTAATCTCTAACAGTTTTTTTTTTCTTTTTGAGACAGAGTCTCACTCTATTGCCCAGGCTGGAGTACAATGGCACCATCTCGGCTCACTTCAACCTCCGCCTCCCAGGTTCAAGTGATTATCCTGCCTCAGCCTCTCGAGTAGCTGGGATTACAGGCGTGTGCCACCACACGCCTGGCTAATTTTTGTATTTTTAGTAGAGACGGGGTTTCACCATATTGGCCAGGCTGGTCTTTCCTGACCTCAAGTGATCCACCCACCTCGGCCTCCCAAACTGCTGGGATTACAGGCGTGAGCCACTACGCCTAGCCATTAATCTGTAACACCTCTTACTATATGACAAGCAAGTTCAGTCAGACTTTACCACTAACAATTTTGCAGGACCATTTTTTTTGGTATACAGCTACCTTATGGCTTCCTCTGCTAGTCAACCAGAGTAGAAAAATAGTTTTTTTTGTCCGGGCACGGTCGAGAGCAGCCTGGACAACATGGTGAAATCCCATCTCTACTAAAAGTACAAAAATTAGCCAGGTGTGGTGGTGTACACCTGTAGTCCCCACTACTCAGGAGGCCGAGGCAGGAGGATCCCTTGAACCCAGGAGGTGCAGGTTGCAGCGAGCGGAGATCACACCACTGCATTCCAGCCTAGGTGACAGTGAGACTCCATCTCAAAAAAAAAAAAAAAAAAAAACAGCTTTTTATTTTTCCTTTAACCACATTACTATGTTAAACACGTATATTTTCCCCCTGATATGTATTACTCTTGAAATGCTGTAGTGGCATTTTATTGACTAAATGTTTATATCCTTTTCTCTTTGGCACAGGTCCAGATGTGAAAAAGCTTTGCATCCTTTGCCAGATTTTGAAGGATACATCCATAGCCATTAATCATACAATTATTACCAGCTACAGCATTGAGAATCTTCAGCATGAATGTAGATCTATTTTGGAAAGACTGCAGACAGATGGACAATTCGCTTTGGCCAGGAGGGTAGCAGAATTAGCTGAGTTACCTGTGGACAACTTGGTTATTAAAGAGGTATCATCGGTCTTTTTTTTTTTTTTTTTTTTTAGATACGGGGTCTTGCTCTGTCACCCAGGCTGGAGTGCAGTGGCGCGATCTCCGCTCGCTGCAAGCTCCGCCTCTCGGGTTCATGCAATTCTCCTGCCTCAGCCTCCCGAGTAGCTGGGACTACAGGTGCCCACCACCATGCCCGGCTGAATTTTTTTTTTTTTTTTTTTTTGTATTTTTAGTAGAGATGGGGTTTCACTGTGTTAGCCAGGATGGTCTTGATCTGACCTTGTGATCCGCCCGCCTCTGCCTCCCAAAGTGCTGGGATTACAGGCGTGAGCCACCACGCCCAGCCTCATTGGTCTTTTTAAGTTATTTAAAATCTTAGCTTTTAAAATCAGCATTAAACAGTAAATCAAATGAGATGTATAATTTATAGGAGATAAGACTTTTTTTTTTACTTTTGACACACACATTACTTTCAGAAATGGATGAGCCTACAATTCCCATGATTGAGAAATGTGTGCTGCAAATGTAACATTAGTTTGTAGGATATGCTACAACTATTTTCCTTTGAATAGAATTAAATATAAGGGGGCTTCCACTTAAACCCCATTCCATGAGATCAATCAAGAATTGTTTTTCATACCATAACTTTCCAGATAAAATATCTAGGGTCATCTGTAGCCAAATCTCTGTTCTCTGATTTGATTTGGTTTTAACAAGTATGATAAGGCCAGGTGCAGTGGCTCATGCCTATAATCCCAGCACTTTGGGAGGGCAAGGCAGGAGGATTGCTTGAGCCCAGGAGTTTAAGACCAGCCTGGGCAACATAGGGAGACCCTGTCTCTACAAAAAATTAAAAATTAGCCAGGCATGATGGCACACACCTGTGGTCCCAGCTACCTGGGAGGCTGAGGTGGGAGGATCTCTTGGGTCCAGCAGGTTGAGGCTGCAGTGTGCTGTGATCGCCACCACTGCTCTCCAGCCTGGGTGACAGACTGAGACCCTGTCCAAACAAGTATGATATACTTAGGGAACATTAGCATTTATGATACTTTTTTATCCAAGAAAGGCTAAAATCTGCTTTGTTAAATTTCACAGATAACACAGGAAATGCAGACCCTAAAACACATTGAACAGTGGTCACTAAAACAAGCAAGAATTGACTTCTGGAAAAAATGCCATGAGAATTTTAAGAAAAATTCAATTTCAAGCAAAGCAGCTTCTTCCTTTTTCTCAACCCAGGCCCATGTGGCATGTGAGCACCCAACTGGATGGAGCAGCATGGAGGAGCGCCATCTGCTGCTCACCTTGGCAGGGCACTGGCTTGCCCAGGAGGACGTGGTGCCCTTGGATAAGCTGGAGGAGCTGGAGAAGCAGATCTGGCTGTGCCGCATCACCCAGCACACTCTTGGAAGAAATCAGGAGGAAACAGAGCCCAGATTTTCTCGACAGATCTCAACTAGTGGTGAACTTTCCTTTGATAGTTTAGCCAGTGAGTTTTCCTTCTCCAAGTTGGCTGCTCTGAACACATCAAAATACTTAGAACTTAACAGCCTTCCATCCAAAGAGACATGCGAGAATAGATTGGATTGGAAAGAGCAGGAGTCACTAAACTTTTTGATTGGGCGCCTACTGGATGATGGCTGTGTGCATGAAGCAAGTAGAGTATGCCGGTATTTTCATTTTTATAATCCAGATGTCGCCTTGGTATTGCACTGCAGAGCACTGGCCTCAGGGGAAGCTAGTATGGAGGATCTGCACCCAGAGATCCATGCTCTCCTACAAAGTGCTGAGCTGCTTGAGGAAGAAGCACCCGACATTCCCCTAAGGAGAGTCCACAGCAGTAAGTGAAGGAGATCAGATGGCCCAGAGTCTTAAATGGCACTGTTAGCACTGTCTCCAAGAAGGAAGGGACCCTTGTGGCAGAATAGTTCTACCAAGTTAAGGGGACAACAACTTTTTTCCAGGTAATCTGTAGACTAGCCAATTAACTAGGCAATGAAATAGAAAGATCTATGTCTTTTAAACTAGCTATGTTTCAAAGTTAAAGGGAATCTATCTGATTTGTAGCTAGTTCACTGAAATTTATTCTACATATTCTATACATCTGTAAATTTAATCATTTCCAGTCTTACATTGATAGTATATAGAAATATGGCTTTTTGTTTTTCTTTTTGGTTTTTTGTTTTTTGTTTTTTGAGATGGTGTTTCATTCTTGTCGCCCAGGCTGGAGTGCAATGGTGTGGTCTCAGCTCACTGCAACCTCCGCCTCCCAGGTTCAAGTGATTCTCCTGCCTTAGCTTCCCAAGTAGCTGGGATTACTGGCTAATTTTTGTATTAGTAGAGACCGGGTTTCACCATGTTGGCCAGGCTGGTCTCGAACTCCTGACCTCAGGCGATTCGTCCACCTCGGCCTCCCAAAGTGCCGAGATTATAGGGCGTGAGCCACCGCACCCGGCCAGAAATCTGTTTTTTATGTTACCTTTATATGACTTTGTTAAACTTGCTTATTCTAGGAGATTTCTTGTAGATTCCTCAAGATTTTCTACATAGACATTCATGTCATCTGCAAATAGAGTTGTATTTCTGCCTTTCCAATCTGTATGCCTTTTATTTCTTGTTCTTGCTTTATTGCACTGACTAGGCCTTTCAGTACTGTGTTGGATAGGGGTGGCGAGAGTGGACATCTGTACCTTTTTACTGACCTTAAAGGGAAATTATTTGATCTTTCATCATTTAAGTATGGTATTAGCTGTAGGTTTTTGAAGACAGGCTTTATCATGTTGAAAAAGTTCCCTTCTGTTCCTGGTTTGCTGAGAATTTTTATCATAAATCAGTTTGAATTTTGTCATGTTATTGCTGTATCTGTTAATCTGATCATGTGGTTTTTTTTTTCGTTAGACTATTAATATAGTAGATTACATTAGTTGATTTTTTAATATTGGACCAGCCTTGAATTCCCCATTTACATAAATCCAATTTGGGCCTGGTGCGTTATTCTTTTTGATTTTTTGCTGGAATCAATTTGCTGTTTTGTTAAAGATTTTTACATGTATGTTCATGAGGAATGTTATTCTGTAATTTTCTTTATTGTACTGTTTTTGTTTTTGAGATGGAGTCTCCCTCTGTCGCCCAGGCCAGAGTGTGGTGGCACAACCTCAGATCACTGCAACCTCTGCCTTTCAGGTTCAAGTGATTCGCCTGCCTCAGCCTCCCGAATAGCTGGGATTACAGGCGTGTACCACCACGCTTGGCTACTTTTTGTATTTTTAGTAGAGATGGGGTTCCACTATATTGGCCAGGCTGGTCTTGAACTCCTTACCTCAAGTGATCCGCCCATCTTGGTCTCCCAAAGTGCTGTGATTACCGGCTTGAGCCACCGTGCCCGGCCTTTTTTTATACTGTTTGGTTTTTGTATCAAGGTAATGTTGGTTTCATGAGTTAGAAAGTACTCCCTCCTCTTTTATTTTCTGGAAAACATTGTGTAGAACTGGTGTTATTTCTTCCTTAAATGCTTAGTAGAATTTACCAGTAAAACTATCTGAGACTGGAGATTTCCATTTTGGAAGATTTTAAACCACAAATTCAATTTCTTAAACAATTACAGGACTATTCAGGTTATCTTTCTTATCTTGGGTGAGTTTTAGCATTTTGTGATTTTCAAGGGAAACTTTTTCTTCTGCTTTTTGGGTTATTTGAACATTTTTTAGTCTTCCATTTTAATTTATTGTGATTTTGACTCTGCATCTTTGTATAGTTTAATTTTATTTTTTTAGAGATGACAGTGTACATCCTTAACTTTCCACAGTATACTTAGAATCAATATTTTACCACCTCAGCTGGAATGTAGGAGGAATCTTACCACCATTTTAGGTCACTTTATTCTTCTCCCTTTACATCCTACTTGTCTTTTATTACTTCTGCATACATTGAAAACCTCATTAAACAATGAGGTTTTTGCTCTTAGCCAAAAAATATATTTTAATAAACCCGCCTTGGCCTCCCAAAGTGCTGGGATTACAGGCGTGAGCCACCACGCCCAGCCTTTTTTTTTTTTTTAATAATCAGTTTTTCATCATCTGAGAATGTCTCTATTTTACTTTCATTCCTAAAGGATGTTTTGCTGGATATAGAAAATTAGTTATTTTCAGGCCAGGTGCAGTGGCTCACACCTGTAATTCCAGCACTTTGGGAGGCTGAGGCAGGCAGATCAGTTGAGCTCAGGAGTTCAAGACCAGCCTGGGCAACATGGCAAAACCCCGTCACTACAAAAAATACAAAAATTAGCCAGGTGTGTTGGCACATGCCTGTAGTCCCAGCTACTTGAGGGGCTAAGGCACGAGGATCGCTTGAGCCCAGGAGGATAAGGCTGCAGTGAGCCATGTTCATGCCACTGCACTCCAGCCTGGGCAACAAAGTAAGAACCTGTCTCAAAAAATAAATAAGAAAATTAGTTATTTTCTTTCAGTGCTTGAAAATGTTGTTCACTTCCTTTTCGCCTCCATGGTGTCTGATGAAAAATCTGCAGTCAGTTGAATCATTGTTCATCTATATAAACAGTGCCTATTTCTCTGGTTGCTCTCGATGTTTTTTTTTCTGTTGTTGGTCTTCAGCAGTTTGATTATATTGTGACTGGATATGTATTTCTTTGGCTTTATTCTATTTGGGGTTTACTGAGCTTCTTGAATATGTAGGTTTATGTGTTTCACCACACTTGGGTACTGATCAGCCATAATTTTGTCAAATATTTTCTCAGCACCATACCCTACCTCCTCTCTTTCTGGAACTTCAAGTACATGAATATATAATTTTTGTTATTATCTCTTAAGTCCTTGAAGTTTTGTTCAGTTTTTGTTTGTTTGTTTTTGAGACGGAGTCTCGCTTTGTCACCAGGCTGGAGTGCAGTGGCGCAATCTCGGCTTACTGCAACCTCTGCCTCCCAGGTTCAAGTGATTGTCCTGCTTCAGCCTCCCAAGTAGCTGGGACTACAGGCGTGCATCACCACACCCAGCTAATTTTTGTATTTTGTATTTTGTATTTTTAGTACAGACAAGGTTTCACCATGTTGGCCAGGATGGCCTCGATCTCTTGACCTCGTGATCTGCCCGCGTCGGCCTCCCAAAGTGCTGGGATTACAGGCGTGAGCCTCTGTGCCTGGCCAGTTCAGTTTTTTTTAAACTTTTTTTCTCTCTGTTGTTCAGATTGGATAATTTCTGTTACTGAATTTTATTTCTATGATTTTAAAATTTCAGTTACAGCCATGCGTTAACAATGAGGTTACATTCTGAGAAATGCATTGTTGGGTGATTTCATCACTGTGTAAACATCTTAGAGCACACTTATACAAACCTAGGTGGTATAGACTTCTACACACCTATACTACATGATATATAGCCTACCGATCCTGGGCTACAAGCCAGTACAGCATGCTACTGTACTGTAGTTGATTATAACACAATGGTAAGTATTTGTGTATCTAGACATATCTAAACATAGAAAAGGTACAGTAAAAAATATGATATAAAGATTTTTTAGCTTCAGGAAATAAACAATTGGAGATTTTCATTTAAAAAATTTTTTTAAATGGTACAATTTGTAAAGGGCTCTTAACGTTAATGGAGCTTGCAGGACTAGAAGTTGCTCTGGTTGTCACTAAGTGGTAAGTAAATGTGAAAACTTAGGACATTACATTACTGTAGACTTTATAAATGCTGTACATTTAGGCTACACTAAATTTATTTAAAAATTAAGTAATTGTGCTATGTCACAATGACTATGATGTCACTAGGTGATAGGAATTTTTCAGCTCTATTATAATCTTACAGGATCCTCACTGTATATGCAGTCCGTTGTTGATGGAAACATGGTTATACAGCACGTAACTGCATTTTTCAGTTCTAAAATTTTCATTTTATTCTTCATATCTGTTTCTTTGCTGAGACTTTCCATTTTTCTGTTTGTCTCAAGACCATTCAGAATTGCTTATTGGAACATTTGTATTATAGCTGCTTTAAATTCTTTGTCAGATGATTTTAACATTTGCATCATTTTAATGCTAGCTAGCATCTCATCTTTTCTCGTGTGAGTTGAAATCTTCCTGCTTTTTCTTTTTTTTTTTTTTTTTTTTTTTGAGACGGAGTCTCACTCTATCGCCCATGCTAGAGTGCAGTGGTGTGACCTCGGCTCACTGCAGCCTCTGCCTCCTGGGTTCAAGCAATTCTCCTGTCTCAGCCTCCCGAGTAGCTGGGACTGGCGCCACCACGCCCAGCTATTTTTGTGTGTTTGTGTATTTTTAGTAGAGATGGGGTTTTGCCATGTTGGCCAGGCTGCTCTCAAACGCCTGACTGCAGGTGATCCACCCACCTCGGCCTCCCAAAGTGCTGAGATTACAGGCGTGAGCCACCACGCCCAGCCCCTCTTCCTGCTTTTTCTTATGCTGAGTAATCTGGGGTTGCATCTGGACATTTTGGGTTTTTTTGTTTTCTTGTTTTTGTTTTTCGAGATGGAGTCTCACTCTGTCACCCAGGCTGGAGTGCAGTGGTGCAATCTCAGCTCACTGCAACCTCGGCCTCCCAGGTTCAAGAGATTCTCATGTCTCAGCCTCCCGAGTAGCTGGGATTACAGGTGTGCACCACCACACCTGGCTAATTATTTTGTATTTTTAGTAGAGACAGGGTTTCGCCATGTTGGCCAGGCTGGTCTCGAACTCCTGACCTCAGGTGATCCACCCACCTTGGCCTCCCAAAGTGTTGGGATTACAGGCATGAGCCGCCACAACTGGCTGCATCTGGACATTTTGAATAGTGTATTATTAAAATACACTATTTGAGACTGTGGATCTTATTTAAATCCTATGAAGGATGTTGATATTTTTTAGCAGACAGTTGACCTGGTTAGGTTCAAGCTGAAGTTCCAAACCACTGCCTGTGCATTGTGGTTTTAACATTAGTTCATTTTCCTTTGCGGTAGTATTCAGATCTGTCCTGTGTGTGCACGCCACCTAGTGGTCAATCTGTGACCTTGGTAGTGATCTGTGCTACTTAGGATCAAGGCCATACATGTGTAGTCCAGGAGTGAGCCCTGTAGTTCATAAAAATGTATTGGGTTGCTTTCCTGGGGCTCTCCCAGCTAGTTTTTCCCCCTGAGGCTTCTCTTTTCAGTTATTTGGCCAAAAGCTGAAGGTTTAGTTACCCCCACTCTGTCTTGCACTACCCTGACTATTCCTACACCCAGGGCCAGGTGACAGGAGGGTAATGCAAAAGCAACAGGGGTCTACTCCGCCCTCCTGAGACCAGAGCGCCCCTGCTCAGAAAAGGAGGCTCCTCTGGCCAGGCGCGGTGGCTCACGCCTGTAATCCCAGCACTTTGGGAGGCCGAGGTGGGCGGATCATGAGGTCAGATCAAGACCATCCTGGCTAACACAGTGAAACCCCATCTCTACTAAAAATACAAAAAAAAAAAAAAAAATAGCCACGCGTGGTGGCGGGCGCCTATAGTCCCAGCTCCTCGGGAGGCTGAGGCAGGAGAATGGTGTGAACCCGGGAGGTGGAGCTTGTAGTGAGCCGAGATCACGCCAATGCACTCCAGCCTGGGCGACAGAGCGAGACTCCGTCTCAAAAAAAAAAAAAAAAAAAAAAAGGAAAGAAGGCTCCCCTTTCTGAGAGCCTTAGCTCTTGCCTGCTGTCACTGCAGCCTCTCCCACCACTGCCAGTGGCTTGCTTGGGAGCCAGGACAAGGAAGAACAGGAATTAGGAGTTCCCCTTTCCACTCTTCAAACTGGTACTAGAGAGCTTCTGGAATTCACACACTCTCGCACTCACACTTCACCTCAGCCCTTAGTTCTTAGGTTTTAGTCAGCGCTGCATTCAGGCCAGAGCTTGCTAGAGGGGGGATAATGATAATTCTGGTCATCTTCAGTTTGCCTGCTACTTTTTACTTTTCCAGAGTCCTTGTATGCCACATGTATTATGTCCAGGTTTTGTATTGAATTCAGTGGGAAAGACACAGTAGATTGAGCTTATTATAACCAACTTACCTAGAATTGGAACTCTCAGTGAAGGATTTAAGCAGGGGAATAGCATGGTCTGAGTTGCATTTTATTTTATTTTATTTTTTTATCTTTAAGAGTTTTTGTTTTGTTTTTTTTTTTTTTTTTGAGATAGGGCCTCACTCTGTTGCCCAGGCTGGAGTGCAGTGGTGCAAACATGGCTCACTGCAGACTCAACCTCCAGGGCTCAAGCAGTCCTCCTGCCTCAGCCTCCTAAGTAGCTGGAACTACAGGTGCACACTACCATCCCCAGCTAATTTTTAAATTTTTTGTAGCAGTGGGGGCTCACTGTGTTGCCCAGGCTGGCCTCAAACTCCTAGGCTCCAGGGATCCTCCCACCTTAGCCTTCCAAAATGATGGGATTACAGGCATGAGCCACCACCTCTGGCCTACAGCACTTTTTAATAATATTTTAAAATAAAAATTGTGCTTAGTGTAGCAAATCACATAACATAGAAACGCATAAAGTAAAAAGTCAGTTCAGACTGGGCACAGTGGCTCATGCCTGTAATCCCAGCACTTTGGGAGGCCAAGGTGGGCAGATCACCTGAGGTCAGGAGTTCAAGACCAGCCTGGCCAACATGGTGAAACTTCATATCTACTAAAAATACAAAAAATTAGCTGGGCGTGGTGGTGCACACCCGTAATCCCAGCTACACTGGAGTCTGAGGCAGGAGAATCGCTTGAACTCAGGAGGCAGAGGTTGCAGTGAACCGAGATGGTGCCACTGCACTCTAGCCTGGGCGACAGAGTGAGACTTCATCACACACAAAAAAAGCCAATTCAACACTACTCCCACAAAATTCCCCAGAATAACTATCTTTTACTTGCTTGGTATGCATTTTCTACTTGTAAGCAACACAATATTTATTTTTTACAAAAAATGAGATTACATCATATTGATCTACATTTTTGTCCTCTCAGTACATATAGATAGACCCCCTTCTTTCTCTTTTTTTTTTGAGACAGAGTCTCGCTCTGTCGCCCAGGCTGGAGTGCAGTGGCGCAATCTCCACTCACTGCAAGCTCCACCTCCCGGGTTCACGCCATTCTCCTGCCTCAGCCTCCCAAGTAGCTGGGACTACAGGCACCCGCCACCACGTCCAGCTAATTTTTTTGTAGTTTTAGTAGAGACGGGGTTTCACCGTGTTAGCCAGGATGGTCTCGATCTCCTGACCTTGTGATCCGCCCACCTCAGCCTCCCAAAGTGCTGGGGTTACAGGCATGAGCCACCACACCTGGCCTGACCCCCTTCTTTCTAATGGCTGCAGAGTATTCCACTGTACAGATGTACTAAGCTTGAATAATGCTTTATTGATATACATTTAAATTTTTCTGTTTTGTTTTTGCCATTACAAAGTGTGATATAAATATTCCTTACTTTTTTTTCCTAATAGAAACCCTTTATCAAATTAATATCTTCTCCTATTTTAAGCTAAGAGCTTTTTTTTTTTTTTTTTTTTTTTTTGAGATGGAGTTTCATTCTTGTTGCCCAGGCTGGAGTGCAATGGCACAATCTCGGCTCACCGCAACCTCCGCCTCCCGGGTTCAAGCAATTCTCCTGCCTCAGCCTCCTGAGTAGCTGGGATTACAGGCATGCGCCACCACACCCAGCTAACTTTAAATTTTTAGTAGAAACAGGGTTTCTCCATGTTGGTCAGGCTGGTCTCGAACTCCTGACCTCAAGTGATCCGCCCGCCTCAGCCTCCCAAAGTGCTGGGATTATAGGCGTGAGCCACCGCACCCGTCCAAGAGCTTCGTTTTAAAAAAAATCAGGAATAGATTTTAATTTTACTATAAATTAAAGCATATTTGCAGGTGGGTGCAGTGGCCCATGCCTGTAATCCCAGCACTTTTGGAAGTCGAGGCAAATGCATCAGTTGAGGCCAGGAGTTTGAGACCAGCCTGATCAACATGGCAAAACTTCATCTCAACTAAAAATGCAAAAATTAGCCAGGTGTGGTGGTGCACGCCTGTAATCCCAGCTACTCGAGAGGCTGAGGCACGAGAATCTATTGAGCCCTGGAGGCAGAGGTTGCAGTGAGCTGAGATCGCACCACTGCACTCCAGCCTGGGTGACAGAGCAAGACTCCATCTCAAAAAAAAAAAAAAAAAAAGTATGTTGGAGACCGACTGGGGGTGAGGGGCTGGCAGCAGGAGACAGATAACAGCTCCTCAGAATGCAGAGTGATGAAGGCTGGAACTAAGGCCACAACTGGAGAGATGTTATGGAGATAGTCAGCTATACTTGGTGACTTATTTGATACAGGAGGGAGGACATATAGAGAAGACTCTGGCAAGCATCTTTGGTGCTGATCTCTAGAGCACTCATTAGGTGGCCTTGATCTTTGTAGCATATGAGGTCTTTGAAGTATCCCAGGGTGGGATTTCCTGGAAGAGGGCAATGAAAGAAGTTGAGGTGGGGCCCTGTCAGCAGTGGTCCTATCCCCAGTCAGAGTAATGGGAGTGCAGTGCAGGGAGCTTCAAGCAGAGAGGTAGAGCCATAGAGAGCTAGGGAGAGGCCAGAACCTCCCAGCTTAGAGCCCCTCAGACTTGTATTTGCTTCCAGCTTCAAGTCTGGATAGTCAGAAGTTTGTGACAGTGCCCTCCAGTAATGAAGTGGTAACTAACCTGGAAGTGCTGACAAGCAAATGCCTCCATGGGAAGAACTACTGTCGACAGGTCCTCTGTCTGTATGATCTTGCCAAGGTATGTGCCAAGGGGTGGGGCTCCTCTTTCTGAGAGGGAGGGAAATGAGAAGTTTGAGGTTGATTTTGGACATTGCCAAGTCAGCCTTTTAGATGATAATCATGACCTGGGAGTAGAGCTCTTATCAGGATGTTGGCCCTCATAATTTTATCTTTGGGGAATGGTGGGGAGGACACCAGGCCAGGTGCCAGGGCGATCTGACTCCTGGCTGCAGCTCAGCAAACCAGAAAGCTAGGGCTGTGGGCCCCTGTTTCGTCATCTATAAATGATGATTTGACCATGAGGGTCTCTTCTAGACTTAATATCTTGGGTTTTGCATTATGATTGTGTGGAGCATTCCATATGGAATGTGATGACTATAAAGACAAGAGCCAGAGGAAGCAGAAATCGTCTGTACCTTTGCGCTGCTTGGGGGAGAAAAACAGTAGACTGGAAGTAGAAGAGCACAAGAGAAATAAAGCCAAACCCTAAAGCCCTCGTCTTGGAGAAGACTCAAAGACTTCTTTGGAAATTGAGGGTTTTGCTGCTGCTCTGGGAATAATAAAGGCTCTCGTATTTTAGTCGGTGTTCTTACATTTCATAATATTTTTAAAAATCAGGCTGGGCATGGTGGCTCATGCCTATAATCCCAGCAATTCGGGAGGCCGAGGCGGGTGGATTACTTGAGGGCAGGAGTTTGAGACCAGCCTGACCAACATGGAGAAACCCCATCTCTACCAAAAATACTAAAATTAGCTGGGTGTGGTGGCACATGCCTGTAACCCCAGCTGCTCGAGAGGCTGAGGCAGGAGAATTGCTTGAACCCAGTAGGCAGCGGTTGTGGTGAGCCAAGATTGTGCCATTGCACTTCAGCCTGGGCAACAAGAGTGAAACTCTGCCACCCCTCCCAACCCTGCCGCCAAAAAAATAAGTGTCCAACAAGAGAATAACCTGATGCTTTCTGAATACAAGCCTTTCTTTTACCTGGATTTGGCTTTGGTGAAATGATAGAAAGGGTTAGAAAACAGTACTTGCTTTTTCTAAGGTTCCTGCTGAGGGTGAGGAGTCTGTAAGCTCAGAATACAGTGGAGTCTGTCCACATCAGATTTCAGAAAGGGCTCTTTTGCTTTTTCCTGGCTTCTAAAAGTGGCCTTGACTGGCTTTGTCTTCCTCTCAGGAGTTGGGCTGTTCCTACACAGATGTTGCTGCTCAGGATGGTGAAGCCATGCTCCGGAAAATCTTGGCCTCTCAGCAGCCTGACCGATGCAAACGAGCCCAGGCCTTCATCAGCACACAGGGCCTTAAGCCAGATACTGTGGCTGAACTCGTGGCAGAAGAGGTGACACGGGAGCTGCTTACTTCATCACAGGGAACAGGTGCCCTACCCCCCGGGGATTCCCAACCTCTCTGACAGCATTCTCTAGTTCCCAGTGTTAAGGATTTGGATGTTGTGCTTATATACATCCTGTATGTGGTTCTCTCAAGTTTCTGGATTGCAGTAATGTATTTTGTTTAAATAAAACAAAATACATGCTTTATTTTTTACAAAATACATGTACAAAATACATGCTGTTGCTTTTTATTGTTTTATGATTACACTGGGAGTAGCTGTGGCTTTCTGAGCTAAAGAACTGTCCTGGCCGGGCGCGGTGGCTCACGCCTGTAATCCCAGCACTTTGGGAGGCCAAGGCTGGCAGATCACGAGGTCAGGAGATAGAGACCATCCTGGCTAACACAGTGAAACCCGCCTCTACTAAAAATACAAAAAAGTAGCCGGGCGTGTTGGCGGGCACCTGTAGTCCCAGCTACTCAGGAGGCTGAGGCAGGAGAATCGTTTGAACCTGGGAGGCTGAGGTTGCAGTGAGCCAAGATCACCCCACTGCACTCCAGCCTGGATGACAGAGCAAGACTCCATCTCAAAAAAAAAAAAAAAAAAAAAAAAGAACTCCTGTCCTATAAAATGACCAATAGGCCAAGGGTTTCAAGCTCAGCAAGCGGAGAGCTGCAGAGCTCCATAAGCATTACCTCCTGGTGCCTAAGCCTGGGCAGAGTGGGCCTCTCTTAGATAAAACCAGCACCTGTCTTCACACCTCTCTGTACAGGACATAAGCAGATGTTCAACCCAACAGAGGAAAGCCAGACATTTCTTCAGCTGACCACTCTGTGTCAAGACCGCACATTGGTAGGCATGAAGTTGTTGGATAAGATTTCCTCCGTTCCCCATGGGGAACTGTCTTGCAGTAAGTTATTGACCTTTTTCTTACATATTTTGGCCCTAAACAGGTCTCAAAAGGTCTCCCAGTCTCTCCAAAACTTGATTTGGGTCCCTGTTCCTGCTCTGGATGCCTAGCCCTCCAGCAGGAGTTATAAGTTCTTGGTAGAAAGCCTTAACTTCACTGAAGAAAATTTAGAAATTATGGATGAGTACCCCCAAATTTAAAATCATACAAAAAGGTAACCTTTACTCAACATACTTATTTCACTCTTATATTGCCCTGCAAAGAGAACGTTATTGTCCCCTAGAAGGGAGACAAACTTTACCTTAGGAAAGCTGATTACATCTGTTAAGTGGCAGAGCTGGTATTTGAACCCAGTCCATGGATTCAAAGCCTGTTTATTTTCCATAATGTCTAACTCATTATAGGCCTTCATTAGAATGTGTGATAAGTTCTCTTTTTTAAAAAATGACATTATACTCTGTATAGTTTATAATTTTTTTACTTTATGAATATGCTGTCATTAACATTTTTCATGGCATTGAATATTCTTCTATATAACTTCTAATGGTTACACAGATTTCTTATATATAATGAAAAACTGTATATTAGAATGGGGAACAGTGGCCCACGCCTGTAATCCCAATGCTTTTGAGAGGCCGAGGGCAGAGGATAATTAGAGACTAGGAGTCTGAGACCAATCTGGGCAACATAGTGAGACCCTGTCTCTAAAAATATTTTTAAAAACTTAGCGGGGCATGGTGGTGCACACCTGTAGTCCCAGCTACTTGAGAGGCTGAGGTGGGAGGATCCCTTGAGCCCAGGAGTTGGAGATTGCAATGAGCTGTGATTGCAACACTGAACTCTAGTCTGGGCAACAGAGTAAGATCCATCTCTAAAAGAAATTTAAGGCCAGGCGCAGTGGCTCAAGCCTGTAATCCCAGCACTTTGGGAGGCCGAGGCGGGTGGATCATGAGGTCAGGAGATCGAGATCATCCTGGCTAACACGGTGAAACCCCGTCTCTACTAAAAATACAAAAAATTAGCCGGGCATGGTTGCAGGTGCCTGTAGTCCCAGCTACTCGGGAGGCTGAAGCAGGAGAATGGCCTGAACCCGGGAGGTGGAGCTCGCAGTGAGTGGAGATGGCGCCGCTGCACTCCAGCCTGGGCAACAGAGCAAGCCTCCATCTCAAAAAAAAAAAAAAAAAAAGAAAAGAAATTTAAATAAAAATAGCCTTCTCTATCTCTTCTCGGTCCAGTTCAACAGTATTTACTGAGTGCCAACTTTGTGCCAGACACTATAAGCATCTAGGATATGGTGTATAAGCAATTCCTGGAGCTCAGACTAGGGTCTTAATACACAGTAAGAGCCAGAATGATGGGGTCAAGATAGAGTTCTGGACGAAATGTCCAAACGAAGGCCTGAAGGATTCATTGTCAGGGATGCTTAGGAGTCAGTAGGACTGGAGAGGGCCCTGCAGATGCAAAAGCCCAGAGGCTACAGCATGTTTTAAGGATGGAGAACCTTCTTCAGTCCTCACATTGCAGGTGTTTTTCCCAGTTTGCCTTTTCATTGTGCTTACAGTGATTGTAGTATTTTTAAATCTGTACATGTCAGACTTTCACTACTCTAGAAAGCCAGAACACCAAATGGCACTTGATTAGGCCCTGAGACCTTTTGCTGGGATACAAGCAGAGAATGCCCTTGGATTCATGTTGGCAGGAACTCCATCAGTTTGTCTGCAGAAAGTTTCTCCATGTTTAGAAGGCGAGGGTGCTGTGTTCTCATTTTGGGGGCCTTTTGGGGAAACAGTCACTACATGATTGTCTTTGAGGATTGTGCCATGACTGAGAGAATGATTTGGATGTCATCAAGGGGCTGTCTCAAAGCTACAGCTGCTAAGTTCAGGGACTTCGGAGGGCTGATGGGACGGCCCTCTCCAGACAGGCCCCTTCTCCACCAGGCCCTTTTTCCCTCCTGCCAGGCAGAGGTTGACAGTGGGCAGCCAGGGTTCATAATCTTATCTTACCAGTGCCCACCCTCCCAGCCACAGAGCTCCTGATCCTGGCCCATCATTGCTTCACCCTGACGTGCCACATGGAGGGCATCATCCGAGTCCTACAGGCCGCCCACATGCTCACAGATAACCACCTGGCCCCCAGTGAGGAGTATGGGCTGGTGGTAAGTAGCCCCCTCAACCCCAGTCTCCATCCTGTGGAAACCTTTGAGAGTAGTAGAAAGGGTGGGAGCCAGCCCAGAGCTGATGTAGTCGTAGGGGGTTCTGCCCATCTGGATACCACTACCTACTTGAGAGTTGGCTGGGCAGCCCAACCCTCTGCTCCAAGTTATCATTTCTGTCAGAATCAGAGGTTGCTCCAAAGGAGCGAAAGGGAGAAGATCCCTCCCAGGTTCCAGGGCCATCCCACCCCCTAGTCAGGGCAGTTAACTTTTCTAGATAGAGGGCTAAGACAGCTGCATTTTTCCCCAAAACAAGGTTTGGACCTTCCCCCCATCTCTGAATTGAAGTAAGTCGGCAACTCAGTTCCCATGTGCCTCCCTAAATTCTCTGGGCTTGAAACTGACCTGAGTGGCTGAGCAAGCTACTGGGCCACTGTCATGAGTAGTGGTGAAAAGAGGAAGAGTGCCTGCCCAGGAGAATGGCACTTTAGCACTTGAGAGTCACATTTAAGGACAGCAAAGCCGTTCATGGTGGCTCACGCCTGTAATCCCAGCACTTTGGGAGGCCGAGGCAGGCGGATTGCCTGAGGTCAGGAGTTGGAGACCACCCTGACTAACATGGTGAAACCCTGTCTCTACAAAAATTAGCCAGGCATGGTGGCACATGCCTATAATCCCAGCTACTTGGGAGGCTGAGGCAGGAGAATTGCTTGAACCCGGGAGGCGGAGGTTGCAGTGAGCCGAGGTCGTGCCACTACACTCCAGCCTGGGTGACAGAGCAAGACTCCATCTCAAAAAAAAAAAAAAAAGAACAGCCAGTGGTGGCCCAGTGACTGACATTTCTGAATCCTCCAGAGGCCCCCTGTTGGGTACATGGGAGGGAGCTAAGCATGGTAGCCTGGAAATTAGCCCTTCTCCTCCTGGAGCTTGGCATCTGAAAGCAACCACTGATGGTAGTTGTCTGGCTCAGAGAACTCCAGACTCCAGGTGATGCTGATGCGAGCTGTCCTCCCACTTCACAGGTACGGCTCCTCACTGGCATTGGAAGGTACAACGAGATGACATACATATTTGATTTGCTGCATAAAAAGCACTACTTTGAAGTGCTAATGAGGAAGAAGTTGGATCCGGTAGGTGCAAAGTAATGAGCTCCAGGATGGGGTGTACTGCTGATAATTCAGGAGCCTCAGCTTTTCTCAGGAATAATCTCAGTCAGGGTAGACTCTTGGGAAAATGGAGGGAAGGAATTAGGGACCTCCCCAAGACATACACTGTCACCAGTGGCTTCAGATTCTGGTTCAGATCAGTCCGTGAATATGCTGATGCCATATATTTTTTTTTTCTTTTTCTTTTTTTTTTTTTTGAGACGGAGTTTCGCTCGTTTCTCAGGCTGGAGTGCAAATGGCGTGATCTCGGCGCAACATCCGCCCCCCAGGTTCAAGTGATTCTCCTGTCTCAGCCTCCCAAGTAGCTGGGATTACAGGCATGCACCACCACGCCCGGCTAATTTTTGTTTTTAGTAGAGATGGGGTTTATCCATGTTGGTCAGGCTAGTCTTGAACTCCCGACCTCAGGTGATCCACCCATCTCAGCCTCCCAAAATGCTGGGATTACAGGCATGAGCCACCGTGCCCAGCCGATGCTAAATACTGAAGAAAATAAGTTTGTCCTCCTCCACCTCAGCCTCTGTCTCCTGCCTCTACTGTCTTAAATGCCTTCTCTGGCAGGGGCAAAAACCCTGAGCCAGGCTGAAAGTGGATTGTCTAGCTCTGAGGTTGTTTGAGGGCTTTTAGAGTGGAGAGTTTTCAGGAGACTGTGAAAAATTGTGCTGCTAAGAGCCAGGTTGGGAATCAAACACAAAAGTTTAGACCAAAAAGCTGTGGAGCCATTTATGATGATGAACAGGAAGGCGGCTTGGAAGCAAAGGCCTGACTTGTTTAAGTCTTGGGCTCTGCAAGCCCGTGTGTCCTCAGTGTCCTCTGTGACACCGAGCATACTCCTCACAGTACCTGTTTCCAGAACATTTGGATGATTCATTGCTTCTGCTCATTTCACCTTTGGCTTCTGGGAACATGGGCCCAGCCAGGCAGGATTAAGAGAGAAAGCAGAAAAAAATCTCTCTTTAATATTGGGCCAATTTCAGGACAGACCAATCTAGTCATCAAGTGAGGAGCAAGTCCTGGACATAGGTGCATCTTCAAGATCCCCCAAGGGTTTTTAAAACTGTTTTTGAGGCAGTTTTCCTTCTGCATTTAAATATTTTAATAACTTTTTCCTGATTACAAAAGTAATGCATATTCCAGGTAAGACACTTGGAAAACAGAACAACACAGAAAAAGCCCTCAGTGTCTATCCATCTGGAGACAGTCACTAACAATTTGGTATAGGCCTTCTTTGCACATGTACCTGAAAACATCTATATATAATTATTTTAATAAAACTTATACAGTGAAGAGATGAAATATCCTGCTTTTCTCACTTAACAAAGTATATCATGACTATTTCCCAAATCAACAAATCATCCTCCTACATAAGTTTTAATGGCTACATGGTATTCTCTTCCCCTTATTTTGGACATCTGGATTGTTTCTCATTGTTTGCTATTAAATATCCCTGTTACATTCATCTTAGCACTTTTCTCTGCTTATCTCTTTAGGGACAGATTCCTAGAAATGGAATTGTTAGATCAGCTTATGCGGGTGTATTTTTAAGGTTTCTCCCTTTAGAAAAAGTTTTGCCTTTCACACTTCCAACAGGAAAGCACACATGCCTGTTTCCTCATACTTGGGACAGCATAAAACTTGTATTTATTCTCATTTTTGCTCCTCTTCTTCTTGGGAGTTTTTAAGGAATGCAGAACAAGGTGACTCAGCTAGTCCTGTCTGCCTTGCAGTCCCTGACTGACACCTTGCTTTTTCCCTTTTATTCTGGGCAGAGTGGTACCCTGAAAACAGCCCTGCTGGACTACATCAAACGCTGCCGTCCTGGAGACAGTGAAAAGCACAATATGATTGCCCTGTGCTTCAGCATGTGCCGGGAGATTGGCGAGAACCACGAGGCAGCTGCCCGCATCCAACTGAAATTGATTGAGTCTCAGCCCTGGGGTGAGTGAGGTCACAGCCACACTACCAGAACAGTGCTGCTAGCTAGGTAAAATTCCTTTTTTTTTTTTTTTTTTGAGACAGAGTCTCGCTCTGTCCCCAGGCTGGAGTGCAGTGGCACGATCTCAGCTCCCTGCAACCTCCGCCTCCCAGGTTCAAGTGATTCTCCCGCCTCAGCCTCCCAAGTAGCTGGGATTACAAGCACCTGCCACCACACCCGGCTAATTTTTTGTATTTTTAATAGAGATGGGGTTTGACTATGTTGGCCAGGCTGGTCTTGAACTCCTGACCTGGTGAACTGCCCACGTTGGCCTCCCAAAGTGCTGGGATTACAGGTGTGAGCCACCATGCCCGGCCCTCGATAAAATTCTTACAGCAAAGGACAAGAGCCCATGAGATGGGCTATTAGAATCTTGAGGTAGGTGGCCCGGCACAGTGGCTCATGCCTGTAATCCTAGCACTTTGGGAGGCCAAGGTAGGTGGATTGCCTGAGCTCAGGAGTTCAACACCAGCCTGGGCAACATGGTGCAATCCTGTCTCTACTAAAATACAAAAAAAAAATAGCCAGGTGTGGCGGCATGCACCTGTAATCCCAACTACTTGGGAGGCTGAAGCAGGTGGATCACTTGAACCCGGGAGGCGGAGGTTGCAGTGAGCCAAGATCGCGCCCATTGCACTCCAGCGTAGGTGACAGAGTGTGACTCCATCTCAAAAAAAGAATGTTGAGGTGGGTATGTCGCTCAGCAGGACCCCCACTTGGGCAGACAGATGGAATGGAGACTTTGAAGGCATGTGCAATTTAGGATTGTACTCTTGGATCTATAGCCTATATATCCAGGGTATCATCCACCAGGAACCAACATGCACGTTGATACCATGTAAGCCTTCCTTGATGTTTTGGAGAAATGAGGCATTAGAAGGGGCACTGAATCCTACTGCGGAGTGAAGTTACAATAAGCGTATGCATTTCTGGCCCAATAACCTTTATCTGAGTGAGGTGTTCCTGCCTGCCTGTGAACATGGCTGGGATGTTTCTATTCTAGCCACGATCACAATGAGTGGGATGAGAACAGTGAGCTTTGGGAGTCAGACTCGGCAAATCTTCTTTATTTCCCCTACAGAGGACAGCCTCAAGGATGGGCACCAGCTGAAACAACTGCTGCTGAAGGCCCTGACTCTGATGTTGGATGCAGCAGAGAGTTATGCCAAGGTAACCCAAAGGCTTTTTTCAGACTGGCCTTGGGACTTGCTGTCTGCAGTAAAATTATTTTCTTTTGTCCTTGGGCTCTTTCCAGGTGAAGCGGGAGGGCATCATAGGCCAACCAGGAACAGAAGGGGTGAATACCGTTGTGAGGGTTCACACAGGAGGTGACAACTAGGTCTTTCTCTACTGTGCCTCTCCACCCTTGTTCCTCAGGACTCCTGTGTGCGACAGGCCCAGCACTGTCAGCGGCTCACCAAGTTGATAACTCTGCAGATTCACTTTCTGAACACTGGCCAGAACACAATGCTCATCAACTTGGGCCGCCACAAGCTGATGGACTGTATTCTGGCCCTACCTCGGTTCTACCAGGTGAGCAAGAAAGCAAACTGTAGCCAGCACTGCTAGCATCCTCTCTCCTTCTGTCCCACTCATGGAACCCAGAGGTAAGGTCTCAGGGCTAGTGACAGAACCAGGACAGTACAGTTCTGATTTAACTCTCTGATACCAACATAGAACGGCAATTTGATGTATTTCTCTCTAGTATATTGTTGGGCAGAGGTTAGAGAATGGTAAGACAGTGCTGTCTCCCTTTCCTGTGCTGTTAGGCCAGCAGAGAGGCAGACACCTTTGGCCCTTTAACCCCAGGCTGCAGACTGGTACTGGCCCATGGCCTGCTAGGAACCAGGCCGCACAGCAAGTGAGCACTGGGCAAGCAAGCATTACTGCCTGCACACCATCTCCTGTCAGATCAGTGACAGGACTATATTTTTATAGGAGCATGAACCCTGTTGTGAACTGCACATGCAAGGGCTTCTTATGAAAATCTAATGCCTGATGATCTGAGGTGGAACATTTTCATCCCGAAACCATCCCCTCCCAGTCTGTGGAAAAATTGTCCTCCAGGGAACCTGTCACTGATGCCAAAAAGGTTGGGGACCACTGCCTTAAGACAGTTGAGGTTCAGAGTAATACTCTTGCTGGTGGTCCTGCAAGAACCTCCTAGCCCCAGCAGTTACAGAATGGCACACTCAGGTTAGTACAGCAAGTCAGGGAGATTGGTTCTAGCCCTTTAAAGAAGTGGATTATCAGGGAATCAGCCCTTTCACTGTTCCTCATACTGCTAATGGGAATAATATATTCTTAGCAGTTTCAATTCATTGTGAGGAAGATTAAAAACACTGAAAGAAGCTAGGCATGGTGGCATATACCTGTAGTCCCAGATATGCAGGAGGCTGAGGCGGGAGGATCTTGAGCCCAGGAATTTCTGGTCCAGCCTGGGCAACATAGTGAGACCCTGTCTTTTTTAAAAAAGGGTTTAAGATAATTTGGGGATTTATGAGAGGGAAAATGCCAAACACACACCTGACTTTTCACCACCTCTGATACATAGAGCCTTTTAACATAATTGGTAATGATCATATTCACTACATGAGTGAGTATACAGTATTGTTTTCTACAACAGTTTGTTTTTGATTTTACATCAGATGGGCTCTGATGGTGTCCTTCTTCACCTCTCCTTTTAAGGCTTCTATTGTGGCTGAGGCCTACGATTTTGTTCCAGATTGGGCTGAAATTTTATACCAGCAAGTGATTCTTAAAGGAGACTTTAATTACTTGGAAGAATTTAAGCAGCAAAGGTTATTAAAGTCCAGTATATTTGAAGAGATTTCCAAAAAGTAAGTATTAAAAGTTGACTGTAAACATTGCTCCTTGCCTCTGCTTTGAGGTGAGACAAGTGTAAGAATTTTATGGCTAAGTACACCATGCCTTTAGATTACCTCTACTTAAAATGGCAAAGCAGTATCAAGAATCCTTAGAAGGAAGTCTTTTAACAGATTTATGCAAAGAGATCAACAAGAACAGTTTGCTCATAGTGCTTTGTACTTTAAAATGGGAGGATAGCTACTCAGTGCCAAAAACCTAAAACACTGGCCAGGCCCAGTGGCTCATGCCTGTAATCCCAGCACTATGGGAGGCCGAGGCGGGAGGATCACTTGAGGTCAGGAGTTTGAGACCAGCCTTGCCAACATGGTGAAACCCTGTCTCTACTAAAAATACAAAAATTAGCTGGGTGTGGTAGCTGGCACCTGTAGTCCCAGCTACTCGGGAGGCTGAGGCAGGAGAATCACTTGAACCTGGGGACAGAGGCTGCAGTAAGCTGAGATCGTGCCACTATACTCCAGCCTGGCAACAGAGTGTGACTCTTGTCTCAAAAAAAGAAACGAAAAACACTAAAACATCAGAGGTGCCTTTTGGAGTACTAAACTTACTCTATAAGGTAAGCATTAACATACTCATTTTTAAAGAAATATTTTATCAAGCACCCCTAATACTAGTCTGAGATAACCCAGACTCCAGCACCCTCTCCTCTATAGGTAATAGTAAGTGGTACTTCAGAGCTGACAGCCCTCACTCAAAATACAGTATCCTAAGGTGGGCACAGTGGTGCACACTTGTAGTCCTAGTTACTCGGGAGGCTGCAAGAGAAGCAGCTGAGCCCAGGAGTTCACACTCTGAAAAACCACTGTACTCCAGCCTGGGCAACACAGTGAGACCTCCATCTTTTATTTAAGAGAGAAAAAAAAGGGCAGCCACAGTGACTCACGCCTGTAATCCCAGCACTTTGGGAGGCCAAGGCAGGCAGGTAACTTGAGGCCCGGAGTTCAACACCAGCCTAGCCAACATAGCAGAACGCTGTCTCTACTAAAATTAGAAAAATTAGCCAGGGTGGTGACACACTCATGTAATCCCACCTACTCGGGAGGCTGAGGCACAAGAATCACTTGAACCCAGCAGGTGGAGGTTGCAGTGAGCCAAGACTGCTCCTCTGCACTCCAGCCTGGGCAACAGAGTAAGACTGTCTCAAACAAAACAAAACAAAAAACAGTATCTTAACCTGTACATTATGTTTCTTTATCTAGATATAAACAACATCAGCCTACTGACATGGTCATGGAAAACCTGAAGAAATTACTCACATATTGTGAAGATGTTTACCTGTATTACAAGTTGGCATACGAACACAAGTTTTATGAAATTGTAAATGTGCTTCTGAAGGACCCTCAGACAGGTTGCTGTCTAAAGGACATGCTAGCAGGTTAGATGATTTCATAGGTGTCTGTTTTCTTGTACTGTTAGCAGATTCTGACAGATGTGATGAGAAGAAGAATGCATTGGAGATCTTTGCTAAAGTTGAACAATCCCGGTACTGTACCATATCAGTCCTTTGTGGGTAGTAGGTAGCAAGTAAGAAACTTTTCAGGAGGAAATTCCTATTTAAAATAGATTGATTTTAGATGATTGTTCATCCACACCATTTTATATAGATACTAGTATTAAGATCAAAAGCTTCCTCTTCCTCAGGACAGCTTCTACTTTAGATGATCCAATAATGATTAAAGAATACCTGTACCTGCAGATTCCAGTTTCAAAGAAATTTAATTATTATTTACACAGTTAAGGAACAGGTGATACATTTTCATTTGTTAGAAACTGATCTTTCTGTAATAAAATAGATTTTCAATTCAGTGTATGTCATTATTACTGCTAAGGAAATCTTAGCCCTTGTCTGCCTTAAAGGAATCTTTATTTAATTTACTGTAATTATTGCTGTGTAGTCACTACTTTTGTTAATTTCTCAAATCACTTAGATGATGGTCTTGTTTTCCACTTAGTAGGTATACAGAGCTTTGACGTTCCTATTATTTCCTATATAAGAGAAATTTAAAACATTTTTTGTTCTTTCTGTCTTAGGGGAATAAAAAAACACTAACCACACATTTGGTTAAACTGCTTAGGAGAAGACATAATAAAGATTCCCCAATCTATACTTAACAGCCATAAACCTGAGTTACAGGCTCAGTTACTCCAAATAAATAGTTCTTATAGGTACTTAATTAATTAGGCCTTGGTATCTAAATAACAAAATAATGTCCCCAAATAAATAAGAGGAAGGCAGCCCTATACCTTTGTTGCTCTATGGTGACAACATAAGGACCTGGCAAATCACTCATGTTTTAAAGCTGTAACTATGTCAAGCATTTATTAAGATTTAGTAGAGAACGTAGAGAACTGTACTCCCAAGAGCTGTGTTCTATACTCTCAAAAAGTATCTCTTGGGAGGTAACACAAAATTTAAGTCCTCACAACAGTGATTTTATTAAATTAGTTGCTTTATAAAACATTGCAGATGTCATAATTGTTAACATAACAATTTACCAAACTGTAGTTAACTGGTGCAGTTTGCTGAGCATGTTTTATAAAGGAAAGGAAAGGAAATGCCAAAACCCTGGTAAAGTTGTTCCATTGCAGCCTAAGAGAACAAAGATTTGTTTCTCAGACACTTAAATCAGGCAAATAAAAATAAGTTTCCCTCCCCCACCTGAAGCAGTTCATCAGTAGAAATAGCCTGATAAATAACTAGACAGTCTTTGCACTCGAGAGATTCCACAACATGTAATGCAATAATGGAAAGGTTTACCTTCTTTAGCTTCAAAGTTGGAGGGTTTTGGTCATTTTAATTTTATATCAAACTAGTGCTTTTCAGCCGCAGTATCTTCACTCTGAGATAAGCAGTCTTCTTCACAATGTATTTTTAATATCCTCATGTTCAATTTTAAGACAAAGCAATTTTAATACTAGGTGCACACCACATGCCCTTGCTGCAAACTGCTTTTCTTGACAAGTTATGAAGTAGTTCAAGGAGGTATGGTTAAGGCTGTATTACTGAATGGTGCTGGTAAATACTACACAATTTTTTTTGTCACGTTGCAACCTTTTGTTTCCAATTTAGTGACTGCTGCTATGAAATCAGATAGCAACAACGACAACATTATTAGGTTTTGAACTATGATTTAGTAGCAACTTAGGTTCCCAATTTTAACCCCTTGGCAGCAAGATCCAAGTTCCCTCATTTGCACATTAGCACCTAAGTGTCAAGGGGTTAAATAACCAGCACAAAAGATACTGCACTTCTGATTGTAGCATTTGGCAGAACTGAAAGGAAAGGAAGTTGTGCTACATGTTCAAGGGATTGTGGGCAACATAAAGATGACACCAAGAAAAGATAAAATGTCACATGAAGTCTTCATAGTCTTGTACATATCCTCCATCATAACCACCATAATCTGCCAGATCATCTTTCATGGTGGCTTTTAATCCCCCTCCAGGAACCACACCTTTCTTCTTCTTTTTGGCTTTGCTTTGCTAAAGATGAAAGAGAGTTAATTCATGAACCTTAGTGTGCTATGGGCATCTTATCTGGTACAGCAACCCTCATAAACAAACACACAAAAACCTTTGGTCCCAGAAACACTAGTTCTGTAAGGGACATCCGAGCCTACATGTTTTGGACCTGAACAGGTCTCCCAGAGTCAGTCTCTCCAAAACTTGATCTGGGTCCTTGGTCCTGCTCTGGATACCTAGCCCACCAGCAGGGGTTATAAGTTATTGGTAGACAGCCTTAACTTCACTGAAGCAAATTTAGAAAAGTGTGGATAAGTACCCCCCAATTTAAAATCACAAAGCTCTAACCTTTACTTGACATACTTCTCTTACTTTACTCTTATAAATACTCTGCAAAGTGAGTATTATTGTTCCTATTTTAGAAGGGAGAAGACTGAAGCTTAGAAAAGCTGATTTACCTATACCTATTAAGTAGCAGTGCTAGTATTTGAACCCAGTCTGTGATTTCAGCAATTTCTATTAACTCAGAAAAGGGGAACATGTCTGGAAACAAAAGGACAGTAATAGCACCCATACTCCTCTTCTAGTCTAACTTAAATGGTATTAGTGAGTTGCTTGACTTTTAATTAGGACAGGCTCCTATTATATTTGTTGACTGTTAGACCTATAACCCCACTCTAATTTAATACCCATTTCCCTACACAGCTTGCTCTTACCTTTTCTTGCTTCTGTTTTTCACTGCAAAGCACAGTCAGTGAATTGGTAATTTTTTTCAAGTCATCAATTTCCACTTAAAAAAAAAAGGGCATACCATTAAACTTGAATTTTTAAGCATTTTGAAAAGTTAAAGCTAAATATGTACATTCCATATATATCTATATATCCCAAAATGTACATTCCAAAAGTGTTATGAGAAATCCAATTTGTTCATTGTTAAACTTCAGTAACTTTGAAAGGACCATGAATTTCTCCTCTTTAAACGTAAGGTGGCCGGGCACAGTGGCACATGCCTGTAATCCCAGCATTTTGGGAGGCCTAGGTGGGTGGATCACTTAAGCCCAGGAATTCGAGACCAGCTTGGGCAACACAGCTAGACCCTGTCTCTTGAAAACAAAATTCATTTTATTTATAATGACGACCTGTAATCACCAACACACCATTGCTCAACCAAAGAGAAACTGTCTTTATAGCTCACAATGCTCCCTACTATCCTTCCTCAGTCTAAACAAATGGGGGAGGATAACATGCCCTTCCATTAACACACCCCCAGTAATCAGGGAGAACAGACAAATAAACATGAAATGACAATTACTATTATTTTTTTTTTTTTTTGAGATGGAGTCTCACTCTGTCACCCAGGTTGGAGTGCAGTGACGCGATCTCGGCTCACTGCAACCTGCGCCTCCCGGGTTCACACCATTTTCCTGCCTCAGCCTCCCGAGTAGCTGGGACTACAGGCGCCCGCCACCATGCCCAGCTAATTTTTTGTATTTTTAGTAGAGACGGGGTTTCACTGTGTTAGCCAGGATGCTCTTGATCTCCTGACGTGATCCGCCTGCCTCGGCCTCCCAAAGTGCTGGGGTTACAGGTGTGAGCCACCGCACCCGGCCTATTTTATTTTTTTTTTTGAGACAGAGTCTCGCTTTGTCACCAGGCTGGGGTACAGTGGCGTGATCTCGGCTCACCACAGCCTCCACCTCCCAGATTCAAGTGATTGTCCTGCCTCAGCCTCCCGAGTAGCTGGGATTACAGGTGCGTGCCACCATGCCCAGCTGATTTTTGTGTTTTTTTTTTTTTTTTTTAATAGAGATGAGGTTTTACCATGTTGGCAAGGTTAGTCTCAAACTCCTGACCTCAGGTGATCTACCAGCCTCAGCCTCCCAAAGTGCTGGGATTACAGGCATGAGCCACCACGCCCGGCCAGAATGACAATTCTTAAACCTACAATGACAACACCCTATCCCATGATGTCTCCATTTTCTTGCACGGGAACTACAATGAGAACAGTGACCATCTCTATGTCCTACCAAGAAATAGTCCTGTTCAGTGGACAGCATTATCAGCCTTATAAAAATATGAAGCTGGAAAGAGACACCAGTTTTTAGCTACCAGAAAGTGTTCAGTTTTGGTTAGAGAACACCTCCAAAAACCAGAAAAAAATTAGTACATGCAGAATAAAATATCAACTCTGGGCACATTACCAATCAAATGTAGAACCCTCAGCTTAGTGATAATTTATCAAAGAAAACCCAATTCATTGTGTAGGATTCCTTTTTCTCCATCTTAAAAACTGCAAATAGGCTGGGCGTGGTGGCTCACACCTATAATCCCAGTACTTTGGGAGGCCAAGGCAGGGAGATCACCTGAGATCAGGAGTTCCAGAGCAGCCTGGCCAACATGGTGAAACCCCGTCTCTACTAAAAATACAAAAAATTAGCCGGGCGTGGTGGCAGGCGCCTGTAATCCCAGCTACTCAGGAGTCTGAGCAGGAGAATTGCTTTTTTTTTTTTGAGACGGAGTCTCACTTGGTCACCCAGGCTGGAGTGCGGTGGCACGATCTCAGCTCACTGCAAGCTTTGCCTCCCAGGTTCATGCCATTCTCCTGCCTCAGCTTCACCTTGTTAGCCAGGATGGTCTACAATCTCCTGACCTCGTGATCCGCCTGTTTTGGCCTCCCAAAGTGCTGGGATTACAGGCATGAGCCACTGCGCCAGACCAGGAGAATTGCTTTAACCCAGGAGGCAGAAGTTGCAGTGAGCTGAGATCGTGCCTCTGCAATGCAAGACTCCATCACAAAAACAACAACAACAAAAAAACTGCAAATACTAGCAAAACCAGTCCCTTCCATACATTCCTGCTTCACCACCCATGGCTGTCACTCCCATTCACCCTGCCCTGAAATGTATGACTCCTATCAAGGTGTGGCACCACAACCACGGACCCAGAGAATAGGTGCCAGCCCTGTCACTCAACTTGCACCCTGTCTAATTCTGATTTGTAAAAGACAGTGGCTGAAGTCTCACCCAACCCAAATCCTACAGTGCCAGAGACCTTTTCCCTCAAAAGATACTTCCCAGCCCCTCTCAAGTGATAATCAGATAAAAAGAATAGGCCAGTGTTTTATTAGCTGCTTTGCTGACAAGCCCAGGTATCTCTTAGGGAAGCCATTGTAAAACAAGAAGTCCTCTTACCCCTACAAACAAACAAAAAGATCCAGCACTCAAATTCACTGTATCTGCAGAACAACATTCACAAGGTAATTGCTAAAAACAGCAAATCATGAGTCTGTATTATAGTATCCTTGAAAATAAAAAATAACCTTCAACCTCCTGAAGAGAACATCCTACTAAAAATCTACCCAGAGGGGCTAGAAATTAGAATTACTTACATGAAATACACACATCTCGAACTAAGACTTCCAAAAAACTGGCATAATATAGTGACTTTTCATATTGTGTAATTTTATCTTTTAGTAACTTTCCAAACTCTGTAAAGTCATCTCTTGAAGATGGGTTCATAGCATCTATTCCATAAACTGCATTATTAACACCTGTAGGAGAAAAGAAGCACTGAAAAGTATCAGGAGGTTAGGATTTTTAAAAATGAAACCTTACAAAGCCAATAGCTATCTGAATAACCCTGTCGTTTCATTCTAAAGCAGGGGCTCTGAACCTGGAGCCACTGGAGTCACTGGATAGAATGGCTGGGTGAGGGGGGAGGGGGGTTACAAACTTAAATCAGAAAAAAAGTTACATCTTTATTAACCTCTAATTCAGCATTTCCTTCAGTTTCAATTGACTGGCAACAAATCACAGTGGTATTAGCAAAACTTGACTTACCAGGAGAGATCACACTCTCCTGCCATTACAGATATCTTACAATATTAATATTGTTCAGTCATAATTACTCTCAAATGACATTATTTGACGTGCCACTACACCTGATTTAATGCATCGATAAGGAAGCATATAATTCTGTATCACAAATTTGTCATTTTAGTATTTTGACATCTATTTATATATAACAGGTTTTCTTTATAAATAAGTATTTTATTCATTTAAAAACAATATATCAAGGCCAGACACAGTGGCTCACACCTGTAATCCCAGTGTTTTGTTTGGGAGGCCTAAGAGGAAGGATCGCTTGAGGCCAGGAGTTTGAGACCAGCCTGGGCAACACAGCAAGACCTCATCTCTACAAAAAAAATTTTTTTAATTAGCCAGGTGTGGCCAGACGCAGTGGCTAACACCCGTAATCCCAACACTTTGGGAGGCCTAGGCAGGCCGATCACCTGAGGTCAGGAGTCCGAGAGACAAGCCTGGCCAACATGGTGAAACCCTGTCTCTACCAAAAATACAAAAATTAGCCAGGCATGGTGGTGGCATGTATCTGTAATCCCAGCTACTTGGGAGGCTGAGGCACGAGAATCACTTCAACCCAGGAGGCGGAGGTTACAATGAGCCGAGACTGCACCACTGCACTCCAGCCTGGGTGACAGAGTGAGACTCTGTCTCAAAAAAATAAATAAAATTAGCCAGGTGTGGTGATATTCACCTGTAGCCCTCGCTACCCGGGAGGCTGAGGTGGGAGGATTGCTTGAGCCCAGGAGTTTGAGGCTGCAGTGAGCTATGGTCATGCCACTGCATTCCAGACTGGATGACTGAGCAAGAACCTTTCTCTAAAAACAAAACACAACATATTACATTACAAAAGGGATACTCTGTTCTTGTCCAAGAACACCCCCACAGTAAAGTGGGGAGAGAGGGAACAAAAAGAATAAGAAACAAAGATGGATCCTGTGAAAGTATTTGTCTAACTCCAGAAGCTAAGCGGGGGTAAACATGTTAAATCCCAATAGAAGAAATCTGGCCTAGGCTGTGCATGGTGGCTCATGCCTGTAATCCCAGCACTTTAGGAGGCCAAGGCGGCAGATCACTTGAGCTCAGGACTTCAACAACAGCCTGGGCAGCATGGTGAAACCTTGTATCTACAAAAAAAGCCCCAAAAAACAAAAATTACCCAGGCGTGGTGGCATGCGCCTGTAGTCCCAGCTACTTGGGAGGCTAAGGTGGGAGGATGGCTTGAGCCCAGAGGCAGAGGTTGCAGTGAGCCGATCTCAGCCACTGTCCTCTAGCCTGGATGACAGAGCCAGACCCTGTTAGAAAAAAAAAAATCTGGCCTAGATGAGTTTTACACTAAGATAAGTATGCTTCTGTATCCTCCATGTCAAGTAGATTAGTTATTAACAATATTACATGTGGTATTTTAGTATGAGAAACACAACAGTAAAATCCTATTAACAATGACTATATGAATGCATGTTTTTACCTTTTAGTCTATAACAGGTGTCCCATGCTAGGCTTTATGCACACTTCATAAACCTGCCTCTTTAATAAACACATGGGCAGCTTTTACCATCCTAGGAAGACACATATTAACAGCCAAGAGCTCTCTATAATTAGATGAGTGCAGTTAAGACCTGCCAAGCATACAATGGTGCACAGGAGCATTCACATCAACTCCTGGTATTTGTACAGATCCACTGACAGATAAGGTCATACTTCCTCATGAAAAGGAAAACAATCACTACAGTCAGCCTGTTGATCTGTTTCAGAGTAGAGAAAGTATGAAAGTGGGGGAGGGGTATCAGAATAACTAGAGCTTTCCTTCTTGGTTATAAATTTCAGTGATTTAACTGTTTCAACATGATCTTCTACTCTGAAAAGTACTCAACAGGTAACGATAACTTGGTTAAATGAAGCGAGGGCTTTGACTATTTCTCTAGCCATGTCTCTTACTCTGGAACACTCTGAATTTATCTATTTATAGGATCCTGCACTTTTATCTCACGCACTAACCACAGCTGCAGACACCGCACAAAGAAATGGAGGCCCTCTAAAGATAGGGCATGGTAAGGGCAAAGAAGGGTTGCAGAAGGAAATGACACTGAGCACAAGAAGGCACAGCAAAAGCTGCATGCCTCTCACCTGGAGCAACATCCTACTGTCTAAGTCTTAAGACAACAGGACAGCCCTACAGTCCATTTCAAAGCTACAGACCTCACATTTCATGCAAATTTCATCCAGCTGATAAAAATATTCTATGCAGTAGTGTACTTCATCTGAGTCTACTCCTTTTTGCCCTTCTTGCATTGCTATAAATGACTTATCTTAATAATCTTTTACTCAAAACAATTATTCAAAAATCTGAACATGTAATGAAATCTCAAATATACACAGAGATTAAAAACTGCTTTCTAATATCTACATTAGCCAGTATGTTTCTTTTAAGAAAAGGAGATGTTTTCTGAACTTTCTGGGTCTTCACCTGTAACAGTTTAATACTGTATTGCAATCATAATCCCGTCTTACCAAAAGTTTCCTTTGCTAATTCGAGGTCTGACTCTTCCTGTAATTTCTTTAGCCGCAGTTTATCTGCTAATTGTTCTTCTGGTGTTAGCACTTTAGGTTCTTCGGGTTCTTCTAACTAAAATGAGACAAAAGTTTTTAAAAAGCACAGGGATTATGATGCACTCAGTACCTTTCTGTATTGTACGAATTCTTAAATAAGCGTATATAATAACAAATAAAAGTGAACACTGGTAATTACTGTTTCAGGCATTCTTCTAAACACTTTAGTTTTTTTTTTTTTTTTTTTTTTTTTAGACAGAGCCTCACTCTGCCACCAAGGCTGGAGCACAGTGGCATGATCTTCGCTCATTGTAACCTCTGCCTCCTGGGTTCAAGTGATTCTCATACCTCAGCCTCCCGAGTAGCTGGGATTACAGGCGTGCACCACCACATCCAGCTAATTTTTGTAGTTTTAGCAGTGATGGGGTTTCACCATGTTGGCCAGGCCGGTCTTGAACTCCTGGCCTCAAGTGATCCGCCCATCTCAGCCTCCCAAAGTGTTGGGATTACAGGTGTGAGCCACTGCGCCCAGTCCACTTTAGGTATCCTTAACCCAATTTTAAAGATAAGCAATGGAGGCACAAAGAAACAACCTGCCCACAACTAAATAGAAGGTAACAGCTGGTAACGTGACAGATTTGTACCCAGGAAGACTGGGGTTACTTCTATAACCTTTTTTAAAAAAAGGAATTGAGACTGTGGACAAGGTAAAAATATTACTTTCATACACTGCTACTAAAACTATATTGGAAAACCCTTTCTAGGGCAACTTGGTAATATGGATCAAGTCTTAAATAATATTTTTACATGCTTTAATCAAGTATTCTACTTCCAGGTATTTACCTTAAGAAATAAGATGCACACAAATATGTAAGCCCAAGAATGTACATTAGAGTATTATTCATAATTTCAAATAAATTTACAGACAACCTAAATGTCCAACAGAATGGTTCAAAACATTTCCCCTTTTCATCATATTGTATAATTATAAAATTACCACTATAACAAATTTTAAAGATATAATAGTAGATGTCATTTGTTTCCCAAACCCACTTCTCTGACATGACAGTTGACAGCTTAGTGTATATCTATCTTCTCTTTATACTGGAATATAATTATTTTTTCTTTTTTTTTTTTGAGATGGAGTCTCGCTCTGTCGCCCGGGCTGGAGTGCAGTGGTGCGATCTCCGCTCACTGCAAGCTCCGCCTCCTGAGTTCACACCATTCTCCTGCCTCAGCCTCCCAGGTAGCTGGGACTACAGGCGCCCGCCACCACGCCCGTCTAATTTTTCTATTTTTTAGTAGAGACGGGGTTTCACCGTGTTAGCCAGGATGGTCTCGATCTCCTGACCTTGTGATCTGCCTGCCTCGGCCTCCCAAAGTGCCAGGATTACAGGCGTGAGCCACCACGCCTGGCCGTTTTCTTCTTTTTTTTTTTGTTTTGAGGCAGGATCTTGCTCTGTCACCTAGGCTGGAGTGTAGTGGCGCAGTCATGGCTCACTGCAGCCTCAACTTCCTGGGCTCAAGTGATTCTCCTACCTTAGCCTCCCAAGCAGCTGATACTACAGGCATGTACCACCACGCCCAGCTTATTTTTCTATTTTTTGTAGAGACGGGGTCTCCCTATGTTGTCCAGGCTGGTCTCAAATCCATGGACTCAAGCAATACTCCCACCTCAGCCTCCCAAAGCGTTGCAATTACAGGCATGAGCCACCACGCAGGCTGTTTTAATTTTTGAACCATGTAAATGTGTTCTGAAATAGAAAATAGGCCAGGCACAGTGGTTCACGCCTATAATCCTAGCACTCTGGGAGGCCAAGGCGGGTGGATCACCTGAGGTCAGGAGTTTGAGACCAACCTGGCCAACACGGTGAAATGCCATCTCTACTGATAATACAAAATTAGCTGGGCATGGTAGCACATGCCTGCAGTCCCAGCTACTCGAAGACTGAGGCAGGAGAATCACTTGAACCCGGGAGAAGGTTGCAGTGAGCCAAGATCACGCCATTGCACTCCCGCCTGGGCGACTAGAGTGAAACTCCATCTCTAAAAAAAAAAAAAGAAAAGAAAAGAAATAGAAAATAGGCTGGACGTGGTGGCTCATGCTTGTAATCCCAGCACTTTGGGAGGTCGAAGCAGGCAGATCACTTGAGGTCAGGAGTTTGAGACCAGCCCGGCCAACATGGCGAAACCCCATCTCTACTAAAAATACAAAGATTAGCCAGGCATGGTTGCGTGTGCCTGTAATTCCAACCTGGGATGCTGAGGCATGACAATTGCTTGAACCTGGGAAGTGGAGGCTGCAGTGAGCCAAAATCACACCACTGCACTCCAGCCTAGGTAACGGAGTGAGACTCTGTCTAAAAACAAAAACAAAAAAAAACAAGCATATATTTCTGATCCTGTGCCAAAAAATCAAAAACAAATACATTTATATAGCACATGGCACAGAAATGAACAATTTTTATATTATGTTCAATATATACACTGCAAATAAAAACTAATCCTGGCCAGACGCGGTGGCTCACACCTGTAATCCCAGGACTTTGGGAGGCCGAGGCGGGTGGATCACGAGGTCAGGAGATTGAGACCATCCTGGCCAACATGGTGAAACCCTATCTCTACTAAAATACAAAAAATTAGCTCGCCGTGGCTCCTGTAGTCCCAGCTACTCAGGAGGCTGAGGCAGGGGAATGGCTTGAATTCGGGAGGCAGAGGTTGCACTGAGCCGAGATTGTGCCACTGTACTCCAGCCTAGCGACAGAGCAAGACTCCGTCTCCAAAAAAAAAAAACAAAAAACAACAACAAAAACTAATACTGCTGACTAGAATGAACTACAGGCACTGGCAAAAATCACTGACTGTAGTCACTGCACTATCATGACTATTCCTGAATGTTTGTGAAAACTTAAAAGACACTCATATATAAAACTGGGTTCTGTTTTTGCAAAAACCACAAATCAATTTGTTTTGGATTTTACCTATCTTATGGTATCCATTTACAGTCTTCACAGAGCCCTTCAAATTCCTAGGTAATATTTGCAGCCTGTTAGAAACTATACCACTACCGATGTGAGAATTCTGTATTTTAGAAAACAGAATTTACCCTCTTTTTAATTTCTTCTTGCCTTTTCTTCTGTTGCCGTTCTTTCTCTTTTATCTTCTCTGCTATTTTTTTCTTTTCTGAAATTTTTACCTCTAAAAGTAAAAAAAAGTTTTATTCAGTTATACTGAGTATTTTCCAGTTTATGGATGAGACAGACATGATACTTGTATACTATTAAGAGACCAAACCTTTCCCAGCTTCAAACAGTGATTTTTCTCACAAATAATGGGAAACTTCTGGGACTCTTCCTTCTCCTCTCTAATGTGACCCCTAAGATCCAAATATCTCTTCATATTTCCCCACCGTCCTATAGGCAGGGCTTAGATCATTCAACTATAATTAATGCCAGAACCTCTACCCTTTCCTACTAACAAGCACTCATACAGAAATACAGCAAGTATCTAATCTGATTATATTTTGAGGCGATAGAGAAAAGTTGCAGGGAAAACAGAATAAAGTGGGAATGGAAGGACACTTGGTTTCTAAATACCAAAATGTTCCATTTTGTGAGCGTTCTGTCATTTGTCTTAATACAAGTCACAAATGCTCAGCAAGACATAAAAACAAAAATGGAGGCGCCCCAGTGGCTCACCTGGTTTTACTTCTGCTTCCTCTTTTTTTTCATCATCATCGTCATCCCAGTTATCCTAAAGAAAAGGACTTCCATTAATAATTCTTGCATGTTTGCTTTTCTATGTGAACTTTATTATCAACTTGACTAACTCCAGAGAAATGTTTGTTGGTATTTTTTTGTACTGCATTAAATTTATAAATTAATGTAGGGGGAATTGACATCTTATAATGCTGAGCTGCCCTAACCAAGAATAAGAACTGTCTTTCCATTTGATCAAGTACATTTTTGTACCTTTCAGAAGTGTTTTAAAGTGATTTCCCTATTAGAGGCTCTGCGCATTTCTCTTTAGATTTATTCCTAAGTATTTCATCTTGTATGTTGCTATTATAAATAGGGTGTTTTCCTATTATGTCCTCTAGGTGGCTATTATTTGTGTATAAAAACCTATCGGCAAGACCCAGTCTCTGCAAAAAAAAAAAAAATTAAAAAATTAACTGGGCAACGTGGCATGTGCCTGTAGTCTCAGCTACTTGAGAGGCTAAGGTGGGAAGATCACTTGAGCCCAGGAGGTTAAGGCTGCAGTGAGCTATGATAGTGCCACTGCACTCTATCCTAGGCAACTCACTATCATAAAAACCCTGTCTCAAAACAAATAAACAAAAATGACTATTGGCTTTTTTATATGTTAATATCCTGCTACCTTACTGAATTCATTTATCACTTAAGTTAGATTTATCGTTGCTTCTCTAGGGTTTTACAGGTATGCTACCTTATCTGCAAACAAAAGATAGCTTTACTTCTCTACCAATCCTTAGGCCCTCACAAGTGATTTACCTAATTGGGCCAGCTAAACCTCTAGTGCAATGTTGAACAGCAGCAGAAGTAATGGGCATCCTTGCTTTCTTGATGGAAATGCCTCTATTGTTTCCCCATGAATTGCTATGCATCCCAACAAATTTATGCAATAAAATTTACCAGACTTTTTTTTTTTTTTTGAGACGGAGTTTCTTGCCCAGGCTGGAGTGCAATGTCACGATCTCAGCTCACTGCAACCTCCACCTCCTAGGTTCAAGCGATTCTCCTGCCTCAGCCTCCCCAGTAACTAGGATTACAGGCATACACCACCATGCCTGGCTCATTTATTTTTAGTAGAAATGGTTTTTTTTTTTTTTTTTTTTTTTTTTGAGACGGAGTCTCGTTCTGTCGCCCAGGCTGGAATACAGGGACGATCTCAGCTCACTGCAACCTCTGCCTCCCAGGTTCAAGTGATTCTCCTGCCTCAGCCTCCCGAGTAGCTGGGATTACCAGCACATGCCACCATGCCTGGCTAATTTTGTATTTTTAGTATAGACAGGATTTCACCATGTTGGTCACACTGGTCTCGAACTCCTGATCTCATGATCCGCCCGCCTCGGCTTCCCGAAGTGCTGGAATTACAGGCGTGAGCCACCGTGCCTAGCCCCAGTCTTTTCTTTCATTGCCTCTGGATGGATTTCAAGTCAATTAGAAAGTCTTTTCTTGTTTTTTTGTTGTTTTGTTTTGTTTTGTTTTGTTTTTGAGTTGGAGTTTTGCTCTGGTTGCCCAAGCTGGAGTGCAATGGCATGATCTAGGCTCACTACAACCTCCACCTCCCGGGTTCAAGCAATTCTCCTGCCTCAGCCTCCCAAGCAGCTGGGATTAGACATGCACCACCATGCCTGGCTAACTTTGTATTTTTAGTAGAGATGGGGTTTGTCCATGTTGGTCAGGCTGATCTCGAACTCCCAACCTCAGGTGATCCGCCCACCTCAGCCTCCCGAAGTGCTGGGAGTACAGGCATGAGCCACTTCGCCCAGCCAGAAAGTCTTTTCTTACACCTAAGAATTCACCCACAATTTCTTCTAGAATGTATAGGGTTTCATTTTTTTTTTTATTTAGATCTCTGATTTGGAGTTTTTTTCTTGTGTTATGATATGCAACATGGATCTAATTTCATTTTTTTCCCAAATGGCTACCCAGTTGTCACAGCATCATTTATTAAAAACCCTTTAATAAATAATGGTTTTTTTCCCTGGGCTATGGTTTGAATGTGTCCTCCAAAGTTCATGTGATGAAATCTCCAATCCAACAGTGTTGAGAAGTAGGGTCTTTTAGAAATGATTAGAGGCAAAGCCCTCATGAATGAATTATTAATACCTTTATATTAGGAGTAGATATCTGATAAAAGGATGAGTTCTGACACCTCCTGCAATCCTTTGTGCTCTTTTGCCCTTCTGCCCCAGGATAATAGAGCAAGAAGGCCCTCGCCAGATGCCAGCACCTTGATACTGGACTTCTCAGCCTCCATAACCATAAGAAATAAATCTGTTGTTTATACAATACCCAGTCTATTGCATTCTATTGCAGCAAAAAACATTTTAAGATACCTTGTGACTTACCATATACTAAATTTTCATATGTACTTGGTCTATTTCTGGGCTTTTGATCCTATCCCACTAGTCTACTGTCTCTCCATATAACGGTACCATACTGGGTTTTTTTGGTCTTGTTTTTTGAGACGGAGTTTCACTCTTGTCGCCCAGGTTGGAGTGCAATGGCGCGATCTCAGCTTACTGCAACCTCTGCCTCCTGGGTTCAAGTGACTCTCCAGCCTCAGCCTCTGGAGTAGCTGGGATTACAGGTGTCCACCATCATGCCGGGCTAATTTTTGTATTTTTAGTAGAGACGGGGTTTCTCCATGTTGACCAGGCTGGTCTCGAACTCCTGACATCAGGTGATCCTCAGCCTCCCAAAGTGCTGGGATTGCAGGCGTGAGCCACCATGCCCAGCCGGTACTGTTTTAATTACAGAGGCTTTACTTTAATGTCAGCTAGAGCTAGTCCTTCCTTGTAGGTTTTCAGATTTTTTAGTGTTTTCTTGGCCTTTCTTGCATGTTTTGTTTTTCCATATGAACCCTCATATCAACTTATCTAACTTCATAAGAAAGCTTCTCCATTAGCAGTTAGGACAACCTAGCTGAAATCAATAGCCTCTCTGAAAGTGATTCAGTTATTAATAAATAAAAACTGAGAGAACTTTATAGTTCTTACTTCCCCCCAAATGTAAAAAGCATCCTATACTCTGGCCAATAGCTCATTTATTTCAAGTAGTATTCCATACAACATAAGCCTGGTTAATGAATTAAGTCTATATAATTCTAAAGCCCACTATTAAAAAGGAGTCAGGCCGGGTGCGTGGCTCATGCCTGTAATCCCAGCACTTTGGGAGGCTGAGGTGGGCGGATCACGAGGTCAGGAGTTTGAGACCAGCCTGGCCAACATAGTGAAACCCTGTCTCTACTAAAAATACAAAAAATTAGCTGGGCGTGGTGGCAGACACCTATAATCCCAACTACTTGGGGGCTGAGGCAGGAGAATCACTTGAACCCAGGAGTGGGAGGTTGCAGTGAGCCAAGATTGTGCCACTGCACTCCAGCCCAGGTGACAGTGCGGCGAGACTTCGTCTCAAAAAAAAAAAAAAAAAAAAAAAAGAATCAAGGCCGGCTTACGCCTGTAATCCCAACACTTTGGGAGGCCAAGGCAGGCAGATCACCTGAGGTCGGGAATGCAAGACCAGCCTGACCAACATGGAGAAACCCCGTCTCTACTAAAAATACAAAATTAGCTGGGTGTGGTGGCACATGCCTGTAATCCCAGCTACTCGGGAGGCTGAGGCAGGAAAATTGCTTGAACCCAGGAGACAGAGGCTGTGGTGAGCCGAGATCGCGCCATTGCACTCCAGCCTGGGCAACAAGAATGAAACTCCGTCTCACAAAAAAAAGTCAACAGCTAATCAAGCCTTCATGGATCCCACTCTCTAACTCAGGGCACTTTAATCCCAGCACTTTGGGAGGCCGAGGCAGGCAGATCACTTGAGACCAGGAGTTCCGAGACCAGCCTGGCCAACATGATGAAACCCCGTTTATACTAAAAAATACAAAAATTAGGTGGGCATGGTGGTGCACGCCCGTAATCCTAGCCACTCAGGATGCTGAGGAACAAGAATCATTTGAGCACAGGAGGCGAAGCTGCAGTGAGCCAGGATCGAGCCACTGCACTCCAGCCTAGGCAACAGAGACTCTGTCTCAAAAAAAAAAAAAAAAAAAAAAAAAAAAGATCTATACTCTGTTTTTTCTATGCCTAACTCAATCATTGAGCTAAATATAAACCAATTATCAAACACAATTTTCTAAAAGCTCCACAGAACTTAGAAGGCTCAAGTTTAATAGGGACAGACACAGCCCTATGATTAAAGATGGCTTTAATCATAGGTAGCCTGGCCATTGTCTCAGCAGCCACCAGGCACACTATGACATGCCATTTGAAGCTGAGTGGCAAGATGGCAAAAGCAGGGCAAGAGGCCCTGATGCTACTAAAGAAGCAAAGGCTGACTAGTATGACTAATATGCCACAATATGACACCAAGCTTCTGGTTTCATAACACGACAGATCACAAATTTGTATCAGTCTAGGAATATAAACTAACCAAGCCTTGGTTCTTAATAAAAATCTCTAAGTCCAGTAAAGAAATTAAAAATTCAACATCCTGATTAAGGCTGTCATACAGTCTGCAAGCATAATTAAAGGAACTTTGTATTAAAAAGTAAGTGTATTTTTATATTCATCTTACTTCAGCAATTTAACCCACAGCTCGCAGTTTTAACAGATTGAAAGCAAACCAGCTAGTCATTATTTGAGTAACTGTGATACTAGAGTTAGAAATTAGAGATCAAACGTTTGTATTTCGCCGTTAGTTTGCTAAGTGCTATACATCACAGTACAAAAGGAACCAAAGAGCTAAAAATAAAAGTGAATTACTAGGCATTTTTTGTTGTTTAAATCTTCACAGAACACAGGAAGGCTGGATCTGTGAGTGATAGGGGGCAGTGTTTCAGATAGGAGGACCATTTGCTTACTTCCAGAAGATGCATATTTAAAACCCTTCTGAGAAACAGGTGTAGTAACAAGGTTAATTCTCACAACAGTCCTGTAAGAAGGTAGTGTTATTCCCCCATTTTAAAGAAAAGGAAACCCAGGCCCAGACATAGCCAACCCACAATCTCAGTGAAAAACTAAGGGACCTGCTCTGAATGGACCAAAGTTCTTTAAAGTGTCATAGGTATAAAGTTACAGTTAGAAGAATAAGTTCTGGTGTTCTATTACACAGTACGGTGATTATAGCTAATAACAATGTTATATATTTCAAGATAGTTCCATAAGAAAATTTTGAATGTTAACACCACAAAGAAATGATAAATGTTTAAAGTGATGAAATGGTAATTACAATGTATACATGCATTGAAACATCACAATATACCCCATAAATATGTACATTATTTGCCAATTATAAAAACTAATTTTAAAAAAGTTTTAAATAACTAAACATTTGACTGACCTTTTTATTGAAAATAAAATGATTTACTTTTTTAAAAAGCATGTTTTAAACACTTGCTTACAAAGTTCACGGTTTAGTAGAGTTCAATTCACTGTAATAAAGCAGCTTACAACACATCTTTAGAGTAACATGCTGAGATACATCCTTTAAATGTATACATGTAAACAGCTTCATTTAAGGCTTTAAACACAATGTTAAGGAAGGTCTTTAAAAAGCATGTTTTAAACACTTGCTTACAAAATTCACAGTCTGGTAAACAATTTAATTCGCTGGAATAAAGCAATTCCAATGCAATTCCAATGCAAAATAATAAAAATAAAAATAGTATTATAGTAAATATGACTTCTTCCCTGAGTCCTGAAGTATAAAATAACTAACTGGGAACTAAGTCCCTCTCCTGGGAACTCTGGGAATCTCATAAAGAGAAGGATTATTACACATATTAAGATATGCCCAGCTAGAGGTATACTGGTTACCAAACTTCTCACCTTAAATTGCCTGTAGTGGTTCTCTACTGATCTTTTTTTTTTTTTTGAGATGGAGTCTCACTGTGTCGCCAGGCTGGAGTGCAGTGGCGCAATCTCAGCTCACTGCAACCTCCGCCTCCTAGGTTCAAGCAATTTTCCTGCCTCAGCCTCCTGAGTAGTTGGGACTACAGGTATGCACCACCATGCCTAGCTAATTTTTGTGTTTTTAGTAGAGACCGGGTTTCACCATGTTGGCCAGGATAATCTTGATCTCTTGACCTCGTGATCCACCCACCTCAGCCTCCCAAAGTGCTGGGATTACAGGCGTGCCTGGCCCCTCCCACCTTTTTTTTTTTTTTTTTTTTTAAATGGAGTTTTGCTCTTATTGCCCAGGCTGGAGTGCAATGGCACGATCTCAGCTCACCGCAACCTCTGCCTCCTGGGTTCAAGCGATTCTCCTGCCTCAGCCTCCCAAGTGGCTGGGATTACAGGCATGTGCTACCACGAACTGGCTAATTTTGTATTTTTAGTAGAGATGGGTTTCTCCATGTTGGTCAGGCTGGTCCTGAACTCCCGACCTCAGGTGATCCACCCACCTCAGCCTCCCAAAGTGTTGGGATTACAGGTGTGAGCCACCACGCCTGGCCAGTTTTCTACTAATTTAAGAAACTGGGCCAGATGAGTTGGCTCACGCCTGTAATCCCAACACTTTGGAAGGCCAAGGTGGGTGGAATACCTGAGTTCAGGAGTTCAAGACCAGCCTGGCCAACATGGCAAACCCCTGTTTCTACTAAAAATACAAAAAAAATTAGCAGGGCGTGGTGGTGTGCACCTGTGGTCCCAGCTACTCGGGAGGCTGATGCCCAAGAATCACTTTGAACCCGGGAGGCAGAGGTTGCAGTGAGCCGAGATCACGCCACTGCACTCCAGCCTGGGTGATAGAGAAGGCCTCCGTCTAAAAAAAAAAAAAAGAAAAGAAAAGAAAAGAAAAAAGAAAAAAACTGGTCTGCAAGCCTCTGGTAGTAAGAGGTCAAGAAGGAAGAAGTATGGCTGAAAATAAGGAGCTCCATCTCAATACCTCCAAGGTAAAGAAACAAACTCAACACAGGAGCATTTTTATTTAATGTTGATGCTCTTCAGTTACCCTTCCCAGAAAAACATAACCCCCACCCCACCCATATCACTGCTCCCTCAGTACATTCACACCAACTCTATGTCCACCTCTATCCCTGTCCCTAGTTTCTCCCATCAAAGCATAAACCTTACCCCAGACACACATCAATGCAGACATAATGAAGCTACCTAGACATTCCCTACTCCATCACAGAATGGATTTTAGTAGCAAAAGAAGTGATTCTGGCCAGGCGTGGTGACTCATGCCTGTAATCCCAGCACTTTGGGAGGCCAAGGCAGGCAGATCACGAGGTCAAGAGATCGAGACCATCCTGGCCAACATGGTGAAACCCCATCTCTACTAAAAATACAAAAATTAGCTGGGTGTGGTGGCGCACACCTGTAGTCCCAGCTACTTGGGAGGCTGAGGCAGGAGAATCGCTTGAACCCAGGAGGCGGAGGTTGCAGTAAGCCGAGACTGCGCCACTGCCCTCCAGCCTGGAGACAGCGAAACTCCATCTCAAAAAAAAAAAAAAAAAGTGGTTCCTATCAACATGTACCAAGAAGAGCCATGACATCTGCTCCTCAATTCATAAAAGGACCATCCAAACCTTGACTGTCACTCTCTCCCCAAAGTGCTTACAAGTCTGCCCTGAAGTTACTACCAAACTAGCACTAAGCCCCTAAAGAAAGGAGCATAGTAAGTGTCAGCAAAAAGAGACTGGTCACACTTCCAAACAGATGTAATTATAAAAGCAAAAGGCCAGGTAGCTTTCCCCAGGAAGTTAGAGTTTTTGTTTCCATAGTTATAAAATTAAGTGTCTGAAAAGTAGATTTAAGGTAGAATGTTCACCACGCTGCTTCAAAAAATATGCCCAATTTTTTGTAAACATTAGAAGTTTGTAAATTCCAGCAGCAAATTCAGATAAAATGTAAAAAGGCTTCCTAGAGAAACAGCTAAAATTAACACTTAAAATAGGGAGCAAGTCTACAACTCACTTCAAAGAGCCCTAAATGGTTATTTGGTTCAAGAGACTACCTATGAACATCCAATTAAATCCTTTACCCAATTATTTTTGGTAGCCAATTAATCTTTCAACTATAATATCCAATTTATCTTCAAAAGAATCACCCAGGCTGCTCTCCTAAAATGGCTAGCTTCTTAGAATAGGGCCTGTTTATAAACTACTTGCTTATCTATACTCTTGCCCTGCAGATACACACCCATCATTTAAGCTATTTCTATGAAAGAGATGGCTGCTTTTTAACTTTAAAACTTGCTTCCCTAATTGAACACAACTAAGTATCAGAAGCAAAGCAGAAAACTTTATATCTTGCTTTCTTTTTATTTCTAACAATGTGGCCAGTAGTTAGCTGGTTCTGTCTTCATAATATAAAACTACATTATGTCACATGCAATGAGAACACATTTAGGGCTGAAAATGCTTTCCAACTTAAGCAAGATGTATTTATAGATTGTCAAATAGAAGTAGCTTCAAACGAGCAATAAAACTCTTTTGCCCTATAGCAACAGCCTAGGAACTAACATATACTCCTTCTCCTTTTTTCTTTAAATAATTTGGTTTAGGTAAAACATAATCTCTTGCTGGGAAAGAAAAAAAAAGCCTTTAATTTGTGTTCTGTAAGCTGTGCAGTTCTGAGAGAACTCAGAACTGTGCAACGAGATCTTGGCAAGGGTAGACTTCCCAGCAAAGTTCAGTTTTTTAAAAGCCAAAATGTTCTTCCACCATCTCAGAACTATGCTGGGTGCCTAGAAGCCAAGGTGCCTGCCTTAGTAAATTCTACTTCATTTAATTCAATTCATTAAGCTTTTAACATACTACAATGGATCAGCACTCAGCTGAGTTCCATCTCAATGCCTACCTGTCTCATATTCAGGACAGTTATCAATCTACTTTAAATTTCTGGCTCAGCGATATCAAGACACTGAACACTAAACAAGTGGTTTATTTACAATGATCCATCATGACAAGAAAATATTTTTCAATAACAAACATGCTTCCTAATTCAAAACTTGCTAGTTTATAAAAGTGGCAGGGTATGAAATGATATGATTGAGATTTTCTTGAAAATAATCTGGTTGGAGGAGGAAAGTGGGGATACAGAGGAGACAAGACTGGTCACTGGTTTATTAAATGTTTCTCTCTACTGCATGTTTGGAATTTTTCTTAAGTTACACATACACACACTCTCTTCAAAATACCCATTTTCTGGCAAAATGCCCACCTTCTGGGTATTTCCTAGTAATTTCACATTCTGTAAAATACAGATCCTGTTCTTTAGAAGTTGTTTCCAACCCCTGAAAATTGTCCCTATCTGGTAGATTCAAACTATTTATTGGAATAGGATCCTAACAGAGAGTGAATGAGTAGGACGAGAGAGGCTCAACTAAATCTGTTCTTCAGGATCGCTCTCTCTTTAAATGTGTTGGGGTCTTGCTATGTTGCCCAGGCTGGCTTCAAACTCCTAGGCTCACGCAATCCTCTTGCCTCAGCCTCTTCAGGATCTTTTAAAAGAAATGCTATATGGTTACAGAGGCAAATGCGTGAGATGGCTGAACACAGCTATAAGTTTCTGCAAACTCTGTACCCTTTGAATAAATCTAGCTTCTAAACTGTTCTACTGAAATGCTAGGAGACTAGTAAAATGGAGCAAAAGTTATGTTGTCCTTGTGTCCAGTAGGTACTCACTGCCTTCTCAGTCAACACATCCTACATATCATACCAGCAATGAGGAAGGAGTCATATATGCCAAGTGAACAATTCTTCCCACTACCTCTGCACAACTATCAGGATAGTAAAAAAGGTAAATAAAGCCAGGGTGATGGGAAACTATGCTCCCGAGTTCTCATCTTTTTAACTGGGGAAAAGCATAGTCTTTTCTTGCCATATATATTAACGGTTGTACAGTTTCACCTAAGTCCACTTCTGCCACTGCCAGACAGCTATTTGAAAAGTCAAGGACAGCAAAATACTAAGTCTACTAAATGAGAGTAAAGTGCTGGAGCAAATTATAATAACAAAAACATCAGTTTTCCTTTCATTTCCCAGGACATTACAAATGACATTAAACCTGTATTTTTAAAGGTTAAGTACTAGATGCTGACATGAACAGAAGACCTCACGGAAACTAAGCCTTGTCTGCAACTCCTCATAAAAAGTACAAAAACATAAGAATTCAGAAATTTGGTGATATGGCTGAGTCTGCTGGCTCACGCCCATAATCCCAGCATTTTAGGAGGCTGAGGAGGATAGATCACTTGACTCCAAGAGTTCGAGACCAGCCTGGGCAACTTGGCGAAACTCTATCTCTACCAAAAACACAAAAATTAGCCAGTCTCACAAATCTGTCTCAAAATAAATAGGCCAGGTGCAGTGGCTCACACCTGTAATCTCAGCACTCTGGGAGGCCAAGGCGGGAAGATCGCTTTAACCTCAGGAGTTTGAGACCAGCCTGGGCAACTTGGCGAAACTCCACCTCTACCAAAAACACAAAAATTAGCCAGTCTCACAAATCCGTCTCAAAATAAATAGGTCAGGTGCAGTGGCTCACATCTGTAATCCCAGCACTCTGGGAGGCCGAGGCGGGAAGATCACTTTGACCTCAGGAGTTTGAGACCAGCCTAGGTAACATGGCGAAACCCTGTATCTACAAAAAAAAAAAAAAAATATATATATATATATATATATATATATATATAGCCAGGCGCGGTGGCTCACGTCTGTAATCCCAGCACTTTGGGAGGCCGAGGCGGGTGGATCACGAAGTCAGGAGTTCAAGACCGGCCTGGCCAAGATGGTGAAACCCCGTCTCTACTAAAAATACAAAAATTAGCTGGGTGTGGTGGTGGGCGCTTGTAATCCCAGCTACTCGGGAGGCTGAGGCAGAGAACTGCTTGAACCTGGGAGGCGGAGGTTGCAGTGAGCCAAGATCGTGCCACGGCACTCCAGCCTGGGTGACAGAGCAAGACTCTATCTCAAAAAAAAAAAAAAGAAAAAAATATGTAAATTAGCTGGGCACGGCGGTGCACACCTGTAATCCCAGCTACTAGAAAGGCTGAGGCTGGAGAATCACTTGAATCCGGGAGGCGGAGGTTGCAGAGATCGTGCCACTGCACTCCAGCCTGGGAAACGGGGTGAGACCTTCTCTCAAAAAATTAGATGAATAGATAGATTGCTTTAAGTTAAAAAAAAAAAAAAAAAAGAAAAAGAAATTTAGCACTAAAACAGCAACTGGGGCCGGGTGTGGTGGCTCACGCCTGTAATCCCAGCACTTTGGGAGGCCAAGGCGGGCAGATCACAAGGTCAGGAGATTGAGACCATCCTGGCTAACACGGTGAAACCCCGTCTCTACTAAAAATAGAAAAAATTAGCCGGGCGTGGTGGTGGGCACCTGTAGTCCTCGGGAGGCTGAGGCAGGAGAATGGAGTGAACCTGGGAGGCGGAGCTTGCAGTGAGCGGAGATTGTGCCACTGCACTCCAGCCTGGGTGACAGAGCGAGACTCCATTTCCAAAAAAAAAAGAGCAACTGGACAAGATAATCTTTGTGGTCCCTTACAACTTGTAAATATCCAAAACTTGTTCCAAGTGATCAGAATTATATTCATCAGAGGCTGGGTACGGTAGCTCACGCCTATAATTCCAGCACTTTGGGAGGCTAAGGCAGGAGAATCACCTGAGGTCAGAAGTTCAAGACCAGCCTGGGCAACATGGCGAAACCCCGTCTCTACTAAAAATACAAAATTAGCCAGGCGTGGTGGTGCGTGCCTGTAATCCCAGCTACTTGGGAGGCTGAAGCAGGAGAATCACTTGAACCCAGGAGGTGGAGGTTGCAGTGAGCCAAGATCGCGCCATTGCACTCCAGCCTGGGCAACAAGAGCGAAACTCCATCTCAAAAAAAAAAAAAAAAAGAATTATATTCATCAAGATCGATACCATTTAGATCCCTTAATCCCAAGGAAGTTATTCCATGACATTAGTCTAGACTATCCATTAAAACTTCATTTTCTGCAACTTCTTTCCTAATATCTCTAATCTTTTCTCTGCATTTGTTAATTTATTCCCAAATTTCATAACAGATGTCTTAACTGCCACTTCCTATATGCATGGAAAAAAATGAAAGGACCAATATGAACCCAAGGCTCAAAACTGAAAATCTGCTACAATGTAGAGGGGTAACTAATATCTTGTAATGCGGCTGGTAACAAAATCTAGTCCCATGTTTCTACAACATGTAAATAAAGCATCTGAGTGTCTTCAAACAATAACCAGTCGATTTATTAACTTCAATGTGTGCAAAGCTCACAACATTCTTGAACCTCAGGCTGTCAGTAAATCGGACATCCACACATCCAACCTCATCGGACTGGGGAGAGAACAGAAAAACTCAAAACAACATTCCTATTAAGTTCATAGTGATTATCTAGCTTAAACTTTTCAGCCCAGGCAGGATTTATAGGGTTCTCCGTTTGTGTTTATAAATTAGGAGAAATTCACTAAATTAGGCAAAACCACAAAAAAAAATCATTTTCCATTTCACACAAAACTTTATCTGCACAAATATAACAAGATTTTGAGAACTTTGTTAATAAGAGTCTTAACATTTTGGATTTGAGACTTCTGTAACTACTGTAAAAAAAAAAAAAAACCATGTAGAAGTAAATGTCACTTACAGCTGTATAATGAACCCTTCGGAGTTTTCAAAATCAAACGACTGAGGTAAAAATGATTATCTACAAGGCACAGACAAAACAACAACAACAACAAAAAACCACGGGCCCGTCATCTACAACCACCACCAAATCTTCAATATTTCCTTAGGTGTCGTATGTGTGTAGTTGAGTAACTGTCGTCTCTCCATTTCTCAGGTCACGGTGTGAACTACCTGGGTTTCTGTCCACTAACTGCGGGCTATCTCAGTGGTCAGTTCATTCTTTTTACCACAGGGTGGGGGAAGGGAGAGCCAAAAGTTATTTCCCTTTACTGTTTCTAGCTGTCTCGTGTGGGAAAAAAAGGTTGAAATTCAACTACAATATTTCACTCATCTAATCCCTCGAACAAACTGTATAAGTAGACCTCAGGGTCATAAATGAGTTACTGGCCCTGGGCTGACTTGAGCTCGAAAAGACAGGCGAGTCTCAAGGCTTTCCATATGGATAAGCTACAAGGCTCAATTCCCAACTTCCCGGTCTCATTCCTGCGAGAGGCTCCGGACCGCGAAGCTTGCACGTGGGCCGACCCGGCCGATGCTGTCACCTTTCGTCGCCAGCCGGCGGGTGGGATCCACGCCGGAGAGCAGACTCTCAACCGGCGAGGGAGTCCGGGAGGCCACGCTGCCAGTCTTCGGCCCACACATGGCCGGCAAGCGGAGGGGAAGAGAGCACCGCCAGGCCCTATGCTCGCGCCTGGACCCACGGCCCGCAGGCCCCGGCAGCGACCCGGGGCCCAGAGTCGGCCGGCAACAGCGCCAGCCCGCTTCCGCGCTGCCCGGCGCCCTAGCCCGCACCCACCTTGACGTCCTCGTCCTCGTCCTCGCCTTCCCAGCGGTCCCCGCCGGCAGTGCCGCCGCCCCCCACCTTCCGCACTGGGTCTTCCACGGAGAAAGCGTCGGCGTCTACGGAAGAAAGCGAGCCGTGTTAGTGCCTGCCACTGCGTGGGGCCGGCGCCGGCCCGGGCCCTGCCCCAGCAACTTCTCCTCACCCCAGGAGTCCGAGTCCCCCGCCGCCGCCGCCGCCGCCGCCATCTCGAGCCGGGTGTGAGCGTGTGTGAGAGGGAGAGCTAGCGAGGAGTTAGCACGGCGGAGGTGAGTCACTGGGTTTGCTCTCGTTGACCGGCGCGGAGCAGGATGGGACCGTGGCTGACTGTGCGCCGAGCCGAGGCCACGCCCCCTCAGGCGGCGGCGGCGACGCGCGCGGGTAAGAAGTGGGCGGGGAACGCGGTCGGTGGCGCTGCGGGGCTGAGGGAGAGGCGGAGGGGGGGGCGGAGGGGGGCGGAGGGAGGGGCGGAAAGAGCAGAGGGAGGGGCACAGGGGGCTGAGGAGTGCTGGGTCGGGCTTCCAGCTCCCTACAACGCAGACCAGTACTGGAGTTCGTGGTGCTGGAAGACCGCCGCCCGACTCTGGGCCCCGGGTAGGAAACGTAAGTGCCAGGAAGTTAGCAGAGTGGTTCTTTGGCTGGCGCCTGAACCTCGCCAGTCTTCGTCGCCCCTCCCCTGCCAACGCCTACCCCGCTTCGACCGGAGGGTGCGCTGTCCCTCTGGTCACTGTGATCACCGTCCATGGCCGCCTGCGGATACCCACGCCGTGCTCAGAAGAGGGCTCTGAGGCCACGCCCGCCTGTGGGGTCGGTGGCCGGGCTTCCGGGACCCCAGAGGGAGTCGTCGCGCGCTAGGTGGAGGGGACCCCTCTGGAATCCGGCGATCCCCGGGCGCAGATGCAGGAGCGGGTGGGGAGAGCCGCGTTCCTGGCATGTTTGCCTCGAGTTAGTCACGAAGGAATCGAAGAGAGCCTTAGTCTTCGAGGCTTTTCCCTTCCTGTGAGCCCCTTTGAGGCCAGCACATTGATTTTTTTTTCTTTCGCAGAACAATTTCGGACCTCCTGGGGTCTATGCTAGGTATGAGGTGTATCTTTGCCCTCCATCAAGTAGCAAAGATGGACATGTAAACAAATTTCGACACTGTGATGACTGCCACAAAAAGCAGCATTATGAGGTTGAATGTAAAAGGATAACCTTAGCGGCGGCGGGGGCCGGAGGATGAAGGAAGGCTTCCTGAGGTAGGCGCTGGTTGAAACTGAAGTTGGAGAGAGCAAGTGGCATTTGCTGAAGTGCATTTCCGGTAGAAAACTCCAGTGGTCCCTCACCTGACTGAGTGGCGCAGTCAGAGATAAATGGAACAGGTACACTGACCAGAAAGGGCAAGATGGGCTAAACTTCGCCGTTGGGCCACTGGGCTCCCCCGCAGGATTTTAAAGAGCTAGCCAGTAGATGGATTTTGTTTTTGTTATTTTCGCAATTTATTTTCAAATATGTAATACGCGAACTTGGTACAACATTCATGTGATAAAAAGGTAGATACGTGGGCAGGACGCGGTGGCTCACGCCTGTAATCCCAGCATTTTGGGAGGCCGAGATGGGCGGATCATTTGCTGTCAGGAGTTCGAGACCAGCCTGGCCAACATGGTAAAACCCCACCTCTACTAAAAATACAAAAATCACCTGGGCGTGGTGGCGGGCGCCTGTAATCCCCACTACTAGGGAGGCTGAGGCAGGAGAATCGCTTGAACCCGGGAGGCGGAGGTTGCAACAGTGAGCCGAGATCGCGCCACGGCTCTCCAGCCTGGGCGACAGTTAGACCCGTCTCAAAAAAAAAAAAAAAACAAAAAAGGTAGATACAACGATCAGCTGCTCCGCTCCGTTCTTTCTAGTGGTAACCATTGTTCCCCCTTTCTGGTGTTATCTTTTCAGAGTCTACAAATAAACATTTTATAAAGATGATCCTTCAATACATATTCTACAGCCCAGTTAAAATGTGAGAGGCCATGATCTACAGACAGCCATTTATAAAGGTGGATCAGGGCCGGACACGGTGGCTCAACGTCTGTAATCCCGGCACTGTGGGAGGCCAAAGCGGGAGGATCGCTTGAGCCCAGGAGTTCGAGACCAACCTGGCCAACATGGTGAGACCCCATCTTTACAAAAAAATATATATATCCAGGCATAGTGGTGTGCACCTGTGGTCCTGTGGTCCCAGCTACTCAGGAAGCTGAGGCAGTTGAGGCTGCAGTGAGCCACGTTCTGGCCACTACACTCCAGCCTGGGCATCAAAGTGACAAGACCAAAAAAAAAAAAAAATGTGGATTGGAAGGAGGCAAGAAAGAAGTCAGGAAAAGGGTGGAATGTAAGTCCCTAAGGACACAATCTTACTCACAATTGTATCTCCAACATTTGGCATAATGCCTAATACGTAAGTATTTTATGAATTAATTAAACGAGAACACAAGCCTAAATTAAGGCAATGGCAATGGAGAAGAAGAAACCAACTTGAGAAATATTTAAAGGTCATTGTCAATGGAACTTAGTGACTTTAATGGTTAATTTTATCTATCAACTTGGCTAGGCGATGCTACCCATGTTACTCAGTTTTTGGTCAAACACTAGTCTAGTTGTTGCTATGAATTGTATTTGTTAGATGTGATTAACATTTAAATCAGCAGACTTTGATTAAAGTACATTACCCTCTATAATGAGGGTGGGCCGCATCCGGTCAGTTCAAATTAAAACGAGACCCTTAAGAAGAAGCAATTCAGCCTCCAGACTGCAGCGTCAAATCTCCCTGGGTCTCCAGGCTGTTTGTCTGCCCTGCAGATTTCAGACTTGCCAGCTCCCAGAATAATGTGAGCCAATTCCTTAAAATAAATCTCTTTCTGCATATACACATCCTATTGATTCTGTTTCTCTGGAGAACCCGTACTAATATAGTGTCTGACTAGATATGAAGGAGGAGGGGAAGGGAGAAATAGATAGACGATGCCTTTGGATATTGAGTGACACTTATCTAGTTGCTTAAGTCAAAAACCTGAAAACTGGTTAGGCACGCCTATTACGGGCTCACGCCTGTAATCCCAGCACTTAGGGAGGCTGAGGCAGGCAGATCATTTGAAGTAATTCAAGACCAGCCTGGCCAACATGATGAAACCCCAAGACCACTAAAAATACAAAAATTAGCCGGGCGTGGTGGCACATGCCTGTAACCCCAGCTCCTCAGGAGGCTAAAGCAGGAAAATTGCTTGAACCCAGGAAACAGAGGTTGCAGTGAGCCGAGATTGTGCTACTCCACTCCAGCCTGGGAGAGACTCCATCTGAAAACAAACAACAAAAAAAAATGCTGGGCACAGTGGCTCACGCCTGTAATCCCAGCACTTTAGGAGGCTGAGGCGGGCGGATCACCTGAGGTCAGGAGTTCAAGACCAGCCTGGCCAATGTGGCAAACCCCATCTCTACTAAAAATAAAAAAAAAATTAGCTGGGCATGTTGGCGGGCACCGTAATACCAGCTACTCGGGAAGATGAGGCAGGAGAATCACTTGAACCGGGAGGCAGAAGTTGCAGTGAGCTAAGATCGCGCCATTGCACTTTAGCCTGGGCGACGAGCGAAACTCCCTCTCAAAAAAAAAGAAGAAGGCTGGGCGCGGTGGCTCATGCCTGTAATCCCAGCACTTTGGGAGGCCGAGGTGGGTGGATCACTTGAGGTCAGTAGTTCGAGACTAGCCTGGACATGGTGAAACCTGTCTCTACTAAAAATACAAAAATTAGCCAGGTATAGTGGCTCATGCCTATAATTCCAGCTACTTGGGAGGTTGAGGCAGGACAATGGTTTGAACCCAGGAGGCAGAGGTTGTAGTGAGCTGAGATTGTGCCACTGCACTCCAGCCTGGATGACACTCTATCAAAAAAAAAAAAAAGAAAAGAAAAAAAAAAAAAAACTGGGGCATGTGGGTTGAAGGTGCTATGGAAAAATTCATGGGCTATGTGTATGCAGCATTGTTTTCAAAGCAGAAATTGAGAATTTATTTATAGTGGTGTGCATACTGCTTTTTCAAATGAGGAAACAGGAAAACAAGGTTCTAGACCTATGTATTAGGGACTTCCTTTAGTCTGTAAAACTTGTGCCAGGCGTGGTGGCTCACACCTGTAATCCCAGCACTTTGGGTGGCTGAGGCAGGTGGATCACCTGAAGTCAGGAGTTCCAAGACCAGGCTGGCCAACCTGGTGATACCCCCGTCTCTACTAAAAATACAAAAAAATAGCCGGATGTGGTGGTGCACTCCTGTAATCCCAGCTATTTGGAAGGCTGAGGCAGGAGAATCGCTTGAACCCAGGAGGCAGAGGTTGCAGTGAGCCAAGATCATGCCACTGCACCCAGCCTGGGCAACAGAGCGAGTCTCTGTCTCAAAACAAACACACAAAAAAACTTGTGATTCACAGGTTAGTCTCTAGGGGAGCTCTATAATCACAAAGACAGTGACAGTATTCCCATTTTACAGATGAGCAGACTAGGTAATCAATGTTTCTTAACAAATTAACATTAAAACTTCTGTCAGGAAGTTCCAGGCCAGGCACAGTGGCTCACATCTAAAATGCCGGCACTTAGGAAGGCTGAGGCAGGAGGATCACTTGAGCTCATTTCAAGACCAGCCTGGGCAACATGGCAAGACTCCATCTCTACAAAAAATAAAAAATTAGCTGGGCATGGTGGCACACACCTGTAGTTCCTGCTACTCAGGGGGCTGAAGTGGGAGGGCCACTTGAGCCTGGGAGGTTGAGGTTGCAGTGAGCCATGATCGTGCCACTGCACTCCAGCCTGGATGACAGAGCCAGCCCGTCTCAAAAAAAGTTTCCTCATGGCTGGGTGCAGTGGCTTATGCCTGTCATCCGAGCACTTTGGGAGGCAGAGACGGGTGGATCACCTGAACTCAGGAGTTCCACCAGCTACTCAGGAGGCTGAGGCAGGAGAATCACTTGAACCCAGGAGGTGGAGGTTGCAGTGAGCTGAGATCCCGCCACTGCACTCCAGACTAAGTAACAGAGTGAGACTTCATGTCAAAAAAAAAAAAAAAGTTTCATCATTGAAGCTATAGAAGAGTAAATAAACAACACAAATGAAGCAGAGCTACTTATAGGTTCTTTTTTTTGAGATGACATTTTGCTCTCGTTGCCCAGGCTGGCGCAATCTCTGCTCACGGCAACCTCTGCCTCCCAGGTTCCAGTGATTCTCCTGCCTCAGCCTCCTGAGCAGCTGGGATTACAAGTGTGTGCCACCATGCCCAGATAATTTTTTGTAGTTTTAGTAGAGATGGGTTTCATCGTGTTGGCCAGGCTGGTCTCGAACTCCTAACCTCAGGTGATCCCCCCGCCTCAGCCTCCCAAAGTGCAGGGATTACAGGTGTGAGCCATTGTGCCTGGCCTTAGAGTTCTTTTTTTTTTTTTTTTTTTTTTTTTTTGAGATGGACTCTCGCTCTGTTACCCAGGCTGGAGTGCAGTGGCACAATCTCGGCTCACTGCAAGATCCGCCTCCTGGGTTCACGCCATTCTCCTGCCTCAGCCTCCCGAGTAGCTGGGGCTACAGGTGCCCGCCACCGCGCCCGGCTAATTTTTTTTGTATTTTTAGTAGAGACGGGGTTTCACCGTGGTCTTGATCTCCTGACCTCGTGATCCGCCCGCCTCGGCCTTCCAAAGTGCTAGGATTACAGGTGTGAGCCATGCGCCCGGCCCCTTTATAGCTTCTTTTTAAGAGGAAGTACCTTAAGCATCAGACTCAAAATCTTATAAAGATGGACTAGGTTAAGGCTGAAGAGCAGATTGTTTTAATTGGAAATAGGGGCAGGTCAAAACTCCTATTTATAAAAGTGCAAAATTATGGAGTCATTGCATGTTTTTTCTAATGATTTCTTGGGAAAAAGAGTACATGTAAAAACAAATTTTGGCAGAGCACAGTGGCTCATGCCTGTAATCCCAGAACTTTGGGAGGCCAAGGCAGGCGGGTGGATCACTTGAGGTCAGGAGTTTGAGCCCAGCCTGGCCAACATGGTGAAACCCTGTCTCTACTAAAAATACAAAAATTGGCTGAGCATCATGGTGCACGCCTGTAGTCCCAGCTACTAGGGAGGCTGAGGCGGGAGAATCGCTGGAACCCGGGAGGCAGAGGTTGCAGGGAGCTGAGATCCCACCACTGCACTCCAGCCTGGACAACAGAGCAAGATTACATCTCAATAATTAAATAAATAAAGTTTTTGATTTATATGATTTGATTAAGTTAAATGAAATTTTTTATTTTAAACCAAAACGAAAAACCAAAACCCTACCCCCATGAGTCTTAAGACACGAAACTGTCTCCATTCAACTTCCATATATTTTTCCATACTTACAGGGTACCATAAAATCCTACAGTACCTTCCTATTCCTGTCTGGCCAGCGGAAAAAACATGCCTTCCTCAGGGAGTGCCTAAAATCCACATGATTAGTAAGCTCTCAGTAAGCCACACAAGCCATACTCTCCCCAGAACCTTAACAATCTTCTGACCTGACTGTCCACTATGATGCTATCACCCAGTGCATTAACTTAGAGAAAGGGAATACTTTACATGGAGAGTTATATAACTGCTAACTGGCCTCCCACCCACCCACTCTATTTCCAAAGCGATCTTTTAAAATACGCACCTGATCATTTACTCCCCTGAGCCTCCTCTCCCCACAGCCAAGCCTAGCTTTAGCCCTTTAACCAATAAAAGGATCTTGACTTTCTCTACTGGTAGATTTTAAGCTTAAGATTTTAAGGCATTGTCTGTTTTGCCACCTTCTACCATTCACAGAGCCTGGCATGGTGCCTAACACGTAGTGGTTTTTATTTTTTATTTTTTGAGATAGAGTCTCTGTCACCGAGGCTGGAGTGCAGTGGCACAATCTCGGTTCACTGCAACCTCTGCCTCTCTGGTTCAAGCGATTCTCCTGCCTCAGCCTTCCAAGTAGCTGGGACTACAGGCGTGCACTACGATACCTGGCTAATTTTTGTATTTTTAGAAGAGACGGGGGTTTCACCATGTTGTCCAGGCTGGTCTCAACTCCTGACCTCAATTATCTGCCCACTTCAGCCTCCCAAAGTGCTGGAATAATAGGCGTGAGCCACTGCACCCGGCCTAACAGGTCTTTTAAAAAATGCAACCCACTGCTGTCTTTCTTAAAAACCCTCCCTGACATCTGTGGTCCTGTGGTATTACAATATCCTGATCCTACTGCACATTCCTGCTTTCTGGCTTCAGACATCTCTCAAAACCTGGTATATAGTTCTCATCCCTCCTTCAGAAAACTACCTGCTTTAACATCTCCATCCTCATGTTACTTGTATATTGCTTACGGCTTATAACATGTTTTGACATTTCATTTGATCCTTATAATTCTGAAAGGTAGGTAACAACCCTCTTGCTTATTAAGTGGCTGGGTTTTCAGGGACTTGAACTCAAATTTGATTCTGAACTTCATGCTTTCATTGACCATGCTCTCAAGTCAACTATCTGCCTGAATAGAATGTTATAGTGCAATCACTTATTTCTCAAGGATTATTGCAGTGGCTTTCAAAACTGTGTGCGCCTCAAACTCCTTTGGAGCTTAGGGAAAATAGCTATCACAAAGTCTCATCACAGAAACTAGTGTGGGACCAGAGTGCTACTATGCTATAGTGATACTGGCTCATTATTTTAGCCCATACATCGAGTATATTCCTCATCTTAGCGCACTATAATCTGGTTCACTCTTGCCATCTTCTCTCTCCTTTTCAAAACCAACCCCTTTTAATTCTGGTTGGTATCTTCAAGTGTTTTTCACCTCTGCTCACAGTAGTTCCAGCAATAAAGAATGCCCTTCCAAAATCATTACTGTAACGGTAATTAAGAGACTTACATTCTAGTCCTAGCTCTGTGATCTTGGGAAAACACTAAAATAGAGTACACCTAGAACTTGAAATTTCCTTCTAGTTTAAAATGAATTATTACCTATAGGTCTAGTTTGTACCACTGTATATTCCTTACATTTTATAAGAACATTTTGTTGGCTAAATAGACTTACAAACTTGAGAAAGCTTTGTATTCATGAACAAACATAATCATACAAAATGCCAAGGCACTAGGAAACAGAATATTATGGTGATAACTAAATTCAAGTCTCCCAGAGGAACTGCATAGTCTTGGGTCACAGCTTTCTCCAAGTCTCAATTTCCTTTATGTTTTTCAACATCAAAAGGGAAAGTAATGTGAAAAAAAGATATGCTTCTAAACAAAAAAAAGCACTGTACAAATGTTGTTAGAAATTATATTGTTTCTGATGGCTGATAAAATATCATCAAAGAGAAGTGCTTCCATAAAAGTTTTATTTATCCCCACAACAACCCTGTGAGGTAGGGTGATCAGGGCATTTGAAGATGAGAAAACTAAATCTACATTACTTGTTCACGGCTATACTGCATAGTAAATAAGAAGAAATTAAATTGAGATTTTAAAATGTCCATGACTTTAATATTGATTCACGTGGAAACAAGGCAGAGAGAATATTAACTCCCCCCTACCTTAATGCCAAAAGGACACTGCCTTGAAAAATCCCATTTCAAAAGATGAAAGTAGTATTTCATTGCTTATTTCTACAAAGATTTATAAAATAAAAAAATAGTGAAATATTTTACAGATAATATATATAATGGTCTCATTCAGGGACATGTCCTTTAGCTATGTATATGGTCAACTATTCCAAGTCCTAGAAATGCAAACCCTTAAAAAATATGAAAGACAAAAATGATAATGAGCAGTAGCCTTAATCTTCTTTATTATTCCTCCATGTATCTTGAATAAGCTCTGTGAAATCTGGTCCCAGTTTAAAAAAAAAAAAACTCTACCACAAAGAGATGTCTGGTGAACTTTAATTTTGTTGCCTACTCTCAAACCAGTGTCACATTTAGCTAAAACATTGATTACCCAATACTGGCTATTAGAATCACCAGGAGAGCTTTAAAGAAAAAACAAAACAAAACAAAACAAAACCAACCAAACAAAAAAAAAAAGCCAGAACTCTCAGGCCCCTCTCGAGATCCAGCGAGACAATTTTCCAGGGGTAGGCTCCAGGAATCTATTTTAAAAGCTCCTCAGAGTAATTCTAATGGTCAGGTTTCGGGATCAACTGATGTATCTTAAAATACTAATATCAAAAGCATAAACTAGTATAAACTTGTCGCTCTCTCCCCCGCCGCCCCACCCTTTTTTAAAAAAGATCTCAAATCATGTTATATCCCCAGAACTCTTGCCTCTGGGCAAGTAATTTCAATTCAAGATACAGAGAAACATTTTATAAAAATGTACCCTAGTTAGTGAGACTTGGATTCCAATAATAACTTAAGTAGCATTTAAATATAAGATACTGAGTTTTGTGGTTCATATTCTGAAAATTCTTAAATGTATTTTATACATGTTTGTCGTAGGCTTTCAACTCAGGGGAAGACATGAGAAGTAATGACATCAGCACTAAAAAAATACTATACTCAATTATAGCTCATGAGAGGAATAAGAAAGTCAATGAATGACAACCCTAAGGCCTTTTGGCCCATACATTTTTGTTCCCAGTCCACTCTTCCCCTATAAGGGGAAATAAAATAAACATTCTTTACTAGTTGCTTGGCATAGTTATTCGGTGGGTAACTATTAACTAAGTTAATTTAGATACACAAGATTAAAAGATAACAAATAAATACCTAGGAAGACAAAGAGAAGTCAGGTCAGAAAACCTTAACTAGCTAATGATGTAGTATATAACACCATCATATTAGTACAATTAAATAAAGGCTTCAATGTCCTTTACATTTTAGCTTTATGTGATTGACACAGACATGGAAGAGATCTGGTCCTTATGAAGAATTCTGTGCTCGCAGGAAAGATCTGTAGGAATAATGAAATGCTTTCTTCATTGATGAGATGAAGTCTCTGTTTTTCAGGCAAGTTGACAGAACAAAACAATGAGAAACGAACTTCTTTAGAAGGTTGAATGAAAGTAAGATCTAGATGAAAAAGTCATTGGCCAAAGATAATTTTTTAAAAAAAACATTCTATGTTAACCCTTGGAAAAAAAAACAAAAAACAACCCAGAGAAATACAAGAAAACAATGTACACATTCATTTCACTGACAGTTACAAGAAAATAGCCGTTTATAGAAGTTACACAATGCTTTCAACAAATCCCAAACAAATTTTGGGAAACAGATAAAGCCATTGGGTAAAAATAAATATACATACTAGCTAATATAAAACAATTTATGGTTACGAATTGTCATCAATTCTCTTAGGACACAAGGAGAAATATGGTGATATAAATCTGATGAGGGCTACATATATTACATGGAATTAAAAAACAACTGATTAAAACATCCTAACAATGATACAAATATTTAAAAGAATGTCTTAAAAGTCAGACATTTACCACTGGAAATAGCACGACTTTAATATGTACTCCAGAGTTGTAATGTGTATACAGGTC